>NC_000019.10:32240874-32865874 GCF_000001405.40 Homo sapiens | reverse complement strand
CCTCAGCCTCCTAAGTAGCTAGGAACAGGTGTGCACCAAAATGCCTGGCTGATTTTTGTATTTTTTAGTAGAAACGGGGTTTCTCCATGCTGGCCAGGCTGGTCTCCCACTCCCAACCTCAGGTGATCCGCCTGCCTCGGCCTCCCAAAGTGCTGGGATTACAGGCATAAACCACTGCACCTGGTCGAAATGTACAGCTCTTTAGTGCTGAGTTTGGTGAGTTTTGACAGATGTACCACCCCAGAAAGCTCCCTCGTGCCCCTTTCTAGGCAGGGCCCCAGCCCTGAATTCCTGTGGCTGTGGATTAGTTTCACCTGTTCTTGAACTTCACAGGCATGGAACCATCTGGTGTCTCTTTGAGCTGGGTTCTGTTCTCAGAAAGCTCCCATCCTAGCAAATGGCACTGGGCCAGGCACGGCGGCTTACGCCTGCAATCCCAGCACTTTGGGAGGCTGAGTTGGGAGGATTGTTTGAGCCCAGGAGTTCGAGGCTGCAGTGAGCCATGATCTCACCTCTGTGCTCCAGCCTGGGTGACAGAGAGAGATCTGACTCTAAATAAATAAGTAAATAAAAATAAGATAAAAGAAAATGGCACCACAGAAAGTTCAGAGTGCCCAAATGTTTCTGTTTCTGGGAGGCCTCCGTTGCTCACCCTGCATGGAGCCTCTGGCCAGGACTCTAGGCTCAGAGGCGTATCCCGAGGGCCTTTCTTATTGGTGAGCTGTTGCCAAGTCAGCCTTTTCATTGAGGGCACAGGATCACGGTTAGGCACGTGGAACCTGAGCCAGGTTTCCCCCTCTCTAGCTGTAAACCCCGGACAGCCTCCTAATCTTTCTGTGCCTCAGCGTCCTCCTCTGTCCATGGGGGTGACACAGTGTGGCCAGCTCGCGGGGCTGTCACGATAATTAATCACGTTAACATAAGCAAAGCTCCGGGAGCGGTGCCCCGGTGTTGCCAGGGCAGCCGCTCAGGGTGGAAGCGCCTGGGACATGGGCTTTGGCTGGGGCCGCCCTGGCCGTACCGAGGGAGGGTGGCACCTGGCCTTCTGGGCTGGGTCCGGGCGTGGCACTAACGCCCTCTTCCTTCCTCCACACCCAGCTGGGCCTCATCAGTGGCATCTCCATCATCGTGGGCACCATCATTGGCTCTGGGATCTTCGTTTCCCCCAAGTCTGTGCTCAGCAACACGGAAGCTGTGGGGCCCTGCCTCATCATATGGGCGGCTTGCGGGGTCCTCGCGACGCTGGGTAAAGAGACTTGGGAGCCTGTTGCAGCCCCGGAAGCATGCAGGGGCACGCCAGGCAGCTGCTACCTGTGCCAGCCCTCACCCTGCCAGTATCCCTCTTGGCACATGTATGGCAAACAGGTGTAAATCAGGCTGGACTGAATGTCCAACGCTGGAGCTCAGGGCCGTCCAGCGAGGGCGGACCACGGTGGGCCCCTCCATACGAGCGCAGCCTCCGGTGGGAGGAAGGCTCCCTGGGGCCGGGGCAGTGCCTCACAAGGGGCCTGTGGGCCCTTCCTCTCTGTGTTCCAGGTGCCCTGTGCTTTGCGGAGCTTGGCACAATGATCACCAAGTCAGGGGGAGAGTATCCCTACCTGATGGAGGCCTACGGGCCCATCCCCGCCTACCTCTTCTCCTGGGCCAGCCTGATCGTCATTAAGCCCACGTCCTTCGCCATCATCTGCCTCAGCTTCTCCGAGTATGTGTGTGCGCCCTTCTATGTGGGCTGCAAGCCTCCTCAAATCGTTGTGAAATGCCTGGCCGCCGCCGCCATCTGTGAGTACCTGAGCCCAGGGCAGGGGTCAGAAAAGACCTGGCACAGAGGGTGTCTGGGGACTCCGCCCTCAGCTCCTCCCCAGTGAGTCTCTGGTGAGAGCCCAGGCAGGGCCTGGCATCAGCCTTTGCAGTACCTGTGGGTGCTGCACACTGGGGACCCCCAGGCCCGTGGGGGCTGCAGGGAGGGGTGCCGCTGGCTGTCCTGCAGGGCAGAGCCTTGGCTCAGGGCCCAGCTTCTCCTGGCGTGGTGGCAGGTGCCTGTAATCCCAGCTACTCGGGAGGCTGCTTACCACGCCCTGATAATTTTTCGCCATCTGAGGCAGCCCGGCTAAGGTCATCTCCAGGTTCTTTTAAAAGGTCCTTAAACTCCCATGTTTGGATCTGCCCTCTTGGAATTTGGGAGATGATATGGTGGCTGGTGGGGGAGTAGGGGTGGGCCGCAGGCAGTGGCTCATGCTTGGAATCTCACCACTTTGGGAGGCTGAGGTGGGAGGATCGCTTGAGGCCAAGAGTTTGAGATCAGCCTGGTCAACACAGTGAGAACCTTGACTCTACAAACAATCAAAACATTAGCCGGGTATGGTGGCATGCACCTGGCGTCCCAGCTACGTGGGAGGCTGAGGAGGGGGGATCACTTGAGCCTTGGACCCTATCTCAAAAAATAAAAGAGGCTAGGTGCAGTGGCCCACACCTGTAATCCTAGCACTTTGGGAGACCAAGGTGGAGGGATTACATGAGGTCACGAGTTCGAGACCAGCCTGGCCAACGTGGCAAAACCCTGTTTCTACTAAAATACAAAAATTAGCAGGGCGGGGGAGGGGGGTGGTGGGGTAGTGCATGCCTGTAATCCCAGCTACTGGGGAGACTGAGGCAGGAGAATTCCTTGAACCCGGGAGGTGGAGGTTGCATTTAGCTGAGACTGTGCCATTGCACTCCAGCCTGGACGACAGAGTGAGACTCCATCTCAAATAAATAAATAGATAAAAATAAAATTACAAAAATTGGATATGAGGGCGATCTGGCAGGGACATCTGTCACCCCACTGATCGCCAGGGTTGATTCAGGTGATCTGGCTGGCTAGGCCAGTGTCCTCTTCCTCCCTCACTGCTCCACGTGCATCCCTCCCGAAGCTGCGCACTCGGTGGAAAAGGATGACCATCCCCGATAGAGGAGGGCTGGTCTTCGGTCAAGGGTATATGAGTAGCTGCGCTCCCCCGCTAGAACCTCCAGACAAGCTCTCTACTAAAAATACAAAAATTAGCTGGGCATAGTGGCGTGCACCTGTCGTCCTAGCTACTCAGGAGGCTGAGGCAGGAGAATTGCTTGAACCGGGGAGGCAAAGATTGCTGAGATCGTGAGCTGAGATCATGCCACTGCTCTCCAGCCTGGGTGACAGAGTGAGACTCCATCTCAAAAAAAAAAAAAAATAAAAAATATATAAAAGAAAGGAGACTCTCTCCAGGGCTTTGCTGAAAACCATAAATGCAGAAACTGTCCCCACCCTTCCAGTGTTCATCTCGACAGTGAACTCACTGAGCGTGCGGCTGGGAAGCTACGTCCAGAACATCTTCACCGCGGCCAAGCTGGTGATCGTGGCCATCATCATCATCAGCGGGCTGGTGCTCCTGGCCCAAGGTGACCCACGGGAGGGTGGGCCCTGCACGGGCACACACCAAACGCCCTTCCACTGGGAGCAGGAGCAGCCTTGCCCCACGAGCCCATCTCCAAGGAAGCATGGCAGGAACTCGGTGGGAGGGATCCTTAGTTTCAGGGCGTGTTTATTAAGCTGGGGTCACAATCATGCCCATCTTTCCCGTGGAGATACACTCAAGATCTGCCCGGTTGACACCCGCCGTTCACTGTCTGGCTTCATTACAGGAAACACAAAGAATTTTGATAATTCTTTCGAGGGCGCCCAGCTGTCTGTGGGAGCCATCAGCCTGGCGTTTTACAATGGACTCTGGGCCTATGATGGATGGTGAGGTGTCCTGAGATGTCCCGAGTCTGGGGGTGGGTGGGGTTCTCCAGGTGACTTTAACTCCACCTGTCATGGAAAACAATGAGTTCTCCTTTCTGGGGTTTGGTGTGACTCTGACATTCACCCTCACATTTCCTTTTTGTGAAGGATGCGACAACCTCTCCCCTTTATTCCCTGAGACACCTGCTCAGTCAGCCAGAGTGCTCTGTGTAGAACCCTCACTGGGCCAACACAGGCTCAGCCAAATCAGAGGCAGCCAGGGCCCAAGCTCAGGTTTTCTGTTTTGTTTTGTTTTGTTTTTTTAAGACAGGATCTCACTTGGTCACCCAGGCTGGAGTGCAATGGCGTGATCATAGCTCACTGCAGCCTTGAGCTCCTGGGCTCAAGTCAGCTTCCCGCCTCAGCCTCCTGAGTAGCTGGGACTACAGATAGGAGCTGCCATGCCCTGATAATTTTTTATTTTTATGCTTTGTAGAGACAGTCTCTCTGTGTTGCCCAAGCTGCTCTCAAACTCCTACACTCAAGCAATTCTCTCTCCTCGGCCTCCCAAAGTGCTGGGTTTACAGGCGTGAGCCACTGCGCCCAGCCCCAAGCTCTTGATTAAACAAAGAATACTCAATAGCACTTCTATTTAACCTTGAAAATCATTAGGTTTGGGAGCCTCTCTGAATCTATTATGGTTTGGGGGACTGCCCTACAAAAATAAATAATACCATATAAATTTTATATATTTATCGAGTTTAGTGGATGAGATTCTGTTTTTGTCCTTTTTTTTCTTTTTTTTTTGAGACGGAGTCTCACTCTATTACCCAGGCTGGAGTGCTGTGGTGAGATCTCGGCTCACTGCAATTGCTTGAATCCCCCAGGTTCAAGCAATTCTCCTGCCTCAGCCTCCCGACTAGCTGGGATTACAGGCACCTGCCACCATGCAGGGCTAATTTTTGTATTTTTAGTAGAGACGAGGTTTTACCATGTTGGCCAGGCTAGTCTTGAACTCCTGACTTCAAGTGATCTGCCCACCTCGGCTTCTCAAAGTGCTGGGATTACAGACGTGCGCCACTATGCCTGGCCCATTTTTGTCCTTTAAGGAAGAAGCATGGCCATCTGCAACGATGGTCCTTCTCTCCTGCAAAGCATTTATAGATTTAATTCCCTTTTCAGACAAAGAATATTCCATTTTTTCAAAGCACCCTGGGGACTCACTACTCCTGATTATTCTTGAAAATCCGTGTGATTCCCGAGGAGGGCAAAGGCTCAACCAGCTGACAGATGTGTAGGTCTGGGTAGGGCCCCAGGCCCCACCACTAGCAGGGCCATTCACCTGGAAAAAAATTCACCTGGAATTCCTGCAGGAGAATTTTTTTCTCTGGTAGAGAATCTTAAATGAGGCCAACATTTATTATTGTGGGTTTCATTATCGAAAAAGAAAGTCAAGGTGTGTGACGCTTGTTACTTTCCTTTTTCCAGGAATCAACTCAATTACATCACAGAAGAACTTAGAAACCCTTACAGGTAACAGCTGAATCAGTGCAGAGGACAGTAGCCGGGCAGCCTGATTTCTCTTCTCCTGGTGAAGGCTGGAGCTATTTCCCTGGGTATTCCATGATGCCCTTCCCGACAGTGAATTATTTCTTTTTTTTTTTTTTTGAGACAGAGTCTTGCTCTGTTGCCTAGGCTGGAGTGCAGTGGTGCAATCTCAGCTCACTCATTTTTGTATTTTTTTAGTAGAGATGAGATTTTGCCATGTTGGCCAGGCTGGTCTTGAACTCCCAACCTCAAGAGATTCGCCCATCTCGGCCTCCCAAAGTGCTGGGATTACAGGTGTGAGCCACTGCACCCGGCCAGCGAATGGTTTCTTATGAGCTCACTATGCACGCTTAGAGTTTGGTTTGGTTTGGGACAGAGCAGTGGCTCCTAAGGGAGGGAAGAGCTTGGTCTTCCTTTATCTCTGGCTTATTTTGCTTTATAAACAGTTCCATGTGAACTGCTCTGGAGTCTGAGAGAGGCAGCATTCTCATTTGAAAATGTCTTATGTTCCTGCTGGGCCTCTGCTACCTGCGAATCTTCTCCCTGGGAGGGCCTCAGGGAGGGCGTCCATCTTCCGCGGGAGGCTGTGGTCTGAACGTGGGTCTCCGTGTCATTGCCCCTCCCAGAAACCTGCCTTTGGCCATTATCATCGGGATCCCCCTGGTGACGGCGTGCTACATCCTCATGAACGTGTCCTACTTCACCGTGATGACTGCCACCGAACTCCTGCAGTCCCAGGCGGTGGCTGTGGTGAGTGCCCGGGCATCGCTGCTGGCGGGGGCTGTGGCTTGTGGGAAGGGGTAAGGCAGGTGTCAGCACTGGAGGTGAGCTCCCTCCCAGGGAAGGAGGGCGATATTCACGGACGGGGACATGGACTGGGCACGCACGGCATGGAGCTGGAGGCAGGGCCGGGCTAGCCAGGGTGAGGGTTCGGCAGGCAAGCATGAAGCAGAGGCAGAAAGTGCCAGGGAGTCGGGGGAGGTCATTATATTAGGTCATTATATATTAAAAAATATATATATTTTTGGCAAAACTGGCAATTACTTTTGCACCACCCTAAATAATAATGAATCATAGAAGGTGAGAGGTGAGAGGCATTGGGGTCAGTGAAGAGGTGGCTGGGGGCCTCCTGCAGTTGCAAACAGACAACCACGTGTTGGGGATTTGGAAGGTGGAGGAGACGCAGTTTGGATAAGTGTTGAGGTCACTGACCACAAGACTGGGGGCTGCTGAGGTGGGAGGGAGAATTCAGCCATTCCGGTTGGAGTGGGGGTTCAGGGAAGTGAGAGGTGAAGGTGTCAGGATATTGAAATGACCAAGAATTACGCAGCTGGGTGTGGTGGCGAGTGCCTGTGGTCTCAGCTACTTAGAAGACTGAGGCAAGGATCACTTGAGCCCAGGAGATTGAGGCTACAGTGAGACGTGATCACGCCACTACACTCCAGCCTGGGCGACAGAGCAAGATCCTGTCTCCAAAAAAAATCAAATTAAAAAATAAAGATTTGGCCAGGCATGGTGGCTCATGCCTGTAATCCCAGCACTTTGGGAGGCCGAGATGGGTGGATCGCAAGGTCAGGAGATTGAGACCAGCCTGGCCAACGTGGTGAAATCCCGTCTCTACTAAAAATACAAAAATTAGCTGAATGTGGTGGCATGCGCCTGTAATCCCAGCTACTTGGGAGGCTGAGGCACGAGCATCGCTTGACCCTGGGAGGCAGAGGTTGCAGTGAGCCGAGACAGCAACATTGCACTCCAGCCTGGGCAATAAGAGCAAAGCTCCATCTCAGAAATAAATAAATAAATAAATAAATAAATAAATAAAGATTTATGCCAGGGAGTAGTAGATAAGAGACTTCTCTTGCCATCACAATATCTGGAGATAGGCGAGTGGCGTTCTCCTCTCTCCTCTGCAGTGGAGGAGTCAGAGGCTGTGCCCCGAGGCGAGGTGGGTCCCTGGGTCCCCTGGGAGGCCAGAATAGCTTTTGGGGGCCGGCCGCTCTTGGAGGCCAAGAAAGACCCTCAGGACTCATCTCGCTTCTCTCACCAGACATTTGGTGACCGTGTTCTCTATCCTGCTTCTTGGATCGTTCCACTTTTTGTGGCATTTTCAACCATCGGTGCTGCTAACGGGACCTGCTTCACAGCGGGCAGGTAGGGGACCCCCACCGTCACTCCCAGGGTGGACAGGGGCGGCGAAAGCAATATCACCCCCGAGGAAGACACACAGCTAAAATCCTCAGGGTTCTGCCAGGCGAAACCCACGCCAGTACAAGTAGGAGACCCAAATCCAGAGAAGGGATGTAGCTTGAACCCACACCGCAAACTGGCCAGGAAGGCATGGATGGGCCTGCACACGGGAATTGATCAAGGCTGCCTGGAATCTCAGCCTTTCCACTCCAGGGGGCCCTAGTTCCCAACATGGGGGGGAAGCTGCCCATGCTGAGGCGAAGGGAAGCGACACCGCGTGAATGAGGCACTGGTTTTCCACGTGGCACTTTTTACCTTTTCACCTAGTGATATTTTTCACATAGTGATATTTCCTGAACATCTTCCCCATGTTAATATATACAAACTAATTTGCTAATTAGCAAATTAATAAATAACCCAGAATTGGCTAACTTTCCCTTAAAGGGCCAGATGGTAAATATTCCAGGCTCGCAGGCTGCATAAACCTCTGTCACAGATTCTCAACTCTGCCTTGGTACCCAAGAGTGAACAGCCATGGTCATGTTCCAATAAAACTTTATTTGCCCAAACAGCTGTGGTTTGCCAATCCTTTAGACCCATCTGGTCTAGAGACTGCCACCAGCTGTGTTGTATCACACTTTCAGATGTAGCATAACTTAACAAATCCTTCACTCACACCTGGGTGTGGGTGGTTTCCATGAACGTTGCCGCAGTGAACATCCTCGAACACGTGTCTTGGCTTAGTTGTCCAGTGTTCTGAATGGATATATTTCAGAGTGAAATTGACAAAGTCTGTGTATGTTAAAAAATGAAATACCATAAAATCATTCTTCTAAAGCCAAACCGAAATACATGTAGTGCTAGGCCTCCAACTTCATTCTTTGTCAAAAGCGTTTTGGCTAGATCCTTTGTATTTCTTTATAAATTTTAAATTTAAATTTTAATTAACTAATTAATTTTGAGGCAAGGTCTCACTCTGTCGCCCAGGCTGGAGCACACTGGCATGATCTTGGCTCACTGTAGCCTCTACCTCCTGGGCTCAAGCAATCCTCCCTCCTCAGCCTCTGGAATAGCTGGGACCACAGGCACGTGCCATCACACCCAGCTAACTTTTGTATTCTTAGTCAAGATGGGGTTTCACCATGTTGCCCAGGCCCATTTCGAACTCCTGGCTCAAGTGATCCTCCTGCCTCCACTTCCCAAAGCCCTGGAATTACAGGCATGAGCTATCGTGCCCAGCCTTATATTATTTTTGAGATGGAGTCTTGCTCTGTCACCCAGGCTGGAGTGCAGTGGTGTGATCTCGCCTCACTGCAGTCTCCGCCTCCCTAGTTCAAGCAATTTTCTGCCTCAGCCTCTGGAGTAGCTGGGATTACAGGCACCTGCCATCATGCCTGGCTAATTTTTGTATTTTTAGTAGAGACGGAGTTTCACCATCTTGGCCAAGCTGGTCTTGAACTCCTGACCTCGTGATCCACCTGCCTCAGCCTCCCAAAGTGTTGGGATTACAGGTGTGAGCCACCACACCCGGCCGCCTTATTTTAAATTGACAAATAATAATTGCTTATATGGGCTGAGGCAGGAGGATTGCTTGAGGCCAGGAGTTCGAGACTAGTCTGGGCCACATGGTGAGACTCCGTCTCTACAAAAAGAAATTTAAAAATTAGCTGGGTGTAGAGGCCCATGCCTGTAGTTCCAGAAGCCCAGAAGTTCCAGGCTGCAGTGGGCCACGATCACACCACTGCACTCCTGCCTGGGTAACAGAGTAAGACCCTGCCTCTAAAAAATAACAACAATAATTGCATATATGTATGTGGTACAGTGTGATGTTTCAATACATGTAAACATTGTGGAATGGCATATGTATCACCTCACATACTTCTTTATGCTGAGAACATTAAAAATTCACTGGCTGGGCATGGTGGCTCACGCCTGTAATCCCAGCACTTTGGGAGGCCGAGGCGGGCAGATCACGAGGTCAGGAGATCGAGACCATCTTGCCTAACATGGTGAAACCCTATCTCTACTAAAATTACCAAAAATTAGCTGTGCGTGGTGGCGGGCGCCTGTAGTCCTAGCTACTTGGGAGGCTGAGGAAGGAGAATGGCGTGAACCCAGGAGGCAGAGCTTACAGTGAGCCAAGATCACGCCACTGCACTCCAGCCTGGGCAACAGAGCAAGACTCCGTCTCAGAAAAAAAAAAAAAAACCACTAGCTATTTTGAAATATACACTATTACTAACAATAGTCACCTTGCTGTGCAGTAGATCACCAGAGCTTATTCCTCCCATCATACTGAAACTCTGTAGCCTTTGACCAACATTTCCCCTTTTGCCATCCCAGGCCCCTCTTCCTTCAGCCTCTGGTAACCAGCATTCTACTCTCTATTGCTATGTTTGAATTTTTAGATTTCATGTATGTTGCAGATGATTACAACTATCTGGGCTGGTGGTACAGGGATAAGAAGAATTTACCAAGACAGCTGTAGGTCAGGAAAGGCAGATTTATTACAGAAAGTAGGAAAATACATTGCAAGGGTGCAATGAGCAGGTCAGCAAGAGAGGAACTGACTGCAAAGAGACAAAGGCTTGCTGGGGATTTTGTAGGATGGTGCTTGTGCTGTGTGCTGGACAGGGGTACGTGCAGTACTGATAATGCCAAGGTTGCAGTGAGCTAACTTGCATTTTTCTATTTTTTTTTTTGAGACGGAGTCTTGCTCTGTCACCCAGGCTGGAGTGCAGTGGCATGATCTCGGCTCACTGCAAGCTCCACCTCCCAGGTTCACGCCATTCTCCTGCCTCAGCCTCCTGAGTAGCTGGGACTACAGGTGCCTGCCATCACGCCCGGCTAATTTTTTTTTGTATTTTTAGTAGAGATGGGGTTTCACCGTGTTTGCCAGGATGGTCTTGATCTCCTGACCTCGTGATCCGCCCGCCTTGGCCTCCCAAAGTGCTGGGATTACAGGCGTGAGCCACCGCGCCCGGCTGCATTTTTCTATTAGCTGAGGGACTGGCGATCACTGGGCACAGGAAGCTTGTAAGTTATTTGTGCAGGGGGGCTATGTGTCCTGGACCATGAAGAAAGGCGGGCTTGTAGCTTATCTGTCTTATCTCTTTTGGCTTTCCCTTGGTCCCACCAGCCTGACTCATTTTCCCTAATTAGGACTCCATAATACATAAGGGAGATCATGGGATATTTGTCTTTCTGTGTCTGGCTTATTTCACTTAGCATAATGTTCTCTAGAGTCATCTCTGTTGTCAAAAGATGACAGAATTCCATTCTCTTTAGAGTCGGAATAGTATTCCATTGTGTATCTATTACATTATTTTTATTCATTCATCTGTGATGGACACTTAGGTTGTGTCCATGTCTTGGCTGTGGTGAATAACGTTGTAATGAACATGGGAGTGCAGACACCTGACATGTGGATTTCAATTCATTCAAATATATACCCAGAGGTACATAGGAGTGCAGGTATCTGGCATATGATTTCAATTCATTCAAATATATACCCAAGGCCAGGTGCAGTGGCTCACGCCTGTAATCCCAGCACTTTGGGAGGCCGAGGTGGGTGGATCACATGAGGTCAGGAGTTCGAGACCAAACTGGCCAACATGGTGAAACCCTGTCTCTACTAAAAATACAAAAATTAGTGGGGCATGGTGGCAGATGCCTGTAATTCCAGCTACTCAGGAGGCTGAGGCAGGAGAATTGCTTGACCCGGGAAGCAGAGGTTGCAGTGAGCCGAGATCGCACCAGTGCACTCCAGCCTGGGCGACACAGTGAGATACTCCGTCTCAAAAACAACAACAACAAAAAATCATTGCCCAGACCAATGTTACAGAGCTTGCCTGTTTTCTCCTAGGAATTTTACAGTTTCAAGTCTTATATCCATTTTGAGTAGATTTCTTGTCTAAGGGGTGAGATAAGGGTCCAATTTCATTCTGGCAGCTTTCCCACTTGCATATGAATATTACAATCAGCTTGCCAGTTTCTATAGTAAAGCTGTTGGGATTTTGATCAGGACTGGGTTGAATCCATAGATCAACTGGGGGAAGACTCTGCTGTCTTAAAAGTACTGAGTCTTCCAGCATGGGTACGGTGGCTCACACCTGTAATCAAAGCACTTTGGGAGGCCGAGGGGGAGGACTGCTTGAGCCCATGGGTTAGAGACCAGCCTAGGCAACATAGTGAGACCCCATGTCTACAAAAAGTACAATAGACTTAGCCAGGCATGGTGGCACATGCCTGTGGTCCCAGCTACTCAGGAGACTGAGGTGGGAGGATCGTGTGAGCCCAGGAGGTCGAGGCTGCAGTGAGCTGAGATTGCACCACTGCACTGCACTCCAGCCTGGGAGACAGAGTGAGACCTTGTCTCCAAAAAAAAAAAAAATACTGAGTCTTCCAATCCATGGGTGGACTATTTAGGTCTTTAATCTTGTTTTAACAACTTTTTTGTTTGTTGGTGTTTTTTTTTTTTTTTTTTTGAGACAGGATCTTGCTTTGTCACCCAGGCTGGAATGCAGTGACACGATCCTGGCTCACTGCAACATCTGCCTCCCAGGTTCAAGCGATTCTCATGCCTCAGCCTCCCAAGTAGCTGGGATTACAGGCATATACCATCACACCTGGCTAATTTTTGTATTTTTAGTAGAGACAGGGTTTCACCATGTTGCCCAGGTTGGTCTTAAACTCCTGGCCTCAAGTGATCCACCTGCCTCAGCCTCCCAAAGTGTTGGGATTACAGGCGTGAGCCACTGGGCCTGGCTTAATTTTCTGTAAAAAAAAGTTTTTTGAGTAGTTTTTGGTATATAGTTCTTGCACATCTTTTGTCAAATTTATTCCAAAGAATTTCATTTTTCATACTATTGTAAATGGTACTGTTAAAAAAAAGTTGCTTAATTTTTAGTTTCTGATAGTTTATTGCTAGTATACACAAACACAATTTTAACAGTTCTAATTAAGGTACAAATATAAAACTCACCCTTTGTAATTATACAACTCAATTATTTTCATAAATTTATAAGGCTGTACAAACATCACAATCCAATTCTAGATCATTTCCATCACCCCAAAAAGTTTCCTCATTGCCTAATTAATCCCTGCTTTCACCCGCAGCTCCAGGCAACCACTAATCTACTTCTGTCTCTATAACTGCTTTTTCTTGACATTTCATCTAAATGGAATGACATGGGCCAGGCGTGGTGGCTCACGCCTGTAATCCCAGCACTTTGGAAGGCCGAAGTGGGTGGATCACTTAAAGTCAGGAGTTCAAGACCAGCCTGGCCAACATGGTGAAACCCTGTCTCTACTAAAAGTACAAAAATTAGCCGGACGTGGTGGGCGCCTATAATCCCAGCTACTCAGGAGGCTGAGGCAGGAGAATGGCTTGAACCTGGGGGACGGAGGTTGCAGTGAGCCGAGATTGCACCATTGCACTCCAGCCTGGGTGACAGAGCGAGACTCCGTCTCTCAAAAAAAAAAAAAAAAAAAAAAAAGTTTATAGCTTTGGTCTTGTAAAATCTGGCAGGACTAACGCTCCCACGTCAGACTTCTCCTTGTCTGTTTAGCATTCCCTATACACTTAGAATTATTTTGTCCGGTTCCAAAAGTACTGCTTGCATTCTGATTTTATGGAATTTCTATATTAATTTCTGGAGGACTGATAAAAAGATTTGACAGTATTCACCTTGTGTCTAAATCTCCCTTCCATTAATCAACTCCCATCCTCCTGGTTTCACTTCTTTTGGGAATTAATATCAAGTTCATATCAATTCAAAGTTAAGATATGTAGTTGTAAATAGATGGGTCTTTGTGGCATTTGTATTGACTTCTAATTTTACTGCACTGTAATTAGAGTATGTGACCTTTATGATATCAAGTCTTGATTTAGGGTTTTTGTTCGTCGTTTTGAGACAGGGTCTCGCTGTCGCCCAGGCTGGAGTGTGGTGGTGCAATCATGGCTCACTGCAGCCTCAGACCCCTCCCTGTGCTTAAGTGATCCTCCCACCTCAGCCTCTCAAGTAGCTGGGACCACAGGCACGTGCCACCATGCATGGCTAATATTAAGTTTTTTGTAGATGTGAGGTCTTACTATGTTGCCCAAGCTGGTCTCAAACTCCCGGCCTCAAGCAATCCACCCACTTCAACCTCCCAAAGTGCTGGGATTACAGGTGTAAGGCACAGTGGCTGGCCTGATATCAATTCTTCTTTTTTTTTAATTTTATTATTATTACACTTTAAGTTTTAGGGTACATGTGCACAATGTGCAGGTTTGTTACATATGTATACATGTGCCATGTTGGTGTGCTGCACCCATTAACTCGTCATTTTAACGTTAGGTATATCTCCTAATGCTATCCCTCCCCGCTCCCCCCACCCCACAACAGTCCCCGGAGTGTGATGTTCCCCTTCCTGTGTCCATGTGTTCTCATTGTTCAATTCCCACCTATGAGTGAGAACATGCGGTGTTTGGTTTTTTGTCCTTGCAATAGTTTGCTGAGAATGATGGTTTCCAGTTTCATCCATGTCCCTACAAAGGACATGAACTCATCATTTTTTATGGCTACATAGTATTCCATGGTGTATATGTGCCACATTTTCTTAATCCAGTCTATTGTTGTTGGACATTTGGGTTGGTTCCAAGTCTTTGCTATTGTGAATAGTGCCACAATAAACATACGTGTGCATGTGCCTTTATAGCAGCATGATTTATAATCCTTTGGGTATATACCCAGTAATGCGATGGCTGGGTCAAATGGTATTTCTAGTTCTAGATTCCTAAGGAATCGCCACACTGACTTCCACAATGGTTGAACTAGTTTACAGTCCCACCAACAGTGTAAAAGTGTTCCTATTTCTCCACATCCTCTCCAGCACCTGTTGTTTCCTGACTTTTTAATGATCGCCATTCTAACTGGTGTGAGATGGTATCTCATTGTGGTTTTGATTTGCATTTCTCTGATGGCCAGTGATGATGAGCATTTTTTCATGTGTCTTTTGGCTGCATAAATGTCTTCTTTTGAGAAGTGTCTGTTTATATCCTTTGCCCACTTTTTGATGGGGTTGTTTTTTTCTTGTAAATTTGTTTGAGTTCATTGTAGATTCTGGATATTAGCCCTTTGTCAGATGAGTAGGTTGCGAAAATTTTCTCCCATTTTGTAGGTTGCCTGTTCACTCTGATGGTAGTTGCTTTTGCTGTGCAGAAGCTCTTTAGTTTAATTAGATCCCATTTGTCAATTTTGGCTTTTGTTGCCATTGCTTTTGGTGTTTTAGACATTAAGTCCTTGCCCATGCCTATGTCCTGAATGTTATTGCCTAGGTTTTCTTCTAGGGTTTTTATGGTTTTAGGTCTAACATGTAAGTCTTTAATCCATCTTGAATTAATTTTTGTATAAGGTGTAAGGAAGGGATCCAGTTTCAGCTTTCTACATATGGCTAGCCAGTTTTCCCAGGACCATTTATTAAATAGGGAATCCTTTCCCCATTGCTTGTTTTTGTCAGGTTTGTCAAAGATCAGATGGTTGTAGATATGCAGCATTATTTCTGAGGGCTCTGTTCTGTTCCATTGATGTATCTCTCTGTTTTGGTACCAGTACCATGCTGTTTTGGTTACTGTAGCCTTGTAGTATAGTTTGAAGTCAGGTAGAGTGATGCCTCCAGCTTTGTTCTTTTGGCTTAGGATTGACTTGGCAATGCAGGCTCTTTTTTGGTTTCATATGAACTTTAGTTTTTTCCAATTCTGTGAAGAAAGTCATTGGTAGCTTGATGGGGATGGCACTGAATCTATAAATTACCTTGGGCAGTATGGCCATTTTCACAATATTGATTCTTCCTACCCATGAGCATGGAATGTTCTTCCATTTGTTTGTATCCTCTTTAATTTCATTGAGCAGTGGTTTGTAGTTCTCCTTGAAGAGGTCCTTCACATCCCTTGTAAGTTGGATTCCTAGGTATTTTATTCTCTTTGAAGCAATTGTGAATGGGAGTTCACTCATGATTTGGCTCTCTGTCTGTTATTGGTGTATAAGAATGCTTGTGATTTTTGTACATTGATTTTGTATCCTGAGACTTTGCTGAAGTTGCTTATCAGCTTAAGGAGATTTTGGGCTGAGACAATGGGGTTATCTAGATATACAATCATGTCATCTGCAAACAGGGACAATTTGACTTCCTCTTTTCCTAATTGAATATCTTTTATTTCCTTCTCCTGCCTAATTGCCCTGGCCAGAACTTCCAACACTATGTTGAATAGGAATGGTGAGAGAGGGCACCCCTGTCTTGTGCCAGTTTTCAAAGGGAATGCTTCCAGTTTTTGCCCATTCAGTATGATATTGGCTGTGGGTGTGTCATAGATAGCTCTTATTATTTTGAGATACGTCCCATCAATACCTAATTTATTGAGAGTTTTTAGCATGAAGGGTTGTTGAATTTTGTCAAAGGCCTTTTCTGCATCTATTGAGATAATCACGTGGTTTTTGTCTTTGGTTCTGTTTATATGCTGGATTACATTTATTGATTTGCGAATGTTGAACCAGCCTTGCATCCCAGGGATGAAGCCCACTTGATCATGGTGGATAAGCTTTTTGATGTGCTGCTGGATTCGGTTTGCCAGTATTTTATTGAGGATTTTTGCATCAATGTTCATCAAGGATATTGGTCTAAAATTCTCTTTTTTGGTTGTGTCTCTGCCAGGCTTTGGTATCAGGATGATGCTGGCCTCATAAAATGAGTTAGGGAGGATTCCCTCTTTTTCTATTGATTGGAATAGTTTCAGAAGGAATGGTACCAGCTCCTCCTTGTACCTCTGGTAGAATTCGGCTGTGAATCCATCTGGTCCTGGACTTTTTTTGGTTGGTAAGCTATTGATTATTGCCACAATTTCAGAGCCTGTTATTGGTCTATTCAGAGATTCAACTTCTTCCTGGTTTAGTCTTGGGAGGGTGTATGTGTCCAGGAATTTATCCATTTCTTCTAGATTTTCTAGTTTATTTGCATAGAGGTGTTTGTAGTATTCTCTGATGGTAGTTTGTATTTCTGTGGGATCGGTGGTGATATCCCCTTTATCATTTTTTATTGTGTCTATTTGATTCTTATCTCTTTTCTTCTTTGTCTTGCTAGCAGTCTATCAATTTTGTTGATCCTTTCAAAAAACCAGCTCCTGGATTCATTAATTTTTTGAAGGGTTTTTTGTGTCTCTATTTCCTTCAGTTCTGCTCTGGTTTTAGTTATTTCTTGCCTTCTGCTAGCTTTTGAATGTGTTTGCTCTTGCTTTTCTAGTTCTTTTAATTGTGATGTTAGGTTGTCAATTTTGGATCTTTCCTGCTTTCTCTTGTGGGCATTTAGTGCTATAAATTTCCCTCTACACACTGCTTTGAATGTGTCCCAGAGATTCTGGTATGTTGTGTCTTTGTTCTCGTTGGTTTCAAAGAACATCTTTATTTCTGCCTTCATTTAGTTATGTACCCAGTAGTCATTCAGGAGCAGGTTGTTCAGTTTCCATGTAGTTGAGCTGTTTTGAGTGAGATTCTTAATCCTGAGTTCTAGTTTGATTGCACTGTGGTCTGAGAGACAGTTTGTTATAATTTCTGTCCTTTTACATTTGCTGAGGAGTGCTTTACTTCCAACTATGTGGTCAATTTTGGAATAGGTGTGGTGTGGTGCTGAAAAAAATGTATGTTCTGTTGATTTGGGGTGGAGAGTTCTGTAGATGTCTATTAGGTCCACTTGGTGCAGAGCTGAGTTCAATTCCTGGGTATTCTTGTTAACTTTCTGTCTTGTTGATCTGTCTAATGTTGACAGTGGGGTGTTAAAGTCTCCCATTATTATTGTGTGGGAGTCTAAGTCTCTTTGTAGGTCACTAAGGACTTGCTTTATGAATCTGGGTGCTCCTGTTATTGGGTGCATATATATTTAGGATAATTAGCTTTTCTTGTTGAATTGATCCCTTTACCATTATGTAATGGCCTTGTCTCTTTTGATCTTTGTTGGTTTAAAGTCTGTTTTATCAGAGACTAGGATTGCAACCCCTGCCTTTTTTTGTTTTCCATTTGCTTGGTAGATCTTCCTCCATCCCTTTATTTTGAGCCTATGAGTGTCTCTGCATGTGAGATAGGTTTCCTGAATACAGCACACTGATGGGTCTTGACTCTTTATCCAATTTGCCAGTCTGTGTCTTTTAATTGCAGCATTTAGCCCATTTACATTTAAAGTTAATATTGTTATGTGTGAATTTGGTCCTGTCATTATGATGTTAGCTGGTTATTTTGCTCGTTAGTTGATGCAGTTTCTTCCTAGCCTTGATGGTCTTTACATTTTGGCATGTTTTTGCAGTGGCTGGTACCGGTTGTTCCTTTCCATGTTTAGTGCTTCCTTCAGGAGCTCTTTTAGGGCAGGCCTGGTGGTGACAAAATCTCTCAGCATTTGCTTGTCTGTAAAGTATTTTATTTCTCCTTCACTTATGAAGCTTAGCTTGGGTGGGTACGAAATTCTGGGTTGAAAATTCTTTTCTTTAAGAATGCTGAATGTTGGCCCCCACTCTCTTCTGGCTTGTAGAGTTTCTGCCAAGAGATCCGCTGTTAGTCTGACCGGCTTCCCTTTGTGGGTAACCCAGCCTTTCTCTCTGGCTGCCCTTAGCATTTTTTCCTTCATTTCAACTTTGGTGAATCTGACAATTATGTGTCTTGGAGTTGCCCTTCTCGAGGAGTATCTTTGTGGCATTCTCTGTATTTCCTGAATCTGAATATTGGCCTGCCTTGCTAGATTGGGGAAGTTCTCCTGGATAATACCCTGCAGAGTGTTTTCCAACTTGGTTCCATTCTCCCCGTTACTTTCAGGTACACCAATCAGACGTAGATTTGGTCTTTTCACATAGTCCCATATTTCTTGGAGGCTTTGTTCATTTCTTTTTATTCTTTTTTCTCTAAACTTCCCTTCTCGCTTCATTTCATTCATTTCATCTTCCATTACTGATACCGTTTCTTCCAGTTGATCGCATCGGCTCCTGAGGCTTCTGCATTCTTCACGTAGTTCTCGAGCCTTGGCTTTCAGCTCCATCAGCTCCTTTAAGGACTTCTCTGCATTGGTTATTGTAGTTATCCATTTGTCTAATTTTTTTTCAAAGTTTCTAACTTCTTTGCCATTGGTTTGAATTTCCTCCTGTAGCTCGGAGTAGTTGGACCGTCTGAAGCCTTCTTCTCTCAACTCGTCAAAGTCATTCTCTGTCCAGCTTTGTTCCATTGCTGGTGAGGGAGCTGCATTCCTTTGGAAGAGGAGAGGCACTCTGCTTTTTAGAGTTTCCAGTTTTTCTGCTCTGTTTTTTCCCCATCTTTGTGGTTTATCTACTTTTGGTCTTTGATGATGGTGATGTACAGATGGGTTTTTGGTGTGGATGTCCTTTCTGTTTGTTAGTTTTCCTTCTAACAGACAGGACCCTCAGCTGCAGGTCTGCTGGAGTTTTCTAGAGGTCTACTCCAGACCCTTTTTGCCTGGGTGTCAGCAGCAGTGGCTGCAGAACAGCAGTGGCTGTAGAACAGCGGATTTTGGTGACCTGCAAATGCTGCTGCCTGATTGTTCCTCTGGAATTTTTGTCTCAGAGGAGTACCCGGCCATGTGAGGTGTCAGTCTGCCCCTACTGGGGGGTTGCCTCCCAGTTAGGCTGCTGGGGGGTCAGGGACCCATTTGAGGAGGCAGTCTGCCCATTCTCAGATCTCCAGCTGTGTGCTGGGAGAACCACAACTCTCTTCAAAGCTGTCAGATAGGGACATTTAAGTCTGCAGAGGTTACTGCTGTCTTTTTGTCTGTCTGTGCCCTGCCCCCAGAGGTGGAGCCTACAGAGGCAGGCAGGCCTCCTTGAGCTGTGGTGGGCTCCACCCAGTTCGAGCTTCCTGGCTGCTTTGTTTACCTAATCAAGCCTGGGCAATGGCAGGCGCCCCTCCCCCAGCCTCGCTGCCGCCTTGCAGTTTGATCTCAGACTGCTGTGCTAGCCATCAGTGAGACTCTGTGGGCGTAGGACCCTCCGAGCCAGGTGCGGGATATAATCTCCTGGTGCACCGTTTTTTAAGCCCGTTGGAAAAGCGCAGTATTAGGGTGGGAGTGACCCAATTTTCCAGGTGCCGTCTGTCACCCCTTTCTTTGACTAGGAAAGGGAACTCCCTGACCCCTTGTGCTTCCCGAGTGAGGCAATGCCTTGCCCTGCTTCGGCTCATGCACGGTGTGCTGCACCCACTGTCCTGCGCCCACTGTCTGGCACTCCCTAGTGAGATGAACCTGGTACCTCAGATGGAAATGCAGAAATCACCCGTCTTCTGCGTTGCTCACGCTGGGAGCTGTAGACCGGAGCTGTTCCTATTCGGCTATCTTGGCTCCATGCCCCCATCAATTCTTATTTATTTATCTTTTTGAGACAGAGTCTCACTCTGTCATCCAGGCTAGAGTACAGTGGTGCAATCTCGGCTCACTGCAACTTCTGCCTCCTAGGTTCAAGTGATTCTCCTGCCTCAGCCTCCCAAGTAGATGGGATTATAGGCACCTGCCATCACACCTAATTTTTGTGTTTTTAGGAGAGAGGGGGTTTCACTATGTTGGCCAGGCTGGTCTCGAACTCCTGACCTCAAGTGATCCACCCGCCTCGGCCTCCCGAAGTCCTGGGATTACAGGCATGAACCACTGTGCCTGGCCTCAATTCTTTAGAAGTTTGAAAATGACCTTCGTGGCTCACTGATATTTTTATGTTTCCTGTGGTCTTGAAGATAATGTGTATTCCATAATTATATCTAGATTTTTATATGATCATCAAGATTATAACTTGTAATGTTCAAATCTTGTGCTCAAATTGGATTTGCCAATTTTTGTCTGCTATGTTTCAAGGGCTCCTGGGTTTTTTTGTTTGTTTGGTTTTGTTTGAGACAGAGTCTTGTTCTGTCGCTCAGGCTGGAGTCTGGAGTGCAATGGTGAGATCTCGGCTCACTGCAACCTCCGCTTCCCAGGTTCAAGTGATTCTCCTGCCTCAGCCTCAGCCTCAGCTGAGGTTACAGGTGCCCGCCACCACACCTGGCTAATTTTTGTATTTTTAGTAAAGACGGGGTTTCCCCATGTTGGTTAGGCTGGTCTTGAACTCCTGAACTCAAGCAGTCCACCTGTCTCGGCCTCCCAAAGTGCTGGGAGTATAGGCGACAGCCACCATGCCCAGCTCAGGCTCCTGTTTTTTATATCTTCTCCTCTTATTTATTTTTATTTTTTTGAGATAGAATCTCACTCTGTCACCCAGGCTGGAGTACAGTGGCACAATCTTGGCTTACTGCAACCTCTGCCTCCCGGGTTCAAGCGATTCTCCTGCCTCAGCCTCCTAAGCAGCTCAGAGTACAGGCGCCCACCACCATGCCCAGCTGATTTTTTGTATTTTTAGTAGAGATGGGGTTTCACCATGTTGGCCAGACTGGTCTTGAACTTCTAATCTCATGATCCGCCTGCCTCGGGCTCCCAAATTGCTGGGATTACAGGTGTAAGCCATCACATCTGGCTTTTTTTTTTTTTTTTTTTTTTTTTTGAGATGGATTCTCACTCTGTCGTCCAGGCTGGAGTCTGGAGTGCAATGGTGCGATCTTAGCTGCAATGGTGCGATCTCAGCTCACCGCAACCTCTGCCTCCCAGGTTCCAGCGATTCTCCTGCCTCAGCCCCCTGAGTAGCTGGGACTACAGGTGTGCACCACCATGCCCAGCTAATTTTTCATATTTTTAGTAGACATAGGGTTTCACCACGTTGGCCAGACTGGTCTCGAACTCCTGACTTCAGGCGATCCACCTGCCTCAGTCTCCCAGTGCTGGGATTACAGGTGTGAGCCACTGTGCCTGGCCGAAATTTTTAATTATGGTAACTTTTTCAAGAAATTCTGGTTAGCCAGAGGATACCAGAGGCTGAAAAGCATGGGGGGAAAGGGAGATAGAGAGAGACTTGCTAAAGGATACAAAATTACAGCTAGACAGGAGGAACAGGTTCTAGTGTTCTACACACAGCAGGGTGGCTAGAGCTCACATTAATATTAATATGTAGCTTCAGATAGCTAGGGGAGGATATTGAATGTTCCCAACACAAATAAATGGTACATTTAAAAAATTTTTAAAGTTATTTGTAGAGATGGGATCTCACTATGTTGCCAGGCTGGTCTCCAACTCCTGGGCTCAAGTGATCCTCTGCCTTGGCCTCCCAAGGTGTTGGGATTACAGGCGTGAGCCACCACACCTAGTCTCTCAGTGCGTTTAACCTCCTCACTCACTCTGCCAAAACCCACTCGTCTCCCGAAGACAGACCCCCATCTGAAGCTCAGGTCCCTGCTCAGCTCCCTTCCTGAGCCTCCCGAGGGCTCCTTGGTGGACCCCGGAGCACAAGTCCTCAGTGGCCCTGGACAGATGGTCTGCACTCTGGTCAGCGGACTCCCGTGTCGTTATTTTCCAGACTCATTTACGTGGCGGGCCGGGAGGGTCACATGCTCAAAGTGCTTTCTTACATCAGCGTCAGGCGCCTCACTCCAGCCCCCGCCATCATCTTTTATGTGAGTACAAATCCCGCTACCAGCCTATCTTCAAGGCGGGGACACTCCATCCATGGGGTGCTAAGCCCGGCGGCTTCCAAATGACCCAGATGCCCTTATTCCTTGCTATGAAACAGATATAGAAAGAGTCCCAGGACAAGTGAAACAACATACCCAATATCTGCTCCTTTGTCTGAATTTATCCACGAAAGACAGTGTATGCCCTCAATGCTTCTGTGTGCATTTGTCTGTGCTGGGTCCCTGGTAACAAACTCTATATAAAAGCCCACTAGCTTACAGGGAAGGAGAGCAAGACATTTTCCCAGGTAGTTACTGACAGCTGCCTCTCATTATGCTCTAATGATTAAGAAGTCACCGGATCCTTGTGCAGTAAACGCCCTTTGACTTTTTTTTTGATACGGAGTCTTGCTCTGTCACCCAGGCTGGATGGAGTGCAGTGCCATGATCTTGGCTCACTGCATCCTCCGCCTCCCAGGTTCAAATGATTCTCCTGCCTCAGCCTTCCGAGTAGCTGGGATTGAAGGGGCCTGCCATCACGCCTGGCTACTTTTTGTATTTTTAGTAGAGATGGGGTTTCACCATGCTGGCCAGGCTGGTCTTGAACTCCTGGCCTCAAGTGATTTGCCCACCCCAGCCTCCCAAACTGCTGGATTACAAGCATGAGCCACCGTGCCTGGCCACCCCTTTGACATCTGCCCATGGGAGCTTCTCCATGGTGCATGGTTCTTGTTTTGTGCAACTGTTCTGGGCACTGATAAACCATCCACATTTCTAGCCCCAGGGGTGGTCTACACTCCTTCCCCCAGAGGAGAACCACTACTCTCTATCATTCTGAAGACAGGAAAACACACCCAGGAAATACCAGTCCAGGGCCACACAACTAACACAGGCCAAGACTAGACCTGAGCTTCTAATCCAGGGCCCCAGCCCACATTGAAAACTCTCTGTGTGGAAAATTCTTAATTATGAAGCTGGTATAATATTCATACATATTAGGTTGGTGCAAAAGTAATTGCGGTTTTTTACCATTAAAACCGTGAGATGGCGAAACCCCATCTCACTAAAAATACAAAAATTAGCCGGGTGTGGTGGTGCCTGCCTATAATCTCAGCTACTCAGGAGGCCGAGGCAGGAGAATCGCTTGAACTTGGGAGGCGGAGGTTGCAGTCAACCGAGATCACGCCACTGCATTCGAGCCTGGGTGACAGAGTGAGACTCCATCTCAAACAAAACAAAACAAAACAAAACAAAACAAAAAAACCCACAGTTACTTTTGCACCAACCTAATATTTTATTTTTCCCTTGCTTAAAATCACAACCTCAAAGATTCAGAAATTTCCCAGGTCTTTTCTGCAAGCTTCATAGAGAAGAGCTATCATAGCCAAAGTCAGGTTTAACCCCAACTATGAAGGAATGCCTAGAAGTTCGTTTCATGCTAAAGTGTTTATTCACAAGAAAAACTGCTTCTTCGGTCTTCTGTGACATGAGAACAGTGTTTTGTAGTAATGACCTACAAATCCATTCTTCTTTCTATTAGGGTATCATAGCAACGATTTATATCATCCCTGGTGACATAAACTCGTTAGTCAATTATTTCAGCTTTGCCGCATGGCTGTTTTATGGCCTGACGATTCTAGGACTCATCGTGATGAGATTTACAAGGAAAGAGCTGGAAAGGCCTATCAAGGTAAGCTTGCAGCCCCAGAGTCACGAGTGGCTTTGGATTTTTTAATGAATTAGATGTAACTCTTTCAAATGCTAGGGGCATGCCTTCTAGTTCCAATCTGACTTGACTCTTTTAAAATATCGTATTTTAGAGTGGAGTTTACTCTTCACAGCATAGTTTATGATCCAGTTAGCCACCTTGTTATTCATTTTATTAAGTCATCACGAATACCTGTGGCCCGTCTCTGTAACCAAAGAGGTCCACCTGGCTCTCATTTGTTTTGAGGCAGAGTCTCACTTTGTCGCCTGGGCTGGAGTGCAGTGGCGCATCCTTGGCTCACTGCAGCCTCTGCCTCCCCGGTTCAGGCAACTCTCCTGCTTCAGCTTCCCAAGTTGCTGGGATTACAGACATCTGCCATCACGCCTGGCTAATTTTTGTATTTTTAGTAGAGATGGGGTTTTACCATGTTGGCCGGGCTGGTCTCTAACTCCTGACCTCAAGTGATCTGCCTGCCTTGGCTTCCCAAAGTGCTGGGATTACAGGTGTCAGCTACTGCACCCAGCCCAGTTCTGATATCTCTCGCACATATATTTTTCATAGATTTTTCTTGTTTCATTTTTTTTTCTTTGGAGACAGGGTCTCACTGTGTTGCCTAGGCTGGTCACAAACTCCTGGGCTCAAGCGATCCTCCCACCTTGGCTTCCCAAAGTCCTGGGATTACAGGTGTGAGCCACTATGCCGGCCTCCTTTCATAGACTGATGGGAACTTCTGAACTCCAGCCGCAGACTCATTGCTGTGCATGCAACCACTCAGAGTCTATTCTTGCCATCTGTTTCGGGCTCCCTCTCACTCCCTGCATGGCTGGTGTGGATCTATATACCAATAAGGATGAAGTAGAATTTTATTGTTGTTATGTTAAGGGGCTTTAAAAAAAACCTGCTATTTAATTCTTATGATAACAGACATAAGAAAAAGGTAAGCTGAGGGCTTAAGTAACTAGGACGAGAATAAGGACAATGTCTTTAGCTTTAGGACTTTGTTTTCAGAGATACATCCAGTGGTCTTTCTGGCCCTGTGTCTTGACTATGGACAAGTCTCTGGCATCAGCTGAGTCATGGCACAGCCTGCCTGGAGTCTGGCAGATCCACCTTGGTTAAGTCATTGCAGGCAAAATTATGACGGTAGCATAGACTTGTAATCTGCACAAAATCCCTCATAGAAACAGACAGAGCCTCTAGGATACCAAAGGAAAACACTTCAGCCAACATTGTCAACACAAATCAAGGAAATGAAGTCTTACCACCAACTCCAGACTCTAAGTGGATGCCCCACTGGACTCCAGCACCATGTGTTCCCAGGAGAGAGGGCGCACGTGGAACGAGGTTCTCAGTGGGAAGATCAGAGGACCCCCAGGGGAGGTGGAGGAGCAGGGCTGCAGTGGCTTAAGCCCTTGAGGATCCCAGAAACTCCCCACAAAAACTCCTTTCCAGAAGGATAAGGATCACTGACGACAACAGCAAGAGAAACAACTGCTGGGAGAGAAAGGACATGGAACTTGGCAAGAATATCAGGGTCAAGGAGCTGGAGCCTGTGGATACAAATCTCTCAACTGGGAAGGGGCTCCACAGAGAGGCCATGTCCCATTAGCACTTCAAAACATCATTTTAGGGAAAAAAATCATTTCAGAAATAAAGAGTGGGCAAGAAGGAAAAGAAGGAACACAGAGGCTGAGTGTGGTGGCTCACACCTGTAATCCCAGTACTTTGGGAGGCCAAGGGAGGAAGATCACTTGATCCCAGGAGTTCAAGACCAGCTTGGGCAACAGCAAGACCCTGTCTCTACAAAAAGATAGCTGGGTGTGGTGGTGCACGCCTATAGTCCCAGCTATTTGGGAGGCTGAGGTGGGAGGAATGCTTGAGCCCAGGAGGTCAAGGCTGCAGTGAGCCAAGATCGTGCCACTGCACTCCAGCCTGGGCAACAGAGAGGGACCCCGTTGCAAAGAAAAAAAGAAAAGAAAGAACATAAGAGCAAAGAAACATGCTAGGAAACAGAAGGCCAAAAGGAAGAAAACAAATATCAGACAGAAGTAGAAAGGGTTTGAGAGAAAACAAGGGGACAGAAAAAAACTAGGGGTGGGGAAGGTGGGGAATCTAATACATGCATAATTGGAGTCCCTGAAGAAGAAAATGCAAGTAACAGAATCCCAAAATCCATAATTCAAGAAACATTTCCTGGGGTGGGAGGAAAAATGGAGGGTGATCTTGAACCAACATACTGAAA
This sequence comes from Homo sapiens, assembly GCF_000001405.40. NCBI lineage: Eukaryota > Metazoa > Chordata > Mammalia > Primates > Hominidae > Homo > Homo sapiens. The sequence goes on along the minus strand of NC_000019.10, from coordinate 32,839,907 downwards.
GGCATACAATGTAACTGGAAATTTTGAGCTAAAATTGGCAGCAAAAATATATGCTGATAAAATTACAGAGCTTTAAAAAAATGCTTTGGGCATCCCCTCCCCTTTTCCTGTTCCCACTCCCATCTGCAATTCACTTATAAAGGAAAGGAAATAATTCTGGCCTCAAACTTTTCACCACCAACACTTCATGCTGCAAGAGAGTGGAGCAACATATTTAAACTACTCAAAGGAGGAAAATGTAAGCCAGATTCTTATACCCAGCCAAACTGACCTTGCAGAATAAAGTCTACAGTCACTAGTATGAAAGAACTCAAGGCAAATATCCTTACACGAGACTTTTTTTTTTTTTTTTTTTGAGACGGAGTGTCACTCTGTCATCCAGGCTGGAATGCAGTGGCGCCATCTCAGCTCACTGTAACCTCCGCCTCCTGGGTTCAAGCAATTCTCCTGTGTCAGCCTTCTAAGTAGCTGGGATTATAGGCGCGTGCCACCACGCCTGGCTAATTTTTATATTTTTAGTAGAGACAGGGTTTCACCATGTTGGTCAGGCTGGTCTCGAACTCCTGACTTTGTGATCCACCCACTTCAGCCTTCCAAAGTGCTGGGATTACAGGTGTGAGCCACCGTGCCCCGCCAATTACATGAGACCTTGAGGAATCACCCAGAGAATGAGCTTCAGAAACCAAAAAGTCACTGGCAAAGGTGAATATATCAAATTATAGAACTAAGATTAATGATGAGAGATAAAGGGGACAGAAGTGTATGCCACTATTATGCACTGGCAATATCATACAAAAACATGGACGAGAGAAAGCACATGGAAAAGTATATGCCAACTGAGGAAAGTATGCCAGACAAGCTGCCAATAAGGAAGCCACTTTAAATTAGATGCTGGGAGGAAGAGAACACCTAGCTAACTTCATTATTGCTTATTATACACAATGTCTAAAAAAAGAAGAAACTAAGGGTATTATATGCTCAGTTAATAATATAATTCATATCTTTAAAAGGGGACTAAGGGCATTATACATAATATATACATATATGTGTACTATATATGTGTATAATGTATAATATATGTAATATATGTGTATAATAGATATATATGTATATATTTGTATATGTATATATGTGCATATATGTATATATGTATATGTGTATCATTACATGTCTGTTATACATACAAATACATATACATATAAGTACATATATACATATATAATATCTTTAAAAGGGGACTAAGGGTATTATATAAGGATATAAGATATAAATATGTTGTATATAAGTATATATTATAGGTATATGTATAATATACGTTTTTATATACACATGATATGTATATATACATAATATATAACATATATACAACAAATATATATAGCATTAAATATATGTATATTATGCCTATTATATATGTATAGATTGTGCCTATTAGATATAATATATTCTTATATAATATACACATATATTATACAGAATATATCCTTATATAATAATGCCCTTAGTCCCCTTTAAAATATATTAGTTATAATATATTAGCTATAATAGTTACAGTAACTCTCAGAACAAAAACACATCCTTCATACCTACCAAAAGACACATTAAAAAAGAGGAAGTGTGCTTAGAATACATGAAATAATTAAAATTTAACATTTAAACAAAGGAGGGAAACAAAACAGACCATACTGTAAAGGACCCTACCTATAAAGCCTTGTTTATATTAAGCGGCCTTTTATTTTACTTCCTGTTTGTCCACTACAAGTTTGGATGGGCTCAGAAAATCTCAAGTAAGTACCAACAGAAGGGCCGCTTGGCTTCTGTGAGGTGCAGGCAGGCACGGCGTCCTCACCTGTCCTGACTCCAAGACCTCTGTCACAGTGTCTCACCCTGCTGGCAGATCTCCCTCAGAATACCTTCCTGGTTGATGTTTTCTTGTAGACTGCTTATTAGGATTTTTTGTCATTGCTATTTTTTGCTTATTAGCTTTTAACACCCTGAACTATAGAATCCATGCATCTCTAAATGCTTTCATTTCCAGCTGATATTTATATGGAAAAATCAGTATCTGAATCCCCAAAATGTAGTATAAACTTTTGACAAAATGTGTGATAAAAGTTTCAAGTTACATTCCAAATTCAACACACATCAAAATCACGTGTAGGCGTACTGAAAGCCACGTGTAGGCGTACTGACAGTGTGAGGTGTAAGCGTCTCACGTCTTGCGAGACCATGTTATTGCATTAAAGGCAGTCATTGGTCAACAACCATGTTAACTGTTTGGTCACCAAAAATTATTTTAAACACAGTTTACCATCTAATGTAATCTGTGTTGGGTAACATGTTATTTATATGCACATTTACTGTTTTTTGGTTGGGAATTTGAGGTTTCTTTTTTTTTTTTTTTTTTTTTTTTTTGAGATGGAATCTCCTCTGTCACCCAGGCTGGAGTGCAGTGGTGTGATTACAACTCACTGCAACCGTGCCTCCCAGGCTCAAGCGATCCTCCCACCTCAGCCTCCCAAATAGCTGGGACCACAGGTGCACGCCACCACACCTGGCTAATTTTTGTATTTTTTGTAGACATGGGGTTTCGCCATGTGGGCCAGACTGGTCTTGAACTCCTGGCTCAAGTTATCTTCCTGCCTTGGCCTCCCAAAGTACTGGGATTACAGGTGTGAGCCACAGCACCTGGCAGGAAATTTGAGGTTTCCTATGGTGAATTTAAAAGAAGGGACACAGGCCTGGGGGGTTCTTCCATAGAACATCACTCTTCGAGGACGCAAGACTGACAGTGAGTAGAGGATGCTTGTATACAGAAAGATAAAACAACACGAGAGAATGGAGACCAGACTTATCATTATATGAATAAACGGGCTTACTCCATTTAAATTGGACTTACATCAGCCATTGAAAGTAAAAGATTTTTCAGGCGGATCTTCAAAGCTGTGAAAAATTAAAAGAACAGGCAGAGAAATATCAAGCAAATGAATATACAGAAAAACAGGGGCTGTGATCTTATCAGACAAGTGCTCAGGCCCAAAGCATTATTTAAGACAAAGACAGGCCATGCTAAAGGCTAAAATCCACAATGAAGAGGTAAGTTTTGAAAACCTATTCACCAAACCATATAGCAACCATCTTTACGAAGCAGAAACTGCAGGAAATCCACGGAGGGAGAAACACGTTAATAACAGGTGACTGGAAAACACCTCCTTCAGGCCAAGACAGATCTGGACGCAGCACTGGTAAAAGTGACTGGGGATCTAAAATATAGCAAGATAGATCTTAGAGGTTTGTATCAAGCCCCGAACCCCAGCAACAGCGAGTATACCTTTTTCAGTTGCAAATGGGACCTGTCTGAAAACTGACAGCTTTTAATGCCATGAAGAAAACCTTGATATTTCAAAAAGAAAACCCCAGAAATCAAAACAACCAAAAAGCAAATAACATTCTCTCTCTTTAATGAAACAAAACAGGAAATTGATAAAAGAAAAAAGTTAAACTTTTGGGTCCAAGAGGAAATATTAATAGAAATAGAAGATAAAAGTACATAAATTCTGGCCGGGCGCAGTGGCTCACGCCTGTAATCCCAGCATTTTGGGAGGCCAAGGCGGTTGCATCACTTGAGGTCAGGAGTTCAAGACCAGCCTGGCAAACATGGTGAAACCCCATCTCTACTAAAAATACAAAAATTAGGCCGGGTGTGGTGGCTCACACCTGTAATCCCAGCATGTTGGGAGGCTGAGGCCGGCGGATCACAAGGTCAGGAGATCGAGACCATCCTAGCCAACATGGTGAAACCCTGTCTCTACTAAAAATACAAAAAATTAGCCGGGCGTGGTGGCGGGCACCTGTAGTTCCAGCTACTCGGGAGGCTGAGGCTGAGAATCACTTGAACCTGGGAGGCAGAGGTTGCAGTGAGCCGAGATTGTGCCACTGCACTCCAGCCTGGGTGACAAAGTGAGACTCGGACACACACACACACACACACACACATACACACACACACACACACACAGTACATAAATTCCTAGAAATAGCAGTAATGATGACAGGACATATAATCTATGAACACAGCTTAAATAGTGCTTTGAGGAAGCTCCATTACATTAAATATATCAATAAAAATGAAAACAAATTAAATAGACAACTCCAAAAGCAAGATAAAGAACAACAGAAAACCAAAAGAAAACAGAAGGAACTAATAAGCAGAAAAAAACTTAAGGTGTTAGAAAAAACAGAAATGAATGAATGAGTGAATAATAATCAGTCTTTTTGAAAGTTTTCCTCCTTTTTCAATGCTCTGGAATAAATTAAGCAATACTGGAATTGTCTGATTTTTAGAATTTCCCTGTGATTCTAATGCAACTAAGATCAGTTTTAGTAAATTACATTTTCCTAGAAAATTGTTCATTTCTTCCATGTATTCAAATTTATCTGTATAGAGTTGTACAAAATAGTCTTATGATTTGTATTAATCTTTAGAACATAACTTATGTTGTAAAGATTAATTGCCCATTTTTATTTTTTATTTGTGTTTGTGCTTTCTCCTTTTTAAGGTTAGCTATTGATTTTATTGATTTTTCAAATTATTTTTAGACTGTAACATTGACACCAAACCTTACAAAGGTAACTTCACACAAAAAAGGGAAATGTACTCACCAATCTCACTTAGGAATAACGATATAAAAAATCTAAAATAAAATGTTAACAAACAGAACCCAGTTACACTAAAAAGATAATATATCATGACTAGGTCCAGCCTATGCAAAGGTAGCTGAAGACCGAAAATCCATTAATTAAAAGTTTAATTCAGGGGCTGGGTGTGATTGGCTCATGCCTGTAATCCCAGCGCTCTGGGAGGCCAAGATGGGCAGATCATTTGAGGTCAGGAGTTCGAGACCAGCCTGGCCAACGTGGTGAAACCCTGTCTCTACTAAAAATAAAAAATTAGCTGGGCATGTTGGCACACGCCTGTAATCCCAGCTACTTGGGAGGCTGAGGCAGGAGAACTGTTTGAACCCAAGAGGCAGAGGTTGCAGTGAGCCAAGATCACGCCACTGCACTCCAGCCTGAGCGACAGAGCGAGACTCTGTCTTGGGAAACAAAACAAACAAAAAAACACAGTCAAAGGAAAAATGCAATGACACTTAAAAATGAAAACAAAACAATCCCAGCAAACTTAACTTTGTTCCTAATAAGAGAATACCAAAATTAATCTCTGTCCTTGAAAAAGGATAATGAGTACTCCAATCACCCAGGTTATGGTCTTTATTTATTTTTAGAGTCTCACTCTGTCTCCTGGGCTGGAGTGCAGTGGCACATTCTTTGCTCACTGCAGCCTCCGCCTCCCGGGTTCAAGCGACTCTCCTGCTTCAGCTTCCCAAGTTGCTGGGATTACAGGCATCTGCCATCACGCCCGGCTAATTTTTGTATTTTTAGTAGAGACGGGGTTTCACCATGTTGGCCAGGCTGATCTTGAACTCCTAGACTCAAGTGATCTGCCTGCCTCAGCCTCCCAAAGTGCTGGGATTACAGGAGCGAACCACTGCAGCCAGCCTCCAGGTTATGGTCTTTAAATGCCATTTCCTGCTAAAAGGAAACAAAGCTCTCTGGAGAAATGGATGAAAACCCACGTCTGGCTCTGGAGAGATAAATGAAAACCCAGGTATGGCACTTCTTGTCACCCAGAAAACAAAGAGGCTTTTGAAGAGCACTGGCGTCCCATTCCCAGGGCCCAGGACAGTGTGAGGGGTTCCTGCCGCCCCGCACAGGACCTTCTGAACAACGTGAACAATGACTACAACGGGTTGAAACTCACCATGTATAGAAAAACCCACAGGCTGGAGTTGCCTTTGGAGGTCTCAGGGGCCCAACTTGTCATTCTGGAAACACACAGAATACAGCACTAATCCTGCCTTTCCTGTATGAACTGCAATTCAGAATAACCAGAAAGTTGAAGTACTTCATATAGCATTTCAGATAATTGAGGAAGAAATTACAAATTAGAAAAATCACCATTTTGCAAACCCTGATGAAACAATGAAGGCAACGATCATCAGTGGATGCTAAAACATTAAACAGTTTATCTATTTTTTTTTTTCTTTTTTGAGATGGAGTTTCCCTCCCGTGGCCCAGGCTAGAGTGCAATGGTGCAATCTCGGCTCACTGCAACCTCTGCCTCCTGGGTTCAAGCGACTCTCCTGCCTCAGCTCCTGAGGAGCTGGGATTACAGGCACCTGCCACCACGCCCAGCTAACTTTTGTGTTTTTGGTAGAGATGGTGTTTCACTATGTTGGCCAGGCTGGTCTTGAGCTCCTGACCTCAAGGGACCCACCGGCCTCGGCCTCCCTAAGTGCTGGGATTACAGGTGTGAGCACCCATGCCCGGCCAAAAAACTTTTTAAAAAGTAAAGAAAATTTTTAAAAGGTATAGATGAAATAAGATTGGCAAAATTACATTAAAATGATTGAAATTGGAGGAGGGGGTACATGGAGTTCATACTCTTTTTATAAAAATCGGTTTTTTATCATGAAAAATTTCAAAAAGAAAATGGGTACCCATGACCTGTTTTTCGTCTCCAGGTGCCCGTAGTCATTCCCGTCTTGATGACACTCATCTCTGTGTTTTTGGTTCTGGCTCCAATCATCAGCAAGCCCACCTGGGAGTACCTCTACTGTGTGCTGTTTATATTAAGCGGCCTTTTATTTTACTTCCTGTTTGTCCACTACAAGTTTGGATGGGCTCAGAAAATCTCAAGTAAGTACCAACAGAAGGGCCGCTTGGCCTCTGTGAGGTGCAGGCAGGCACGGCGTCCTCACCTGTCCTGACTCCAAGACCTCTGTCACAGTGTCTCACCCTGCTGGCAGATCTCCCTCGTCCCAGGAGGACACATGCCCACGCCCTCACTGTACACCTCTGGGTCCACCCTTGATTGTTTTGTTCCTGTCAATTACTGTAATAAGTAGGAAGGGAAAGCACCATTTTCTTTTCTTTTTGGAGACACAGTCTTGCTCTGTTGCCCAGGCTAAAGTGCAGTGGCATGGTCATAGCTCACTGCAGTCTTGAACTCCCGGGCTCAAGCCATCCTCCCACCTGGGCCTCCCAAGTAGCTGGGACCACAGGCACACACTACACCTGGCTATTTTTTTTACTTTTTGTAGAGAAGGAGTCTCGCTAGGTGGCCCAGACTGGTCTTGAACTCCTGGGCTCAAATGACCCTTCCACCTTGGCTCTCCAAAGTGCTGGGACTACTGGCCTAAGCCACCGTACCTGGCCGTTTTTCTTTTTCTTTCTTTCTTTCTTTTTTTTTTTTTTTTTGAGACACAGTCTCACTCTGTTGCCCAGGCTGGAGTGCAGTGGTGCGGTCTCAGCTCACTGTGCAACCTCCACCTCCCGGTTCAAGCGATTCTTGTGCCTCAGCCTTCCGAGTAGCTGGGATTACAGGTGTGCACCACCACGCCCAGCTAATTTTTGTATTTTTAGTACAGATGAGGTTTTACCATGTTGGCCAGGCTGGTCTCCAACTCCTGACCTTAGGTGATCCACCCACCTCGGCCTCCCAAAGTGCTGGGATTACAGATGTCAGCCACTGCGCCCGGCCCATTTTCTTTGTTTTGAGATGGAGTTTTGCTCTTGTTGTCCAGGCTGGAATGCACTGGCACGATCTCGGCTCACTGCAACCTCTGCCTCCCACGTTCAAGCGATTTTCCTGCCTCAGCCTCCTGAGTAGTTGGGATTACAGGCGCCTGCCACCACACCCGGCTAATTTCCTTGTTGTTGTTTTGTATTTTTAGTAGAGTCGGGGTTTCATCATGTTGGCCAGGCTGGTCTTGAACTCCTGACCTCAGGTGATCCACCTGCATCAGTCTCCCGAAATGTAGGGATTACAGGCATGAGCCACTGCGCCCAGCCCCATTTTCTTTTTAATTGCGAAAGACACACAACATAAACGTTTCTATCTCAGCCACTTGTCAGTGTAAAGTTCAGTAGCATTAGGCATATTCCCACCATCATGCGTCTCATCCTGAAACACCATTCTCCTTTGTCTGATATGCAGACATCATCTAAGAGGCCTAGCAGCATTGCAAAGACACACAAAAAGTCATGGCCTTGGCCTGGGGAACTGGGCTGGGGCCCAAGCCTTTTAATGCCAAGGGCACAGGGCTCACTCTTTCAGCAGTCCTGACCCTCATCAGTTTTAGGACAGTTGTTTAAAAGTTTAGCTATGTTAGTAGCCACTTTTGCTTCTGAAAAGAAAGCACTTGTGTCAAAGTACATCAAAAGAGACGGAATTACACCTTTAAAAAAGTCTATATCGGGCCGGGCACGGTGGCTCATGTCTGTAATCCCAGCACTTTGGGAGGCTGAGGGGGCAGATCACGAGGTCAGGAGATCGAGACCATCGTGGCTAACACGGTGAAACCCCGTCTCCACTAAAAATACAAAAAAAAATTAGCCGGGCGTGGTGGCGGGCGCCTGTAGTCCCAGCTACTCAGGAGGCTGAGGCAGAAGAATGGCGTGAACTCGGGAGGCGGAGCTTGCGGTAAGCCAAGATCCCCCCACTGCACTCCAGCCTGGGCAACAGAGCGAGAGTCCATCTCAAAAAACACAAAAACAAAAAGTCTATATTACATTCACAATGTTTTATCCTTTACAACAGATTCAACTGCAGGAAACCCTATTTCTTTCTTTCTTTTTTTTTTTTTTGTATTTTTAGTAGAGACGGGGTTTCACTGTGTTAGCCAGGATATTCTCGATCTCCTGACCTCGTGATCCGCCTGCCTAGGAAACCCCATTTCTAAAAGCCTTTAAGACTTCCTGGGCATCCTCTTCCAGGAGCTCCTTGAGGACAGGACTTGGGCTGTGTGCAATTTAACTCTGGCTGCGGCAGCCTGTAACAGCCAGTTAAGATTTATTAAGTGAATGTGATTAAAAGCCTGCCTGTTTCTCCTGTTCAGCTCATCTGAACTGGAAAGTGCAGTCGTCCCTCCGGACACTCCTAGGAGGTTTTTATTTCTATTCCTGCAATTCTGGGAGAAGACAGAAGCCAGGAAAGTGTGAAATCCAACCAGAAGGCAGGAAAGCTGGCCATCCTGAGCACAGGGTCTAGGTGACGCATCACCAAAGACTGAAAACAATGTCACCCTCACCCACAACAACTCCAGTGAAACTTTCGAATTTCAGTCTAACTAACTGTACTCATTTTTGACTCTTATTTCAGAGCCGATTACCATGCACCTTCAGATGCTAATGGAAGTGGTCCCACCGGAGGAAGACCCTGAGTAACAAGCTCCGTCTCTTGTAGCCAAGTCAGCTGAATTTATTTTCTTAAGCAATATTTGTGGTTATTTCTTCCTTTTTTTCTTACGAATAAAATATACTCAGATGTTTAAAATATTGTTATTTTTAGATATTCTTAGTTCTCTGAGTGGGGGTTCTAGAAAGGGGAAGTGGCAAGTGTTTGTTTGCTAAAGTTGTTGTCAGGTGAGATGTCACCTAACAAACAAGAGGCAGATGCTTAGGGAAGGGCTGAATAAAAGCCTCCATTACAGTGGCAGCTATTTAACAAGGGGCACATCACACTTAAATGAAAGGTGTTCTTTAAACTCAATGTCAATAAGGTCTCTTATATAAAATGGATGACATTTTTGCTTTGATTGATTGATTGATTGCTATAGATTTTAAAACAACAGTAAATTACTGGCCAGGTGTGGTGGCTCACGCCTATAATCTCAGCACTTTGGGAGGCCAAGGCGGATAGATCGCTTGAGTCCAGGAGTTCAAGACCAGCCTGGGCAACATGGCAAAATCATGTATCTAATCTATAAAAAACATAAAAAAATTAGCCAGGCATCGTGTTGCACACCTGTAGCCCCAGCTACTCAAGAGGCTGAGGTGGGAGGATCACCTGAGCCTGGAGTCCAGGGTGTAGTGAGCCATCATCATGCCACTGCACTCCAGCCTGGATGACAGAGACCCCAACTCAAAAAGTAAATAAATATACAAAAATATTAAAGTACAAATGTTTCTCACCCACTCTCCCCTACCCTAAAAGTAAAGTACTGGCGCCCTGTGCTGAACCTGTGATGTGCGTGCCATGTATCTATCTATCTGCCAGGATGAATGGCAAGAGCTGAGCCTCCATCCAGAACCCTCCACAGCCGGTGTGCTCATCACGAGGGTCGCCTGCATTGCCAGTCAGCATCGCTGGCTCCCTAGCAGCCTTCACGGGCGTTTTAGTCAAACCAGAAAGTGTGGTGAGTAAAGTTTTATTCTGTGTTTGGCATTCAGGGAAAGTACTGTTTAAAAAATGTAAAAAGCAACATTTCTGTGAAAACAGTGAAATTTTATTGATGATACACTGCGGAAGACATCCATACCACAACTAAGCATGAGCGATTTTAGAAGCATAGAGACAAAGGCACTTTCACCTTGCATTTTAGATATTTGACCAAAACTTGAAATCAGACATATTCATAGCAGTACAGAAAACCAATGACTAATTGTTCACATAATCAGCATCCTATATCCTACAAAATGTTAGCTTCAGATATTAGAACATTTGAATGTCTGAAAAAAGAAACAGATCTAAGCATGCAGTTGTCCTCCCTGCATTTTCACGAGTGCACAGGAAACACATTGTCACTAGCTATTATCATTTGCTGTGCTGTATGAAAGAGACTCGGCGCACCTGGGTGTAAACAGCAGGCAGCTGGTGCGCACGGGGCGCCACTGGACGGCGGCCTGGTCTCTGCCCCCAGAGCTCCACCAACAGGGCAGCAGCCACATGCAGAGAAACAGACACTGATATGGGTGTTAGAAGAGCTCCACAGTCAAAACCTTCACCAGCAAAAACACCAGAACTTTCTACTTCCCAAGAGCCTGCCCAATTTAGCTACAAAAAAGGAAAATCACCATCTTCCTTCATGGGCTGATTTGATACCTGCCAGTCACCCTGCGAAGGCCATAGCAGTGACCTGGGCACACTCCCGGCAGCTGTCCTGGCTGCACAGCGTGTCCTCCCAGGGGAGGCCAGGGCTCTGAGCCCCCATCAGAGCCACTGGGCAGAAAAACTGCCCAACCCAGCAGCACTCGGCGGGCGCTCCCTGAGACAAGGCCAGGCCACACAATGAGGGGATGTCTCATTTTACAGATGAGAAAACTGAGCCAGAGTGTGATCCAGACCTGCTCACAGGACAGCTTGATGACAAAGTTCACCTCTAGTTCAAGCGGTGGCTTCTGCTGGGACATACATAAGCCTGGGCATTGGCGCTTTCTGATACAAAAAAATAATAAAGATCTTGGGGCCGTCACACAACACTCATGTTCTATCCAAATTCTTTTCCATTCCGAGGCAAAGCTGATAAACAAGACACAGAGTGCACAGGACTTTTAATTTCCCAATAGCTCACCTTTCTCGCTTTTTCAGTCAACAAAGAAACCCAAAGCACAAAAGCCAGCCTCTGGGTGTGGCCATGACTACATACACTCCTCCCCTAAACCTGGTGACCCCCCCCAGTGCTGCAGCCACAATGCAGATGGGGTGGCGAATGTCTGCAGGGCTCACGACATGTAGGCATTCAAAGATCACCTCCAGGCACCCCACAGGCCCTTGTGAATTTCCACTAAAAAGCAACCTTTGTGCCATTTGCTCAGGACTCTGCAGGTCCAAGGGATTGTTTAGAACCAGCAGCTTCACCCCGGAAAGGCCTGGGTCTTACTGAGCAATCCAATTTCTATCCCTGGACTATCTCTTCATCAGAAGTCAACTTACTCTGAGGAGCTATCACTATCCAAGAATGCTAACACTATCAATTCACATAGATGGTTATGTTAAATCCCACTATCTCATGGTTGAAAGGGCTGGTTCAACAGTTGCTGAGTCTAAGTGTGTACATTAGAAACCTCAATTTATATGTGTAAGATCAGGTTTGTAGCAATGTAGCAAAGGTCTAGGTGAAAAAAAATGAATGGACTGACTCCAGACAGTGCATTTCATCACCCAGATGCATGTCTGCTCTGCCAGGGTGAGTGGCGAGAGGCGCCAGACAGGACAGACAAGCCGGCGGAATCAGACCACACCTGCTGTTTCTCTGTGTCCACCCTCCTTTGATGGTCTTATCATCAGCCTATTTTTAAGTCAATGAAGAATTTCTCACCGTTATCAAGTCCAGCACCACAAGGTGACAGTAATCATTTATCCTTGAGGTAAAGAAAGATTTGGTTGGCCGGGTGTGGTGGCTCACACCTGTAATCCCAGCACTTTGGGAGGCTGAGGTGGGAGGATTACCTGAGGTCAGGAGTTCGAGACCAGCCTGTCCAACATGGTGAAACCCTGTCTCTACTAAAAATACAAAAATTGGTCAGGCATGGTGGCACATGCCTGTAATCCCAGCTACTCGGGAGGCTGAGGCAGGAGAATTGCTTGAGCCTGTGAGGCAGAGGTTGCAGTGAGCCAAGATCATGCCACTGCACTCCAGCCTGGCCGACAGAGCAAGACTCTGTCTCAAAAAAAAAAAAAAAAAAAAAAAAAGAAAAGAAAAGAAAAAGATTTGGTTATGACTGACTGTTTTCTTAACTGTCGGTCACATGGCAATATCCATTTTTGTTCAACATCTTCCAGCCGCTCTTGAGGACGTCATTCACCTTCTCTTTCACTCTCACTGTCGTCATCCTCTGAAGTGCTGCTACTGTCTTCAACCACCTCTGTCACTGTGTACGGCAGGTTTTTAGAATTCACTACTAAAGGAGTAAGATATTATAACAAATAAGTGTAGACTAATCAGCAAATCTTTATTTCCCCCCATTATTTGGGTCAATGCAGAAAAAAATGCCTTGGGTTCCAGCTCTATGTATCTTATATTTTCATTATTTTAGGTAAGAAATGAGCAGGTCAAATTGGTCTGCTTACAAATAATTTATTCTTCTAGGAAGAATATCTGTAGTGTGTTATTAAAAGGTGTGTTTATCACCAAGGGTTGAAAAGTACTCAAACCAGAACGTTTAGCACCAAGATAAACAAAGAGAAAACTGATTTCTCAGGGCTTGACATGAACGGTCCACTTCCACCAAGGCTGAATTCCTAAGTGGGTGATGGTGTCCCTCACTGCCCTCAGAACCTACAACCCCTCGGAGAGTGGGCGCTCTATGCCTTACCCTTGGGGAAGTGGCTGTCCTCTTCACAGTCTTCCCAGTGATCAAAATCAAAAGCCACGTTGGGGTTCTGTTCAAGAGAACAGCTGACAGTGAGCGCGTGAATATGACACACGCAGGGTAAAGACCACCCGCTGAGTGCATCCCAACTCACCCTCTGTCTGAGTAGGTGACACCATGCCTCCCTTCTCTCTTTGGCCAGAGTGATTACAGGTTCATCGTTTCTAATCACACATTGGCAGTCATCTTTCCTTATGTTGCCCCGCAGCTCCAGATCAGCCAGGTAAAATTTGTCTCCCACCCAAGCACTGGGTTTATAAAAAGAAATAAAGTCAGCCTTTTAAAATGCTAAAAATTATTTCTATTTTACTTTATATGACTATACATAAACCTACCTGAAAACGACTCTATCCCTTAAATACTGACACTTGTAGTCCTTTACATTCCTTATTCTTATCTTTAAGATGACGACATCTTCTTTTTGGAACCATTTTATTTGTGGGTGGAAGCTAGAAGAAGAAAGACCTGCGCATTCATTGATCTTATTAACTGGGTAAGGGACGCCGACTCCTCCATGCCGAGTGGACGTACCTTTTCAGAGGCGGCTGTGCAGTTCTGCTAATGAAGGCACCTTCAGTGTTTCCAGATAAAGTTTCTGCACAAAATCAAGGTCATATTTTCCTACAGGTTATTTATATGTAACTCCATCATGTACACACATATATATATACTTTTTTGTACCTTATGCAACGTCTAGATGAGGAATCACATAAAAGTGTAAATTGAGTAACCCTAGTATCTAGCTGCAAAGAACAGTTAGAAAAAATTAAAACCATCACATAGGTAAACAAAATTTTAAAATTTTTATTTTTGAGATGGAGTTTCGTTCTTGTTGCCCAGGCTGGAGTGCAATGGTATGATCTTGACTCACTGCAACCTCTGCCTTCGAGTTCAAGCGATTCTCCTGCCTCAGCCTACCAAGTAGCTGGGATTACAAGCATGCGCCACCACACTCGGCTAATATTGTATTTTTAGTAGGAATGGAGTTTCACCATGTTGGTCAGGCTGGTCTCGGACTCCTGACCTCAGGTGATCTACCTGCCTCGGCCTCCCAAAGTGGTGGGATTACAGGCTTAAGCCACTGTGCCTGGCCTAAAATTTTATTTTAAAATAAAAACAGCCTTTGACAAGTATTAAAATTCAATGACCAGGAAGTGAAGTCACTCATTTGAAAAAGAACCTCATTGCAGTGGCTGGCCTTGGATACAAACATGCAGGCTTCTCTGGAGCTGTTTGACCTGCCAGGATGCCCTAAGGACAGCGGCCAGCACGCACGAGGAGCCAGTGCTGGACATGACATATTCTCAAACAACGCAATGTGAACTTCTCAATCTCCAACAGGCAAGGCTTCCATCCAAACACCGGAGTAAGAATGTTCACAGCTGCTGGAATCACAGTAGCCTGAGACGGAAAACAGATCCACCCTCTGTGGTTTATTCATGGTATAGAAAACAATGGCAAAGAAACAAACAGACTCCTGCTGAGAAAGCGCCATCCTCGGTGTCACATGCCGCCTGCCATCGAGTGGCCTCAGGAAAAGAGTGCACTGACCCAGTGACGTCAAGAACCTTGGAGAGCACAATCCCCAAGCCCTTCTGAGAGGAGGCGAGCAGAGGAAACCCGGGGTGGCCTGGCCTGATCACAGAGCTGGGACTGATCCTAAAGACAGAGCCGTGAAGCTAGGGTGCGAAGGAGGCAGTCCTGCCACTGAACGCGAACAAGAACAAGACACCGCTTCTGGGAGCAAGCGGCCAGGTTCCTCCTCGGAGCCGTCAACCAAAAAGGGACTGAGGGAGTCTCAGCCGACTCGAGGTTGATTTATCCAAAGTTGAGGATGTGCCCCGGGAAACACAAATCACAGGAGCGCCATGGCCTCTGCTTTTCCAAAGGGGCTTCCTAAACATCTGTGTCTAAAAGGGAGAGCAAGCTGGAGGAAGAAAGGGCGGCGGGGGGTGGGGCAGGACAAAGACAATCACGCATCCCCTCGAGCTCAGGAAAGCTAGCTTTACACAAGATAAAGTGACATGTGACAGGAGACATAACAGGACACGGGGCTACGACCCAGGGCTATGAAGCGACAGCTGTCTGCTTGCGAACAAAAGCAGACAGGCTTAGACCCAGGTCCAGCGTGTAACTTCCCCTTTGGCAGAGGGAGTTTAGGGTCCCGAGATCGTGTTTGCTTGCACAGAGCACAGCTACAGCTAGGAGGGCAAGAGCAGGCAGCAGCCCCCGAGCCGGGCCACATGCAACACAAACAACCCCACACCTGCGTCCTCCAGAAGCCCTGCCTGGCACAGTGGCATGCGGGTGTCACGTCTGCAGAGGAGGGCACGGGGTCCACCTGAGACCGACCAGCTGCAGCAGGGCTGGCAGATCCTGCGGAGGAATGCTGCCCTAACTGTGATGAGCCTCTGAAGCTCAGGCCTTGCCCCTCACCAGCGTGTGGCAGCACAATGGATGCATCATACTTTTCTAGCCACATGGAGACACTGACTGTCCAAATACCAGAAACCCTGCGGGAAGCCAAGGCAAGAAGAACCATGAAGAAAGTGCATGACGTTTTCCTTCACCTGCCTGAACCTGAGCAGGAGCCCAGAGATGAAGTCTCTTCCAGCTGAGACAACGGCTCTTCCAGGAAGGTGGCCAAGTGCCTGGTGGCTGCAGTGGACATCTAATAGCCAGAGCTTCCCAGTAGAGCTCAGTAAACAACTGCATGTCCTCCAAGGGCTATGGTTTGGGGGACCCACCTGGCTGCCCTGACGTCCCCCGAGGGCCCCACACCAGGCTCTATGCAAAGTGCAAATGGGCCGGTAGCAGGGCCTGCGACAGTGCAGACCCTCTTCAGCCCCACTCTGCAGTCTACTGGATCCCGGTCTGCTACCGTGGAATAAACACTGCTCTGGGAAAATCCTCTTAATGACAACTGTTGTCCCAATGACCCTGTTCCTCTGACCAGCTGGCCTTGCAAACTGTCTTTTCCAGAACTCTTCAGAACCCTTTTCCAGTGGTTCCCACACAGCGAAACCAGCTGCCCCCCGCTGTGGCCAAATCCAGGGGCAAACTTTATGAAGAGAACGTGTATGTGCATTTTAACAGCTACATTCAGTCCCCCACGTACCACTCGGCTCCGGAAGATCCTTTCTCCTCACCTGCACCTCTCACCTCACCAGCCACAGTCACGGCCAGCAAGAGCAGCACATGGGACTGTGATGAAGAACCTGGGTTTGGACCACGGCAATAATGAAATGCGTCTAAACCCATCCTTCCAGATGACCCCCATCCTTCACAACAATCCCCTCCCACCCCCCAAAAAAAAGCTGTGTGGGGAAATGGCTGGAAGAATTTCCTTAGGAAACAACTTCCAGAACATACCCAGAGATGCATGGGAATCACACAGGCAGTGGGCAAGGCTGCCTTCGTCACAGGAGCCACCTCTGCGGCTCCTCCTCCCACACTCTCCATCCTCAATGAGGAATGAACCTGTCAGGGAGCAAACCACCCTCTGGGGCTCTCAGCACCTCAGCTGTGTTATCTGTGGGTTTCACTGTCTCGGATGCATATCAAAGGGAGCAGAGCCATGCAGGGTCCACCCTCCCAGGATCTTATCCCGCCCTCCTGGGAAGCGGAATGAGGGACCACAGCAGAGGTGCAGAACATCTGCAGTGTGGAAAGCTGGAGCTCCCAGCACTGGAGTGTTGGAGACTTTGTCTAGTCATGGGATGAGTTTATCAATATATGTTGTCTGGGCAATTTCTAAGATTTGTCAAGACAAGGAGCAATGATCTAACTCCATTTCATAAAGACAGTGAATATCAAAATTAAAAGGCCACACGAAGATAAATTCCAGTGACGGCAAATGGTCTCCTCACCTCTCCTTTCCTTCTCCCTCACTGAATTCTCCTTCCACAAGGGGCTTGGGTTTTGTCCCATTTATCTTTTTTTTTTTGAGATGGAGTCTCGCTCTGTCACCCAGGCTGGAGTGCAGTGGCGCGATCTTGGCTCACTGCAAGCTCTGCCTCCAGGGTTCACACCCTTCTCCTGCCTCAGCCTCCCGAGTAGCTGGGACTACAGGTGCCCACCACCACGCCTGGCTAATTTTTTGTATTTTTAGTAGAGACGGGGTTTCACCGTGTTAGCCACGATGGTCTCGATCTCCTGACCTCACGATCTGCCCGTCCTGGCCTCCCAAAGTGCTGGGATTACAGGCGTGAGACACCGCACCCAGCCCCGTTTATCTATTATTTGTTTATTTATTTATTTTGAGACGGAGTCTCATTCTGTTGCCCAGGCAAGAGTGCAGTGGTACAATCTTGGCTCACTGCAACCTCCGCCTCCTGGATTCAAGAGATTCTATTGCCTCAGCCTCCCAAGTAGTAGGGACTACAGGCGTGCGCCACCACAGCTGGCTAATATTTTTGTGTTTTTAGTAGAGATGGGGTTCCAACATGTTGGCCAGGCTGGTCTCAAACTCCTGACCTCAAGTGATTTGCCTGCCTCAGCCCCCCAAAGTGTTGGGATCATAGGCATGAGCCACCGTGCCCAACCAGTTTTGTTTTTGTTTTTGTTTTTTGTTTTTTATAGTCTCAATCTGTCATCCAGGCTGGAGTGCAGTGGTGTGATCTTGGCTCACTGCAACCTCTGCCTCCCGGGTTCAATTGATCCTCCCACCTTAGCCTCTTGAGTAGCTGGAATTACAGGTGCCCCCCCACCATGCCCAGCTAATTATCTTTTTTCTTTATGGCACCTAACTCAGTGCCAAGTTCATACACGTCAGAAATGTCTGCTAAGTCCGTGCAATTAGCCTGGCCGAGGTCAGCCAACTCTATTAACGCCAGCTCCTCCTCTTTGCTGAGGCGCTGTGCAATAAAAGTGAGCCTAGATGTAAAGTCTGGAGAGAGCCATGCAATATGCAAATACTTTCCAAGATTAAGAAAAAATGCCTCCACTTGCAATCATACAGATTAATTTCACACACATAATGTTGACTGAAGGAAGCCACAAGAACATATACTATAGGCGGGGCACAGTGGCTCACGCCTATAATCCCAACACTCTTAGAGGCCAAGGCAGAAGGATCACTTGAGGCCAGGAGTTCAAAATCAGTCTGGGCCACACAGTGAGACTCCATCTCTGTTTAAAATAAAAGAATGTATTCTATATGCTTCCAAGTCAGCAAAACTCATGGTGTCAGAAATCAGAATGGTCAGTCAGGAGGGTTCCGGACAGGAGACTGCTGGGGTCCTGGAAATGTTCAACAGCTCGATGTGGGTGTGGTTCACACGCACACACACACACACACACACACACACACACACACACACACTCTGCTGAGCTGTTCACTTAACATCTGTGCGCATCACTGGATGGAAGTTAGACCTCAAACTACAAAAACAAAACACTGGGGGCTGACCTGTCAAAAATAAGAACAGTTAGGTGATATCAGTTTATGTCATCTTCTCTACATTTCATCTCAAAGTAGAAAGTCTAAACATTAGCAATTTTCCAGACATTAACGATTTGAACTTAACCATCTTTTGAATACCAAGTACCCACCAGGCTTCTGGTTTTCTGAGCTCGTCTTGGACTCAGCCCCTCCTTCTGCACCCGTGTCCTCAGGCTGGGGGCTCTGCAGGCAAGCAGCATCTTCTGCTGGAGGCGTCCTAGACGGGAGAGGCAGGGGTTAACACCTGGCTCTCTACAGGAACTGCCCAAGTGGAAGAGGAAGGCAGGCAATAAATGACCGTGAAGTGCCTGTGGCCGTGGAGTCAGACCCACGTAGAGCTTATGACATTTAAGATGCCCCAGGCAGCCCATCAACTCTGTTCCTTCCGACAAGGATGATGGGCAAGCACACAGTGCATGACTGACATGGGACCAGGCAGGCCTTCACTCTTCACCAAGATGGTTTGCCTTCCATACTCACTGCTGCCCACTTCAAACAGGACCAAAGGACAGAAAGTGACAAGCCAGTTTCCTGCTTCCCCTGACCCAGTCTCTGGGGCCATCTTCCCAAAGACCACCCCTGTTACCAGTTTGGGCCCACTTCTAGAAATATTCTTTGCATAAAAAAGAAATTATTGCCTTCTATGCCTTTCTATCTAAAACACATGGACACATACACACATTTAAACATATGGGAACGTACTAAATTCAACGTGCTGCCCCATATTTTATCCTACTTAATAACTAGCTAGAATACTTATTTTAAAATTTTTAAATGGTAGTATTCTTTTGGTTCTTTGAATAGGTAACCACATTCATGTGGTTCAGTATTTTAAAAGAAGTCAAATTTGGCTGTACACTGAAAAGCTCCTCTCACCCCTGCTCCCCAGCCAGCCAGCTCCCTTCCTCGTGGGTGACAATGTGACTCAGTTTTTGTACATCTTTGAAGAGACAATTCAAGCCTAAATGAGCAAACACACACACACGAGGAGGAGGGGTGTGCTGTCTTCTGACAGCCACACACACAAACCTGTGAGAAGGAGGGGTCCGTGCCTGTCTTCTGAGGGGCCCAGAAGAAGCCTGCAGTGTGGCACTTTCCAGATTCAGGCAGCGAGCGTCCTGAGCCACCGCCCCTCCCCAGGCTCTGTGCAGTCGCCCACCCTCTTCTCCTTCGATAGATCCTCCTCTGCTAGGTAGATTCCTTCCTCCTCACACTCACTGAGCTTTGACTCTCCTCAAACAGCAGCAAACCAAGAGCCTTCCCCAGCTGCTTTCCTGAGCCCTAGGCGTAGACTTTCAGTAACCTTAAAAACTGGCACCTCCACAGCCCACCTCAGCCTCTCCTCCTCTGCTGTGGGCTGTGCCTGGAAACCACCTGTCACTGTCCACCGCACCAGCATTCCCCAGGCACCAGGGCTCAGACCTGCAGACCCACGTTCCCTAACATCTGCCAACCGCCAAGTCCTGTGGCTTCCAGATCTGCGGGTCACAGCATGAAATATTCTCGCCATTCCCTCTCTACCTGTCAGGATCCCCTGTTCTCCAGGAGCTGTCTGATATGGGGTCTCTTCTAGCAGGCTCTCTGTGAAACCTCGCAGTGCTGTATGCTCTGTGTTCGTGACCACGGGTATGTTAAGCTCCCTTAACCACAAAGCTACAGTGGGAAAGGGGGCTGTGGGAGCCTTTACACAGGGCTGGGGCTCAAAGTCAGTGCTTCCCATAAGCCACCAAACCTCATTTTGGTTAAATCTACTAAAGTTTAATGACATCTTCATTTCTAAAAAAGTATCTTAAAAGTATGGGAAATTTTTTTTTTCTTGAAAGTAGAGGGAAACTACCCTGTATTCTAATCCTATAGGTATCCATTTTTATTAAGGTAAAAAACTAAAAAACTTTAGATCATACTATGTTTATCTTTGTCATTTTTTTTTTTTTTGAGACAAGGTCTTGCTGTCACCCAGGCTGGAGTGCAGTGGCACAATCACAGCTCACTGCAGCCTAAACCTCCTGGGCTCAACCAATCTTCCCACCTCAGTGTCCCAAGTAGCTAGAACTACAGGCTTGTACCACCAAACCCAGCTAATTTTTGTATTTTTAGTAGAGACAGGGTCTTGCTATGTTGCCCAGGCTGGTCTCGAACTCCTGAGCTTGAGCAATCCTCCTGCCTCGGCCTCCCAAAGTGCTGGGATTACAATCATGAGCCACCAAGCCTGGCCCACATTATTTTAAATCCTCCTTTCAGCTGAACTTAGGAATCTCTCAAGGTCACCAACAACCACTAACCCAGCAGGCCACTAAACCAGCAAGTCACTAGTCCAGCAGGCCACTAACCCAGCAAGTCACTAGCCCAGCAGCCCACTAGTCCAGCAGGCCACTAGCCCAGCTGTCTGTCTTGGTCCTCACTCGCTGGGTCTGCAGCTGCACCTGGGCTAGCTCATCACTCCTGTCCGGGACACGCATCCCTCGCCTACTCACCTCTCCAGGCTTCCCTCCACCTGCTGGCTACAACGTCCCCACCCTACTCCATGCTCCCCAGTGGAGGCACCAGGGCTCACCCCCGGACCCCTCCTCTCACACCTCTGGGGCTCCCAGGCCCTGCCACGAGGGCTGTGCTCTTGCCACAGATGCAGGCTGCCTGGAGCCCCGTCAGCTCTAGCAGAACACACTGATAAACCAGCAGCTTCTCAACCTCCACAAAGCCACCTGGTCCAAGCCTCCATCCTCCTGTCCTAAGCTCCTGGCACAGTCTTGTCCCCTAGCCCTCCCTTCAGTCTGTTCTCAACACAGTAGCCACGAACCATCTTCTGTTCAAGTCACTCCTCTGCTCAAAACCCCCTCATGGCTCCTGCCTCTGTGGAGCAAGAACCCATTCCTTGCAGTGGCCACAGGCCCCACAAGACCTGGCCCAGCACCTCCGGGTCTCTGTGTTCTGCTCCGCTCTGAGTACCTTCATCCCTGCTCCTGGAACTCACAGCCCAGTCCTTCCCTCGGCCCGTGGAGACTCCTCCCAGGTGTCCCCATGCACTGTCCCCCTCACACATGGCCCCCTGTCCCTGGCATTCTGGGAGGAAGCTCTGTGGTGTTCTTACTCACCCCTGCCCCCCCTGCTCCTCGGATGGATGATCCTGGTCTTGAGCAGGACTGGTCCCTGTCACCCTCGGCCTGGAGAAAGCAGAGCAGACTTCATTTGCAAATAATCATGTGCATCTGTGGAGCCTGTCTGGGGACAGTAGAGGACAGAGCTTGGAGTGCATGGGTAAAAACACTTTTTTTTTTTTTTTGAGACAGAGGCCTGCTTCTAAAGCTACCAGGCCCTACAGATCTAGGATGCCTGGGTGGGCTGGGCCAGAGGAGACGCAGAGAGCAAGAGACTGGGGAATTAGGATGTTCAAAAGCAGTCGTGTGTACGGGCCATTTAGAATTGCACAAGCGCACAGAGGCACGCCCGGAAGAGCCCTGAAGAGACCTGGAGTTTGCACCTCGGGCGGGGTCAAGGAGAGGACATGGAGAACTGCAGGCCTCGGGCATGGCTGCTGGAACAGGCAATGGGGAAGCTGCTGCGGAACCTGGATGGAGGTTCCCCAAAAATCATACACAGGATTCCCACAGGGCCCAGCAGCTCCACTTCTGAGTAGCAACCCCAGAGAAGTGAAGGCAGGGGCTCAAACAGGTATTTGTACACCTGTATACACAGGAGCACACTCACCACAGTCAAGAGGGGCAGCAGCCCAGGTGTGCGCAGGAAGATGAATGGAGAAGTGAAACGTGGTGATCCATGCCATGGAGGATGAGCTTCAAAGGGAAGGAAATCTGACCCGGGCTGCAACACGTGTGGACCTTGAGGACCTTACACTGAGACGAGCCAGGCACAAAAGGGTAAACAGTGGACGATTCCACTTAAAGTGCCCAGGATTGGCAGATTCGTAGAGACAAAGGAGAGTAGGGGGCTGGGCGGGGGGTGGACTCTGGAATTATTATTTAAGGAGTATGGAGTTTCTGTCCAGATGATGAGCAAGTTCTGGAGATGGATAGCGATGATGGTTGCACAACACTGAGAATGTCCTAAATGCCACTGAATTGTACACTTAAAAAGAGTTTAAATGGCAGCTGTTGTCATGTTTATTTTGCCACGATAAAACACATGCAATTGAAGGAATCACTGTGAGCCTTTTTAGCTGTGCTAACAGTGCTCTGGTCAAGTTTTGGGAAGCCCTGCCACTCTCATCCCTGCCCACACTTGGTGCGTGTTTTCCTTCCTTCTCTCATTCCCCTCTCTGGTGGGCTGGGCATGCTGTGGTGTTACTCCCTGGGCTTTCATCTGCATCTCCCTGATGACTCAGGAGTTCCAGCACCTTCTCATATGGTAATTAGGTATCCTGAAGTGGCTGCTCAGGTCTTTTGCCCACTTTCCTAACAGGTGCCTGCTGTTTTCCTCCTGGCTGGAAGGAGTTCTTGATACAGATCCTTCCCCCTCTGGAGCTGCCAGGATCCCTCCTCGGAGTGACTGTCACAGTCTCTCTAATGCCCCCCATGGGAGGAGACGCTGGCGCAGCCACTTTGGAACACTATTGGGTAGTAACTCTAACTATGACTCAGTAATCCCATTCCGTCAGAAATATATTTGTAAGTGTATATATTTGTAAAAGACATGTACGGTAATGTTTAAAGCGCCATTACCTGAAGTACCCCAAACTGGAAATTTCCCCAGTCAACAGTAGAATGGGTAAACAAATAATGGTATATTCATACAAAGGAACATTATGTAGCTGTGAGAATTTAGAGAATTTATGCCTCCTTTGAGCCTAGCTTCTGTAACTCACTATGGAGAGGAGGCATACTGTCTAATTCCTTTCAAACAAAGTGCAAAACTGGGGAAAACCATCCCTGCTTTTCGACATCAGGAGAATGGCTCCTCTTGGGGAGGGGGAGTACCTAGAGGGAGGGGAGGCTCTGAGCCAGGCTCTGTTTCTTGATCTGGGCTGGTTACACAGGTATGTTCAGGAAACACATCACGTCTGATGTGCGCACTTTTCTGTGTGTGCGTTATTTGTCAAGAAAAAGTTAACAACAATCCTTTCTGTAAGAAATACAGGTAAAATACTATATTTGAGATCTGCTTTATAATACTCCAACAAAAGCAAGTGTGGGCTGGGGTATAGATAAAACTAGATTTCCAAAATCTTGGTCATTATTACAACTGAGTGATGGGTACATGGAGACTCATTAAAAACCCTTCTACTTTTTTTTTTTTCTTTTTTGAGACGTAGTCTCACTCTGTCGCCAGGCTGGAGTGCAGTGGCATGATCTTGGCTCGCTGCAACCTCTGCCTCCCAGGTTCAAGCGATTCTCCTGCTTCAGCCTCCCGAGTAACAGGGATTACAGGCACGTGCTGCCACACCCAGCTAATTTTTGTATTTTTAGTAAAAACGGGGTTTCACCATGTTGGCCAGGATGGTCTTGATCTCCTGACCTCGTGAGCCGCCCACCTTGGCCTCCCAAAGTGCTGGGATTACAGGTGTGAGCCACCGCACCCAGCCAACTCTTCTACTTTCATAAAACATGTCCTTAACACTTGTGAGTTGTATTTCCAAAAAACAACTCTTCCAAAAAGGAGACAGAAATCCACTTACGGGGTCTGGCTTAGGCTTTCTTCACAAGCTGGTATCTTAGCATCTTCGCGTAATTTTTTCAGTTGTTCTATGTGTTCTGGATTATCAATGCCCATGCCCATGGACAAAATTTCAGCTCGAACATTATAATCAATGACAGAGGTTTTTAAACTGGAAAGGTTTGTAATGTGCACCTTGAATCAATGAAAAAATTGAACATTAGCAGTAATCACTCTGAATTTTAACTGAAGCATAGACATTCCCACAGGGCCTCTCTGGTTCATTCAGCCTGCCACGTTGGCTGCACTTCGGCGCTTGCCACAACGTGCAGGGCTTTCCATGGCAGCATCTGGATTGCTTCCTACCTGAGGTTCCATCCAAATCATCCAGGCCTCACCCCATGCCACAGAAATATGGGCAGGTGGTGGGGGGGTGGCAAGAGCAAATCTGGGATAAACCCCTAGTCAAGACCAAATTGCAAATCTGGGATAAACCCCTAGTCAGATGCATAATTCGTACATCTTTCTCATTCCTTCTCAACTACTTTTACCTCCTGAGGCTCAGCGTCTGCCTGATGGGAAGGACCTAAGCCAAGGACCTGAATCCTGTTCTGGGCCATTTCTTCTGTTCGTCTTTTCTGCAACCAAACATCCTCATCCATTTCCATTTATACAAAATTAAGTAAAACATAAAAATCTGCAACAGCCTGGCACTGTTGGTGGCAGTGTGGGTATAGGAGGGGCTGTCCCTCCCATGGTGAGGGTGGGGGGTGCTCCAGGCCTGCCCTGGCTGGGGCCCCTTCCTAGGTGAACCCCAGGAATGTGTGTCCACCGGGGAATGTGTGGAGGAGCCTCTCTCTGCTCAAAATGGGTGGGGGCAGGAACGGGTGGAGATGGTGAGGGTGGGTCTGTTTCCCTCTGGCCGCCGTGGTCACTGCCACACGTGCTGCAGTGTGGACACATCTGCCAGGTGGGCTTTCTTTTTTACTTCAATCTCTTTTAAATCTCTGCTTAATAAAATATCTGCTTTTCTCCCCCCAACAAGAAACAAACACAATACTATCACAACATCAACTAAGATGCCCAAATCTCCTCATTTACCTGCATTTGTAATCCATATTTTCTCTTCTGAAAACCATTTTCTGCTTAGTCTTAAACCTTACATCCAAACTCCCTTTTAACATGTTAAAACTTTTCCAACCTCATAAAAATAACATTCAGCAAAAGTTTTTATAAATTGACTCTGTTAAATCTGGTAAGTATTCATAGTAAGATTTAAGTCTAATACAGCAGAACTTTGAGTGGAGGAGTGGAGCTCTTGGGGAACAAGCAGGGAGGGTGGTGCCAGCAGCCGTGGAGAGACACGGAGGCCCGTGAGTCACATGTCCTTGTCATGTGTCCTCCCCTCCCCCTTTCCCCCGCCCCCTCCCACGGCTGCTCTGCAGGATGGGGGCTTCGTCTGCTTTGCTCACAGAAGGAACCCCAGTGCCCAGCACTGCTCCTGGCACGTGGCAGGTGCTCAGTTAAGTGCGTGGTGAATGAGAAAGTTAGAAACTGTCAGCATCAGAGAATGTAGCATGGAGTCCTCACAAAGCTTTGTTCGGCTGCATGTGTGTGCGTGCGTGTGCCTCGCATACACAATGCACGTGTGCGCTGGGGTTACAATGTAAAATATTCCCCTGAACAAAAACTAAACCCACAACCCAATTCATGACCCAATAACATGAAAAACACCTCTCCCTAACAAATCCCCAAATAAGTCACCGTTTCTATGCAGCAGTTATTCAAGTGAGGGCTTAGAATAATCTGGATAATTTTAGCCGCCCATTCAAACAAATTTATTTCTAAGAAAAAATGCGTACTTACCATTGGATCAATCCAAACTGTATTTCCCAAAGCCAGGATCACTTTTGCATCATGCAATTTTCCAACAATTTTATGATGAATGTACCTAGTAACCTGAAAAAAGCACTTAACATTATTTTAGGTGAGGCTTTAACAAAATACCTTATTTTGTATATGCCATACAGTTTGCAAAATATTCCATGCATTTCATTTGAGCCTCACAGTAATGCTATGAGATCACAGAGGTCATCACCCCCTCTCGTCCACAAGGCTAACAGCAGAGTTTAGTGAGGCAGGTGTGGAAAGGAACTCGCCCATGGCCTCGTACTAGTGAGTTCCCAGAGCTCAAGGCGGGGGTCTGTGCCTTTGGGACCCAACACTGTACATTTTCTTCTGTGGACGTGCGTACCCCATCTCCTCCATCACCTGCCAATCTGTCTTTAAAGCACGGATGCCTATTTCTTTGAAAGCTCAATGAAAGTGAAGTGAAAGTTGTTCCTCCTGCTCCAAGGCCGTCACTGCAATGGAGCTGCCTTGCAGCCAGTGACACTGGAGCTGAGGGCCTGGTCTTTGTGTACCCCTTGCTGAGTAAATGGCTGTTGTTTTCTTTCTTTTTTTCTTTGAGACAGGGTCTCTCTCCTCCACCCAGGCTGGAGTGCAGTGGCGCAATCATAGCTCACTGCAGCCTCGAACTCCAGGGTGCCAGCGATCCTCCTTACTCAGCCTCCCCAGTAGCTGAGACCACAGGCATGCACCACCACACTTGGTTAATTTTTAATTTTTTTTTTTTAGAGATGGGGGTCTCACAATATTGCCCAGGCTGGTCTTGAACTCCCAGGCTTAAGCAATCCTCCCATCTTGGGCTCCCAAAGCACTGGAATTATAGGTGTGAGCCACCATGCCTGGCCATGGCAGTTTCCTCTCAAGGAGGAACACAACAGGCAGGACCTGTCTAAGCAACCTCTCACACACATTTTCACATGAACAAAGCAGGGCGAAAGGGACCTGCCCGTTTCCATCCCCCTTGCACTTGGTGAATTAATTCAGAAGAATGTACACAGGAGAACCTTTCTCCATTCCCACAGAAGGCTGCTCCTTCAAGAAATACTTTTGGTCAGTCATCTTTACAGGTCAGATGTTTCTTGGGGAAAGAACTGTGACATTCTTGCTGACGGCTACATCCCCAGAACCCAGTAGGGCACCTGGTACACAGCAGACAGTCATTACAAAGAAGGAATGCCACTGCCTTGTGATAAAGGCTCCTTTTACTAAACTTAGAAGAGTAAGGTTGTGTATTTATCCTGTATCATGGAAACATTCACTTGTTTATTTCCTGGATAATGTTTAACTTTGTTTATAACCCAAACTGTTTGTACTTTACCAATTGCAATTAACTTATTTCATGTCCCATTTGTCGAATTATGCAAAATATAACCTTTCCTTGGAGAACTGGAGCGCTTATCAACACGACTCATGCTCCAGTGATGGGCAGGACTGGCTGCAGGTTTCTCCCTGGCCGCAAGGGCTGGGCCTTCCCACCCCACCTGGACAGTGCCTGAGACGCGGGCCCCCCTGTGCCTGTGCCCTCAGCACAGGTCTGCAAGGGCTGGGCCTTCCCACTCCAGCTGGATGGCCACGTGAGCCCGCATGGAGCCCTCTTCTGTGCCTGTGCCTGAGCACAAGTGGTTCTCTTTGCTTTCAACGCCCCATCTGTTCTATTTGGTGACACCCTAGTTACCCCACGAAGCCCAGAGGAAATGACCCTTCCTTTGGCAGCTTTTCTGATCTCCATCTCTCCTTCCTGGCCCATCGTCCCTGCACCAGTGGAATCACCTGGCCTCTCCTGGGACCGCCCATTGTGCCCCCTCTTTGGCTGGAGGGTCCACTTTTCCACTTTTTTTCTGTTTTTTGATTTGCTTTGTTTTTTAAGAGACAGAGTCTCACTCTGTCACCTGGGCTGGAATGCAGTGACACGATCATAGATCATTGCAGCCTCAACTTCCTGGGCTCAAGGGATCCTCATCCCTCGGCTTCCCAAAGTGTTGAGATTACAGGCCACAGCACCCAGCCTGGAATGTTCACTTTTGTAGGTGCTTCCCCTGCTTAGGCTGAGGGGCAGTTTATTTTACCAACATCCCTACTTTATACAGATTCTGTGACCGTAAGCACAAGGACAGTGGTGAAGACAGTGTTGCAGCTGCCTGGTACCTCTCCGAGGGTTCAGCTGGGACGTTCACACACCGTGGGGATCTAAGCAGACTGCACTTTCCCTGCCCAAACGTGACACTGTAAATCCAGACAGGCCTCAATTCTGTGTATATTCTCGGTTAAATATATTCTAAAAGTCAACAATAGATAAAAAGCCAAAATCACCCACCTTCGGATTCCATTCTATTTCGTTGTCAGCAGGTTTCACCCTACAGACAATAAACTCCACAGCCTGCGGGGGAAGTGTGTGGAAATGTTCTGGGAGATGCAGCAGCTGGTCCCTTGTGACGAGCCCCGTCCTGCCTTCATCGATGAACTCTACAAGGATGTCATCCAGGGCCCAGGCGTCTTCTTTTTGGTTCACTTCCAACACCTGAACCCTGGAGAGCAATGGGGCATCGGTTCAACGCAGAGATTCCAGAAAGGATCATCTTTGCCTCAAATTACCATGAAATGGAAAACATATAAAAAGACTCCAAAACGCCATGATTTTACTCTATACTAGAAATAAAAAACTAAGGCCTTCAAAAATTCAAGTGGTGGATTATTTAAAGTATACATAAGTATAAAAACATGTACTTTTGAATAAGAGTAAATCCTTTTATCTAACAACATAATAAAAATTAACATAGCAAATTAAAGTCTCAAAGTTTTTTTATTTTTTTCCTTTTGTCTTTTTTGTTTGTTTGTTTTTTGTAGAGACAAGGTCTTGCTCTGTGGCCCCGGCTGGAGTGCAGTGGCATGATCATAGCTCAATGCAGCCTCGACCTCCTGGGCTCAAGCAATCCATTCACCTCAGCCTCCCAAAGTGTTGGGATTACAGGCATGAGCAACGTCACCTGTCAAGTTTCAAAGTTTCTGAATTCAAGGCTATCACCAAGTGGTGCCAGGTGTGGATTCAAGGGAAGTGGGTACAAACGAGCATGTGATTCAGACTGACCAGGTTGGAACAAACTATGCCAGGTATCGAGCTGACCTGACACCACATTCGTAACATCGCCAAGGCTGTTTTCTTATCTGTAGAATGGGAATGATGCCCACTTGATAGGAACTTGGCAAGAATTAAGTGAGTTAAAGATGTATGTGTATGTCGCACGCAGTGATGGCTCAATGGGTCACGGTGTCACTGGGCTCAGGAGCCTGGGGAAGAGTTTCCCACAAAGAACTGGAGCAGGCATCTGGGGGGACACCCCGCTGTCACCAGGCTCACATACACACTCAGTCAAATGGACAGAGGTCAAAATCGGAACTCAACACCACTTAGTTACCTCATGCTTCAAAACTTTACAGATGAAGTAAACAGATGTGTTACCTGTGAAAAAGCGTTTTTTCTGCTAATCCATACAATCCAAACTTCTCCACCTTTTCCACAGTTGTTTTATTAGAATCCTTAAAATACTCATTCATTTCAGCATTGAGAGTTGCATAAAGATCCATGTGTTTATCAACTATACGGCCAAAGTAATTTGTTGCATTCAAAATATAAAAAGGTATTATCTGAAACATATATAGTAAACATGACCAAGAAACAAACTTAGTCTAAACCGGATATGTACACATTCCCTGTATCTGCAGAAATCAGTACCCAACCTAAGAAACCAAAGCTTAGCAACGTGGATTTAGAAAAAACTAGGAAGCTAGCCAAAAAAGCAAAGCAAAACCAATACCTCACACAGTCATAAAGAATTAGTTTCACTTTAAATCTAATGGAAGATTTTTTTATTTTGCAAATTTCATTATTTTAAAACTTCATTATTAGGTATAAGTGTTCCTTGTTTACCTTCTAACTGCACTTTTATAGAAATTCTTCTTAAAATAGCACTGCTGTCTCTTGAAACTTTCTGATCTTTTTTCAGGTAACAAGATGCATTTTATTAAGAGCTACTGTATATCAGCCTCCAGGGTTACAGGGATGAAACTGTCCTACAGGGACCTAGGCAATCCAGAAGTGGACAGAGAGGCCACAGCTTGTGTGTGCTGGAGAAGACAGCCCTTCACAGGTTAGAGTAGGCAGGGGGACCTGTGTGTGAGGAAAAAGTCAGTGTGCAGAGGGCAGAGACGCTCTGTGTGAAGGGAGGGAGCCCTGGCTGCCCAGAGCAGATGCCAGGAGTGAGAAGTAGGCACTTGGCAGGATAGGGGAGAGGACCGGGCTGGCGACACCCACAGGCACCAGTGTCTGTGCCTGTGCAGGAGGAAGCAGAGGGAAGCAATAGACCTGAGAACAGAGAGCTCTAGAAGAGGCAAGAGGCCCTCCCTGGAAACGGGCTCAGCCAGTGCAACAAGCGAGCCTGGAAGGCTTCACCTGCCTCCACAGTGGGTGAAGGCTGGAGCCCCTGTGAAATCTCCACACTGTCCCTCCAGGGACAGGAGGGATGAAGGAAGAGAAAACCAGGTAACAGTTCAGGAGGGGAACAGGGCCAGGGAATCTCAGAAATCTCAGACACTATGTCACCATATTCATTTTACACAGCACATAAAAAACAGAAATGGGAACTCTGTGAAATCAGAAAAGTTACCCTGACCCACACCTCCTCCAAAATGTCAAGAAAACAAATTCTATCTAAAAATGAGCAATAGCAAAGTAACAAGGTCAAATCCGATATGAAGTCATCATAAAATAACAAAATGTATAATAATATATAAAAATAAAATAATTAAAAAGAGAATAAAGAGCAGAAGAACCATCCCTACAGACAATGAAACCTGTTAGAAAGATACATCCACAAACAGATCAAAACTATAACCTTCAAGAAATGTTGCTTTCAGTTTGTTAACTAAGAAAACAATGAGTGTATAAAAGAGTAACAGATCAGAATTACAACAACTTAGAAATGAGGTGACAGAATGCAGGAAAGAGTTAGAAATTTTTTTAAAAATTCAATAATGAAAACCGTAGTGGGTTGGGTGGTGACTCTCCCAAAAGAGGTATGTCCATGTCCTAACCCCCAAGCTCACTGTGACTTTGACCTGACTTGAAAACAGGGTCTTTGCAGAGGTAGTGAAGTCTGCAGACTGGGAGATGGCTCTGGGTTATCTAGGTGGGCCCTCCCTCCAATGAAACGTCCTTTACAAGGGGCACAGAGAAGAGGAGGTCATGTGAAGATGCAGGTGGAGAGAGAGTGACAGTGGCTGCTGGCGGAGATGCAAGGACGCCAGGCGAGCCACAGGCCAGGTCACCTTCTGGAGGCTGTGGAGGGGCATGGCCCTGCTGACACCCTGACATCCAGGAACATGTCAGAAGAAATGTGTGTGGCTTTAAGTCACTAACTTGGTGGTAATCTTTTACAGCAGCCTAGGAAATTAACACAACAGATACTGCTCTAAGGGAAACAGATGAAAGGGAGAGAAATTGTATGCTCAAAAAGAAATGAATAAATTAATAAAAAAGGATTAGAAAGAAAATAAAAAAATTCTTAACTTGGCAATTCTATCTGCACCTTATTACAGAATTTTCCTCAAAGAAATTATCATGAATGTCTTGAAAAGATTCATGTAATCACTGTATCATTATTTTTTAAAAAATCTGTTTGTAGAGACAAGATCTCACTATGTTGCCCAGGCTGGTCTTGAACTCCTGGCCTCAAGTGATCTGCTCACCTCAGTCTCCCAAAATGATGAGATTACAGGTGTGAGCCACTGTGCCCAGTCACTGCATTATTTTTAATGGCCCCCAAATAGAAACATTTTCTGAAAATATAATTGAAAAAAAAATCCTTAAACTGTCATCCATTACTGAATTTGATCTTGGCTTATAAATACGCTGGGGCCCTGAAATAAGGCGCCTTGTAAGGACACGTGCCTCTGGTTGCACTAATGGTGGTATGTTAATACTGATCACTGGAAGGCACCATGACATCTACTAAGATCCTGCTTAACAAATAAAACACGTTTATTAACATGACCATTCGTCAGAGGACACAAGCATCTTTAACCAAACCTACTTTAATGTATCCAAATGAAGGTAGGGCTTGGCTGGACAGTTTCCTGGGCAAGTCCGTTTCTGGATTAATACGGTGTCGGTCAGGACAGATCCTTTTGTCTCTGAAAATGAAATGACTAGACTTATCATAAGTAAGTAATAATTGTTAATGTGAATTTTAACGCTTTCTTCAGAAAATTAATCTGCAACCTAAATCAGATAACTTTTATTCCAAACACCCTAAAGACTGAATAACCACATTAAATATTTCAGATGACATTAATAATATACAAATAAGTGAAAATGGATTTTACATTTTAATTAACACTGAATAAACTTAATGAGTTATTTCATTATTTCTCTAGCAAACTTTCTTTTTTTTTTTTTTTTTTTTTTTTTTTTTAAGAGTTTGGTCTCACTCTGTTGCCCAGCCTGGAGTGCAGTGGCAAGATCATGTCTCACCATAGCCTCTTAACTCCTGGGCTCAAGAGATCCTCCCTGCTCAGCCACCCTATTTCTCTAGACATTCTAAAATGCATTATGTAAATGAACAAAATGTATTTCCATAATAAAGACTGAATTAGAAATACATTGCCATAATACACAACAAAGGGCAATCGATCTCTAACCCAGAAGCCGTTCCTTAACTACAATGCTGCTTCCACGTTGAGAAATAGTTGAAATTGCCGTTTTAAAAGTCAGTATTTGAGGCCGAGCACAGTGGCTCGTGCCTGTAATCCCAGCACTTTGGGAGGCCAAGACAGGCAAATAACCTGAGGTCAGGAGCTCGAGACCAGCCTGGCCAACATGGTGAAACCCCGTCTCTACTAAAAATACAAAAATTAGCTGCGCATGGTGGCAGGTGCCTACTTATAGTCCCAGCTACTCAGGAGGCTGATGCAGGAGAATCGCTTGAACCCAGGACGCAGAGGTTGCAGTGAGCCAAGATGGTGCCACTGCACCCCAGCCTGGGCGACAGAGCAAGACTCCATCTCTAAATAAATAAATAAATAAATAAAGTCAGTATTTGGCTGGGGACGGTGGCTCATGCCTGTAATCCCAGCACTGTGGGAGGCTGAGGAGGGCGGATCACTTGAGGTGAGGGGTTTGAGACCAGCATGGCCAACATGGCGAACCCCATCTCTACTAAAAATACAAAAATTAGCCAGGTGTGGTGGTTCACGCCTGTGATCCCAGCTTCTCAGGAGGCTGAGGCACAAGAACTGCTTGAACACGGGAGGCGGAGGTTTCAGTGAGCTGAGATCACGCC
This sequence comes from Homo sapiens, assembly GCF_000001405.40. Taxonomy (NCBI): domain Eukaryota; kingdom Metazoa; phylum Chordata; class Mammalia; order Primates; family Hominidae; genus Homo; species Homo sapiens. The sequence goes on along the minus strand of NC_000019.10, from coordinate 32,806,400 downwards.
ATTGCACTCTAGCCTGGGTGACAGAGCCAGACAGAGACTGTCTTAAAAAAAAAAAAAAAAAAACTCGGTCTTCTTTAAGCGTAAATAGGAATACTGCTAGTAACACATTTAATGTACCATAATTCAAAAACGTTAATGTCAACAGTTATCTTTAAATTCAATCCAGCAGCTACGTATCAGGCACCCATGCCCCAGCCTCAGCTGTCTGTGTATCACGCAGTGGTGTTGCGTCTGGATCAGGCAGAGAAGCCCCATGACTGTCAAGGTACCCATGCTCTCCAAGCTGATCAACACAATCAATGCACTCCCTAGCAAAATTCTGCAAGGTTTCTGAAGACACTAACAGGCTCATTCTAAAATGTACGTGGAGGCCGGGTGCGGTGGCTCACGCCTGTAATCCCAGCACTTTGGGAGGCTGAGGCAGGTGGATCAGCTGAGGTCAGGAGTTCGAAATGAGCCTGGCCAACATGGTGAAACCCCGTCTCTACTAAAAATACAAAAATTAGCCAGGCATGGTGGCACACACCTATAGTCCCAGTTACTCAGGAAGCTGAGGCAGGAGAATTGTTTGAACCCAGAAGGAGGAGGTTGCAGTGAGCCGAGATCATGCCACTGCACTCCAGCCTGGGTGACAGAGCAAGACTCCATCTCAAAAAAAAAAAAAAAAAAAAGATAAAAAAAATAAAGTGTATGTGGAGATGCAATGGATTTAAAATAGCCAAACAACCTTGATGAGGACCAAAGCTGGAGGACTCATACACCAGCTCCTAAGACGTGCTATAACAAAGTGTAATACTGGTATAAAGTTAGACCAATAGGCCAAAGTAACAGAATAGAGTCCAAAAATGGACCACAAATACCATCACCTGGCTCATGGCAAACGCACTCATGCAGTGAGAACCGAATGATATTTTAAATAAACGATGCTGGAGCAAACCATTATCCATATGGAAAAATCAAACCTTGCCCCAGATCTCATATTACACACATATTTTTTTTTTCTTTTTTCTTTTTTTTGGACATAGGGTCTCATTCTATCACCCAGGCTGGAGTGCAGTGGCACAATCACGTCTCACTGAATCCTTGACTTCCCAGGCTCAAGCGATCCCCCTACCCAAGGCTCCTGAGTAGCTGGGACTACAGACATGTGCCACCACAGCTGGCTTATATATATATATATGTGTGTGTGTGTGTGTGTGTGTATATATATATTATATATGTTATATATATAATATATAACATATATAATACACATATATATATTTTAAAGAGACGGGGTCTCTGTGTGTTGCCCAGGCTGGTCTTGAACTCCTGAGCTCAAGTGATCCTCCCACTTCAGCCTCCCAAAGCGCTGGGATTATAGGTGTGAGCCACCATACCTGGTCATACATACAAACTAATTTAATATGAATTATAAGTGTAACTGTGAAAGCTAAAACTACAAAGCTTCTAGAAATATAGGAGAATGCCTTCATGACCTTGAAATAGACAACTTTTTTTTTTTTGAGATGGAATCTCGCTCTGTTGTCCAGGCTGGAATTCAGTGGCACAATCTCTCACTCTGTCACCCCGTCTGGAGTGCAGTGGCGCGAACTTGGCTTACTGCAACCTCCGCTTCCCAGGTTCAATTGATTCTCCTGCCTCAGCCTCCTATGTAACTGATTACAGGTGTGTGCCACCACACCCAGCTAATTTTTTTTTTTTTTTTTGAGACAGAATCTTGCTGTGTCTCCAGGCTGGAGTGCAGTGGCATGATCTCAGCTCACTGCAACCTCTGCCTCCAGGGTTCAAGTGATTCTCCTGCCTCAGCCTCCCAAGTAGCTGGGACTCCAGGCACGCACCACCACGCCCAGCTAATTTTTGTATTTTTTAGTAGAGACGGGGTTTCACCATGTTGGCCAGGATGGTCTCGATCTCTTGACCTTGTGATCTGCCTGCCTCGGCCTCCCGAAGTGCTGGGATTACAGGTGTGAGCCACTGCACCTGGCCAAGATAGGCAAATATTTCCTATAAGCACACAAAGTCATCAGGCTGGGCGCGGTGGCTCACGCCTGTAATCTCAGCACTTTGGGAGGCCGAGGCGGGCAGATCACGAGGTCAGGAGATCAAAACCATCCTGGCTAACATGGTGAAACCCCATATCTACTAAAAATACAAAAAATTAGCTGGGCATGGTGGCAGGTGCCTGTAGTCCCAGCTACTCGGGAGGCTGAGGCAAGAGAATGGCGTGAACCTGGGAGGTGGAGCTTGCAGTGAGCCGAGATGGCGCCACTGCACTCCAGCCTGGGCAACAGAGTGAAACTCCATCTCAAAAAACAAAAAAAACTTCATCAAAATTAAAAATGCCTGTTCATCATCAGCAGAGTATTAAAAGAGTGAAAATGCAAGCCACAGCTTGGAGGAGACATTCTCAGTGCACACATCACACAAAGTACTTATGTTGAGTATATATAAGCTACTCCCCCCGACAAACCAAGAAGAAAAAGATAAACACTCCCTGTAAAAACTGGTCAAAAGACCTCAACGGGCACTTCACAAAAAGAGGATGGCCAACTGTCCCACAAGCCTATGAAAAGATATTCAACATCATTAATCATTAGGGAAATGCATATTAACATCACAATGGTTTACCACTCCACCTCCACCAACACTAAGCGCTGGTGAGGGTTGGGGACAACTCAGGCTCTGTCAGACAGTACTGACCAGACCGGAAAATGGCCAGCCGCTTTGGAAGAGTTAAACGCATGCCTACCCCATGACCTGCCACTTGCCCTCTGGAGCGTCTACCCAAGAGAAATGCGTACACATTTCCACAAAAGACATGGCCAAGAGTGTTCCTAACAGCTTCAAACATCATAGCCTGATAGTGGAAACCACCCACAGGCCCATCAATAGGAGAATGGATACACACACTGTGATACAGCCATACAACAGAACACTGAGCTATAAAACAAACCATAGATACACACAACAACACAGACGAATGTCACAGACATGAGGCTGAGAGAAAGAAGCCAGACACGAAAGAGAACATACCACGATGCCATTTCTATGGAGTTCAAAATCATGCAAAGTTAATCAACACTGACAGCCCTGCAGAGGGGAGGGCACGTGGGGAAGAGTGCGAGGGAACCCCCAGACTGCTCCCTCAGAGTGGGTGGTGGCTTCTAGATACATGACAATTCACCACATTGCAACAGCTGTGCACCTTACTGCAGGTTATACATCAGTTTAATAAGAAACAAATTACTGGCTCACTTGCAAAAACCAAAAGCCTTCAGATATGGACAAAGAGGCCTTCCGGCTTTCTTATCTTCTTTGGCTTCCAGAACTCCTGCGGTGAACTCGTACAGCTCTGCGGGGACCTTGGCGTCCGCTCGCTCCAAGTAGCGCAGGACGCCCACCGCATGGCTCGCATCTTTCTCCGTCAGCAGCAAGACAGATTTGGCTTTCTTATCTCCCTGTTCTGCAGGAGAACCCTGAAAATTGGGGGTGAATAAAGGAAGTGGATCATCTATCCCAGTCTGACTGAGGAAACCTTGTGGACTCTGAGCTTATCATGACACAGAAGATGCCAGTGGAATATGGAAGAGAATAAAAATTCACCAAACCTGTTCAGCGTGAAAATGATCAGACATGCAATACAGGCGTCCACCAAAAACTTTTGGTGAGGCAGGGAAACTGAAGTGAATCACACACGTGGCATCGGTGATGGCCAAGAGTGGGACGCAGTCGTCTGTGAGGGCTGCAGAGAGGGAGTCCGACAATGTCACACGCGCTGGAGTTACCGCACTTACTTTAACCGGCAGTTCCCACGGCCACACTGCAGTGCATTTCCATATCACATTTTACTTTTTTGGATGCAAAGAAACTTCTTCCCCATTTTTTTCCCCAAAATGCCACAGCCCAGTGCTTAAATTCCAGAGAAAAGTGGTCTCCTTCTTAGCCTGAAAAATGTCTCTTATTACAAATCCAAGCGGCCCATATGTTTTTCACTTATTCTATATATTTTGACTTTTATATTTTTAATATTAAATTTAGCAATCATGCATGACTATATATAGTCATATGTATATAGTCATATACATGAATATATATATAGCTTGAGGATCACTATCATGATATATATGATCATATATATGATCACTATCATATATATCACTATCATATATATGATCACTATCATATATATGATCACTATCATATATATCACTATCATATATATGATATATATTATCATATATATATATGATAATATATATCATATATATGATAGTGATCCTCAAGCTATAACTCTAGGGAGAATGTCTAGACTAATGGTGGCTGCCCACTGACCTGAGAGATTTACCTCAACATCAAAATCTTAGTGGAGGTTAATTTTTCATTTTGAAATTAACATTGCTAATAAAGTCTCAGTAAACCTGGGGAATAATGAGAAATCTGGAGATGAGATATATAAATGAATTAAAGATAGAATTCCTAGTAGCTCAACCTTCACTAAATAGAAGTAGAAATTAAAACACTTACCTAATATAATTTGAGAGCCAGAACTTAACTTCTTCTTCCACTGTTCTAAAACATTTTGTAAGTTAAAAATCATTTCTTTATGCATCTTCAAGCAAAATATTGAACTGCTTTCTACTACCTAAAGATGAAATCAAAGAGGCCAGGTCACAGTCAGGGATATAGGCTGGAAGCCAACCGTTCCATCAATAATTGTCAATGTAAAGCACTTTAATTTATCTGTGAGGGCACTACCTCACTGATCCCATAATTCTTAAGAATGAGATGATTATAAACTGAAATATATTTCCAAAATTCGGTTGTTTATGTCTAAAATCTTGCTCAAGTGAAATAAGCAGTATTTTGCTGAAACTATTTTGCTTCCTTTTAAAATAACACAGCCATACTTGTGTGTGTGTATAAACACACATACACACACACACAGACACATCAGCTAGAAAGTCCTGGTTGACTACAGTACCATATAACTATACTTCTAGCTGACTGCTGCAGAAAGCTAGATGTACTATTAATTCTTTTATTTGGTAGTTGGCTTCATTTCTACGTTTTAGCACTAATATGTACAAAATAAAACTGAATAAATCTTTAGCCAATTTATTTGATTTTTTGGCTATATGATATCTTTTACTGTTATCTTCTCAATCTTCTTTTTCTTCTTCTTTTTTTTTTTTTTCGTAGAGACAGGGTTTCACTATGTTGCCCAGGCTGGTCTTGAACTCCTGGCTTCCAGCAATCTTCCTACCTTGGCCTCCCAAAGGGCTAGGATTCAGGCATGAGCCACCTCAATCTTCTTAAACAGAGGGTACAGAAGATGTTGTCATGTCTATAAATTGATACTTTTAATACTCCACCAAGACGAAACTGCCCTGCCCTGGGGAACGCTGCTGCAGAGGAAAAGCCCTGCCCCCGCACCTGGCTCCTCCCCAGATCCAGGCCTCAGCCTGCATGCTCTGTGAGAAGACCCCACCTCCTCTTCTGATTGATGTTAAACTTGTAAAACTTTACTTCCCTGCCACAGAGTCAACCACCCCAGTAATTTTGTGATGACTTGAGATTCGACCAGTTGAAACAAACAGAACATTTTTTATATGGAGATGGACTCACCTTACACACTATTTCTGTTTCAGCTACAGAGCAGGTGAAGATCAAGGTCTTTTGTGCCTGACTTGGAATAAAATCAAGAGCTTGGAGTAAAGAAGAAGTTTTTTCACATTCTAGGCAAAGATGTACTACCTGGTAATGAAGCACAGAAACAATGTGACTTTTTAATATTTTAGGTGCTCCAGATCCACTTTCCACAGGTGTTGGGATTTTAATAGAAAAGAATGTATAGGAAATCAATATAAATTTAAATATTCAACTATAATTGTATTTCATTCATAATTTATATATGAAATCAAAGCTGTAATTGTTTAATACTAAGCCATGAAATAAAAGTTACTTGCTTGTGTTCATCAGCCCCCCACCAACACATACACACACACACACACATACACATACACATACACACAAAGTTACCTGTTGGACATTGCCATAGAGAGCAGCCTCTTCCATGGCTGTGATCACAATGTAGGGATCATTCATGAACTCTTTGATGAGATGTTCTATATGTTTGTTCCAATGAACTCCAACTGCAACAATCTGATGTGGTGCAGATTCCCTTTCTTCAACTTCAATATTTTTTTTAAAGTTATCTAATATAGCAAACATCTGAAAAATTAGCATAATTAATTTCATTTTTATTTCAAAAGAGTAAGAACTAGTGTGGCAGAACATAAAATGTAAGGGTTTGTATATTTTCTGTTCTCAGAGTGGAGAAAGTCTTTCAAAAATAAAAGGAAAAGGCCAGGTGTGGTGGCTCACGTCTGTAATCCCAGCACTTTGGGAGGCTGAGGCAGGCGGATCATGAGGTCAGGAATTCAAGACCAGCCTGGCCAACATGGTGAAACCCCATCTCTACTAAAGATACAACAAATTAGCTGGGTGTGGTGGTGTGCACCTGTAATCCCAGCTACTCGGGAGGCTGAGGCACAAGAATTGCCTGAACCCGGGAGGTGGAGGTTACAGTGAGCCAAGATCAAGCCATTGCACTCCAGCCTGGGCGACGAGGGTGGGACTCAGTCTCAAAAAAAAAAAAAAAAAAAAAAAGGCAAAAACTAAATAGGAGAAAATGTCAAGTTTAAAGTCAATAAATATCCTACAATCTCCATTATAAACAAAACTAAAGCATAAGCAATATCTTGGTAAATATGTATAACAAACAAACAAGAGATTAATGTTCTTGCATAAAAACTTCTAAAAACTGATTAGCAGAAGATGATCCTACCAACAGAAAATAAGAAAAGGAAGTGAACAAGCAACTCAGAGTGAATACAAATGATCAATACGAATTAATGTTCAACCTAAAAAATAATCAAGGAAATGTAAATTAGGCTGACAAGATCCCACTGTTGGCCAGTTAGGCTGGAGGAGAAAACTGGGGCAAGCCTGCTCTGGCAGGGGTGTGGAGAGCCTGCACATGGCTGACAGGAGTGCACATCAGGTCATGCTTTCAGAAAGGATGCTGCACAGAGCAGTATGCCTAGATACTAGTTTTACAAAAATCAGAACCTGAGACTTCAGAGGAGTTCAAGAACCCTGCACCGCCTCATAGTCAGTAACAAAGCCTGGACTCAAAACTGGGGCCATCATTACTCCCAAGTGCATACCCTTGGTGACTGTGTGACACTGCTTCCAAGAAAAGCCTTACAAGAGCTCAAAGCCTCTGACCCATGAATCCCTTCCTAGGAATTCATCCTAAAGGAAACAGGTGCAAAAAGCATGCATGTTCTGTAGCCACACACGTATACAAATTATGTTGAATATCCAATATTAAGACAGTTGTAAAACAAATTCTGTGATGTCCAAAGAACTGAATACTATATGGCCAGTAACCACCAGGCTGTGGAACAGGAAGCGGTGGCCCTTACGCTGCTGCGCCCTGCACAATGCAGGCTACAAAATGGCCTGTAAAACACACCCCTGATGTTATTAACTATATGTATCTACAAACACAAGAATTCAAAGAAAAAGAAGCAAATACTCCAAAATAGTAAGAGGGATCCCTTCTGAAACTATGGCTGTGCAGGCTGGGTTTTTCAAGTGCTCTTCTCCATGTCTTAAATTTTCTAAAATAAAAATCATTACTTCTGTAATCAGAAAAATTTTAAGTATTTTAGGAAATCTCTAGGAAAGAATGTTTGCACTTCAGAAAGAATTCTAACACTGGGAAGGAAATTTCACATAACCATTCTTTCTTCTTAATTATAGAAGTTAAAGCATAAAATTTTTTTAGATTAACCAATGTATTCCCCAACCAGACACTTTTCCTCCTTCCTGCCATCAGTTAGCATGTTAATCACGCCTCTCTTCTGAGTGCTGAGGACCTTAAGCCACGCTCACCTGTTCATTGGCTTCCAAGAATAGCACCTCTACCTCATCCAGGATCAGGTGGCAGAGCCTGAGGAACAGCAGGCTCTGACAGGCGAGAAGCCTCAGCAGGCTGTATGGGGTCGTAACAATCACATCACCTGCATTTAAAAAAAAAAGTGAACATTTTCAATTTTCCACAGGTTTTTCTAAGATTTCCTCTGCTAAGAGTCCACATACTTTCTAGAAATGCCTTCTAATGAAGTAAAACACTGTTTCTGTCCTAGTCAACCCCATATGCCCAGCATCTAACAAACAGTTTAAGTGTTCAGTAAATAGATGATAAATGAATGAAGTGACATAGTTTTCTCAGTGAAGCAGACGTAAGTCAAGATCAAGCCTTCGTAATCAAAACCGTCGGGAGCTGACAAGTAGGTCTGGACTAGTGACTGTGAGTGTGTCATCACACAAGCCATGTCACTGTGGACCCAGGCCCAGCCAGGCTCCACTGTCTTCTGTAGGGAAGACAGTGAAAAGGATACTTTAACTTTTATAGCCGCTTGAAAAGGATACTTACAGCCCCTTGGAAGCTTTGTATTTTTGGCTTCCTCTTTATGGAGCCCAATTGTTAATAGCACAGGATGAAGAGGCCTGGAGGACATGCTATATTCTCCCAATAATTCAAAAATAAATTGGGCCTTCTTCCACCCAGGGCACACGATGACTGCGAGAGGCTGCGAAGACAGACAAATTCAAATGACTCCAGACAGTAGTTAGGAATTCAGCATCCATATGAAACATCAAGAACATCTCCTTGCACAGAAGCAGCACCCCGTAAGTTTCTGCTATAATCATCATACAGGTCAGAAAAGTGACGATATAATTTCATTAAAACAGATTTAGACACATTGAGTCATATTTGCTGAGTCTCAATGAAGCACTTCACACGTATGCATTCATTTAGCTCTTAAGATGCTCTTATGGGGCAGAGGCTGTCACTGCTTCACTTCAGAGGTGAGGAACTTGAGGTACAGAGAGGTGAAGTCAGTTACCCAAGGCTGCACAGCTAATACATGGTAGCAACAGGACTTGAACCCAGGCAGTCTGGCTCCACATCCCCTGCACAGATCCTAAGCACAAGAATGAACTAAATGCCTCCTGAAAGGGGCCTTAAAAAAGACGAACCCTGGCTGGGTGTAGTGGCTCACGCCTGTAATCCTAGCACTTTGGGAGGCTGAGTCAGGTGGATCACCCGAGGTCAGGAGTGTGAGACCAGCCTGACCAATATGGTGAAACCCCATCTCTACTAAAAATACAAAAATTAGCCAGGCGTGGTAGTGTGTGCCTGTAGTCCCAGCTACTCAGGAGGCTGAGACAGGAGAATTGCTTGAACCCGGGAGGCAGAGGTTGCAGTGAGCCGAGATGGAGCCACTGCACTCCAGCCTGGGTGACAGAGCGAGACTCCATCTCAAAAAAAAAAAAAAAAAGACGAACCTCTCTTCCTTAGGACACTATCTTCTGAACCCTGCCCTCTGCAAGCCGACAGGTAACTCCTGAAGCTGCACTGCCTGCCAGACACACACCCTCCAGTAACTGAAGACAAGCTGAGGCTCCTCTTTCATTCATACAGATCCAGGTGGGCCCAGCTTCCAGACACAGGCCTGAAAGCAGGCTGACCATGGAGGCGTGGAGAAAGCTGGGGGCCACAGGGACGAGACCTGGACATCCCCTTCTGCCCTGAGCCTGGGTTCGGCCTCAATATAAGCGACTTCTCATCAGTTGCTTCTCATTAGTCTGCTGCTAAGTAATTTGGGAGATAGAAACATATCCATTAATTTGACTAAATCAGCTGCTAATAACAGATGCAACTTTTTTTTTTTTTTGAGATGGAGTTTGGCTCTTCTTGCCCAGGCTGGAGTGCAATGGTGCGATCTTGCCTCACCGCAACCTCCGCCTCCCAGGTTCAAGCGATTCTCCTGCCTCAGCCTCTCGAGTAGCTGGAACTACAGGCGTGTGCCACCACGCCCAGCTAATTTTTGTATTTTTAGTAGAGACAGGGTTTCACCATGTTGGCCAGGATAGTCTCGATCTCGATCTCGTGATCCGCCTGCCTCGGCGTCCCAAAGTGCTGGATTACAGGCATGAGCCACTGCGCCCGGCCAACAGATGCAACTTTCTAAAGGGAAATCATAAAACTGCATGGCACGGTTAGAAAAATGAGCTAGTATTTTTCCTAACTGCAACCCTATGTCTTCTTACTGCTGTTTTTCACTGGTGGAGCCCCGTCTGGAGCACCCTCAGTGCCAGGCCCCGAGATGCAGGTTCCACACCCATCAGGCCCCTAACAGCCACAAACCAGCAGCACAGGGCCATGCCCTGCATCATTTACCTTCACACCGCTCCTCTCTTTCCCACCACCTCTTTCTCAGTGAAATGGTTTAGCTCTGCATCCCCACCCAAATCTCATGTTAAATGTAATCCCCAGTGTTGGAGGTGGGGGCTGGTGGGGGGTGATTGGCTCATGGGGGCAGTTTCTCATGAATGGGTTAGCACTGTCCTCTTGGTGCTGTTCTTCTGAGATCTAGTGTTTAAAGGTATGTGGCACCTCCCCTGCTCCTGCTCCTGCTCCAGCCATGTGTCACACTTGCTCCCCCTTAGACTTCTGCAATGATTGTGAGTTTCCTGAGGCTTCCGCAGAAGCCGAGCAGATGCCAGCATCATGCTTCCGCTCCAGCCTGCAGAACCATGAGCCAGTTAAGCCTCTCTTCTTTATAAATTACCCAGCCTCAGGTATTTATAGCAATGCTAGAACAGACTTAATACAGTTATTCTGAGGTTTTCCCACATGGGAAAAGTTAAGAAGGATTATGAAGCAGGGTGGGGAGCTAGGAAATGACTGGCAGAGCACGGGACAAGGCAGCAGAAGCTCAGACTTCAACCCCACTCCTAGCCCTGTCAGTGGGAAATTTACCCCAGTAACTCTTCCTGAGCCTCATTTTCTCCTCCGTGAAATGGTCAGAACAATGCCCATCTCATGCTGCTACTGTGATGGATAGATAGACTCAGGTCTGTGACAGCATTTTACACACTCGATATCCATTTTTTCTTTTTCTTTCTTTTTTTTTTTTTTTTTCTGAGATGGAGTTTTGCTCTTATTGTCCAGGCTGGAACACAATGGTATAATCTCGGCTCACTGCAACCTTCGCCTCCCAGGTTCAAGTGATTCTCCTGCCTCAGCCTCCCAAGTAGCTGGGATTACAGGCATGCCACCATGCCCACCTAATTTTTCTGTTTTTAGTAGAGACAGGGTTTCACCATGTTGGCCAGGCTGGTCTCGAACTCCTGACCTCAGATGATCCACTCGCCTCGGCCTCCCAAAGTGCTGGGATTACAGGCGTGAGCCACCGTGCCTGGCCTCCATATCCATTTCTAAAAGCCTCAGCCAATGGCCCACAACTATAGGCTCCAGGTGAGAATCAGTATGAGAGCATCAGTAATTGGAATGGGAAAGGACACTTTCCCACAGGACAGTTTCTGGCCTGGAAGTTTGAAAACCAAACTGAGTAATAGACGACCTTCCTCAAAGGTGAGGTGTATAATTTTAAAATAAATATTTAACCCATTTGGTTGTGAGGCAAAACTGTCTTTGACTTACTCCATTTCTACTTGGTAATGACTTGTAGCAGGCTCCTGTTTGCAAAACTGTCAACACTGGTAGGAGGTAGAGCAAAGGGTTGCTTTCACAGTGAGAAATGACAACCACATCACAGCCACGCGCTATGGGAGGCCAAGAGTAAGATTCAGTGTGGCTGGGGCCCGGAAACTTATTTCTTTGAAGAGCCTACAAAACAGAAACAACCAGAAACCAAAATAAGGTAGAGAAAACTAACAAAAACTCCATTGCATGGCTCATTTCACCCCAAAAAGCACTACACATTGCCAAACCCAGTATTTTCCAAGCCCTAACTTGTTAAGTTTCCCCAAATCTTTTCTCAGTACCAACCTCCTATTAAAAGACTGTTGCTTTTTCTCCTATTAAGACTCCCATTAAAAGATTCTTGCTAGGCAGGGCACGGTGGCTCATGCCTGTAATCCCAGCACTTTGGGAGGCCGAGGTGGGTGGATCACCTGAGGTCAGGAGTCCGAGACCAGCCTGGCCAACATGGTGAAACCCCATCTCTACCAAAAATACAAAATTAGCCAGGTGTGGTGGTGCATGCCTATAATCCCAGCTACTCTGGAGGCTGCGGCAGGAGAATCACTTGAACACAGGAGGCAGAGGATGCGGTAAGCCAAGACTGTGCCACTGCACTCCAGCCTGGGTGACAGAGCGAGACTCCATCTCAAAAAAAAAAAAAAAAAAAAAAAAAAAAAAAGCCAGGCACAGTGGCTCATGTCTGTAATCCCTGCACTTTAGGAGGTCAAGGCGAGCAGATCACCTGAGGTCGGGAGTTCAAGACCAGCCTGACCAAGATGCAGAAACCCCGTCTCTACTAAAAATAGAAAATTAGCCGGGCGTGGTGTCAGGCACCTGTAATCCTAGCTACATAGGAGGCTGAGGCAGGAGAATGACTTGAACCCGGGAGGCACAGGTTGTGGTGAGCCGAGATCATGCCATTGCACTCCAGCCTGGGCAACAAGAGCAAAACTCCGACTCAAAAAAAAAAAAAAAAAAGATTCTTGCTTTAATTTTCTAAATTAAAAGGATCCAATAGATGGCCCATTGACAGGAACTTAAAGTTCACTGGATCAAAGATGTGGCTTTTCCTCCTCATTCTCCTAATAAACTGCCAGTCCATCAGCTTCACTTGTAAAGCTTTTTAAAAGATAGACTTTTATTTGCTTATTTTTCTATGTAACTGTCACTAAAACCCAAATGTTCCAATAGAGTTCTCCACCCACATGGATAGGATCTTCCAAATGGCCGAGCTCATCGGCACCATGAGCTCTGTGAGGTCCTCTCGAGTCCTGAGCCCTAGCTGCAGTCAGGACCCGCCATGCTCTGCACTTGGTATTGAGCAACTATCCTGGTATCATCCTTCACCATCACCTTTTGTCTGCAAACCCATGTGGTCATCTTTCTCGGGTTACTTCTTTGTTTTGGTAGAGAACATATTTTAATATCTTCTTGACAAAGGTTGGAAGGGAAGTACGTTTTTTTAAGACTCTGTATGTCTGCAAATGTCTTCACTCTACCCTCACGCTCCATCCACAGTTTGAGTAAGGACCTCTGGTTGGAAAGAGCTTTTCATCAGAATTATTATTATTATTATTATTATTATTGTAGACAGAGTCTCGTTCTGTGCCCAGGCTGGAGTGCAGTGGCACGATCTTGGCTCACTGCAACCTCCGCCTCCCAGGTTCAAGAGATTTTCATGTCTCAGCCTACCAAGCGACTGGGACTATAGGCACATGCCACCACACCCAGCTAATTTTTTGTATTTTAGTAGAGACAGGATTTCACCATGTTGCCCACGCTGGTCTTGAACTCCTGAGCTCAGGCAATCTGCGCCTCAGCCTCCCAAAGTGCTAGGATTAAAGGCGTGAGCCACCGCACCTGACCTCATCAGAATTTTGACATCAATGCTCATTTGGTGCACTGTGGAGACATCTGAAGCCATTCTGATTCCTGGTCCAGTGTGTAGGACCAGTTTCATCTCTCTTGAAGCCTTCATAATCTTTAGATTCCCTCAACTTAGATGCTTCAGAATCTCTTTCTTCAGCAGTTGTGCTGGGCCTGTGATGGGTAGGCCCTCTTAATCTGGAAATTCTTGTCCATTAGGTCCAGAAAATGTTCCTATGTTAATCTTCAGAAAATGTCCTATCATCTTCCTTCATTCTTCCTAGAAATCCCATTTTTCAGAAACCGGACCTCAAACTGACCCTCAAAAATTTTTCCTCCTATTTCCGTCTCTTTGCCTTTTTCCTCTACTTTCTGAGTTAGCTTCTCTTTTATGTCTCAAACATACTAGTGATTTTTACATTTTTCTATATTTTGAATTTCCAAGAATCTTTTATTCTGCCTGTTCCTTTTTAAAATATCCTATTTTCAATATCCCCAGAGAGAAAAAACATTACATCCCTTTAACAGTAAGCTGTTAGAGATGCAATGTCTTCTCTCCGGGGATATTTATTCTCTCTGGGGATATTTATTCTTTAACATTTTCTCCTCCTCACTGCATTGTTTGTTTCCTTGAGAGTTTGTTTCGGTCTTTTTTTTTTTGAGACGGAGTCTTGCTCTATTGCCCAGGCTGGAGTTCAGTGGCACAATCTCAGCTCACTGCAACCTCTGCCTCCTAGGTTCAAGTGATTCTCCTGCCTCAGCCTCCCAAGTAGCTGGGACTACAGGCATGTACCACCATGCCTGGCGAATTTTTGTATTTTTAGTAGAGACGGGGTTTCACCATGTTGGCCAGGCTGGTCTCAAACTCTTGACCTCAGGTTATCTGCCTGCCTCGGCCTCCCAGTGTTAGGATTACAGGTGTGAGCCAATGCACCCAGCCTGGTCTTTTTTTTTTTTTTTAAGGTGAAGGCTTTCTTCAAATGTCCATGATCCCTGATGTCTGTTCATGGTGGACAGCAAGACACTAACGCCCAACTGGAGGCTCTGGGGACTCTTGTCATCACATGAGTGTCACCTCACTGCAGAAAGGCAGGGAGGCAAGCAGGCCCTGTTCATGGGAGAATTCCAAATAGCATCATCTGAAGGTCATTTCTCTAGAGCCATTCAAATTTCTCCAAAAAGAGCCTCCAACCTTGCTGCTGAGAACAATACAAGCTGGCTGTGGGTGCTCAGAAGACAGAGCTGGTGGTTCACGCTCCCCTCGCTCGCAAAGCACTCCTTCCCTGAAGAGGCAGCCACACTCTGTCTCCTGCTTTCATCTTCTAAGACTGTGGAATCTGTCCACTTCTCTCTCATGCTATTTGTCCTGGTTGTTTTAGCTTCCTATCTTAAAAAAAATTTTTTTTTAACTTTTTTTAATCAGGAAAAAAGTAGATAAACACGTATGATCAATTTTCCAAATGAAACCATATGTGTGTAAGACAATTTTGAAAAGAACGGTCGGGGAGTGCATTACAATTGCCCTGGTGGCCTGCTGCTCCTCCCACAGCCCTGTCCACAGGCATCCTGGAAACCTGACTGCAGAAGGGGCTCACAGTTACACAGCGGCTGCCTCACAAAACAATCACTCACTCACTTCTAAGAAGCTAACTTGGATTTAAGAATAAATGAGAAATTAGGCCGAGTGTGGTGGCTCATGCCTGTAATCTCAAATAAAAAGAGAATTTCAAAAGCAAAGAAATTATACAATGCAACCTTAGAGCCATTTATTTCAAAATCCTTCTCTATTAGAAAAAGTTGGCATTCTTGATAAATTCAGTTTTACGAGCACTTTTACCTTCTTCAGGTCTGCTGACAGCGGCGACGAGTCAATGGTTAAGCAGGGCTTGATCTTGTTCCGGAGCACTACCACGGGCGGCTGCAGGCCCTTCAGCTTCTGCAACTGAGAGAACGTGTGCATTAGACAACCAGTGTCTGCCCTGAGGCGTCAGCACAGGAGATCAAGAACTTCACAGAAATGAAGAAAATATAGATTTCAATGTAAACACCTGGGTATATATGCTTACTTAAAAAAAAAGAAAAAAAAAACCACCAAACTACCAAAAGGAAGATCGTTTATTATCCAAAAAACAAGGAACAATTTCTCAGAAGCAACAATCCATTCGATCGTTTCTAAAAGGATGTCTTCAGGTTAAGTCCCCCATCTAAGGAGTTTCTCTTCTAATCTCAAGTCTGGAGGGAGGAAGGAGAAGGATTTAAAGAATAAACAGTTTTTTCTCTCTTTTTATTTTACTTTTTTTAGGGCCTGTAATACCTGCTGGAGATCAGAGATTCCGTCAGCTCTCAAAGGATCAGGATTTAAAAACTGCAGTAATCTGTAAGATAGTTAAAAGAAGAATGTGAAGAAAAAGGTGTTTGTTTCCTCAGTTGAGCTATTCTTTTAGTTCTTCCTTGACAGAGATAGCAGGGGCTGCACAGCCCAAGGCTCAGCTGTACAACTGCTGCCTGTTCTGTTCTGCTTGGTTTATGAGACATGAGGGCCTGTACCTGTGCTGCCACAACCCTGCCACCCAGGTCCCCCTGAGAGTATCTGAGGGGCCCCAGCCAAGCTCAGGAATCACTAGTGTACTTTACTATCTTTATTTTATGGATGAGAAAACAAGACCAGATAGGACTTGTCCACAGTCACCTCTGCTGAGAGGAGAAGAAATTTGAAACTGCTTTCCTCTAGATCCAGCCCAACCCCAACATGGGTAAGGCCAGTGGCAGTCACAGAGAAGTCACAAGGCACAGACATGGCGGGGACTCCAGGATAAAGATGGTGGGTTACACACATGGCAAACTGCGCTCCTTCCTAAAGCCTCATTCCTGTAAACGCGTTTTTTCTTTTTTCTTTTTTTTTTGAGATGGAGTTTCGCTCTTGTTACTCAGGCTGGAGTACAGTGGTGTGATCTCAGCTGACTGCAACATCCGCCTCCCAGGTTCAAGAGATTCTCCTGCCTCAGCCTCCTGAGTAGCTGGGACTACAGGCATCCACCACCACACCCAGCTAATTTCTGTATTTTTAGTAGAGACAGGGTTTCACCATTGTTGTCCAGGCTGGTCTCGAACTCCTGACCTCAGGTGAACCGCCTGCCTCGGCTTCCCAAACTGCTGGGATTATAGGCGTGAGCCACTGCGCCCGGCCCTGTAAATGGATTTTCAAATGCAAAAGCCACAAGATCCAACTGTTATCAGCTGATGAATGGGTACATGAAATGCACTCCATGCACGCAATGGAATATAAGTCAGTCATGAAAAGGCATGCTGTGCTAGTTTATGATATGGCAGAGATGAGCCTTGGAAACACTGTGCAGTGAAACCAGCGTCACCAAGGCCCACCCACCGTATGAGCCCATCGATATGAAATGTCCTGAACAGGCAAACCCATAGAGACTGAAAGCAGACAGCTGGCTACCAAAGGATGTGGAGGGAGGAAAATGGAGGGTGACCGCTAATGGGTATGCACTTACTTGTGTGGTTGCAAACTCTGTGAATACACTAAAAATCACTGAATTGTACACTTGAAAAAAGGGTACATGAATCATATTTCAAAAAAGCTATGTTTTAGAGACAATATTCCAGAACAGAATGTTGGAAGCTAAAAAACAGATGGACAAACTGGTAACAGCCCCAAGACAGTTGACCCTGAGCCAGCCGCGGGAGGCCTGACCCTATCTGCAGAGAACAACCTTCAGAAAGCTTAGGAATTAGGGGCAGGCTCCCTGGCTGCAGCAATGTGGCAGAGGGGGGAACCTCTGCATCACCTTACACTACTCCACACCAGACGGCCACTCACCCCAACCCGAGGAAGGCCAGGGGCTGATTCTCTGGAGAGGATAAAGCAGAACTCTCAGGACTCGGGGCTGTAGGCCTAGCTGCAAACAGAGGTGCTGAACTGAAAAGAAGGAGGCTAAGCACACACAGGACAGTGAGACCCAGCCTGTGCCTCCCACTCAGCTCCCAGGACACAGGCAGGTCTTTAGCCCCAGGGGCCAGAGACAGGAGAAGCCTTCCCTTGGGCATCTGGACGGAATTCAGAGGTCCCTGTACTCACAGCAGCTCGCTCCCCAGAGAGACCCACAGCCCACAGGCTTGGCACACTCAGAGACCCTCACCGGCTCACTGGGCCTCTACGTTGAAATACAGGCAGACAATCAAGGACTGCATGACATCTAAGGAAAGCCTCCAGCCTTAAAAACCGAGTAATGCACCCTGCAAAAAAAGAAACAGTGTAGGGAGAAGAAAACTCCCCCACAAAAATCATTAGTCTCCTTAGAGAAATGAGAGAAACTACCATATATGTGAAACGAGGACAGGACACTGTCAGAAAAAGAAAAGAGAAAAGAGAACAAAAGGAAAACCCTTGCAAATTAAAAACGTGATATTAGAAATAAAAAACACAATAAAATGAGTAGAGGACAAAATTGTAAAATCATTCCAAAAAGTAAAGCAGGCTGGGTGTGGTGGCTCACACCTATAATCCCAGCCTTTTGGGAGGCCGAGGCAGGCAGATCACTTGAGGTCAGGAGTTTGAGACCAGCCTGGCCAATATAGTGAAACCCTGTCTCTACTAAAAATACAAAAATCAGTCAGGTGTGGTGGCAGGCACCTGTAATCCCAGACTGAGGCAGGAGAATCACTTGAACCCAGGAGGCAGAAGCTGCAGTGAGCCGACATCGCACCACTGCACTCCAGCCTGGGCAAAAGAGCGAGACTCCATTTCAAAAAAACAAAAAAAAAGAAAAAAAAAAGTAAAGCAAAAAGACAAAGAGATTAAAAAAAGAGCAGGCACTTTCAAGATGGCCAAATAGGAACAGCTCCAGTCTATAGCTCTCAGCAAGATCAATGCAGAAGATGGGTGATTTCTGCATTTCCAACTGAGGTACCTGGTTCATCTCACTGGGACTGGTTGGACAGTGGGTGCAGCCCGTGGAGGGTGAGCTGAAGCAGGGTGGAGTGTCGCCCCACCTGGGAAGCACAAGGGGAAAGGTTTCCCTTTCCTAGCCAAGGGAAGCCATGACTGACTGTACCTGGAGGAGCAGTATACTCCTGCCCAAATACTGCGCTTTTCCCAGTCTTCACAACCAGCAGACCAGGAGATTCCCTCCTGTGCCTGGCTCGGCGGGTCCCACGCCCACAGATCCTTGCTCGATGCTAGCACAGCAGTCTGAGATCGACCTGGGATGCGGGAGCTTGGTGTGGGGAGGGGTGTCCACCATTGCTGAGGTTGAGTAGGCGGTTCTATGCTCACAGTGTAAACAAAGCAGCGGGGAAGCTCAAACTGGGTGGAGCCCACCGCAGCTCAGCAAGGCCTACTGCCTCTCCAGATTCCACCTCTGGGGGCATGGCATATCTGACCCAAAGGCAGCAGACAGCTTCTCCAGACTTAAACGTCCCTGCCTGACAGCTATGAAGAGAGCAGTGGTTCTCCCAGCACAGCACCTGAGCTCTGATAATGGACAGACTGCCTCCTCAAGTGGGTCTCTGACTCATGTGTAGCCTGACTGGGAGACATCTCCCAGTAGGGGCCGACAGACACCTCATACAGGTGGGTGTCCCTCTGGGATGAAGCTTCCAGAGGAAGGATCAGGCAGCAATATTTGCTGTTCTGCAGCCTCTGCCCAGGGAAACAGGGTGTGGGGTGGACCTCCAGCAAACTCCAACAGAGCTGCAGCTGAGGGGCCTGTCTGTTAGAAGGAAAACTACCAAACAGAAAGGAATAGCATCAACATCAACAAAAAGGACATCTACACCAAAACCTCATCTGTAGCTCACCAACATCAAAGACCAAAGGTAGATAAAACCACAAAGATGGGGAGAAACCAGAGCAAAAAGGCTGAAAATTCCAAAAACCAGAACGTCTCTTCTCCTCCAAAGGAACACAACTCCTCGCCAGCAACAGAACAAAACTGGATGGAGAATGAGTTTGATGAGTTGACAGAAGTAAGCTTCAGAAGGTCAGTAATAACAAACTTCTCTGAGCTGAAGAAGCATGTTCTAACCCATCGTAAGGAAGCTAAAAACCTTGAAAAAAGGTCAGATGAATGGCTAACTAGAATAACCAGTGTAGAGAAGAGCTTAAATGACCTGATGGAGCTGAAAACCACAGTACGGGAACTTCGTGATGCATGCACAAGCTTCAACAGCCAATTCGATCAAGTGGAAGAAAGGATATCAGTGATTGAAGGTCAAATTAATGAAATAAAGTGATAAGACAAGATTAGAGAAAAAAGAGTAAAAAGAAATGAACAAAGCCTCCAAGAAATATGGGACTATGTGAAAAGACCAAATCTATGTTTGATTGGTGTACCTGAAAGCAACGGGGAGAATGGTGCCAAGTTAGAAAACATTCTTCAGGATATTATCCAGGAGAACTTCCCCAACCTAGCAAGGCAGGCCAACATTCAAATTCAGGAAATACAGAGAACACTACAAAGATACTTTCGAGAAGAGCAACCCCAAGACACACAATTGTCAGATTCACAAGGTTGAAATGAAAGCAAAAATGTTAAGGGCACCCAGAGAGAAAGGTCAGGTTACCCACAAAGGGAAGCCCAGCAGACTAACAGTGGATCTCTCTGCAGAAACTATAAGCCAGAAGAGAGTGGGGGCCAATATTCAACATTCTTGAAAAGAATTTTCAACCCAGAATTTCATATCCAGCCAAATTAAGCTTCATAAGTAAAGAAGAAATAAAATCCCTTACAGACAAACAAATGCTGAGAGATTTTGTCACCACCAGGCCTGCCTTCCAAGAGCTCCTGAAGGAAGTACTAAACATGGATAGGAACAATCGGTACCAGCCACTGCAAAAACATGCCAAATTGTAAAGACCATTGACACTATGAAGAAACTACATCAATTAATGGGCAAAATAACCAGCTAGCATCATAATGACAGGATCAAATTCACACATACAATATTAACCTTAAATGTAAATGGCCTAAATGCCCCCAATTAAAAGACACAGACTGGCAAATTGGATAAAGAGTCAAGACCCATCAGTGTGCTGTATTCAGGAGACCCATCTCACGTGCAAAGACACACATAGGCCCAAAATAAAGGGATGGAGGAAGATCTACTAAGCAAATGGAAAGCAAAAAAAAAAGCAGGGGTTGCAATCCTGGCCTCTGCTAAAACAGACTTTAAACCAACAAAGATCAAAAGACATAAAGAAGGCCATTACATAATAGTAAAGGTTATCAATTCAACAAGAAGAGCTAACTAGATTCATAAAGCAAGTTCTTAAGAGACCTACAAAGAGATCTAGACTCCCACACAATAATAAATGGGAGACTTTAACACCCCACTGTCTATATTAGACAGATCAACGAGACAGAAAATTAACAAGGATATCCGGGACTTGAACTCAGCTCTGGACCAAGCAGACCTAATAGACATCTACAGAACTCTCCACACCAAATCAACAGAATATACATTCTTCTCAGCACCACATCACACTTATTCTAAAATTGACCACATAATTGGAAGTAAAACACTCCTCAGCAAATGTAAAATAACAGAAATCACAACAAACTGTCTCTCAGACCAGAGTGCAATCAAATTAGAACTCAGGATTAAGAATCTCACTCAAAACCGCACAACTACATGGAAGCTGAACAACCTGCTCCTGAATGACTACTGGATACATAATGAAATGAAGGCAGAAATAAAGATGTTCTTTGAAACCAATGAGAACAAAGACACAAAGCATCAGAATCTCTGGGACACATTATAGCACTAAATGCCCACAAGGGAAAGCAGGAGAGATCTAAAACTGACACCCTAACATCACAATTAAGAGAACTAGAGAAGCAAGAGCAAACAAATTCAAAAGCTGGCAGAAGACAAGAAATAACTAAGATCAGAGCAGAACTGAAGGAGATAGTGACACAGAAAACCCTTCAAAAAAATCAATGAATCTAGGAGCTGGTTTTTTGAAAAGATCAACAAAATAGATAAACCACTAGCAAGACTAATAAAGAAGAAAAGAGAGAAGAATCAAATAGACACAATAAAAAATGATAAAGGGGATATCACCACTGATCCCACAGAAATACAAACTACCATCAGAGAATACTATAAACACCTATGCAAATAAACTAGAAAATCTAGAAGAAATGGATAAACTCCTGGACACATACACCCTCCCAAGACTAAACCAGGAAGAAGTCGAATCTCTGAATAGACCAGTAACAGGTTCTGAAATTGAGGCTGTAATAGCCTGCCAACCAAAAAAAATTCCAGGAACAGACAGATTCACAGCCGAATTCTACCAGAGGTAGAAAGAGCAGCTGGTACCATTCCTTCTGAAACTATTCCAATCAACAGAAAAAGAGGGAATCCTTCCTAACTCATTTTATGAGGCCAGCATCATCCTGACACCAAAGCCTGGCAGAGTCACAACAAAAAAAGAATTTTAGGCCAATTTCCCTGATGAACATCAATGCAAAAATCCTCAATAAAATACTGGCAAACCGAATCCAGCAGCACATCAAAAAGCTTATCCACCATGATCAAGTCGGCTTCATCCCTGGGATGAAAGGCTGGTTCAACATACGCAAATCAATAAATGTAATCCATCACATAAACAGAACCAACAACAAAAACCACATGACTATCTCAACAGATGCAGAAAAGGCCTTCGACAAAATTCAACAGCCTTTCATGCTAAAAACTCTCAATAAACTAGGTATCGATGGAATGTAACTCAACATAATAGGTATTTATGACAAACCCACAGCCAATATCATGCTGAATGGGCAAAAACTGGAAGCATTCCCTTTGAAAACTGGCACAAGACAAGGATGCCCTCTCTCACCACTCCTATTTGACATAGTATTGGAAAGGCAGGGCAATCAGGCAAGAGAAAGGGCAGTATCTGGCCAGGGCAATCAGGCAAGAGAAAGCAATAAAGGTATTCAAATAGGAAGAGAGGAAGTCAAATTGCCCCTGTTTGCAGATGACATGATTGCATATTTAGAAAACCCCATCATCTCAGCCCAAAATTTCCTTAAGCTGATAAGCAACTTCAGCAAAGTCTCAGGATATAAAATCAATGTGTAAAAATCACAAGCATTCCTATACACCAATAACAGACAAACAGAGTCCAATCATGAGTGAACTCCCATTCACAATTGCTACTAAGAGAATAAAATACCTAGGAATACAACTTACAAGGGATGTGAAGGACCTCTTCAAGGAGAACTACAAACCACTGCTCAAGAAAATAAGAGAGGACACAAACAAATGGAAAAACATTCCATGCTCATGGATCAGAAGAATCGATATCGTGAAAATGGTCTTACTGCCCAAAGTAATTTATAGAGTCAAACCTATCCCCATCAAGCTACCACTGACTTTTTTCACAGAATTGGAGAAAACTACTTTAAACTTCATATGGAACCAAAAATGAGCCCACATAGCCAAGACAATCTTGGGGAAGAAGAACAAAGCTGGAGGCATCACGCTACCTGACTTCAAACTTTACTACAAGGCTACGGTAACCAAAACAGCATGGCACTGGTACCAAAACAGATATATAGACCAATGGAACAGAACACAGGCCTCAGAAATAACGCCACACATCTACCGCCATCTTATCTTTGACAAACCTGACACACACAAGCAATGGGGAAAAGATTCTCTATTTAATAAATGGTGTTGGGAAAACTGGCTAGCCATATGCAGAAAACTGAAACTGGACCCCTTCCTTACACCTTACACAAAAATAGACTCAAGATGGATCAAAGACTTAAACACAAGACCTAGGACCATAAAAATCCTAGAAGAAAACCAGGGCAATACCATTCAGGACACAAGCATGGGCAAAGACTTCATGTCTAAAACACCAAAAGCAATGGCAACAAAAGTCAAAATTGACAAATAGAATCTAATTAAACTAAAGAGCTTCTGCGCAGCAAAAGAAACTATCATCATAATGAACAGCCTACAGAATGGTAGAACATTTTTGCAATCTATTCATCTGGCAAAGGGCTAATATCCAAAATCTACAAAGAACTTAAACAAATTTACAGGAAAAAAGCAAACAACCCCATCAAAAAGTGGGCAAAGGACATGAACAGACACTTCTCAAAAGAAGGCATTTATGTAGCCAATAGACATATGAAAAAATGCTCATCATCACTGGTCATTAGAGAAATGCAAATCAAAACCACAATGGGATACCATCTCATGCCAGTTAGAATGGCGATCATTAAAAAGTCAGGAAACAACAGACGCTGGAGAGGATGTGGAAAAACAGGAATGCTTTTATACTGTTGGTGGGAATGTAAATTAGTTCAACCATCATGGAAGACAGTGTGGTGATTCCTCAAGGATCTAGAACCAGAAATACCATTTGACCCAGCATTCCCATTACTTGGCATATACCCAAAGGATTATAAATCATTCTACAATAAAGACACATGCACATGTATGTTTACTGTGGCACTACTCACAATAGTAAAGACTTGGAACCAACCCAAATGTCCATCAATGATAGACTGGATTAAGAAAATGTGGCACATATACACCATGGAATACTATGCAGCCATAAAAAAGGATGAGTTCATGTCCTTTGCAGGGACAGGGATGAAGCTGGAAACCATCATTCTCAGCAAACTATCACAAGATCAGAAAACCAAACACTGCATGTTCTCACTCCTAAGTGGGAGCTGAACAATGAGAACGCATGGATACAGGGAAGAGAACATCACACACTGGGGCCTGTGGGGGGTGGGGGGCTAGGGGAGGGATAACAATAGGAGAAATACCTAATGTAGGTGACAGGTTGATGGGTGCAGCAAACCACCATGGCACATGTACACTTATGTAACAAAACTGCACATTCCGCACATGTAACCCAGAACTTTAAGTATAATAAAAAAAAAAGAAAAATATATTTTATAAAATTACTCAACCAATTCAGGAGGTTCAACATACGAGTCACAGAGGTTCTTAAAAGAAGACAGAGAACACGCAGCACAAGAGAACAACGAAAAAGTCAAGAGAATTTCCCAGGGGTAAGGGACATGAGGCTACACACTGGAAGTGTCCACTGAATGACAAGCATAATAATAGAACCACACCAAGGCACAACATCAGGAAACTTCCAAACACCGGCAACAAAGGAAGATCCTATAAGCTTCCAGAGAGAGAGAGAGAGAGAGAGAGAAAAGGAAAGGAGTCATATATAAAGAATAAGAAATCAGAATAGAGTGGACGTCTCTACACTAGAAACTAGAAGTAGAAATGTCTTCAAAATGTATACCCAAACTATTGATCAAGTGTGAAGATAATCTAAAAGCATTTATGCAAAGTCTCTAAAAAATTTATGTTTTGTGTCTCCCTTCCTAGAAAGCTACTAAAGGATGCTCTCCACCAAAACAAGGGAGTAAACCAAGTAAGAAGAAGATGGATGATCTGGAAAAGAGGAGATTCAATTCAAGAAAGATGCAGAGAATCTCAGGATGTTGGTGACAATGAACACGGGACATATCAGGCACAAACCAAAGCAGGCAGAAAGGGTCTGGAGGGATGTCCAAAGACACACAAGTGAGAACCTGAGTTTAGATAACAGAGGAGAATTCTGGGGATGAATCTTTAAGATAGATTAAAAATGGCCGAGCGCGGTGGCTCACGCCTGTAATCCCAGCACTTGGGAGGCCGAGGCAGGCAGATCTTGAGGTCAGGAGATAGAGACCATCCTGGCTAACACGGTGAAACCCCGTCTCTACTAAAAATACAAAAAAATTAGCCAGGCGTGATGGTGGGTGCCTGTAGCCCCAGCTACTTGGGAGGCTGAGGCAGGAGAATGGCGTGAACCCAGGAGGTGGAGCTTGCAGTGAGCTGAGATCGCGCCACTGCACTCCAGGCTGGGCAACAGAGCGAGACTCCATCTCAAAAAAAAAAAAAAAAGATAGATTAAAAACTTAGGGAAGTGAGCCAGGCATGGTGGCAGACAGTAGTCCCAGCTACTCGGGAGGTTGAGGCAGGAGGATTGCTTGAGGCCAGAAGTTTGAGACCAGCCTAGGCAACACAGTGAGACCCCATTAAAAAAAAAAAAACCCAAGGAAAGAAAAAAACAAGATAATTATTAACTTCAGGTAAACCAAAAGGCTATGTGAAAACAGAGAAGCAGCCGTGCTGTGTGACTGCAGAGCTCCGCAGCACTCACCTGCTCACAGCCCAGGGACAATGAACACTCATCTCACCAGAATCATGACGTGGGGAGAGTGGAGTCATGGGAAGAACAGACGTGTGGGTGTGATTTCAAGAGGGAGGAGGAAGGGTTGTACAACAGAGCTGCGTTCTCACCACTCACTGTGTTCTTTGGCAGAGGGCTCGGGTCTGGAAGGACAGTGTCTGACCCTGGACTCAGCAGTTTGTGTGAAGGGCATTTCAGTCCAGGCTTCGACATGCATTGCTGTTCAGACTCTGACATTGAAATGGTATCACAAAGAATGTGCATATTTGGGCCAGGTGCAGTGGCTCATGCCTGTAATCCCAGCACTTTGGGAAGCTAATGGCAGGCAGATCACCTGAGGTCAGGAGTTCGAGACCAGCCTGGCCATCATGGCGAAACCCCGTCTCTATTAAAAATACAAAAAAGTTAGCTGGGCATGGTGGCATGCGCCTGTAATCCCAGCTACTCGGGAGGCTGAGGCAGGAGAATCGCTTGAACCCGAGAGGCGGAGGTTGCAGCAAGGCGAGATTGTACCGCTGCACTCAAGCCTGGGCTACAGAGCGAGACTCTGTCTCAAAAAAAAAAAAAAAAAGAAAAGAAAAAAAGAATGGGCATATTCGGAGAATTTTCCATCTTCAATCAGTGGGCAGTACAAAGTAGGCTGATGTTAAAATGTTTAAAGGAAGACAACAGAAGAATAAAGAATGAATATCACAGTAGGCAAGAGGGACACAGAAGAAGGAAAGACAAAGAACTGCAGAGAGAGCTCCAGGGTACATTAAATATCAGAGATGACGTGAGTGGCAAGCAGGTACCACTCCACCCTCCTATGCTCAGGACATCTTAACCAGTTATGAAAGTACTCCCCGCAGCACATATGGCTGCATTGTCAAAGTCCAAAAGCCTCCTGAAAATAATGCTGCGAGGGTCAACACACAGAGTTGAGACTCACCCACCACCTAGCATATTTCCACGGGCTGGGCGGAAGCTGGCACCAGCTTAGAAACACGATCTCAGCCCAATCCAGGCTGCCTTGCCACCTCCAGAAGCCCTTAGCAAAACAGAGCAGTTTCTCTTGAACACCCAAAAATTAAGAGAGAGAATTTCACTAGGAGAGCCCTTAAACCTGGGTGTGGGCCCCGCCACTTCCTCTGCTACCCAAGTATCCAGGATTCCCAAGGGGATCCTGGTGGTATGTGATCCTGGAATGGGAAAGACTGCATCTGGGGTGACCTCTTCCAGAATGTACTGTAACTTGGGGGTTTCCAAATGAGTTATATGAAGGAACAGGCCCGAGGAGAAAGAAATACAACCGCTTACTGGTACTTACAGGCTTGAGCAACTCCATCAGCGAGACAAAAAGACAGGAAAAGAAAACCACAGGTGTCACACAGAGGAGGCTAGTGGGACACCTGGCCCCTGGCAATGAGCCAAGGTCCCTGTGCCCCTCTGCCCACATTGTGACAGTCGTTATCATAGTCCCAAGTGAGGTTTGGGGATGCGGCAATGCGGGTCTCTGACTGGCCATCCTTAAGGAAAGGGTGCCTCTCCTCCAGGCTGCCTTGGCTATCTCGCCAGAAATGACAGCACAGGGTTCCCCAGGCTTTGGACGCAGTGCAGCCAATGCTGGACCTCTGCGCAGTCAAGGGGGAGGGTCCCAGGATCACCAGGTCATCCCTGTGTCCCTAAGGAACTCAAAGCCTTCTTTGATGTTTAATCCTGAATTACCTCAAAGTTCCCTGAAACCCACAGGAGACTGACAGGATAACTGATGTTGTTTAATCAGTGGGTTCTAAGTAAAGGGCATTTTAACAGAACAGGAGACAAGACAGAACTTTTTAATACGAAAATAAAAGGGAATAGAATGTTCCAGGGTCATCCGGGCACAGTGGCTCACTCCTGTAATCCTAGCACTTTGGGAAGCCAAGGTGGGCGGATCACCTGAGGTCATGAGTTCGAGACCAGCCTGGCCAACATGGCAAAACCCCATCTCTACTAAAAATACAAAAATTAGCTGGACGTGGTGGCAGGCGCCTGTAATTCCAGCTACTCAGGAGGCTGAGGCAGGAGAATTGCTTGAACCCAGGAGGTGGAGGTTGCAGTGAGCCAAGATCATGTCATTGCACTCTATCCTGGGTGACAGAGCAAGATTCCGTCTCCAATTAAAAAATAAATAAATAAATAATGAAAAAAAGAATATTCCAGGGTTAATTTGCCAGGTTATAATTGAAAATAATAAAAGAAAGAAATAAGCTGTATGGCCTTCTGTTCCAAGGAAAATAACGACTGTGACAGCAAAACCTTTGGGTATTAGGGCTGAGGTTGCCCTGGGAGGGGGGTGTCAGTTAGGTGCATCAACAGCCATCCCCAACTCTGTGGGCTCGTGGAAGCTTTCAAAGCCTCACCCTTGAAATCCTGGGTGGTGTCCTGTGGGGTAAGAAGCCCTGGCAGGTCATCAGCATGGCCTCTGGGAAGCTGGGAAGCCCACATGGCTGCAGAGTCCACACCCTGGCTCCAACCCCCAAGGCCAACCAGTGGAAACAGCAGGACCTCCCCACCTCTGACCTGTCTCACACTTTGTCACTCTGGGAGCTCCAGGGCAGCTACAGTTACTTGGAATGTAAAACTGTTGAGGCCAATATGGTAAAAAGTATAAAAATGGCATGAGGCTGGAAGCTGTGGTCATGCCTGCAATCCCAGCACTCTGAAAGGCAGAGGTAGGAGAATCATTTGAGGCCAGGACTTTGAGACCAGCCTGGGTAACATAGCGAGACCCTCGTCCTACAAAAAAAAAAAAAAAAAAAAAAAAAAAAAAAAAATATATATATATATATATATATATATATATATATATATATATATATGTAAATCAGTTATGGTGGTGCATGCCTATGGTCCCAGCTACTTGGGAGGCTGAGGTGGGAGGATCGCTTGAGCCTAGGAGGTCGAAGCTGCAGTGAGCTGTGACTGCACCACTGCACTCCAGCCTAAATGACAGAGGAAGACCTTGTCTCAAAACGAAAATTGCTATGTAAATATTTTACAGATTACACAAGTATGAAATCAAGGCAAACTGCTCAGTTTCTCTAGCAGTGTTGCCTCAGAGAACTGGAAAGAAAGCAAAGACCAACCCAAAGAACATCAACAGCCCCAAAAGATCAACTGTATCTAATTTGATTTGTGACACTGTTCACTTCACCAAGAGAATCCAGAAGGCAAGGTAGAAAATGACTACTTACACTGGAACAAAGCTTTAAACAGAAAAATGTGCCCAAGTGGATGGAAAAGCAAAAATTAACCTCAAACCCTACAGGAGATATACTGTACATTTATTTTTTGATGGGAATGCAGGTTTGAAATTAATAATAAAATGTGTAGATTTCTCTTGTTTATAATTTTATTATAATTATTTCAATACACAATTCAGGCCAAGGAAAAAATTCTTACTTCACACAGCTATTCTTCTCATCATATTCTTTCTTCTCAGTCAATCTAAGAGGTTTCTCATTTGACTTCTGACTTAAAGCACTAGAAATGAAAAAAAAAAATTCATTAAAATTTGTGAACAGCAGCCTGGGCAACACAGTGAGTCCCCATCTCGACAAAAATAAAAAAATAAAAAATGCCGGGCATGGTGGTGTGCACCTATAGTCCCAGCAACTCGGGAGGCCAAGGTGGGAGGATCGCCTAAGCTCAAGAGTTGGACACTGCAGTGAGCTGTGATTGTGCCACCGCACTCCAGCCTGGGCAACAAGAGCAAGACCCTGTCTCTTAAAAAAATGAAAAATTGTGAACCCCTTTACCCCAATCCTGAAAATATCTTTATTTTCTGGATTAAAAATTTAAGAAGCACCACTGAGGAATTGGTTTATCTACATAAGCACATTTCTGTGAGAACTGGAGCTTAGTCCTTTAAGTATAAAAGTCATTTCTGACACTTCTGGTGGTGGTGCTGGACAGGATGGAGTAGGCCTGCCACAGCCTCTCTCTCCTGCTGATCACAACTAGAGATTCTGGATGAGGCCCCAACAGCAGGGGAGAGAAGTCAAACACTTGAAAAACAGAATCACCAGGACTTTCTTGTCTTTTTTCTCTCTGTGTCTCTGTGTTGACCTCAAGATGACTTTGTGGCAGGTGCAGACGCCAGAATCTCCAGGAGAGACTTCTTCCTTCAAGCCAGAGAAGCGGGAAGAGGCGCCCTTTAAACCAGAAAGTGTGGGGAATCCCCATTGTTTTTCTTTTCTTTCCTCACCGGGCCCCAAGGCCAGCTCTGATCTTGGGGCTGCACCCAGCAACAGCAACAGCAGTGTGGTGACCTTAAACCCTGAGAGAAAACCTGCACCTGAAGCCAGAGGAACTGGGAGATGGGAGCTGTGGTCCAAAGACTGCGTGAGGAAAATCTCCACCTTTTTTCTCCCTTACTTGTTTTATTCTCAAGGTATCCCAATTCCACATTACTGCACACCAATGTCTCCAAGAGAAACTATCTGGCCAGAGGAATACGGGGAAGGAGGCCCTAGAAATTGGTAACTGTGAGGGAAATTCTGAAAAGAAAGAGAGGTGGTTCATGACCCAACACAAGCCCCAACTCGCCCCAAGCTAAGCAGATGCAGAACAGGCCCCAGGCAGCATCGAGGGCCCAGAGCCTGAGCTCACACGGCCACCGCCACCCACAGTTCGCAAGGCAGAACATGAGGGCCGGACCTCATGGAGGTACCGACCTCCTGCTAAGACAAATGACACCAACCAACACTCTCTAGAGAATGTTAACAGAAACCAGAATCTCGCAACATAACATTCAAAATATCCAGAGTGAGTCCAAAGTTACTCAGCACACACGGGCCCAGGAAAACCAGATCGACTGCCAAGGGAAACGACAATCAGCAGGTGCCAACCTCTGGTGGCTCAGGGTGGCAATCTCTGGACACTCACTCCACAAGAAGAAAAGGCCAGCACTCCCAAGTGGAAACACACAAGTTCTCAGCAAAGAAATATAAACTTTTGAAAAAAAAAAACAAGGAAAATTTTAGAAACAAGAAATATAGGCCGGGCACAGTGGCTCACACCTGTAATCCTAATATTTTGGTAAGCCAAGGCGGGAGGATCACTTGGTCTCAGGAGTTGGAGACCAGCCAGGGCAACATAGCGAGACTTCCATCTCTGCAAAAAAATTAAAATGTTAGCCAGCTGTGGTGGTGTATGCCTGCAGTCCTAGCCACTTGGGAGGCTGGGGCCGGAGGATCGCTTAAGCCCAGGAGTTTAAGGCTATAGTGAGTTATGATTGCTCCACTGCACTTGAGAGCCTGAGTAACAGAGCAAGATCCTGTCGCAAAAAAATATAGATATAATAAATAGAATACTCACAGGATGGGCTCAATAGCAGAATGTGGATGACAGAAGATAATGAATGTACAGACAGATCAGTAGAATCATTGATCTGCAGAATAGCAAGATTGAAAGGCTGAAAAAATGAACAGAGCCTCAGGGACTTTTTGGACAATATCAAAATATCTGACATTTGTTTCATCAGAGTCTCTAAAAGGAGAGGAAAAAGATTGGTGCAGAAAAAAATATTTGTAGACATAATGACTATTTGATGTAAGAAAGCTACAAACAAAGAACATTAATGAACCCCAAGCATAAGAAATATGGTAGCAACGACAGCAAGGTATATTATGATTTTTTTTTTTTTGAAACGGAGTCTTGTTCTGTTGCCCAGGCTGGAGTGCAGTGGTGTGATCTCAGCTCACTGCAAACCCCGCCTCCTGGGTTCAAGCAATTATCATGCCTCTGCCTCCCGAGTAGCTGAGATTACAGGCACCTGCCACCACGCCCAGCTAACTTTTTTTTATTTTCAGTAGAGATGGGGTTTCACCATGTTGGCCAGGCTGGTCTTGAACTCCTGACCTCGGGTGAGGTCTGCCCACCTTGGCCTCCCAAAGTGCTAGGAATACAGGCGTGAGCCACCATGCCTGGCCAGTATATCATAATTAAATTGCTAAAACCAGTAATCAAAAGAAAATCTGAAAAGCAGTCAGAGGAAACAGCAGAGGAACAAAGGCACTGGTGACAGCAGAGGCAGTGCTGGGAACAATGCAAGAGAGAAGACAGTGGGACAACATCTTTAAATAAAGTGCTGTCAACCTAGAATTCTACACCTAGCAAAGGTATCCTTTTCAAAATGAACCTAAAATGAATACTTTTAAAAAAAAAAAAGCTGAAAGAGTTCATCAACAGCAGACCTGCAATGCAAGAAATATTAAAGGAAGCCCTTAGGTGGAAGGAAAATAATACCAGATGGAAATATGGAGCTACACAAAAAGTAAAGAACACCAATGCAACCACACAGGTAAAGAGAGAAGATATTTTTGTTAGTTAACTCTCTCTAGAATATAATTGACTATTTAAATAAAAGTGAGATAGAGTCTAGCATTTATGATATATGTAAAAGTACAACATATGACAACCACAGCATAAAGTCCACGACACGAGGGGAAGTGTGTTCTTAGACCATTCAAGAAGTGGTACAACATTACATCCTTTCTGCAATTTTGTTAACGTCACTGACATGTATCTTGAAGAGGACAAAGTACAGACCCAGCCTCTGATACTCACGAAACCATTCTTCTCTTTCCGCCCTGGGTAACCACCCACCCTGTGCTGCCATCTGGCCACGTGAGGCCATCCCTCTCATCAGGACCACTCTGTGCCAATCTTCAGACCTGCCTTACAGGGACAACTCTGTCCAAAAAGGCAAAGAGGAGACAGACTCTAGGGCCACTACCAGTTTTCAGTCAACTTTGCTGCCAACCAGGTGTCACATTTTTCCTTTAAGTTAATATGTTTAACCAAAATTTCCTGGGCCACTCTTTGAAAATGGACTATTTTCCAATCATCAATCTTATAGAACACTGTATAAGACAACATCACTCTTAAGTCTCTTGTCAATTACACCGAATTATTATTATTATTATTTTAGAGATAAGAGTCTCACTCTGTCACCCAGGCTGGAGTACAGTGGTACGATCATAGCTCACTGAAGCCTCGACCTCCTGGGCTTAAGCGATCCCCCCAGCTCAGCCTCCCCAGTAGCTGGGACTACAGGCAGGCGCCACCACACCCAGTTTGAATTTTCAAATCATACCTTGCTTCTGGTACATCTGGATCAGCATATATGGTTATGCCTCTTTTTGCTGGCCAGTACACTGAGGATTCAACACGCTGTAAAAGAAAACTTTTCTTCAGAAAGAATGTGTATGCTAGCAACATAATATACATTCTTTTGGAACCAAAATTCCATGGGAGTTATTCTCATGAACAACCATCCCAGACATCTTTCATGCACACACAGAGATAGAGAGATAAAAAACTGGAAAGTTGGGTGATTATGCCAGCGCTATAACCACTACATTAAATGTCCAAATGGCAGGCAGCTGGCATTCCAGATCGTCAGTACTTAAAATGTCCTGCAATTACTTTCAACCTGTCTTGTCAAAGGGACGGAGAGCAGATTAGACTTGCACTTCACTAGGACAATGCCCTGGAATCCCAGATTTTCACACCTTCATTAAAAGGAGGATCAATATCCAATTTTGTAGAAAGAAAACTAGGCCGAGAACAAGAGCTCGACATGAAGAAGCTGGAGCTACTTTCTCCTTTCAAAATAAGCAAACAAGCAAACTATATTTTCTCATGAAGGAAACTATCATGGCCAATGATTTTTTAATAGAAAACATATTTTTGGTTTCAGATAGATTTCAAAAGAGAAAATTTGAAAATTAACACTATATGAACTTTGTATTTAAAGAACATTTTTAAAATACAACCTTATTTGTATCTTTTAAAGAGATGCAATGGTGTTTCTTTTCAGATTTGTCTTTAGGTGAATCTCTCAATGAATCCATATTACATTTTACAGCTTTGTCTGCAAAATAAAAATGGTAATAAAAAAGCTACACCAAAAAGTGATATTAATAGAAAATAGGATAAAAAGGAATATAATAAAAGCAAATACCATTATAAAATCTTAATATGTTAAATTTTTATGGAATATGAATTTGTAGTAAACCTTACTCGAGGGGATTAAATTTTAAAATCTTGTCTCAACCTTTATTGTAAAAACAATTAAAATGTTCTAAAAATTCCCATACCAGCTAATAACGGAACACAATAGTATTTTCCCAACTTGTCAGATGACATTTCCCTCAGAAGACCATGGCAACATCTCCCAACACACAGGCTCTTCTTACAATGCGACTCTGCCTCCTGCCAAGAGGTGGGCTCTATGATCCTTTCCTGTGAACCTGGGTGGGCTCATAACCCACCCAGAAGTGGTGCTGTGAGACTTCTAAAGTGACATTACGAAAAGGCCACATACTCAGGATCTGTGGTCTTGGACGCTCACATTTGAAGCCCAGCCATGACGCTGTGGGGAAGCAGCCACATGGAAAGGATACCAGGACATTTCGGACAAGAGTCCCAGCTGAGGTCCCAGCCAAAAGCCAGCATCAACTGCCAGAACGTGCCTGAGTCCTCAGATCACTGCCCCCACTTAGTTAATGCCAGCCCTCACGTCTCCCTGTCTGAGGCCCTGGACAGTGTGGAATAAAGGCAAACCCTCCTGCCATGCCCATTCCGAATTCCTGACCACAGAACCCATGAGCATTATAAAATGGCTGTTGTTTTACCCGGCAATCATTTATGAGGGAAACACAGAGGCAATTCTAGAAAAGTGTCCTACTATTAATAAAAGGAACACAAATTGAAATGACAAGATACGCCTTTCACCTATTAAATAACTCATTGAAATAAGCAGCAGCACTAGAAATGTGAAATATTATAAAATGCCCTAACCCTTCTTTAAAGTAATTTGGAACCCAAGTCTGCATGTCACGTGGTCTTCTGGTTTGGAATTACATTATCAGGTAATTAACCTTTTAGCCAAAAAGATAAACTCTGGAACCAGGAGTGGAGGTGGTAGTTAAAATTCGCCAAGAGAGAAATGTTCATGCAAGATAAGCTCTCAAACAAAAATCACTAAGTCCGCAAAGTAGTTCAATGCCATCATAAAGAGTTAAAAAAAAAAAAAAGGAGATTGGGAGAGAAATATCCACATCTGACGATATGAAGATAAAACATCTGTCTGAAAAGGACTTTCAAATAAACTGAATTAAAATATCCAAGAAATAAAAGAAGTAATAGTATTTATGAAACCAAACAGGCCAAGTGCAACAGCATGCCTGTAAACCCTGCACTTAGGGAGGCTGAGGTGGGTGGATCACTTGAGGTCAGGAGTTCAAGACCAGCCTGCTGAACATGGTGAAATCCTGGATATGAAAGTTATCTAGGCGTGGTGACGCACACCTGTAGTCCCAGCTACTTGGGAGGCTGAGGCAGGAGAATCACTTGAACCTGGGAAGTGGAGGTTGCAGTGAACTGAGACTGTGCCACTGCACTCCAGCCTGGGTGACAGAGTGTGACTCCATCTCAAAAAATCTAAATAAATAAATAGCCTAGCACTCCCTCCACTTTCTCTCTTCCTCTCTTGACAGGTGACATGCAGCTCCTGTTCCCCTTCTGCCATGATTGGAAGCTTCCTGAGGCCTCACCATAAGCAGATGCCAGCTCTATGCTTCTTATACAGCTTGCACAACTGTGAGCCAAATAAACCTCTTTTCTTGCTAAATTATTGTCTCAGGTATTCCTTTACAGCAACGTGAACAAAGACACCTCCCTACTTAAAGAACTACGAAGTATATATTTGGGGAATGAGAAAAATAAACCAGTAGTACAATAATATTAATTATATAATCAACATCTACTTAGTACTTATATCAAGAACTATTCTAAATGCTTTATATGAATTAACTGATTCAATTCTATGTGATAGGTACCATGTGCGTTATTGAATTCCATGTGATTTCTCTACGGGCACAATTATTTCCCCCTTTTCAGATTAGGAAAAGCAAGCACAGAAAGGTGAAATAACTTGCCCATGTTTATTTCAGCTAATAAAGAACAGATCTGGGATTCGAACCCAAGCAATTCCACTCCAAAGAACTTGAAAGAAAAACTGAGTGCAAAATGCATTTACAAAACAAGTTAAATTAAAATTTTAGAAAACAGAACAGAAATGAAAAGAGGAGTTTAGAAAAGAAAATGTGACGTTCTTGATGTGAGGACAGACAATGATGACCTTGAAACTTCATTAGAAAGTATAGCTATATATAAAATTTAAGGCTCAGAGAAATGAAATACAATATATATAAGAGTAAAAAAGGAAGAGGGGGAAAATGGTCAATTCAAGAGGAGGCAGAAAATAATAAAGAAAATAGAAAGGAAAATTACGGTCAATAGAAAACACAAAAAGAGGCCAGGAGTGGTGGTTCACGCCTGTAATCCCAACACTTTGGGAGCCCAAGGCAGGTGGATCACTTGAGGTCAGGAGTTCAAGACCAGCCCAGCCAACATGGTGAAACCCTGTCTCTACTAAAAATACAAAAATTAGCTGGGCATGGTGGTGCGTGCCTTTAATCCCAGCTACTTGGGAGGCTGAGGTGGGAGAATTGCTTAAAGTTGGGAGGCAGAGGCTGCAGTCAGCCATGATCTCACTGCCTGCAGTGAGCCACTGCACTCCAGCCTGGGTGACAGAGCGAGACTCTGTCTTAAAAAAAAAAAAAGAACACATACCCACAAAATGAGATGATGAAAAGACGTCCAAATATATATTAAATCACAACAAGGCTGGGCACAGTGGCTCATGCCTATAATCCCAACACTTTGGGAGGCTGAGGCGGGTGGATCACCTGAGGTCGGGAGTTCGAGACCAGCCTGATCAACATGGACAAACCCCGTCTCTACTAAAAATACAAAATTAGCCAGGTGTGGTGGCGCATGCCTGTAATCCCAGCTGCTCAGGAGGCTGAGGCAGGAGAATCACTTGAATCCAGGAGGCGGAGGTTGTGGTGAGCTGAGATCGTGCCATTGCACTCTAGCCTGGGCAATGAGAGCAAAACTCTGTCTCAAAAAAAAAAAAATCACAATTAATGTATGTGACTTCTTAAAGAATCATAAGTGGCACTCATAATAAGAGAAATGCAAATGCAAACTCATCTAAGATACTATTTCTCACTGCAAACTGAAAAAGATCCAAAAACTTGAAACTCTGCTGGTGAGGCTATGGGCAAACAGGCAGTCTCCTAGATTCCCATGAGACTCCCAGATGATACAGGACCCACAGCACCTGGCAACAGAGATAAAACCATTCTTTGACCAGAAACCCTTCTTCCAGGAACCCACCTTGAAGATGCAGCTCCACAAATACAAAATAATATGTAGTGGAACAACTGGATGCCCACATGGAAAAAACAAAACCAAATCCTGACCCTTACCTCACATCACTAACTTGAGATGGATCCTAGAATTAAATGTAAAAGCCAAAAGTAGAAAATATAGAGAAAGCAAAGATTTCTTAAATAGGACATAAAATCCTAAAAGAAAAAGGATTAGCTAGACTTTACCAAAAATCAAAAACTTCTCCTCTGAAAAATACCATTAAGAAAATGAAAAGCCACAGACTAGAAGGAAATCTATCTATAATACAAATGACGTCTCCAGAATATATTTTAAAAACTCAGCCAGGCACAGTGGCTTGCACCTATAATCCCAGCACTTCGGGAGGCTGAAGCAGGAGGACTGCTTGAGGCCAGGAGTTTGAGACCAGCCTGGCCAGCATATGGAGACTCTGTCTCCATAAAAAATAAAAACTCTCAAAGCTTATTATAAGAAAACACGTAAACAGGAATTTCACAAAGGAGAACAGACGAATTGCCAAAAGGAACATGAAAATATGTGCAGTGTCATAAGTAATGAGGAAATTGATCTGCAATCCAGAAAGCCACCTCTGCCATTGCAATGAGAGTAACAGGGCTCAAGAGCTGAGAAACAGCTCCCATACCCTGCCCTTAGGGTATGGATGTGCTCCATCCAAGCAAAGTAAGCCAAAGAAAGGTCTCAGCGTGCAGTGGCTCACACCTGTAATCTCAGCACTTTGGAAGGCCGAGGCGGGCAAGATTACCTGAGGTCAGGAGTTTGAGACCAGCTTGACCAACATAATGAAAACCTGTCTCTAAATAAAATTTGAAAATTAGCCAGGCATGGTGGTGTGAGCCTAGTCCCTGCAACTCGGGAGGCTGAGGTGTTTGAGGCTTCAGTGAGTCATGATCACACCACTGCACTCCAGCTTGGGCAACAGTGCAACACCCTGTCTCTGAAAAGAAAAAAAAAAAAAAAGAATAAAGACCACCACCAGAAATGATAAATATGAAGGGAAATATAAAAACATATATTCTTATCTTAAAAATCTCTTTAAAAGAGAATTAAAATTTACAGGGACACACAAAATCTGAAGTCTCTGTGCTGGGGAGTGTGGCAGGGTCTGTTAGTTATCCTGGAATATCATTCAGTCCTTGCTCCAGATCAGGGTCAGCAAACTCCTTCTGCAAAGCACCAGCTGGTAAATACTGCAGGCTTTGTGGGATTGTGGGACAGGTGGCCTGGGGCGCGGCCACTCAACTCAGCTCTGACAGTGCAAAAGCAGCTGTATACAATATGTAAGAAAATGAGTCCAGCTATGTTCAGTAAAACTTTATTTGTAACTACTGAGATTTCAATTTCATATAATTTTAATGTGTCACAAAATATTCTTTCTCTCTGGATTTTTTCAACTATTTAAAAATGGAAAAATCATTTTTAGCTTACAGGTAGCACAAAAATAGGTGGTAGACCAGATTTGGCCCATGGCTGCAGTTTTCTAACTCTGAGGTAACAGAACCCCTGATTTTTAGTGGGAGCCTGGCAATCCAAAAGGAGGACAACCTCTCCCAGACCTTCATCTCCCATTAAGCATGGCTGCACAAGAACATTCTGGCCAAAGAAATGAGAGAGAAAGCACCATGTGCAACCTCTGAGTTGTACCCCCTTCACCTCTTCTCCCTGCCCCCCAGCTAGCTGGAAGGGAGATACAGTGATAAATAAATTGAATAGGAGGATGGCGGCAAAACCTTCAGGATGGCAAGGCCAACAAGACAGAAACAGCACAGACTCTGATGACCTGCCTGCACGCTTATGACATGTTAGAAAATTCAACTTCTTTCTTCTTTCAAAAAAAGAAAGAATTGACTACTTAATAAAAAATGATGAATTATTGTGGGGTTTCTAATATATGTAGAATTAAAATGCATGACAACAGTCTGGGCACAGTGGCTCATGCCTGTAATCCCAGCACTTTGGGAGGCCGAGTCGGGTGGATCATCTGAGGTCAGGAGTTCCAGACCAGCCTGACCAACATGATGAAACCCCATCTCTACTAAAAATACAAAAATTAGCCGGGCATAGTGGTGCACACCTGTAATCCCAGCTACTCAGGAGGCTGAGGCAGGAGAATCGCTTGAACCCAGGACGTGGAGGCTGCAGTGAGCTGAGATGGCGCCACTGCACTACAGCCTGGGCAATAAGAGCAAAACTCCGTCTCAAAAATAAATAAATAAATAAATAAATAAATAAATAAATAAATAAATAAATAAAATGCATGAAAACACTTGCACAAAGGCCAGGAGGGAGGAAATGGAAGGAGACTGCTGTTAAGTTCCTCATGCTATCCATGAAGTGCGTAATACTGCTTGAAGGTAGACTATGAGAAGTAAAGATGTTTACTCTAAACCCTAAAGCAACCACTAAACATACAAAACAAAAAATTACAGCTGACCAG
This sequence comes from Homo sapiens, assembly GCF_000001405.40. Classification (NCBI taxonomy): domain Eukaryota; kingdom Metazoa; phylum Chordata; class Mammalia; order Primates; family Hominidae; genus Homo; species Homo sapiens. The sequence continues at coordinate 32,766,908 of NC_000019.10, read as the reverse complement.
GCATGGTGGCTCGTGCCTGTAATCCCAGCACTTTGGGAGGCTGAGGCCAGCGGATCACTTAAGGTCAGGAGTTCGAGACCAGCCTGGCCAACATAGTGAAACCCCGTCTCTACTAAAAATACAAAAACTAGCCGGGCGTGGTGGTGCATGCTTGTAGTCCCAGCTACTCGGGAGGCTAAGGCAGGAGAATCACTAGAACCCAGGAGGCAGAGGGTGTAGTGAGCCAAGATTGCACCACCGCGCTCCAGCCTGAATGACAGAGCGAGACTCTGTCTCAAAAAAAAAAATTATGGCTAATAAGCTAACAAAGGAATTAAAATGGAACACAAAAGGTGCTTAATCCAAAAGAAAGCAAAAAAATAGGGTAAAGGGAACAAAAACCAGATGAGACAAACAGAAAACTAACAGCAAGATGCTAGATTAAGAGCCAACAATATCAATACATTACATTATATCAGAAAGAGTAAGACCTACTACGTGATAGCACAACAGGGTGACTGTAAGTCTTAAATAACTTAAAGATGTAACTGGATTGTTTGTAATGCAAACAATAAAGCTTCAGAGAATGAATATCCCATTCTCCATGATGTGCTTATTTCACATTGCATATCTGTATCAAAATATCTCATGTACCCCATAAATATACATACCTACTATGTGCCCACAAAAATTTTAAATGACAAAAAATTTTAAATAAATAGCACTAAATAGAAATGATTTAAATACTCCAATTAAAAGACAGAGATTGACAGATTGGACACAACTATATGCTCCCTACAAGAACTCCCCTTCAAATATAAAGGCACAAATAGGTTAAAACTAAAAGGACATAAAAAGATATACTATGCTAATATTAACCAAAATAAATCTAGATAAGCTATATTAATATTAAGGTAGATTTCAGAGCAAAGAATACTATCTGGGATAAAGAGAGCCATTTAACAATGACTGAGGAATCAATTCATCATGAGGACATAAACATTCTTTTTTTTTTCAGCTGCTCTGTTTTTTTTTTTTAAATTATACTTTAAGTTTTAGGGTACATGTGCACAATGTGCAGGTTTGTTACATATGTATACATGTGCCATGTTGGTGTGCTGCACCCATTAACTTGTCATTTAACATTAGGTATATCTCCTAATGTTATCCCTCCCCCCGACCCCCACCCCACAACAGGCCCCCGGTGTGTGATGTTCCCCTTCCTGTGTCCAAGTGTTCCCATTGTTCACTTCCCACCTATGAGTGAGAACATGTGGTGTTTGGTTTTTTGTCCTTGCGATAGTTTGCTGAGAATGATGGTTTCCAGCTTCATCCATGTCCCTACAAAGCACCTGAACTCATCCTTTTTATGGCTGCGTAGTATTCCATGGTGTATATGTGCCACATTTTCTTAATCCAGTCTATCATTTTTGGACATTTGGGTTGGTTCCAAGTATTTGCTATTGTGAATAGTGCCGCAATAAACATATGTGTGCATGTGTCTTTATAGCAGTATGACTTATAATCCTTTGGGTATATACCCAGTAATGGGATGGCTGGGTCAAATGGTATTTCTAGTTCTAGATCCCTGGGGAATCGCCACACTGACTTCCACAATGGTTGAACTAGTTTACAGTCCCACCAACAGTGTAAAAGTGTTCCTATTTCTCCACATCCTCTCCAGCACCTGTTATTTCCTGACTTTTTAATGACTGCCATTCTAACTGGTGTGAGATGGTATCTCATTGTGGTTTTGATTTGCATTTCTCTGATGGCCAGCAATGATGAGCATTTTTTCATGTGTCTTTTGGCTGCATAAATGTCTTCTTTTGAGAAGTGTCTGTTCATATCCTTTGCCCACTTGCTGATGGGGTTGTTTGTTTTTTTCTTGTAAATTTGTTTGAGTTCATTGTAGATTCTGGATATTAGCCCTTTGTCAGATGAGTAGATTGCAAAAATTTTCTCCCATTCTGTAGGTTGCCTGTTCACTCTGATGGTAGTTTCTTTTGCTGTGCAGAAGCTCTTTAGTTTAATTAGATCCCATTTGTCAATTTTGGCTTTTGTTGCCATTGCTTTTGGTGTTTTAGACATGAAGTCCTTGCCCATGCCTAGAGGACATAAAAATTCTAAGCCTTTATGCACCTAAGTAACAGACCTTCAAAATACATGAAGGAAAAACTGACAGAACTGGAAAGAGAAAACAAGACAATTATAGTTGGCTATTTCAAAACCTCTTTCTCAATAATTGCCAGAACAGTTAATGGAAAATCAATAAAGATAAAGAAGATTTGAACAATGCTATCAACCAGTATGACCTAATTAAGATTTCTATAACATTCTAACCAACAACAGCAAAGCACCTATTTTTCTAAGGTGGACACAGAATATTTTCCAAGAGAGATCATACCTGAATCATAATAGGAGTCTCAATAGATATTAAAAGATTCAAATCACACAGATATAGGGTTCCATAAATGAGAATCTGGAACAACTTAAGGAGTCAATGAAGATGGACAATATAGCCAGGCATGGTGGCTCACGCCTATAATCCCAGCACTTTAGGAGGCTGAGGTGGGCAGATCACGAAGTCAGGGGATCTAGACCATCCTGGCTAACACGGTGAAACCCCATCTCTGCTAAAAATACAAAAAATTAGCCAGGTGTGGTGGCAGGCGCCTGTAGTCCCAGCTGCTCAGGAGGCTGAGGCAGGAGAATGGTGTGAACCTGGGAGGCGGAGCTTGCAGTAAGCTGAGATTGTGCCACTGCACTCCAGCCTGGGCAACAGGGTGAGACTCCATCTCAAAAAAAAAAAAAAAAAAAAAAAAAGATGGACAATACAAGTAAAAAAAGAAAAGCAATTAGAATCTCCAAGATTTGTCAATCTTACACTTTAAAATTTAGTGTAATTTCCAGTTTCCAGTCGAGCATGTAAAAAGCTTGATGGTTATCACTCTATCTTAACAACAAGTAAAAAGCTGAACACACTGAAAAATCAGGAATTCTTCCTAGGTCCATCAAAGTGAGGTCACAGGGCAAACTGTTGCCCCAGCACTGGAGAGACTGACAGATGGACAGAGAGACTCAGAATGGACAGGGGCAGAAACCCAGAATAAACTTCTATGGGACCAGGAGTGAGGAGGGAAACCTGAACTGTAAACTGACAATTTGCTGGAGGGTCGGCACGGACACCTCCGTTAGTTAAAACTCCGGGGTCAGGGGCTGGGTGCCACACTTCTGTGAGTTCTGCCTCCTGGAGCTCTAGCAGGTTCTCACAGTGAATACCACAGGAAAATCTCGTGCTTCGACAGGAAGAGGGGAAAAGTAACTACTTGGAAATATAAAGGGCGTGCTGTTCCTTCCCAAAAGGGCCTGACCTCAGGAGAAACTATTGAACCAGAGCCTAAACTACTGGAGTTTATCAGAACCTATCTAACCTAGAGGAAGGGAAATACAGCCCGATTTAACCTTCTGGTGGGGGAGGAAAATAACACAACTCAGTCCCTTCCAGCCATCCTGTCCCACATAAGGTGAGAGGTGAGGGATGCTGAGGGGCACCTGAGAAGCGTGCAGCCCAAAGGTACAGGCTCCCTAGAAGACTGACTCTAATTACAGGGCTCTAGACATTTATTTCCCTCTCTCCACCCCTCCTACCATTTATATGGTATCAAAATGCCCAATTAAAATCACAAATGGTAGAAAAAGAGCAAAGTCAAAAGAGGAACAAAAAAACAAGGGCAATAAATCAAATACAGTAATAAACATGGCAGACAGTAATCCAACTCCAGTCACGTGCCGTATGCCAACCTTCCATCAGCAATAGACCACATATACGATGGTGGTCTCATAAGATTTTAATGAAGATGAAAAATTCCTATTGCCTAGCAACATCATAGCATAATCACTATCTTTTCTACGTTTAAATTGGTTTAGATAACACAAATAGTTACCATTGTGTTACAGCTGCCTACAGCATTCAATACAGTAACATACTGTACAGGTTTGTGGCCTAGGAGCCATAGGCTATACCATATTGCCTATATGTGTAGTAGGCTGCACCATGTAGGTTGGGTAAGTACACCCTATGATGTTTGCACACCAAAATCACCTAATGACGTGTTTCTCAGAACATAGTCCATCAGTAAGCAACACATGACTGTATATAAATAATCACTTTAAACCCAATGGTCCTGTGAAAGTTAATTATACAAACTAGGTCATTCTTTCATCTCCAACTAAATCAGAGTCGAGGGGCCAGAGGAAAAGTACTCGAGGCACAGAGCACCTTCTTGGCCCCGCTGTTGAGGTGCACTGCTAGAATCCCAACACCAGTTTTACCTGGTAGCTACTGAAATAACCTGCCATGACTTTAAGACTAGTTTTTCCTACCGCCATTACCTACCAATCAGAGCTTGCCAGCTCCCAAAAACTTCTCTAGCGTCAATGAGCTTCCTTTCAAAACAATATGTAAGATTTCTCTAATAAAACTCCCAACCTTCTCTTTTCAACAAATGGTGCTGGAACAACTCAACATCCACATGCAGAAAAGTGACTCTAGGCACAGACCTTACACCCTTCACAAAAATCAACTCAAATGGATCTAAATGAAAAATGCAAAATACAAAACTCCTAGAAAATAACATAGGAGAAAACCTAGATGACCCTGAGTATGGCAATGGCTTTTTAGAGACAACACCAAAGGCACAATCCATGAAAGAAGCAACTGATCAGCTGGACTTCATTAAAACTAAACATTTCTGCTCTGTGAAAGATATTGTCAAGAGAATGAGAGACAAGCCACACACTAGGAGGAAATGTTTGCAAAGGACACATGTAAAAAAAGGATTGTTATCCAAAATGTACAAAGGACTCCTAAAACTCAACACTAAGAGGACAAAAAAGTCAATTTAAAATAGCCAAATCCTTGCCGGACATGGTGGGTGGCTCATGCCTGTAATCCCCGCACTTTGGGAGGCCGAGGCAGTCGGATCATTTGAGGTGGGTGGATCACTTGAGCTCATGAGTTCAAGACCAGCCTGGCCAACATGGTGAAACCCCGTCTCTACTAAAAATACAAAAATTAGCCAGGCATGGTGGCGGGCACCTGTAATCCCAGCTACTCGCGGGGCTCAGGCAGGAGGCTTGAACCTGGGAGGCAGAGGTTGCCATGAGCTGAGATCACACCACTGCACTCCAGCCTAGGTGACAGCACAAGACTCCATCTCTAAATAAATAAATAAATAAATAAGGAACTCCTGAAGAGATATCTCATCTGAGAAGATATACCAACAGCAAATAAGCATATGAAAAGATGCTCACATCCTACGTCATTAGAGAAATGCAAATTAAAATAATGATATTCCACTACACCCCTATTAGAATGACCAAAATCCAGAACACATTCTACAAAATAATAGGTCTGTAATCTTCCAAAGTGCAAGGTCATGAAAATCAAGGAGACCCAGGAAATGTTCCAGAGGAAAGACTAAAGAAATGTGTTCTCGGCCAGGCGCAGTAGCTCATGCCTGTAATCCCAGCACTTTGGGAGGCCGAGGCGGGCGGATCACGAGGTCAGGAGATCGAGACCATCCTGGCTAACACGGTGAAACCCCGTCTCTACTAAAAATACAAAAAATAAAAAAATAAAAAATTAGCTGGGCTTGGTGGCGGGCGCCTGTAGTCCCAGCTACTTGGGAGGCTGAGGCAGGAGAATAGTGTGAACCTGGGAGGTGGAGCTTGCAGTGAGCTGAGATGTGCCACTGCACTCCAGCCTGGGAGACAGAGTGAGACTCCGTCTCAAAAACTAAACAAAACAAAAACAAGAAACGTCTTCTCTAAATGCAACAAGTGATGCTGAACGACGTCTCTTTGATAACCAGCAAAACCTGAATGGTGCCTGGGAGTTATATGATCACAATATATCAGTGTTAATCTTCACACTCTGATGATTGCATTGTGGATATTTTTGAGAATGTCCTTCTTTCTAGGAAAAACTCAAGTATTGGGGAATCAGGTTAGCAACTTATTCTCAAATGGTTTGGGAAAAAAGTTCTTTGTAATACTCTCCAACTTTTCTGTAAGTTTGTGATTATTGTAAAATAAAAAATTTATTGAGAAGATGGATGTAAACTCTATGGAAGCACAGACTTTGTTTCCCTCCTAAGAATCCCTAGAAAAGCACCTGACAGTGAGGGCGTCATAAATATCTGATGAATGAATGAATGTGGGTTAGGGGCACGAGAGTGAATCTCCCTAGAAATCAAGACAATGTCTAAAGTGAAGAAGCCTAGTAATAGTAAAATATACACAATTATTTTAAAATCTGGAGATAATACCAAAATAAACAACTTTAAAAAGTGAGTTTATCTCTAGGGGACATCCTGGGGTAAGAAGAGGTTGCAAATAAAAAAATTATTTTTCACTGTAGCCCTTCTGTAATATGTGATTGTTTAATCAAGTATTAGCAAATCAAGTATTAGCCAAGTATTATACTTTGATTCTCAAAAATATTAGGCAACTTCAAAGAGAAACACCAAAAACTAACTGAAATATAACTGAAGTACCTTCTCACAATAATTAAAGGAAAGGGAAATCTATACTTAGAAAAGTAACATCTAATAATTCTGCTTTTTACATGCCAATTCAGTTACACCTCACATTATCTTTTTTGTTATTGTTCACCATAACCTTTTCCTTTTCAAAGATAAGCATAGTTCATTCCAGTACTGATTGTAATAAGCAGGAAACAATTTCTGCCCAGCAAGCTGGGACTCCTGAAAATAATTTTGACATATCAAGCAATGGAAAGCCACGCAATAATTAAACACGATGATGTAGTGCCTGGTATTTTTATTCCTCCAATGGAAAAAGAATATAAATGGAAAGAATACATGCCCATCAACAACAGGTGCTACCTTCTGCTGTAATTCTCACCTGGGGACCCCCTACAAGAGGCATATCAGAATCTGGGGCAGGGGCCACATGCGCTGAGGCTGCCACAGGCCAGGCGCTGAGCCAAGCACGCTGCACGATGGCCCATTCAGTAACTCCCAGGGGGATGGGGATGACATCCCATGTCCCAGAGAAGGAAGCGGCCTGACACCCTGGCAGTCTCACATCAGAGTTTATGTCCTTAAACACATTATACCGGATATATTTGACCTAGAAAGGGAATTCAGCCATATACTAAGTAAAATACATTACAAAGAGGTATGTATAGTAGGACCCCATTTCTGTGAAATAAAAATTTTATAAATACCGTCTGGAAAACTTTGGAAAGAAAGGCTCTATAATATTTTATTTTATTGTGTTTATTTTTCAGCCGGAGTCTCACTCGCCCAGGCTGGAGTGCAGTGGCACAATCTTGGTTCACTGAAACCTCTGCCTCCTGGGTTCAAGTGATTCTCCTGCCGCAGCCTCCTTTGAGGCCAGGAGGTTGAGGCTGCAGTGAGCTGTGATCACACTACTGCAATCAAGCCTGGGCAACCGAGCAAGACCCCGTCTCAAAAAAAAAAAAAATTCCCAGACTGAGACATGCTAGAACTCCAGGGGCCTTCTAGTCTACCCCTACCTCCCCTCCGTGTACATATGGGCAGTTGCAGGCTCTTGGAAGGTCGAGGCTCCCACCAAGCCAGTGGTAGACCCAGGATTAGAACACATGTCTCCTGGCTTCTAGCCCCGAGCCTGTTCTCTCTACACTGTGTTGCCACCCTTACCTTCAATGCAAAAGAGTCTACAGGGTTCACTCCTCCTTTTTACATCCTAGTTTCTCATTTCATCATGCAGCAAATAAGTTCTTGAGTAGCTGGGACTACAGGCACACGCCACCATGCCTGGCTAATTTTTGTATTTTTAGTAGAGACGGGGTTTCACCATGTTGGCCAGGCTGGTCTCAAACTCCTGATCTCAGGTGATCCACCTGTGTCGGTCTCCCAAAGTGCTAGGATTACAGGCATGAGCCACCGTGCCCAGCCTACAATTTTATTTTATTTTGTTTTCTGAGACAGAGTCTCACTCTGTCATCCAGGCTGGAGTGCAATGACATAATCTTGGCTCACTGCAACCTCCACCTCCCAGTTCAAGCAATTCTCCTGCCTCAGCCTCCCGAGTAGCTGGGACTACAGGCATGTGCAACCACATCCAGCTAATTTTTGTAGTTTTAGCAGAGACGGGGTTTCACCATATTGGCCAGGCTGGTCTTGAACTGCCAGCATCAAGTGATCTGCCAGCCTTGACCTCCCAAGGTGCTGGGATTACAGGTGTGAGCCACTGCACCTGGCCCTGACTCTACAATTTTAAAAAGCAGTTAGTGAGATGACAGGTTTTTACAATCTGGGCTATTGATAGCAGCAAAAGGCAGTCAAATGCCTAGCGAGATGGGGTGGGTCCCTGGTGAAAACCAATTTTCAAGCAGAAACCAGTTTAAAGCCTAGCTACAAGTCTCGGGTAATACACAGACTGGATTGAGAAACTGTCTTTCCGTTTGGCATTTTTTCCTCTGATTGATGTCTACCTTTCACTTATTTCATATGCACCTACCCTTTCCTAGTTGGTTTTCTACACTGCTATACCCACCTTTGAGTGGTGTGTTTGCTTTAACCTTTTTTGCATACTCACTAACCAATCAGCAGGCACTCCCCATTCTGAGTCCATAAAAAGTGCCAGCCCGGACACACTGAGAGAGAAACCACCCATCCAAGAAGAATGAGGTTACACTGAGAGCTATTCCATCGCTCCATAAAATTCTTCTCTGCCCATCCTCACCCTTCTGTCAGCATAACCTTATTCTTCTTGGACACAGGACAAGAGCTTGGGAACTGCCAAATGCGGATACAATCTATAGCACAGATGGGCTGAGTGGGTAGGGAGCCTCCAGCGGCCAGGCCCAGGGCTGAGTGAGGCCCAGGTCGGGGACGGGGTGGGCACTGCCAGCCATGGAGGACCCTAGTTGGCAAAGTGGCTGAGAAAAACCCTTTGTATCTTTCTTTCTCTATGATAAGCAACATTACCAAAGTAATTGAAAATAATCTGAAGTACAGGAAATATTTTAGTTGGCTAAAGCTTTAATGTAGTTGTGGTTTACTATGGATACACATGAAATATTACACCCACAGGTATCAGTAAGTCCTCACTTGACTCATCAGTAGGTTCTTGGAAACCACAGATTTAAGGGAAACAAAGTACAGCAGCCCCTCAAATTAAGTTGCTTTGCTCAAGGTTGTTTCGTTATAACATTGTTTCACTTAAAGTCAGTTTCCAAGAACCTATCCAAGACATGAAGTGAGGCCTTCCTGGACACACATCCAGCATAAGAGGGAAATGGTGGAGGAACCACCACAGAGGGCGAGCCAGTCATCAAAGGGGCTGAAAAATTTCACCCTCACCCAGCAATTCCAATTCATTAAATATCTTGAAGACTGGAATTTAAAACTACGTATTTCTGCCCTCATAAGCATGTCTTCCCTATTTTTATGCATCCTGTTGCCTAAGTGAAAAATCAATAATAAATACATATGTACACTCTAGGGACAGACAGTGATTACTGGTCGATGGCTAGGCTGGAATAAATCAGTCCTGCACATGAACTGGTGCCTGTTATGTTCTTTACGTGACAGTAAAATTTCTAAGTATGAAATGCAGGACACATGAACTCTTTCAGGATCTACATCACAAATTGGTTACATTAAATTAAGAAAAGAGAAAGAATTACCATGGCCTTTCTAGACAACCTTTCTAATCTTTAAAAAGCTAAGAATATTTTTTTCATGCTGCCTATGAAATAAACCACATTAGCAGAACTCACCCTGTGCTGTGGCTGTTGGCCTGAGGTCACCGACAATACCCTTGCACCATGTATGTTGCAGAGATTGTGCCGGAAAATTTACACCATGTGAATCTGATAGAAAGAATAAATTTCAGAATTAAAGCATGAAATAAAGCCCAAAATAAAAATGTGAACTCGTTAGTACATTACTTCTGCTCTTGCTTTTGCTCTGAGGTTACAGGAAACCTGACTAGGGGACACAAGGTGAGGGGACTAAAAACTGGATGTGGACAGAAACATTGGAAATTATTTCCACAATCCGTGACTAGCTCTTATATTTTTATGCTAAGGGTTATTTGTGATAAATAGCTCTTTTTTTTAAAGGTGTCTAAAGTCTAAATATTCAAAATTTGTTTTCTTAGTATCTCTAAATTGCAAACATTTGGACTTCTAACAACATAACTCAATGTTAATAAGAAATTGAGGCCGGGCGCGGTGTCACGCCTGTAATCCCAGCACTTTGGGAGGCTGAGACAGGCGGATCATGAGGTCAGGAGATTGAGACCATCCTGGCTGACATGGTGAAACCCTGTCTCTACTAAAAATACAAAAAAATTAGCCAGGCATGGTGGCAGGTGCCTGTAGTCCCAGCTACTCGGGAGGCTGAGGCAGGAGAATGGTGTGAACCTGGGGGGAGGAGCTTGCAGTGAGCCGAGATCACACCACTGCACTCCAGCCTGGGTTACAGACCGAGACTCCGTCTCAAAAAAAAAACAGAAATCGAGGGCAGTTTTTTTCCTGGTCTCATAAACACAAACTGTAACACTTTAAGACCTTACAATGTGTCACAGCCTCATCAGGATTAAACTTTAAACAGAGTCCAAGTCTTTGTCTCCATGTGGGGAAAAGTCTGTACAACTTATATCTATACACTAAGATTATTAATAAAACAATGTAAGGGAAATTGATATGATGAGAATCTACTCACCTTCCATTCCTTGAACATCTTTTCCTTGCAAAAACATTGGCCAGAGTGTAAGTGCTGGATTGAGTTTATTGAAGGAGGGTGCTGATTTTATATTCAATCTTGGTTTTTCTAAATAATCAAGGTTTTTATTCTTTGTAGGTGACATATAACAAGCATAGTTCTTTGCAACAAGATCATCATTAACACAAACCTGTAAAATTTTAAACATTTCATGACTAATAAGACAAATATAGTCAAGCGATTTTAAAGGAAATATTCCAAACTTAACCCCAAAGTTCTACCTTCAGAGAAATTATTTTACAGAACATAATCTGAGAGAAACAGATTTGACTCCTGCTCTGGTAAACCAAATACTTCCCACCAATCCTGATGAGGAAAAACAGCAAGCATCTGTGTGAAACACATGAGATGTCTTCTTGGACATACGCACTGTAGCACTAAAACTACCTGGCCAGGCAAAAGCCTGGTGGGAGGACAGAGACAAAACACGAACCATCAAAGGAAAGACTGTTACATTGGATTTGCTCAAAATTTTAAATTTCTGTTCTTCAAGAGAATAAACAGATGAGGCAAAATTCTTTTAAAATCAAGTATCCGGATGACATGTATCCAGAATATATAAGGAACTCTCAAAACTCAATAAAACGAAATCAACACAATTAAAATATGGGCAAACAATCTGAATGTCTGCTTCATCAAAGTCTGAAGATTGCAAATAAGCATATAAAACCATCATTAGGGAAACGCAAATTTAAACCACAATGAGGTGCTACTGCACACTTAGCCGAATGTTTACACAAGTGACATGGAGGAACTAGAACTCTCATTGCTGATGGGAAGGTAAAATAGTCCACCACTTTGGAAAACAATATGGCAGCTTCTTAATACCTACAATATGATCCAAAAGTTTGACTCCTAGGTAATGCTCGAGAGAAATGAAAGCACAGATCCACAGGAAGACTTGTACATAAATATCTGTAAGGGGCCTATGGCCACAACCCAAATATCCATCAACGAGTTAATGGGTAAATACACTGTAGTATATCCACACAATGGAAGAGGACTTGGCAACAACAACAAACGTGGATGCATCTTAAAATAATTTTGCCAAATGAAAGAAGCCAGACCAAAAAAGAAAACACCTTGGGACACATCCTGTTGCCACCTTTGGGAGCTGGTAAAGGATTGCTGGCCCACATTTTTTCCTCCGGCAGTTATGATCTCATGCATGCATTATAAGCTCTCTCAGCTAAGCACGAACCTCCCTGCCTTCTGCACTTTACCACCTTAAAGTAAGACCAACATGGAGAAACCCCGTCTCTACTAAAAATACAAAATTAGCCCGGCGTGGTGGCGCATGCCTATAATCCCAGCTACTTGGGAAGGCTGAGGCTGGATAATTACTGGAACCCAGGAGGCAGAGGTTGCGGTGAGCCAAGATTGCGCCATTGCACTCTAGCCTGGGCAACAAGAGCGAAACTCCATCTCAAAAAAAAAAAAAAAAAAAAAAAAGATAGAGTCATTATCAACATACAACCTACATGGTTAGAAAGAGATCTACTTTTGAAAAGCAAGAAGAAAGCAAGTTTATAGAGAATTTATTTGAAAAAAAGATATTTTACAAGACTGGTCCTTACAGGATAGATCTCTCAGGTTTAAAAAAATGAAAAAAAACGACTGGTTCTGCAGCCAATATTTTGGCGGTTTTTTTTGTTTGTTTTTGAGACAGGGTCTTGCTCTGTCACCCAGACTGGAGTGCAGTGGTGTGATCTTGGCTCTCTGCCTCCCAGGCACAAGTGATCCTCCCACCTCAGCCTCCCAAGTAGCTAGGACTACAGGTGCAAGCCATCACACCTAGCTAATTTTTGTATTTTTTGTAGAGACAAGGTTTCACCATGTTGCCCAGGATGGTCTCAAACTCCGGAGCTCAAGCAATCCACCCACATCAGCCTCCCAAAGTGCTGGGATTAAACAGGTGTAAGTCACAGCCTTTGGCTGATTTTGGTATTTTTACTAAGTTATAAAATAAGTAATGAAAAGTCATAGGTAAAATGAACCAGGATGTGAGGAACATTTAGGGAACCCAACATGCAATATAAGCAGTAACAAATGAACCCCATTACAAAAGAATAACATAATCACACTGAAGAAGGTGCGAAAGAGAAAAAACAACCTAAGTAACTTTGGCAAACAGTATTTTGGCTGCATAATGTGAAGACTAAATACAAATTTTGTTTTCACAGGAGTGTGGGTTAGCAATCCTGAAATTACTTAATGTGAATACATGGATGAATCAAATACGTAGACTGCGGCCAACGAGAGTAGGTTTCTCACTGGTGGAGAAAGGCATTAAGAATAAGGGGCCAGCCGGGCGTGGTGGCTCACACCTGTAATCCCAACACTTTGGGAGGCCGAGACAGGTGGATCACGAAGTCAGGAGATCGAGACCATCCTGGCTAACACAGTGAAACCCTGTCTCTACTAAAAATACAAAAAAAAAAAAAAAAAAAATTAGCCAGGTGTGATGGCGGGCACCTGTAGTCCCAGCTACTCAGGAGGCTGAGGCAGGAGAATGGTGTGAACCCAGGAGGTGGAGCTTGCAGTGAGCAGAGATCGCGCCAGTGTACTCCAGCCTGGGTGACAGCAAGACTCCGTTTCAGGAAAAAAAAAAGAATAAGAGGCCAGGCATGGTGGTATGCGCTTATAGTCCCAACTACTTGAGAGGGTGAGGCTGGAGGATCACTTGAGCCCAGGAGTTCAAGGCCAGCCTGAACAACATAGCAAGACCCTGTCTCCAAAAAATAAATGAATAAATAAGGAAAGGAGAGGGTAAGAATGAACCCTATGGTGCTGGATTCAAATCAGAGATATCAAAGCTCTTAATATGTGTACAGATGGATACAGAAATATAGATTTGTGTGTGCATGGGAGCAAGTACATACATATATTTCCTAATATTTTCTGCTGAGAGGACCTACAATCATGACACCCCAGTTGGAACAAGCACACCAAGTGCCCTCATCTAGATATTTAAATATCATTCTTCAATAAAAGGAACCAGAGCTGCTTGAAGAAGTGGCTGATTCCAGTGGCCGGGCGCGGTGGCTCACGCCTGTAATCCCAGCACTTTGGGAGGCCAAGGTGGGAGGATCACGAGGTCAGGAGATCGAGACCATCCTGGCTAGCACAGTGAAACCCCGTCTCTATTAAATATACAAAAAATTAGCCAGGCGTGGTGGCGGGTGCCTGTAGTCCCAGCTACTCGGGAGGTTGAGGCAGGAGAATGGCATGAACCCAGGAGGTGGAGCTTGCAGTGAGCCGAGATCGCGCCAGTGCACTCCAGCCTGAGCGACAGAGTGAGACTCCATCTCAAAAAAAAAAAAAAAAAAAAGGAAGAAGTGGCTGATTCTAGGGCTAGGTCTGGCAAATAACAAAATGATAAACATTGTGGCATCAGAGAGTAAAGAGTGTTCAAGTAATGATGGGGCACATTGAAAGTATACAAAAGCCCCTTTGAAGGAGCACCTAATGGCCAGAATCCAAGGTAATGTGAGCAAGGCAATAATGATAGTTATAGATTATAACTCCCCAAATAAAATACATTTCCAAAAGTCCATACTAATACAAATTATCGAATAATTAATATATGGGGGAGGAGGGAGGGTTCTTTGGTATAAAATTCCAATTAAAAATGCAGAAGGGGGCCAGGCACGGTGGCTCACGCCTGTAATCCCAGCACTTTGGGAGGCCAAGACGGGTGGATCACCTAAGGTCAGGAGTTTGAAACCAGCCTGGCCAACATGGTGAAACCCCATCTCTACTAAAAATACAAAAAATTAGCCGGTGTGGTGGCAGGCACCTGTTATCCCAGCTACTCAGGGGGCTGAGGCAGAAGAATCACTTGAACCTGGGAGGCGGAGGTTGCAGTGAGCCAAGATCGCACCATTGAGATCCAGCCTGGGCAACAAGAATGAAACTCTGTCTAAAAAAAGAAAAAATGAAGAAGGGGGCTGGGTGTGATGGCTAATGCCTGTAATCCCAGCACTTTGGGAGGCTGAGACAGGCAGATCACTTGAGGTCAGGAGTCCGAGACCAGCTTGGCCAACTTGGTAAAACCCCGTTTCTACTTAACATATAAAAATTAGCTGCGTGTGATGATGCTTGCCTGTAATCCTAGCTGCTCAGGAGGCTGAGGCAGGAGAATCACTTGAACCCGGGAAGAAGAGGTTGCAGTGAGCTGAGATTGCGCCACTGCACTCCAGCCTGGGCAACAGAGTGAGACTCCATCTCAAAAAAATAAATAAATAAATAATAAAAATTAAAAATGCAGAAGGTGCTGGGTGTGGTGGCTCACACCTGTGATACCAGCACTTTGGGAGGACAAGGCGAGAAGACTGCCTGTTGAGACCAGCCTGGGCAACATAATGAGATCGCAACTCATGGGCATGGTGGTGCCCACCTATAGTCTCAGCTACTTGTGAAGTTGAGGTGGGAGGATCCTTTGAGCCCAGGAGGTTGAGGCTGCAGCAAGCTACAATTGTGCCGCTGTACTCCAACCTAGGAGACAGAGAGAGACGGATGGGAGGGGAAGGGAGGGAGGGGAAGGAAGGAGAGGGGAAGGGAAGGGAGAGGAGAGGAGAGGAGAAAAATGTAGAGGGAAAGATGAAACAGGTATACACCACAGTAATATCTTTCACAGCCAAGAATCATTGATGAAATGGCTATCTGCAGCCTCAAAGTAGGCCCCCACAAGATACTTATTAATTTCAGAAGGAAAAACTAACATCTCTGTACAGGAAAAACCTGGCAAACACCACATTAACCAGGTGATCAACATCCACATCACAAAATGTGGTACATACACACCATGGAATACCATGCAGTCATAAAAAGGAACAAGATTGTGTCCTTTGCAGGGACATGGATGAAGCTAGAAGCCATTATCCTCAGCAAACTAATGCAGGAACTGAAAAACAAACACTGCATGTTCTCGCTTATAAGTGGCAGCTAAATGATGAGAACACATGGACACTGGGGGAAACAACACACACTGGGGCCTGTCGGGGGGTGGGGAGGGGGGAGGGAGAGCATCAGGAAGAATAGCTAATGGGTTTTGGGCTTAATACCTAGGTCACGGGATGATCTGGCCAGCAAACTACCATGGAACATGTTTACCTATGTAACAAACCTGCACATCCTGCACAGGTACCCCAAACTTAGAAGCTGAAGGAAAAAAACCATTCACATCACTAGTAATTAGACATACTGACGTCATAAACCCCTGCTGGGATGCACTGAGAAGGGCACAGTATCACTTCTGTGGGCTTCTTGCCAAAAATGCATAGCCTTAATACAATGATGAGGAACATCAGGCAAACCAAATTGAGGAACATTCTACAAAACCACTGACCACTGCTCTTCCAAAGCAGTCAATGCCATGAGAGGCATGGAAGTACTGAGGAGCTGTCACAGGCCAGAGGAGGGGAAGGAGACATGACAAACAGGCGCAGTGGGAGGTGCTGGAGCAGATCCTACATCAGAAAAAGGAAATCAGCCGGGAAACTGTCAACATTCACCTGCCTGCAGGTTTTCAGTGGTATTTTATCAATGTTACTTTTCTGGTTTTAAAAACTGTACTGTGGTTTTGTGCTATGTTAACATCAGGACAACCTGGGCAAAGCATATCCCAAAATTTCTGCACTATTTCTGCATCTCTTCTGTAAGTCTATTTCAAAATACAATTTTTAAAAAATCCATGGTTAAGGTACCCTCCATGGGCTCTGAGCAGCCCTGGATGTGTGCCCCTTCTGTCCACCTCTGCCTGGTGCTGAGGTGTGCCCTGAGCCATCCTTCAGAAAGGGCAGAGGCCAAAATGCTAGCAGCTGGCACCTGGCAGAGGTAGGGGCCACTCACATATGATGTCCGCTTTCTTTCTGCTTGTGATCTGAATTATTTACAGCAAGCACGTTACATACAGTGAGAAAGTCTAGGGGGAAAGGCAGTGAACTAACGCTACAGCAAATTAGTATATTTATAAAAATCATGTTCCCTGAGAAGAAAACAACATTTCATGCTCATCACTATAGGAATAATTTCTTGACCATGTTTAAATAAAATGCCAAAGTCATTTTTTAAAGTAATCAAAAGAAGAAAACACAGACCTGGCTAACTTCGGGTCTAAGATAGACCTTAAGAGATTAAGACAATTTCTATGCTGTACGAACTACAGTGTTTTTCTTGGCATTTATTCTGTTTTATTAAAGTAAAATTTAAAATGATGAAATATTATAAAAATACAATTCTTTCACTTACTTTTTCATCTTTTATAGTTACATAAAGGTAAACCTCAAATGTATCTTCTTCCACAGCACATAATCTGGCTTCCACCTGGGTAGTTGCTAAATAGCATAAATGAAAACACAAATCAGCTGATGTTAAAAGTATATTTGAAACAATCATGACGATTTCCCACCTAGTAACCTCTGCTAACCACTTAAGAGTGCCCAAATGTCTTCCTCGGGCAGGACCAGGGGGAGCATGTTAGGAAAAGGCACTCCTGATTGTGGAGTGGATTATGGGTCCTGTCCCTGTCAACAGGTTCCTGTGCCACCCTGTGGTCCTCTCTTCTCCATGCCTCCCAAACCCAGATTTCCAGTCCCAGGCCTTCATCTGAGGTCCATTCTACCCTGCAAAGCCCCACGGAGTGCAGCACCCGGCTACTCCCTTAGAGACTCAAAACCCCGCAGCAGCAGCATCACTGCCACCTACCAGGTGCTGTGCTAAGTCCTTTAGAAACCTTCTTTCGCTGAGTTCTTACCACTACCTTCAAGGTTAAGTACAGTGGTCATGTCACAGGTGAGGAGACCAGGCTCAGAGGCTAAGTCACTTGCCTGAGCCACTGAGGACTAAGTGGCCGGCCTCCTCCAGACCCGCATTCTCATCTCCCAGCAGCCCCCATGGCTCACAGGGGCCAAAACTCCAGTCACAGTGACCTCCCAGCCTCCCACTGCTCCCAGGTCAAAGGGTCTGGCTCCTCCTCTACCCAGATGATGACACAGCACAGGAGTGGGGCCAGGACCCAACGAGGCACCAGGCAGCACCCCAGGTGTTTCCCATCCACCAACCCTATCACTAAAACCAGGTATCTGACTGCCAGAGGTTAAGACAGATCCCACAAAAGACACTGTTTATAGTCACTGATATAAAATAAAAAGAACAGCTGAAGACATTTTATGCATCTTAAATTAGAAGTAATGAATATTACACAATAAATATCCATTTACTATCTCTTGCTCACTAAAAATGCTAGGTTTTTCATCAATTGCTGGTACAATAAAATCCACATGAATTTATTTTGCAGCGCCGCAGCTTTTATGCAAACGAAGAGGCAGGTATTATTACTGTGTAAGGGTTCCCCTGCACAAACAGCCCCCTGCTGATCTCAGCTGTCAATTACTGACATCCACTGCCACTAGGGGTGCAGAGTTACTGTGGCACTTGAGCTGGAGGAAGCCCCAGGTAGCTTAGGGAACTCCTCTGAGGAGGGCCGTTTGGCCAACAGGGGCATCTCCAACCCCCGCCAGCAGCAGAAGCTGAGGCCTCTGTGGGTGTCACTTCCAGGCAGGCTGCAGTGATCAGGCACTGGCTTACCTTTCAGAAGGTTCTGAAAGTACTGAATAGCTGCATTGTCCCACTTCTTGGCAGGTCTGGAACAGTGAACAGATGCAACTCCATTACATAAAAATCTGAGGCTAGCACACCAACAGCATTTTGTAAACCATGCACTGGACATTTCTCACACTACATATGGAACACGTGATGCAGATGATGGGGCACCTGGCACTGGCCCTGCTCTGGGGGTGAGGATCCCACTGCATCCTGCAACACGCTCGTCTCAACACTGTCACCTGCACCGGTGCAGACTCATAGCACAGAGGCCCCACTGAGACCAACCTGTGCTCACCACTGCACTGTCTGTCACACCACCACCATCCCCAGACAAATCAGTCTCCTCAACCAGAACACAAGCTCCTGGGACAGGGATCCTGAGTGTGGGGTGTCTAACACAGTCTGGCACAGAGAGGGCGCGACACATGCTGGTACACCGACACCCTCACAGGCAGTCATGGGAGAGCCAGATACTATCTTTGTTTCATTTTGTTTTTTTGAGACAGGGTCTCTCTCTGTTATCCAGGCTGGAGTGCAGTGGCATGAACACAGCTCATTGCAGCCTTGAACTCCTGGGCTCAAGGGATCCTCTCATCTCAGCCTCCTGAGTAGCTAGGACTACAGGTGTGCCCCACCACACTCAGCGATTAAAAAAAATTTTTTTTTTAATAGAGAGAGGGTCTAGCTATGTTGCTCAGGCTGGTCTCAAACTCCTGGGCTCAAGTGATTCTCCTGCCTTGGCCTCCCAAAGTGCTGGGATTACAGGCGTGAGCTAACGCACTGGGTCTCGGCTACTATAAAACTACTGTTCCTCACTCTGCTGACCCTAGCGCCCTCTCACTGGCTCCCATTTTACCCCTGTCATCTTGTCCTTTCTACATCTTTCTTATGCTTTGCAAAGAAAATTGTAGGAAAAGCTGTAGGCAGTGGGGAAAGAGGAGAAACTTGGAAGCAAGGAAAAAAATAAAATGTCAGGTCAGAATGATGTTCTATGTTTCTTCTGATTTTATGTACCAGAGATGCCACCACCATCCTCCAAGAATTCTTTTAAAGATCAAATGAGATAATGTACATAGAACACTTAGCCCAGTGCCTGGACATAATCATTACTCAAAAATGTTGGTTATTTTTATTCTTATAAGAAAGATATTAAACAATTCAAGAGAATTACAAAGGATTTCTAAAAGGCAGTAAAGGCAGTGGTTCTAAAACCTTGTTACACACAAAGAATTACCTAATAATTAGCTTTTTTAAAAAAGAAAAATGTAGTAGATTACTAATAATGAAAAGGCAAACAACCCAAGAGAAAACCCAATCTAACATATGAACAAGTAAATCAGCCAGTCTCTCCCTCTCTCACACAGAATAACCACATGAGTCAGTCTCTCTCCCCCTCTCTCACACACACAGAATAACCCCATCAGCCAGTCACTCTCCCTCTCTCACACACACAGAATAACCACCTCAGCCAGTCTCTCCCCTCCTCTCTCACAGAATAACCACCTCAGCCAGTCTCTCCCCTCCTCTCTCTCACAGAATAACCACCTCAGCCAGTCTCTCCCCCTCTCTCTCTCTCACAGAATAGCCACATCAGCCAGTCTCTCCCTCTCTCTCTCTCTCTCTCACACACACACACACAGAATAACCACATCAGCCAGTCTCTCTCCTTCTCTCACACACACAGGATAACCACATCAGCCAGTCTCTCTCCCCGTCTCTCTCACACACAGAATAACCACATCAGCCAGTCTCTCTCCCCGTCTCTCTCACACACAGAATAACCACATCAGCCAGTCTCTCTCCCCCTCTCTGTCACACACAGAATAACCACATCAGCCAGTCTCTCTCCCCCTCTGTCACACACAGAATAACCACATCAGCCAGACTCTCTCTCTCACACACACAGAATAACCACATCAGCCAGACTCTCTCTCTCTCACACACACAGAATAACCACATCAGCCAGTCTCTCTCCCCGTCTCTGTCACACACAGAATAACCACATCAGCCAGTCTCTCTCCCCCTCTCTGTCACACACAGAATAACCACATCAGCCAGTCTCTCTCCCCCTCTCTGTCACACACAGAATAACCACATCAGCCAGTCTCTCTCCCCCTCTCTGTCACACACAGAATAACCACATCAGCCAGTCTCTCTCCCCCTCTCTGTCACACACAGAATAACCACATCAGCCAGTCTCTCTCCCCCTCTGTCACACACAGAATAACCACATCAGCCAGACTCTCTCTCTCTCACACACACAGAATAACCACATCAGCCAGACTCTCTCTCTCTCTCACACACAGAATAACCACATCAGCCAGTCTCCCCGTCTCTCTCACACACAGAATAACCACTTCAGCCAGTCTCTCTCCCCGTCTCTCTCACACAGAATAACCACATCAGCCAGTCTCTCTCCCCCTCTGTCACACACAGAATAACCACATCAGCCAGACTCTCTCTCTCACACACACAGAATAACCACATCAGCCAGTCTCTCTCCTTCTCTCTCTCACACACACACACACACAGAATGACCACATCAGCCAGTCTCTCTCTCTCTCACACACACACACAGAATAACCACATCAGCCAGTCTCTCTCCCACTCTCTGTCACACACAGAATAACCACATCAGCCAGACTCTCTCTCTCACACACACAGAATAACCACATCAGCCAGTCTCTCTCCTTCTCTCTCACACACACACACACACACACACAGAATGACATCAGCCAGTCTCTCTCTCTCACACACACACAGAATAACCACATCAGCCAGTCTCTCTCCCACTCTCTGTCACACACAGAATAACCACATCAGCCAGTCTCTCCCTCTCTCTCACACACACAGAATAACCACATCAGCCATTCTCTCTCTCTCCCTCTTTCACACATACACAATAATCACATGAATACATGTGACAGCTTTGCAAGTCAGAAAAATAAAAATACCATTTTTACTGAGCAAACAAGCAGAAATTAGAAAGTCTAACGATATTCAATATTGTGTGGGAATAACAGTGCTTTCCATACCCCAATGATGGCAGTATAAATTGCTAGTCTTTTTGAAGGGGAATTTGACAAAATCTGTAAAACTGTAATACACACGTTAAAAGGGTGTTCTGCATAAAACACAAACACAAAGGCATCAGATGTCAAAGAAGGTGACCAAACCCCAGTAGGCCCTTCCCTGGGGGCATCCTAGGTTGGGTGGGGAAGGGCCCGGAAGCCCACATTTGTTCTGGGAAGAGCCCATGCAGAGAAGGTCAAGAAAGACAGGACCAACTGCCTCTGAGGGGAGCTGGGTTGCACACACAGGGGCCCCAATCATGCCTGAAGGGTGGGCAGTGGGCCGCTCTGAAAGAGGGCAGTACAGGGGGCAGGGGCTGCTGTGTGCAGCAAATCCCACTCCCAGAGCCTTCGGTGAGTAGTGGGGGGGGCTGGCTGGAGGGCGGCCTGGTAGGGCGCATTGGCCTCAGCAGGGACTTATCCTCACATCAGTGTAGATGCCACGCCAGCCGCAAGAGTGATGCACTCACCACCACAAGGAAACTGTGGGGGCTGGGGTGAGTGGAGAATGGGAAGGTCACCAAACAGCCCATGAAGGCAGCTTCTGAGTTCAGAGTACACAGTGCAACATGGCATGCCAGTGGAGTCAGAACTGGACTGCTCCCTGTGGCTTTTCCTTCCATAATGCCATCGTCCCGGGAAGGGAGAAGAGGAGGAGCACCGGGTGGGAGGATGGGGCTGATGTCTCTACAGACCACAGGAGGCAGAAGTCAGGCCACTCGGTAGTGCTCATTCAAGACAGCAGACATGGCGCCCGCACCCGAGAGGGAACTGCCCAGGGCAGGGATCTGTCCTGTACAAACACTAGCGATGCAGTCAAACACTAGAAAAAGGGAGCAAAGATGGGGTGCGGGGCACACGTATATATATATGCCTCTACGTCTGTGTATTTTATACAGATTTATCTATATTCTTTTGTTTTTTTTTTTTTTTTTTTTTTTTTGAGACGGAGTCTCACTCTGTCACCCAGGTTGGAGTGCAGTGGCGCAATCTTGGCTCACTGCAACCTCCACCTCCTGGGTTCAAGCGATTCTCTTGCCTCAGTCTCCCGAGTAGCTGGGATTACAGGCGCGTACCACTGCGCCTGGCTAATTTTTGTGTTTTTAGTAGAGATGGGTTTCACCATGTTGGCCAGGCTGGTCTCGAACTCCTGACCTCAAGTGATCCGCCTGCCTCAGCCTCCCAAAGTGCTGGGCTTACAGGCATGAGCCACCAGGCCCGGTCAGATTCATCCATATACTTACGGGACTGTACTGTGCAAATGGTTTGGAAACAACCTAGTGGCTACACAGAGGGGAATGATTAAATACAGCAAGTATGTCAATCACATCCACCCACGAAAAAGACTAAAAGTAGAAAGAAGAGATACGTATGTTGACAAAGAGTTTCAACATACTTTTTTTTTTTTTTTTTTGAGATGGAGTTTCACTCTTGTTGCCCAGGCTGGAGTGCAGTGGTGCGATTTCGGCTCACTGAAACCTCTGCCTCCCGGGTTCAAGCAATTCTCCTGCCTCAGCCTCCTGAGTAGCTGGGATTACAGATGCCTACCACCACGCCAGGCTAATTTTGTATTTTTAGTAGAGACAGGGTTTTGCCATGTTGGTCAGGCTGGTCTTGAACTCCTGACCTCAGGTGATTCCCATGCCTTGGCCTCCCAAAGTGCTGGAATTACAGGTGTAAGCCACCGCGCCTGGCCTCAACACATATTCTTAAGTTAATTCTGCAAATAGGACAGTATGTTCTAATTTTCGTTAAAAGCTCCACATAGATAAGTGTGTGTAAAAGCACTGACAAAGGCCTGCAAGTTCAGAGCTGGAAAAGATCACAGAGGCCTCCCAGGAGGAAAGATGTGGGCCTGGAGAAAATTGCAATGGACTCTTTTATAATGCTCCATGGGCCCAGCACAGTGGTTCATGCCTGGAATCCCAGCACTTTGGGAGGCCAAGGTGAGAGGATCGCTTAAGCCCAGAAGTTTGAAACTAGCCTGGGCAAGATAGTGAGACCCTATCTCAAAAAAAGAAAGCAAGAAGGGAGCAGGGGAGGAGAGCGGAGGGGCGGTGGGGAGAGGGAGTGGGGGAGGGGAGGGGAGGGGAGTTAGCTGGGTATGGTGGCATGTGCCTGTAGTCCCAGCTATTTGGGAGGCTGAGGTAGGAGGATTGCTGGAACCCAGGAGGGTGAAGCTGCAATGAGCCATGATCATGCAACTGCACTACAGCCCGGGCAAAAGGGTGAGACCGTGCGCGCGTGCGCGTGTACACATGTATAATACTCCATGATCCTATGTTTTATGAATATTTTTCTTTACAGTTAATTTATTACTTTTTGTAAGTTTGAAACAAAGGCAAGAAGCACAGAGCTCAGGCCCTGCTCCAAACCCCCTCAACCACAGCCAGGTCAGACAAACACTGACTCAGAAGCCCCTCCTGAAGAACAGAGACCTCCTGCTCAGCACTTCTACAGAGGAACTGACTTCATACAAAGATCGTGCACTTGATAGAAGGCTTTTACTAATGATTCGAAGGACTTAAGAAACTGTACTTACACAATGTCAGTACTGTCTCGGCAGAAGTCAATGTGTAATGTGACAGGCTTTGTGCAGTACAGGCTGAATTTTTTTGCTCTATAGGGAAGCTGCATAAACGATTCTACTACAACTCGGATGCTAAAAAGTAAAACAGAAACAGCTCCATTATATAGAAAATTATATATAACATACTCCGTTAAAGTATACCTATTTTATTAATACACTTAATGTAAAACAAAACACACAAAAAACAATTCTTTCTGTTTCTAATATGGCCACCAACAGTGCTTGGAGACATTTGGCCAAGAGGGAAAAACTGCTTCTTGGGAGGTTGAAAAAAAATCGTACTCTTTTGATACATAAAGCACGGATATGGCACATAGATAGTGTATCAGTGAAATTGACATTTCATGACCTAGGGGTAGGAGTTTAGGAAAACAATGTCTAAGAAGCCTCCTGGCCAGGTGTGGTGGTTCACACCTGTAATCCCAGCACTTTGGAAGGCCGAGTTAGGCAGATCACCTGAGGTCAGGAATTCAAGATCAGCCTGGCCAACATGGTGAAACCCTGTCTCTTATACTAAAACTACAAAAAATTAGGTGGGCGTGGTGGTGCACTCCTATAATCCCAGCTACTCAGGAGGCTGAGGCAGGAGAATTGCTTGAACCTGGGAGGCAGAGGTTGCAGTGAGCTGAAATTGTGCCACTGCACTCCAGCTTGGGCAACAAGAGCAAAACTCTGTCTCAAAAAAAAAAAAAAGTCTAATAAGGCTCCTTAGGTGGACAAATACTGGATACTAATGAACATACCTGTAAAGCAAATTCTATTCAAGATTTTCTAAATATCAATCTCAATATATGACCAAAATTACCTTAAAAGTTTCTGTAAATGAACAGATGGTTTAATAATTAGTATTTGCCAACTTTGCACAAAAGAGCTGCAGGACTGAGATTTTTAAATAATAAGTTTGGCAATTTAATTTCCATTCTTCTTTGGCAAACGACAGAGCACTTTATTTTTACATTTTTTTCTTTGTAGGGTCCAGGTCTCACTATGCTACCCAGGCTGGTCTTGAACTCCTGGCCTCAAGCGATCCTCCTGCCTTGGCCTTCCAAAGTGCTGGGATTACAGGCGTGAGCCACCACCCCTGGCCGAAAAACCACTTCCACGTACTATTTCCACATGAACTGGCTTTCTTTCCAGGGTTCCTATTATGCCTTGTCTGGGCAGCCTGGCCATCTTCTGTCTCAGACAGGTTAGGGAAAGGTGGCTGCACCCATGGCCCCCTGAAGTCTCCTGAAGCTCTATTTAATCATACGATTTTCTCACCCAAAACAAACTAAATGTAAAACATCAAACGCAAAAACAAAAGCTCCCCAAACAGTTAAACACAATAATTGTTTTTGCAGCGATTACGGTTGTATGCAATGCAGGATCACAAGCTCGAATGGCACCTACTCTTACAGTAAGTACTGCAAATTCCCAATGTCTGATAAACACGTATGCCATGAAATTCTTCTATTCAATAGACACCTCTTGGCTGGCGCAGTGGCTCACGCCTGTAATCCCAGCACTTTGGGAAGCCGAGGCGGGTGGATCACCTGAGGTCAAGAGTTCAAGACCAGCCTGGCCAACATGGCAAAACCCTGTCTCTACTAAAAATACAAAAATTAGCTGGACGTGGTGGCACACGCCTGTAGTCCCAACTACTCGGGAGACTGAGGCAGGAGAATCGCTTGAACTGGGAGGCAGAGATTGCAGTGAGCCAAGATCACGCCACTGCATTCCAGCCTGGGAGACAGAGTGAGACACTGTCTCAAAAAAACAAAACAAAACAAAATAGACACCTCTTATCACAATCAAGTCTATTTGGTATTGCTCTTTCTTCAGTGAAATCAGAATCCTCATATTTATTAAACTGACATCCTCTTACCCTGGGACGGGAAACTATGGAAAAGTCATCACAAAACACCAAGACTGACTTGTTGCTGGTGTATTCTAACGAACACAATCACGTGTGGTCCCAGAAGCAGTGAAGACTGCACAGCACCATCTTGGCAACAGCTCATTCTGAGCCATCTCCCAACCTCATTGATGGTCACACCCTCCCTCATTTAAGCAGGACAACCAGGGATACCTACATGAGTACAAGCTCTGCTCTGTGCACCCTGAGACTATGCCAGCAACCCCCCTTCTGTGGAGAGAGGCGTTTCTCTCTACCTCCTGGAAGTGTCTTTCTTGCAGCCAAGCCTCCCTAAAGGGCACAAGGAAACTGAGGACAGGCAGGAGAGCAGCCGGCAAGGAGCACCCAGAAGAGGCAGAGAGCAGTCAGAAGATGCAGAGAACGCAGGAGATGCAGAGAGAACCCCAGGAGATGCAGAGAGCAGCCAGGAAATGCAGAGAACGCAGGAGATGCAGAGAACACAGGAGATGCAGAGAGCACCCAGGAGATGCAGAGTACCCAGGAGATGCAGAGAGTACCCAGGAGATGCAGAGAGCACCCAGGAGATGCAGAGAGTACCCAGGAGATGCAGACAGCACCCAGGAGATGCAGACAGCACCCAGGAGATGCAGAGAGCACCCAGGAGATGCAGAGAGTACCCAGGAGATGCAGAGAGTGCCCAGGAGATGCAGAGAGCGCCCAGGAGATGCAGAGAGAGCACCAGGAGATGCAGAGAGTGCCCAGGAGATGCAGAGAGTACCCAGGAGATGCAGAGAGCACCCAGGAGATGCAGACAGCACCCAGGAGATGCAGAGAGTACCCAGGAGATGCAGAGAGCACCCAGGAGATGCAGAGAGTACCCAGGAGATGCAGAGAGTGCCCAGGAGATGCAGAGAGCACCCAGGAGATGCAGAGAGAGCACCAGGAGATGCAGAGAGTGCCCAGGAGATGCAGAGAGTACCCAGGAGATGCAGAGAGCACCCAGGAGATGCAGACAGCACCCAGGAGATGCATAGAGTACCTAGGAGATGCAGAGAGCACCCAGGAGATGCAGAGAGTACCCAGGAGATGCAGACAGCACCCAGGAGATGCAGACAGCGCACCAGGAGATGCAGAGAGCACACCAGGAGATGCAGAGAGTGCCCAGGAGATGCAGAGAGCACCCAGGAGATGCAGAGAGCACCCAGGAGATGCAGAGAGAGCACCAGGAGATGCAGAGAGCACCCAGGAGATGCAGACAGCACCCAGGAGATGCAGAGAGTACCCAGGAGATGCAGAGAGTACCCAGGAGATGCAGAGAGCAGCAGGAGATGCAGAGAGAGCACCAGGAGATGCAGAGAGCACCCAGGAGATGCAGACAGCACCCAGGAGATGCAGACAGCAGCCAGGAGATGCAGACAGCAGCCAGGAGATGCAAAGAGAGCCCCAGGAGATGCAAAGAGAGCCCCAGGAGATGCAGAGAGCAGCCAGGAGATGCAGAAAGAGCCCCAGGAGATGCAGGAAGAACCCCAGGAGATGCAGAGAGCAGCCAGGAGATGCAGAAAGTAGCCAGGTGATAGAGAGAGAACCCCAGGAGATGCAGAGAGCAGCCAGGAGATGCAGAGAGCAGCCAGGTGATAGAGAACCCAGGAGATGCAGAGTAGCCAGGAGATGCAGAGAGTAGCCATGAGATGCAGAGAGTAGCCAGGAGATGCAGAGAGCAGCCAGGAGATGCAAAGAACACCATCTGAACCTGCCTGTCCTGCCAGGACGGACAGTGGGAGAGGGCCAGAGCCACCTCAGCCTTCATCCTGCCCACCCACTCTGCCAGTCAGTGGGTGCAGACCTGAAACCCAGAAAGCACCCCTTCTGGAAGCTAAAGAACTCCAGTTTTGTCTTTTCTCAGTGTAGTGACCTCTAGCCCCGTACTTTAAAATGGACGTTCTCCTTTGAAACTGACATTTGTCTCTGAAAAGAGCGTAAGGTGAGATAAACATGTACATACTTTTTAGATTTGACTGGAATGTTCTTGGCAAAGTCCACAAGGAAACATTCTGCCAGGTACTGGTCTGCGGAAGACGTAATTGATTTGACAATGGCCCTGCACCAGCACTTTAGCTCCTCACAATAGACCACACACACCTGCAAAATAAACAGAGAGTTATTTTTATTTATTTATTTTTTTGAGACAGAGTGTTACTCCATTGCCCAGGCTGGAGTGCAGTGGCACAATCTCAGCTCACTGCAATCTCCACCTCCCAGGTTCAAGCAATTCTCCTGCCTCAGCCTCCCAAGTAGCTGGGATTACAGGTGCCTGCCGCCATGCCTGGCTAATTTTTGTATTTTAGTAGAGATGGGGTTTCACCATGTTGGATAAGCTGGTCTCAAACTCCTTACCTCATGATCCGCCCGCCTCAGCCTCCCAAAGTGCTGGGATTACAGGCGTGAGCCATCACGCCTGGCCAACAGAAAGGTTTTTTAAGGTCAGTGTTAACATTTCATCAAAGAACAAGAGAGGTAAAAGGTACTCTCAAAACCATCCCAGTCAACATTCTCCTTTACAGCAGAGGAAAGAGATGCCAGGAGGCCGGGCCTACCCAAGCTGAGCCACTCTGCCCATAAGAAAACCTCAGGAACACAGGCCGTCTGAGTACTAGGTCACTGTTTTTCTTACTACAATTGTTTCCACTCCTTAACTGAGGACAATTTTTAGAAAGTAAAATAAGAAAAATGCATTCATTTACCTTCTTAAATCAGGAAATAATGCTTAGGAATGATTGTCAATCATGTGTCTGACCAACAGGAAGCTGCCACCAGGCTCATCCTTCCACTCCCTTACCCATGACTCTTTATTTTTTTTGAGACGGAGTTTTGCTCTTGTTGCCCAGGCTGGAGTGCGATGGTGCGACCTTGGCTCACTGCAACCTCCACCTCCCGGGCTCAAGCGATTCTCCTGTCTCAGCCTCCCAAGTAGCTGGGATTACAGGCGCATGCCACCAGGCCCAGATAATTTTAAGAAATTTTTTTAGTAGAGACAGGATTTCATCATATTGGTCAGGATGGCCTCGAACTCCTGACCTCAGGTGATCCACCCGCCTCGGCCTCCCAAACTGCTGGGATTACAGGCGTGAGCCACCGCACCCAGCCTCCCCATGACTCTTATTGGCCTCTGACATTTGTTTACTATCTGTCATAACTGGACGCTGGCTCCTTGATGACATGGATTTTTGTCTGTTTTGTTTACTGCCAAATTCCCAGCACCTAGCAGTGCCTGGCATATACTAAGTCTTCAAAAACTACTTGAACCAGGCATGGTGGTACGTGCCTGTAGTCTCACCTACTTAGGAGGCTGAGGTGGGAGGATCGCTTGAACCCAGGAATTGGAGGCTGCAGTGGGCTATGATTGCACCACTGCACTCCAGCCTGGGTGACACAGTGAGACCCTGTCTCAAAAAAATAACAGTAATAAAATGTTTTAAAAATAAACTACCTGGGCCAGGCATGGTGGTTCACGCCTGTGGTCCCAGCACTTTGGGAGGTCGAGGTGAGTGGATCACCTGAGCTCAGGAGTTCAAGAGCAGCCTGACCAACATGGAAAAACCCCGTCTCTACTAAAAACACAAAAATCAGCCAGGGATGGTGGCATGTGCCTGTAGTCCCAGCTACTCAGGAGGCTGAGGCAGGAGGATCACTTGAGCCAGGGAGGCAGAGGTTGCAGTGAGCCAAAGATCGCGCCACTACACTCCAGCCTGGGCGACAGAATGAGAGTTTGTCTCAATCAATCAATAAACTGCCTGTTTGATGGCTGAATAAGTGCACAGTCCCTGACTTATGATGGTTTAACTTACAATTTTCAACATTATGATGGTGTGAAACTATTGCAATTTTTACATAATGTGCAGTATTCAATAAAATACATAAATATTTAAACTTTACTACAAAATAGGCTTTGTATTAGGTGATCTTGCCCAACCATAAGCTAATGTTAAGTGTCCTGAGCAAATTTAAGTAGGCTAGGGTAAGCTAGGCTGGTCAGCAGGTTAGGTGTACTAAGCCCATTTTTTACCTACAATTATCAGGACATAACCTCATCGTAAGTTAAGAAGCATCTGTAAATGCCTGCAGCCCCTTTTAAGGAGAACCACCCTGCAGAGGTGACAACCCTTGGCATCCTGACTGTACCACAGGACTGCCAGGCCACAGCCAACTCAACTAATAAACCGTATGCTAACCACAGGTTTATAAAGCAGTCCAGCAGGAGAGCTGCGCTCAGACAGAAAGGAAGGGGACTGATAGAGATTGCTGTCCTTGGGAATAAGTTGGAAAATACAGTACAGCCATACTGCAAGGCACAGGTTCTAGAGAACCTCACATAACTCAAAACTCGAATAATTCAACAGAAATCCTGACAAAGGATGAAGGGTATTTCTATTTAATGCTGAAGTCAAAGCATCTTGTAGAAATACCATGAATAGTTAATAATTCACACAGCCAGCCAACCTTCAAAATGAGGCATGAAAGCCACATTCATCTCATATATCTCCATGAGAGCTCTTCAGTGACCAGGTGCACTGTCAATGAGCACTAATTGTTTGTTGTTTTTTGTTTTAGAGACAGGGTCTCATCACTACATTGCCTAGGCTGGACTCAAACTCCTGGGCCCAAGTGATCTTCCTGCTTCAGCCTCCCAAGTAGCTGGGACTGTGGACACGTGCCACCATACCCAGCTCAGCAGTAATATTTTGAAAGGAATCTTTTTTTCTGAGCATAGATCTCAACAGTAAGCTTAAAATATTCAGTAAGCCATGCGTGAACAGATGTGCTGTCATTCAGGCTTTCTTGTTCCATTCGTAGAGCAGATAGAGTAGAGCTAGCATAATCTTTAAGGGTCACAGGACTTTTGGAATGGTAAATGAGTACTGGCTTCAACTTAAAAGTCACCAGCTGCATTAGCCCCTAAAAAGAAAGCCACTCTGACCTTTAAAGCTTTAGTCCTTTAAAGACACCGACTTCTCCTATTTATTTTTTAAGATGGAGTCTCTCTCTGTCACCCAGGCTGGAGTGCAGTGGTGCCATCTCAGCTCACTGCAGCCTCCACCTCCCGGGTTCAAGCAATTCTCCTGCCTCAGCCTCCCCAGTAGCTGGGATTACAGGTGTCCGCCACCACACCTGGCTAATTTTTGTATTTTTAGTAGAGACAGGGTTTCACCATGTTGGCCAGGCTGGTCTCGAACTCCTGACCTTAGGTGATCCACCCACCTCAGCCTCCCAGAGTGCTGGGATTACAGGTGTGAGCCACCACACCTGGCTGACTTCTCCTATTTAGCTCTGGAAGTCCTAGAAGACATCTTCTCCAATAGAAGGCTGTCTTGTATACATTGAAAACCTCTTATTTAGTGTGTCCACTTTCAACAATGATCATAGCTACATCTGGAGAAACTGCTGCAGCCTCTCCATCAGCCCTTGTGCTTCACCTTGCACTTTATGTTGTGGAGATGGCCTCTTTTCTTAAACCTCATGAACCAACCTCCGCTAGCTTCACATTTTTTCCCTGCAGCTTCCTAACCTTGCTCAGCCTTTATACAATTGAAGAGAGTTAGGGCCTTGCTCTGGATCAGGCTTTGGCTGAAGGGAATGTAGTAACTGGTTCTAAGCCTCTATCCTGACCAATAAAACTTTCTCCATATTACCAATAAGGCTGCTTCTTTTTTCATTTTTTTTTTCATTTGTGTGTTCTCCAGAGTGGCACTTTTAATTTCCTTCAAGAACTTTTCCTTTGCATTCACAACTTTGCTAACTGTTTGGTGCAAGAGGCCTAGCTTTCAGCCTATCTCAGCTTTCAAAATGTCTTCCTCTAAGTTCAATCATTTCTAGCTTTTAATTTAATGTGATTCATCCTTTCACTTGAACACTTAGGGGCCATTGTAGGGTTATTAATTGGCCTAATTTCAATTGTGTGTCAGTGAACAGGAAGGCCTGGGGAGAGGGAGAGAGATGGTGGAGCAGTCAGAACACACATTTATTGATAAAATTCACTATCTTACATGGGTGCAATTCGTGGCACCCCAAAACAATTAAAATACTAACCTCAAAGATCACTGGCCACAGATCACTATAACAGATAGAATAATAACAAAAAAGTTCGAAACACTGGGAGAATTACCAAGATGTGACACAGAGACATGAAGTGAGGACCTGCTGTGGGAAAAATGGTGCCTATAGTCTTGCTCCATGAAGGGTTGCCATAAACCTTCAATTTGTAAAAAAACATAGTTACTGCGAATTCACAATAAAATGAGGTCTGTTTGTACTTAAAAGTGTAAAGGGCCAGGCGCAGTGATTCATGCCTGTAATCCCAGCGTTTTGGGAGGCCAAGGCGGGCAGATCTCTTGAGCCCAGGAGTTCGTGACCAGCCTGGGCAACATGGCGAAACCCTGTCACCACAAAAAATACAAAAAAATTAGCCAGGTGTGGTGGTGCATGCCTTTAGTCCTAGCCACTTGGGAGGCTGAGGTGGGAGGATTGCTCGATACCAAAAGGCGGAGGTTGCAGTGAGCCGAGATAGAGTCACTGCACTCCAGCCTGGGTGACAGAGTGAGACCCCCATCTTCAAAAAAAAAAAAGAAAAGAAAAGAAAAGGAGGAGGAGGAGAGAAAAACAAAACCACCCTCTCGACACCAAAAATGTGATAACTAGGCACAAAGCACTAAGTTGAAAACTGATCCACACAATTTCTCTTTCTTTGCAGTATGAACTGTATTATTTGCATTCATAGGCCTTCTGATTTAAAAAATTTTTAAAAAGGCCAGGCGCGGTGGCTCACGCCTGTAATCCCAGCACTTTGGGAGGCTGAGACGGGTGGATCATGAAGTCAGGAGATCAAGACCATCCTGGCTACCAGGGTGAAATCCCATCTCTACTAAAAATACAAAAACGAAATTAGCCGGGCATGGTGGCAGGTGCCTGTAGTCCCAGCTACTCGGGAGGCTAAGGCGGGAGAACGGCGTGAACCCGGGAGGTGGGGCTTCCAGTGAGCAGAGATGGCGCCACTGTACTCTAGCCTGGGCAACAGAACAAGACTCTGTCTCAAAAAAAAAAAAAATTAATTAATTAAAAAAATAAATTAAAAAAATTTAAAAAAGGAACAGTGTTATTTCAGGGTAATCAAACAGTCTTAAGAGATCAGGGAAAGTTCTATAACAGAAGAATTCCAGCTGATGAATGCAGAAGGAATGAGAGAAAACCCCACATCGAGTGCCTGAATAAAAGAGCTGATTCAGGCAGCAGTGGTCACTGAATGGAGAAGCCATCACATGAATGCTGACAGGTAAGGCCACAAGGAGGGTCAGGATGTCCCCTCTGGTCAATCTCAGCATCACTGAAAACATCATCTCTCAATTCAACATGAAGTTCACATGAAGTTCACAGTACACCTATTCTTGAAAAACAGAAGCAACCTTAAATCTACCCAAAGCTTTATATTTAACTATACACATACACACACACATATACATTTTTTTTTTTTTTGAGACAGAGTTTCACTCTTGTTGCCTAGGCTGGAGTGCAATGGCGTGATCTCGGCTCACTGAAGCCTCCGCCTCCCAGGTTCAAGTGATTCTCTTGCCTCAGCCTCTCTAGTAGCTGGGATTACAGGTGCCTGCCACCACGCCCAGCTAATTTTTTGTATTTTTAGTAGAGATGGGGTTTCACTATGTTGGCCAGGCTGGTCTCGAACTCCTGACCTCAGGTGATCCACCTGCCTCAGACTCCCAAAGTGCTGGGATTACAGGCGTGGGCCACCACGCCCGGCTACGCATATTTTTTTTAAGAGACAGTCTCGCTGTCTCGCCCAGGCTAGAGTGCAGTGGCGCAAACACAGCTTACTGCAGCTATTACCTCCCAGGCTCAAGTGATCTTCTGCCTTAGCCTCCAGAGTAGCTGGGGCCACAGGCACGTGCTACCATGCCCACTAATCTTTTTATCTTTTGTAGAGACAGGGTCTTACTATGTTGCCCAGGCTGTTCACAAAACTCCTAGGCTCAAGCAATCTTCTTTCCTTGGCCTCCCAAAGTGCTGGGATTACAGGCAAGAGCCAGCATGCCCAACCCAAAATGTGGAATATTTTTAAAAACAATTGACCTGGTTTAACTTCTTCAATTAGTCAATGGCGTGGAAACAAATTATGTTATTGTGCTTGCTTCGGCAGCACATATACTAAAATAAATTATGTTATTAATGATGATTTGGGGGAAGTGGATTCAAATTATTTCTGCTTTTTCTCATAAAGAGTTTATAAACCTTTTCCTATTATACCATTACAAAAATTCACTCTCTTCTGAAAAGTAGCTGAGCTGTGGCAACCATGACAAGGGGCAGTGAGAGCTGAGTCTGCAAGAAGGCAAGGAGGGGCCACGGCGTGGAGTAAGGAGAACAAAGACATCTGAGTTGGCCAAAGTCATGCAACCAAAAGGGAGGCGTTGGCCCTACACTGAAGACCCTATTCCCTCTTTGCTGAGATCCCTACACCTCTGTGGGATCTCAAATAACCCCCTGGTTCCCAGCCCCAGAGGGATGGCCCTAATGCCTGGGTGTAGATGACATTCTGTCTACTTTTGCCCCACATGGACCTTACATGGCGGCCACCCCCTTCCATGACTAGCCTGAATCTTGTGCAACCTAAAGAACCTTACACTGGCTGGGCACAGTGGCTCACACCTGTAATCCCAGCACTTTGGGAATCTGAGGCGGGTGGATCACCTGAGGTCTGGAGTTCGAGACCAGCCTGGCCAACACGGTGAAACCCCCGTCTCTACTAAAAATACAAAAATTAGCTGAGTGTGGTGGCCCATGCCTGTAATTCCAGCTACTCAGGAGGCTGAGACAGAAGAAGTGCTTGAACCCGAGACACGGAGGTTGCGGTGAGCCCAGATGGTGCCACTGTACTCCAGCCTATGTGACAGAGCGAGACTCCATCTCAAAAAAAAACCTAACACAAGGCACTGAGTGTAAGAAACTAAAATACTCTAAAAGCTTGAATCATCATCGTTGCCAAAATAGTTTATATTTTGAGTGGTGTTTCAATACACAGTGATTAAAGAACATTTAGATACATACCTGTCCTTCTTCCAATGTTAAGGGTTTTATTTCTATATCTTGACACGTGCTGTTGTAGAAGTCATTCATGGCACTATTTAATTTTTGATAATCGACATCATGATCTAAAAAGGGACTACACCCTTTTATAATAACCCAGAAGCAACCTGGATCTTCAATCTGTAAATTTTTTAAAAGACAAACAGAACAGCGTATGATTTAAAAGTAGTACCACAAAATAAACTTTAGAGCCACGATTACTGTTTCTAATTTAAGTGACCTAACAAATTCTTGACAAATGCCTTTGCTTAAATGGTTAGACCGAAGATAAAATTCTAAAACACATAACCAACAGTATGTAATTCTCAATTATGTGTTGTGACTCAAATAACGAACGGATGTCCTCAATCTCCCATATTCTGAAAAATCCATAGTAATATACAAACACAAGGTTCAGAGCAATGTTTTTAGTACTTTTGTTTGTTAAAAAAAATTTTTTTAATTAAAAAAAAAATAGAGATGGTGTCTCGCTATTTTGCCCAGGCTAGTCTCAAACTCCGGGGCTCGAGCAATTTTCCCACTTCGGCCTCCCTAAGTGCTAGGATTACAGACATAAGCCACTGTGCCTGATTTGTATTCTTCTTTTGTAAGAAAGAGAAAGCAATGTGAATATAAGTACATTCTGCTCATAATAAAAAAAATAATAATGGCAGATAAACCAAAGTAAATGCAAATCATGGTCTAAGGGGAGGAGAGAAATGGAGAAGGGACACGGAAGAAAGTCAGACTTCCTGGAATGTATTTTGTTATGTACTATTGTTATTAGAAGCCAAGATTTTCATTGTTAAAGACACAAATATAAAGTGAAAAGTTAAATTTGGATTGAAAATACCAAAAGGTCTCGCTGTGTCACCCAGGTTGGAGTGCAGTGGCGCAATCTCAGCTCACTGCAACCTCCACCTCCTGGGTTCAAGCAATTCTCCTGCCTAAGTCTCCTGAGTAGCCGGGATTACAAGCGTGCGCCACAATGCTCAGTTAATTTTGTATTTTTAGTAGAGACAGGATTTCATCATGTTGGCCAGGCTGGTCTTGAACTCCTGACTTCAGGTGATTCGCCCATCTCAGCCTCCCAAAGTGCTGGGATTACAGGCGTGAGCCACCGCGCCCAGCCAAGAACTCATGATTTTTCAAAAGTATTACCTAACTCTGCCTAGAAAAAATGACATCTCAAGATTTGGGCAAAAATGACATCTTTGCCCAAGGTGGCAAGAATACAGGTATTCCCACTAGTATTATTTCTACTTTTCTGAAGGTTTGAACATTTTTATAACAAATGATCAGAAAAAAGAACAGTAGTTATTCTGGTTCCAGTGACAATAGAATAGTTTCTATATCACCTGTGGGTAACAATAATAAACCCTGGAAAAAATACAAAAATGACTATTTGAAGGCAGTGAAGAGCTACCAAAAGCAAGCAGAACCTGAAGGAGATTCAACCCTTGAAAGAAGGAAACTTCCCTGGGTGAGATCCACTTTTACACGGCTTTTCCCCTGAGCCCATTCCCCAGTCCACGTGGTGTTAACCAGCTGCAATTCAAGGAGAAAGTCATGTTTGTGGCTTGAGGAATCAGAGAACAGAGTTTGGGGCTGCCATAGCAGCTTGAGAATTAAAGGGTAAAATTCCTAAACGGAGAGCCACAGAGGGGGAGCCCTAAAGTCTGCATAAGAACACCTGTCACATTCTTGGCAGAAATGAGACCCCAAGGAGTCCAGAGAAGACCAATGGTGGGAAGGCTGAAAGAAATACGCAGTTTTAGCCGGGTGCTGTGGCTCACACCTGTAATCCCAGCACTTTGGGAGGCCGAGGTGGGCGGATCACGAGGTCAGGAGATCGAGACCATCCTAGCTAACACGATGAAACTCCGTCTCTACTAAAAATACAAAAAATTAGCTGGGCGTGGTGGCAGATACCTGTAGTCCCAGCTACTCGGGAGGCTGAGGCAGGAGAATGGTGTGAAACCGGGTGGTGGAGCTTGCAGTGAGCCGAGATTGCGCCACTGCACTCCAGCCTGGGCGACAGAGCAAGACTCCATCTCACAAAAAAAAAAAAAAAAAAAAAAAAAAAAGAAAAAGAAAAAGTAGTCACCAGAAAGTGAACCCAAGATACCCAGATATTGGAATTAACAGGCGAGGACTTAAAAACAGCTATTATAAATACAGAACTTAAAGATGAGATGGTTAGAGTGAGTTGAAAACAAAAGAATCTCACTTAAGAAATGGAAACTCTATATGTATATAGATATGTATCTATTTATACATGTATAGATATAGATACACACACACAAGCTGTGGAAAACGTAAATTTCATAAATGAAAAATAAAAATTTAGGCCAGGCACGGTGGCTCATGCCTGTAATCCCAGCACTTTGGGAGGCCGAGACGGGCGGATCACGAGGTCAGGAGATCGAGACCATCCTAGCTAACACGATGAAACTCCGTCTCTACTAAAAATACAAAAAATTAGCTGGGCGTGGTGGCAGATACCCGTAGTCCCAGCTACTCGGGAGGCTGAGGCAGGAGAATGGTGTGAAACCGGGTGGTGGAGCTTGCAGTGAGCCGAGATTGCGCCACTGCACTCCAGCCTGGGCGACAGAGCAAGACTCCATCTCACAAAAAAAAAAAACAAAAAAAAAAAAGAAAAAGAAAAAGCAGTCACCAGAAAGTGAACCCAAGATACCCAGATATTGGAATTAACAGGCGAGGACTTAAAAACAGCTATTATAAATACAGAACTTAAAGATGAGATGGTTAGAGTGAGTTGAAAACAAAAGAATCTCACTTAAGAAATGGAAACTCTATATGTATATAGATATGTATCTATTTATACATGTATAGATATAGATACACACACACAAGCTGTGGAAAACGTAAATTTCATAAATGAAAAATAAAAATTTAGGCCAGGCACGGTGGCTTATGCCTGTAATCCCAGCACTTTGGGAGGCCGAGACGGGCGGATCACAAGGTTAGGAGATCGAAACCATCCTGGCTAACATGGTGAAACCCCATCTGTACAAAAAAAAAAAAAAAAAATAGCCAGGTGTGGTGGTGGGCACCTGTAGTCCCAGCTACTCAGGGGGCTGAGGCAGAAGAATGGAGTGAACCCAGGAGGCGGAGCTTGCAGTGAACCAAGATCGCGCCACTGCACTCCAGCTTGGGCAACAAGAGTGAGACTCTGTCACAAAAAAAAAAAAAAAAAGGAAAAGAAAAATTTCACAAGGGGTATACTCGCTAACATTGTACTAAAGGTCCCAGTTAGTACAGTAAGACAGGAAAAAGACTGTCAGGAAGATTAGAAAGGAATAAATAAAATTGTCTTTATTCATAAAGAACACAATTGTCTACACAGAGAACCTTAAGGAGTCTATTAAAAAATTAGAACTACAATGAAAATTATAAAACGCTGCTGAAAGAAATTAAAGAAGACATAAATAAATGGAAAGACATCCCACATTCATTGACTGGAAGATTTAATATCATTAAGATGTCAATCCTACTCAAAGCAATCTACACATTCAATTCAATCCCTACCAAAATCCACAATGATATTTTTTCAGAAATAGAAAAGCACATTCTAAAATTCACATGAAATCCCAAGGGACCCAAAATAGCCAAAACAATATCAAAAAAGAACAAAGCTGGAGGACTCACACTTGATCACAAAACTTTACTACAAAGCTACAGTAATCAAAACAGTATGGTACTGAAATAAAGACAGACATATAGACCAACAGAGTAGAATAGAGAGTCCAGAATAAACCCTTGTGGTCTAGTCAAATGATTTTTGACAAGGGTACCAAAACCATTCAGGGAAAGGTTTTGTAACAAATGAGCACTGGGAAAACTGGATATTCACATGCAAAAGAATGAACTTGGAGGCCAGACAAAATGGCTCACACCTGTAATCCCAGCACTTCGGAAGGCCAAAGCAGGCAGATCACCTGAGGTCAGGAGTTCGACACAAGCCTGGCCAACATGGTGAAATCCCGTCTCTACTAAAAATACAAAATTAGCCGGGTGTGGTGGTACATGCCCGTAATCCCAGCTACTCAGGAGGCTACGCCAAGAGAATCACTTGAACCTGGGAGGTGGAGGTTGCAGTGAGCCGAAATTGCACCACTGCACTCCGGCCTGGGTAACAGAGTGAGACTCTGTCTCAAAAAGAAAATAAAAATAAAAATAAAAATGAAAGAATAAATTTGGACCTTTATGTGACACCATACTCAAAATGGATCAAAGACCTAAATGGAAGGCCTAAAACTACAAAAGAAAACACAGAGCAAATGCTTTGTGACGTTGGATTTGACAAAAATTTCTTGGATATGACACCAAAGCCACAGGCAACAAAAGAAAAAATAGACAAACTGGGCTTCATTGAAATTTAAAAACTGTGTGCATCAAAAGTCACTATCACCACAGTAGAAAGTCAACTTATGGAATGGGGGAAAATATTTGCAAGGCTTATATCTCATAAGGGATTAATACCCAGAATATACAGAGAACTCCTAAAACAATACAAAAACCCAAACCACCAATTAAAAAATGGGCAAAGGATTTGAATAGACATTTCTCCAAAGAAGATATACAAATGGCCAATAAGTACATGAAAAGGCGCTCAACATACTAATCATTAGAGAAATATAAATCATAACCATAGTGAGATACTACCTGACACTCATGAGGATAACTACTGTCAAAAAAAACCTGAAAATTCAGTGTGCTGGAAGGTGTGTTAAAACAGAAAATAATGTGTTGGCAAGGCTGTGGAGACACTGGAATCATTGTGCACTGTTGGTATGAATGTAAAACGGCATAGCTGCTGTGGAAAATGGTAGGGTGGCTCCTCAAAAAATTAAAACTATAATTACCATATAATGCAGCAATTCCACTATTGGGTGTAGATCCACGAGAATTGAAAGATCTTGAAGAGATACGTACACACCTGTGTTCATAGCAGCATTATTCACAATAGCTAAAATGTGGAAGCAACCCAGTGTCCCTCAACAGATAAATGGATAAGCAAAATGTGGTACAGAATGGACTATTATTCAGTCTGAACAAGGAAGGAAATTCTTTTTTTAAAAAAAGACATATATTTGTTTTTTTAAGAGACAGGGTCTTGCTATATTGCCCACCTCACCTCAAGCAATCCTCACCTCAAGCAATCCTCACCTCAAGCAATCCTCCCACCTCAGCCTCCCAAGTAGTTGGGTCCTCACGTTCACATCACTGCACTGGGCTTCAAAAGAAAGGAAATTCTGACACATGGTACAACATAATGAACCCTGAGGACATTATACTGAGTGAAATAAGCCAGTCACAAAAGGATAAACTGTATGATTCCACTTATATGAGGCACTCAGAGTAGTCAAATTCATAGAGAAAGCAGAGTTTCAGTTTTGCAAAAGGAAAAAGACTTCTGGAGAGGGACATTGGTGATGGTTGCACAACATTATGAATGTATTTGACTGGGTGTGGTGGTTCACGCCTGTAATCCCAGCACTTTGGGAGGCTGAGGCGGGTGGATCCAAGGTCAGGAGATCAAGACCATCGTGGCTAACACAGTGAAACCCAGTCTCTACTAAAAATACAAAAAATTAGCCAGGCGTGGTGGTGGGAGCCTGTAGTCCCAGCTACTTGGGAGGCTGAGGCAGGAGAATGGCGTGAACCCAGGAGGCAGAGCTTGCAGTGAGCTGAGATCGCACCACTGCATTCCGGCCTGGGCGACAGAGCAAGACTCCGTCTCAAAAAAAAAAAAAAATTATGAATGTATTTAATACCATGAACTGTACACTTAAAAATGGTTGAGATGGCAAACTTCGTTACATGTTTTTTACAATAAAAAATATATAATATATGCCAGAACTAATAATTGACTTTACAAGGCTACAAGGCACAAGATTATTGAAATAATTCAATTGTTGCTACAAAGAGAATACCTAGGAATACAACTAACAAAGGAAATAAAAGAGGACACAAACAAATGGAAAAACATTCCATGCTCGCGGATAGGAAGAGCATCGTGAAAATGGCCGTACTGTCCAAAGTAATTTATAGATTCAATGCTATTTCCATTAAACTACCATTGACATTCTTCACAGAAATAGAAAAAACTACTTTAAAATTGATAGGGAACCAAAAAAGAGTCCATATAGCCACGACACTCCTAAGCAAAAAGAATAAAGCTGGAGGCATCATGCTACCCAACTTCAAACTATACTACAAGGCTACAGTAACCAAAACAGCATGGTACTGGTACAAAAACAGACACATAGACCAATGTAACAGAATAGAGATCTCAGAAATAAGACCACACATCTACAACCATCTGATTTTTGACAAACCTGACAAAAACAGGCAATGGGGAAAGGATGCCCTATTTAATAAATGGTGCTGGGAAAACTGGCTAGCCGTATGCAGAAAACTGAAACTGGACCCTTTCCTTACACCTTATACAAAAATTAACTCAATATAGATTAAAGACTTAAATGTAAAACCTAAAACTATAAAAAAAAAACCCTAGAAAAAAATCTAGGCAATACCATTCAACACATAGGCAACGGCAACGATTTCATGACAAAAACATCAAAAGCAATTGCAACAAAAGTAAAAATTGACAAATGGGATTGAATTAAACTAAAGAGCTTCTGCACAGCAGAAGAAACTATCATCAGAGTTAACAGAAAACCTACAGAATGGGAGAAAATTTTTGCAATCTTTCCATCTGACAAAGATCTAATATCCAGAATCTGTAAGGAACTGAAACAAATTTACAAGAAAAAAACCCCATCAAAAAGTAGGCAAAGCGCATGAACAGACACTTCTCAAAAGAAGACATTTATGCAGCCAACAAACATATGAAAAAAAGCTCAACATCACTGATCATTAGAGAAATGCAAATCAAAACCACAATGAGATACCATCTCATGCCAGTCAGAATGGCAATTATTAAAAAGTCAAGAAACAACAGATGGCTGGCAAGGCTGTGGAGAAATGGGAATGCTTTTATACTGTTGGTGGGAGTATAAATTAATTCAACCATTGTGGAAGACAGTGTGGTGATTCCTCAAAGATCTAGAACCAGAAAAACCCAGCAATCCCATTACTGGGTATATACCAAAAGGAATATCAATCATTCTGTTATAAAGACATACATGCGTATGTTCACTGTAGCACTAGTCACAATAGCAAAGACATGGAATCAACCCAAATGCCCATCAGTGATAGACTGGATAAAGAAAATTTGGTACATATACACCATGGAATACTAGGTAACCATAAAAAGTAACAAGATAATATCCTTTGCAGGGACATGGATGAAGCTGGAAGCCATTATCCTCAGCAAACTAACACTGGAACAGAAAACCAAACACCGTATGTTCTCACTTATAAACAGGAGCTGAACAATGAGAACACATGGACACAGGGAGGGGAACCACACACTGGGGCCTATGGGACAGAGGGGAGGGAGAGTATCAGGATAAAAAAACTAATACATGCGGGGCTTAATAACTAGATGATGGGTTAATAGTTGCAGCAAACCAACATGGCACATGTCTATCTATGTAACAAACCTGCAGGTCCTGCACTTGTATCCTGGAACTTAAAATTAAATTAAAAAATAATAATTCAATCGTATTACTATATTCCAGAAATGGAAATTGGAAATTTAAAATTACAAAAAGGCTGGGAGTGGTGGCTCATTCCCATAATCCCATTACTTTGGGAGGCTGAGGTGGGACGATTGCTTGAGCCCAGGAGTTTGAGAAACCAGCCTGGGCAACACAGTGAGACCCTGTCTCTAAAAAAATTTTTTTTAATTAACCAGGAGTGGGGGCAAATGCCTTTAGGCCCAGCTACTCAGGAGGCTGGGGCAGGAGGCTCCCTTGAGCCCAGGAGTTTGAGGTTGCAGTAAGTTGTGATTACAGCACTGCGCTCCAGCCTGGCCAACAAAGCAAGACCCTGTGTCTTTTACTGAAAAACAAAACAAAACCCAGTAATTACTTAAAGGTCTAAATCTTAAAAATATGTGCAAAATTCCTATGCTGAAAGTTATAAAACACTGACGGAAAGAAATGAAAGATCTAAATAAGTATAGATATACTGTATTAATATATATTTCTCTGAACCCATCTATAAATACAACTCCATTCCAGCATGGTTTTTTTTTTTTTTTTGGTAGACTCAGCAAGCAATTACAAAATGCATATTACAAAAGCTAAGGAACTAGAACAATTCTGAAAAAGAATATAGTTGGAAGACTCATATCACCTGACTTCAAGAGTTATCTATAAAGGGCCAGGCACGGTGGCTCATGCTTGTAATCCCAGCACTTTGGGAGGCCGAGATGGGTGGACCACGAGGTCAGGAGATCGAGACCATCCTGGCTAACACAGTGAAACCCTGTCTCTACTAAAAATAAAAAAATTAGCCGGGCATGGTGGCGGGCACCTGTAGTCCCAGCTACTTGGGAGGCTGAGGCAGGAGAATGGCATGAACCCGGGAGGCAGAGCTTGCACTGTGCCGAGATCACACCACTGCACTCCAGCCTGGGGGACAGAGCAAGACTCCGTCTCAAAAAAAAAACAAAATAGTTACCTATAAAGCTACAGTAATAAGACAGTGTGGTATTGTGCATAAATCAATATAACAGGAATATAATCACACATATAGTCAATTGATTTTTGATAAGACACAAAGGAGGACGGATAGTCATTTCAACAAATGATGTTGGAACAGTTAGATAATCACGTGCAAAGAAATGAAACTTCATCCATTCCTTGCACCATATACAAAAATTAACTCGGATCATATATCTAAATGTAAAATATAAAATTATAAAACTTCTAAAAGGTTACATGGGGGGGCCAGGTGCAGCAGTTCTTGCCTGTAATCCCAGCAGTTTGGGAGGCCGAGGAGGGCAGATCACTTGAGGTCAGGAGTTGCAGACCAGCCTGGACAAGATGCTGAAACCCCGTCTCTACCAAAAATATAAAAATTAGCCGGCTGTGGTGGCACGCGCCTGTAATCCCAGCTACTCAGGAGGCTGAGGCAGGAGAATCGCTTGAACTCGGGAGGCGGAGGTTGCAGTGAGCCGAGATTGCTCCACCACACTCCAGCCTGGGCAACAGAGCGAGACGCCGTCTCAAAAAAAAAAAAAAAAAATTTTTTTTAAATAATAAAAGGATACATGGGGGAAAAAAATCTTTGTGACTGTGAGTCAGACAAAGATTTCTCAGATATTTAAGGCTAAATAATATGCCATTGTGTATGTACAAACCACCTTCCGTTTACCCAGTCATCTGTTGATGGATACATGGAGGGAAAAATATTTCATCCTTGTAAAAGCTAACTTCATCTGCAGGACAGGTGGTACCTACACAGCACTTGGGGAGACACTCCTATTCAGGACAGAATTTGCTCAGGGGGTGAGCTGGTTGAGGGCCAGAAGTGGGGGCA
Organism: Homo sapiens; assembly: GCF_000001405.40. Taxonomy (NCBI): domain Eukaryota; kingdom Metazoa; phylum Chordata; class Mammalia; order Primates; family Hominidae; genus Homo; species Homo sapiens. The sequence goes on along the minus strand of NC_000019.10, from coordinate 32,722,385 downwards.
GATCAGAGTTGAGCAGGTAAATGAAAGAGTTCCTGGGCCCAACTGAGAGGAAAGGGGTTCGCGAACAGGAGGCAGCAAGTCCAGCTCCTGCTATCAAAGTTCTGCCGGGATGGTTGTGCATGTTTCAGGATGTGTAGCCCTGGAAGAGCCCTGTCTCTTCTAAAGAAGAAATCGGACTAGCATCGTTAGGACTGACAGACAACATCTGACTGGAGGAGAGGAGCTCGCCTGGTGGATCTGAACACCTAAAAGTCTGAGGGCAAATTCTCTGTAAGAGTCAGCTTCCTCAAACATTTGTGAATCTTTGTTCAGAGAGATTACACAAGACATCAAGTAAGAGCAGGAGAGTGCTGGTTTTAAAAATCGCACCGGCCGGGCGTGGTGGCTCACGCCTGTAATCCCAGCACTTTGGGAAGCCGAGGCGGGTGGATCACGAGGTCAGGAAATGGAGACCATCCTGGCTAACATGGTGAAACCCCGTCTCTACTAAAAATACAAAAAAAAAAAAAAATTAGCCAGGCGTGGTGGTGGCCGCCTGTAGTCCCAGCTACTTGGGAGGCTGAGGCAGGAGAATGGCGTGAACCCGGGAGGCGGAGCTTGCAGCGAGCTGAGATCGCGCCACTGCACTCCAGCCTGGGTGACTGAGCAAGACTCCTTCTCAAAATAAAATAAAATAAAATAAAATAAAATAAAATAAAATAAAATAGGCCAGGCACGGTGGCTCACGCCTGTAATCCCAGCACTTTGGGAGGCGGAGGCAGGTGGATCACCTGAGGTCAGGAGTTCGAGAACAGCCACGTGGTGAAACCCTGTCTCTACTAAAAATACAAAAATTAGCCAGGTGTGGTGGCAGGCACCTGTAATCCCAGCTACTCGGGAGGCTGAGGCAGGAGAATCACTTGAACCCGGGAAGCGGAGGTTGCAGTGAGCTGAGGTCACACCACTGCACTCCAGCCTAGACAACAAGAGCGAAACTCCATCTCAAAAAAATAAATGAATAAATAATAAAATAAAATAAAACAATCCCACAATCTGCTACGTCCAGCTCCTGGGCCCACTGAAGTGTGATTTTCAAAGTATTTAGATTTCCTTTCTCCAATAACCCATACCCACCCCTCTGCTCTGGCCTGTCAACTCCTTCCTCCAGCAACGCTTTCCCCTTCACCAATGAGCCCTCACTGGACTCCAAGGGGGAAAAGCAAGGGTCCAGGCGGGCGTCCCTTCCCCGAGGACTAGAACAACGCCCACGCAGAGCCCACGCGGTGAGCGGATAGGGCAACAGAGACTGGGGGCATGAGGGAAGCCCGGACCCATGGGCTGGGGCTGCCCGGGCCACCCGACCCTGTCCAGGCGCCGAGCCTAAGGGCCCCGTGGAGTACGGAGAGCGGGGCCCTGGGGACGCCAGTGTCGCTTGGCCCGGGTGATCGAGCATTCGGAGGAGCAACCAATTCCGCGCTCCTCCAGGTGCATCCCGGAGCACGCCAGGGCCCGTGAAACCCGGGCTCATCCGGGTTCTACCCCAGCTCCCAGCCCGGGGTGCCCCCTGGTGGGGGCGCAGGGAGGGTTCAGGTGGGGGAGGGCGGGGTGGGGTTGGAGTGGAGGTGGGGTGGGCTGCGGCTGGGGTGCAGGTGGGAGTGGAGATGGGGTGGTGGTGGGGTGTGTGGGGCTGAGTGTGGGGGGATGAAATGTTGGGGTGGAGGTGTGAGTGGGGGCGGTGGGAATAAGGATGGGGTGGGGACAGGGGCGAGGGTGTGACTGTGGGGTGGGCAGCGATAAGGAAACGGGTGGGAGCTGGGGCTAGGGTAGGAGTTGGGGGTGTGTGGGGTTGGGAGTGGGATGGGTTGGGGTGGGAGTGGGGTGGGAGTGGGGGCGTGGTGTGGCGGCATGGGATATACGGGGTTGGGATGTGTGGGAGTGGGATGGAGTGTGCAGCAGTGAGATGGGGTGGGGGCATGTGTGAGTGTGGGGGTGGAGCTGGGTGGGAGTGGGTGTGGGAGGATGTGTGGGTTGGGGGAGGAGTGGGCGTGGGGAGTAGGTGTGGGCTGAGAGGGAGTGGACATGGGGGGGATGCGTGGGCTGGGAGGAGTGGGTGTGGAGGGATGTGGAGGCTGGGATGGGGGGAGGGGTGGGGGCTGTGTAGGGTTGGGGTCGGGGGTGGGAGGCTGTGCGGGGCTGCGGTGGGTGTAGGAAGCTGTGCGGAGCTGGGGTGGGGGTGGGAGGCTGTGCGCGGCTGGGGTGGGGGTGGGGGACTGCGTGGGTCTGGCGTGGGTCTGGCTTGGCGGCGCTCACCTTCAGCACCAGGAGCTGGAGCATCCTCCTGGCGCCCGAGGGCAGATGGGCCCCCTCGCCCTGGAAGTCCCCTACCGTCGCGGGTGAGGCTGGCTGCGTCCGCCCCGGCCAGGCCCCCGCCGCGAGTGCGTTCCTTCCCTCCACCTTTAGCGCCTGGGCCCCCCGCGGCAGGTGCCCCACACTCCTCGTCCCCAGGAGCCCTCGCGGACCCCGGGGTCGGCTCGAGGCAATGCGCTCCGTCCTGGCAGTAACCAGCCCCTCGCTGCGGGATCCCTGCCTGCCTGGCCTCGGGCCTCCCGCACCCACCGGATGCCCGCGCACGCTGAGCAGGCCTTGAGGCGTCGGAGACCACGTGGTCCACCCAACGGCCCAACAACGTAAGGCACAGCGCCACGCGGTGGCCAGGAGGACTGACGCGCGGAGGCCCTGGGAGGCCCGGCTAGGGGTCGCGTGATTCTCTCTTTTGCAGCCAGCAGGACTGCCCTGCAGGCCCCAGGGACACTCGCCTGTCCCCCGGAGGGACAGAGGGGCCGCGTGCGGCTGAGTCCGTTGGAAACCACCTTTGCAAAATTGTAACTGAGGAAATTGTGATGGTGAAAGAAATCAGACCTAATCAACTCCATCTTGCCTCTAACCTTTAAGCTGTCCTTGTTTATTCCTGGGCGGAAGCCCAACTAACCTTGGGAAGGAATTCAGTCCATGGTTTGACTCTGAAACAAAATTGATAAGAGCCTGTGAATCCTGAAAATGTGAGATAGGTCTCAGTTCATTTAGAAAGTTTATTTGGCCAGCAGAGCGAGGTGGCTCAGGCCTGTAATCCCAGCGCTTTGGGAGGCGAGGGGTGCGGATCACCTGATAAGGTTAGGAGTTGGAGACTAGCATCCTCGACATGGTGAAACCCCGTCTCTACTAAAAATAGAAAAATTAGCCTGGCATGGTGGGGAGCGCCTCTAATCCCAGCTACTTGGGAGGCTGAGACAGGAGAATCGCTTGAACCCGGGAGGCAGAGGTTTCAGTGAGCTGAGATCAGGCCACTGCACCCCAGCCTGGGCGACAGAGTGAGACTCTGTCTCAAAAAACAAAACAAAACAAAAAATTTTGCCAAGGTTGAGGACAGGCGCCCCTGACACAGGAAGTCCTAACGACATTTGCTAGACGTGGTCGAGGCACAGCTTGTGTTAAAGTTGGAGGGTGTCCAGGTTCTTGGTGTCTTGAAGAAAGAATTTGACAAAAGGCACACACAAAGCAAGGAAGGAATGAAGGGTTTTATTGAAAAAGTACACTCCACAGTGTGGGAGCAGGCCTGAACACAGGGACTCAAAGGCCCGGCAGAATTTCTGTGAATTTAAATACCTTCTGCTTGGGGTACGCCCGATGTAAATGAAGACGGTGAAGTAAAGTTACGAAGTCATTTACTCGGTGTATGCCCTATGGAGAGGGTATTTCCCCTTATAGCTGAAGCGTGAATCGGCCTTATGTTCCCTACCTCCAGACCCTATTTTCCTGCCTCACTTGGTCTTTTACATTTTAGGGAGGCATGAGACAACAATCCTTGAATCAGCTCAGTGGATCAGCTGACACCACCCACACCGATAATCTGCCTCAACCAGTTCTGCCAAACCAACCAGGAAGAGTAAATAGCAAGAAAAACTCCAACAACCTCTGATTCCATCTTCAACCTGGCCAATCAGCACTCCCCACTTCCCAAGCTCCTACCCGCCCAATTGTCTTTAAAAACTCTGTTCCTCAAATGCTCGGAGAGACTGATTTGAGTAATAATAAAACTCCAGTCTCCCACACAGCCGGCTCTGCGTGAATTACTCTTTCTCCATTGCAATTCCCTGTCTTGATAAATTGGCTCTGTCTAGGCAGCGGGCAAGGTGAACCCATTAGGTGGTTACAAGTTCATTATTTTATTTTTAAAGAGACAGGATATGGCTCTCTTGCCCAAGCTGGAGTGCAGTGGCACAATCATGGCTCACTGCAGCCTTGAATTCCTGGGCTCAGTTGATCCTCCATCTTCAGCCTCTCAAGTAGCTGGGACTACAGGCATGCACCACCACGCCTGGATAATTTTTTAATTTTTTTGTAGAGATGGGGGTCTCGCTGTGTTGCCCAGGCTGGTGTTGAACTCCTGGGCTCAAGCCATCCTTCCGCCTCAGCCCCCTGAGCAGCTAGGATTACAGGCATGAACCACCACACCAGGCCCTCAGTTGGTCCTTGTTGCCTGCTAAGGGGCCCCTGTCCTCCTGCTTTCTCTAGGCCAGCCTACACCCCTTAAACGCTGTGAGCTGGAAGCCTTGGTGGTGAGGAAGAGTCCTGGACAGTCATGAATCCCTGGGTCTTCGTGGCCTCCTGGCAACATTTCCATTTGATCTGCACCTTTTGGAAAGGTTCCTGGTCCTGGATTTCTTCCCAGCTGGACTTCAACTGGCAGGGCTCTCCGAGTCTAAACGAGTTAATTTGCTAGTAAGGGAACCAACAAGATGACAAAAGACTGCAAGAGTTTGGAGAGAGCATGGAAACTGTGGAGTTATTATTTGGGGAACAGAATGCTCACATAAGCATGCAGTTCTATAAGAAAACTGGATTGCACGAGGTCCCACAGATAACATGCACTTAAACTCTCAGGCAGGATGGTTGCAGAGGAAAGGTGTGTAGCTGCCAGTCGGGAGAAAAACACAGCTGCAAAGTGCGTGATGTTCACCTGTTCCTGAAATTAGGTTGACAAGGCCTCCCCTCCAATCAAGGCACCTGGTATGGCCAACTCACCTGAAAGCTCAAGACCTTGCCAAAAAGAGATGGAAAATGACAGGATCTGATTTAAACAGGAGGTCCTGGCTGGGCGAGGTGGCTCAGGCCTGTAATCCCAGCACTTTGGGAGGCCGAGGTGGGTGGACCACTTGACGTCAGGAGTTCGAGACCAGCCTGGCTAATATGGTGAAGCCCTGTCTCTACTAAATATACAAAAATTAGCCGGGCATAGTGACAAGCACCTGTAATTCCAGCTACACAGGAGGCTGAGGCAGGAGAATCGCTTGAACCAAGGAGGCAGAGGTTGCAGTGAGCTGAGATCATGCCACTGCACTCCAGCCTAGGCAACAGAGCAAAACTCTGTCTCAAAAAATATATAAAATAAAATAAAATAAACAGGAGGTCTTGTAGCCAGGTGCAGTGACATGTGCCTGTAGTCTCAGCTACTTGGGAGGGTGAGATGGGAGGATCCCTTGAGCCAGAAGTTGGAGCCCAGCCTTGGCAACATAGCAAAACCCCATCTTAAATAGGAAGTCCCAAAACAGTTCCCAATCCACAAAAATGGGTAATATAGACTTCTCCCAGTTCTTGGTGTGGGGAGACACTTTTTTGTTTGACTAGATCCTGTGCTACAGTACGGTATTTCCCAATCTTTTTACAACATGGCTCACAGAAAATGGAAATATTTATATATTACACTCCCATAGTCAAGACACTCACTGCCCTGGGGGTCCAGCCACCCAGTCTCCCCAAGGTTAAAAGGGGTCCGCATTTGTACTGTAACCTGCCCTCCTCCAACTCTGGTGCTAGCGGAAAACACTTTTTTAAAGATTCACAAGGCTTCCTTTTTCTTCACCCTGTCTCATGGTGCTTTTTTTTTTTTTTTTTGAGACAGGGTCTCGCTCTGTTGCCCAGGCTGGAGTACAGTGGCGCAATCTTATCGCTGCTCACTGCAGCCTCTATCTCCTGGGCTCAAGTATCTTCCCACCTCAGCCTCCTGAGAAGATAAAACTATAGGGATGCACCACTACACCCAGCTAATTTTTTTTTTTTTTTTTGAGACAGTCTTGCTCTGTCACTCAGGCTGGAGTGCAGTGGCACGATCTCAGCTCACTGCAACCTCCGCCTCCTGGGTTCAAGCAATTCTTCTGCCTCAGCCTCCCAAGTAGCTGGGACTACAGCCATGTGTCACCACACCCAGCTAATTTTTGTATTTTTAGTAGAGACGGGGTTTTACCATATTGACCAGGCTGGTCTCAAAACACCTGACCTTGTGATCCACCCACTTCAGCCTCCCAAAGTGCTGAGATTACAGGCGTGAACCACCGTGCCTGGCCCACCCAGCTAATTTTGAATTTTTTTATAGAGACATGGTCTCCCTATGTTGCCCAGGCAGGTCTTGAACTCCTGGGCTCAAACGATTCTTCCACCTTGGCCTCCCAAAGTGTTGGGATGACAAGTGTGAGCCACCATGCCCAGCCGAATTTTGTTTTTAACTTTAAAAATATTTCTGACCCAGCACAGGGGCTCACATCTGTAATCCCAGCACTTTGGGAGGCTGAGGCGGGCAGATCACTTGAGGTCAGGAGTTGGAGACCAGCCTGGTCAAATGGTGAAACCCTGTCTCTACTAAAAGTACAAAAATTAGCTGGGTGTGGTGGTTGATGCCTGTAATCCCAGCAAATTGGGAGGCTGAGGCAGGAGAATCACTTGAACCCAGGAGGCAGAGGTTGCAGTGAGCCAAGATCGCACCACCGCACTCTAGCCTGGGCAACAAAGCGAGAAGGTGTCTCAAAAAGAAAAGAAAAGAAAAACTGTGTGTCATAAATGCCATGAACACCAGTAATCTGAATTCTAAAACTTAATTTTTCAGCTCATATTATTTGGGGTTATGGGGTATGGGCAAGATATCACTATAGGTAGGAAGTCATGTGACAAGTCTCCCAAAAGGAATTCTTGGAAGGAGACAAGGTTCACTCAGATTAAAAACAACAACATACAGGCCAGGCGCAGTGGCTCACACCTGTATTGCCAGCATGACGTGGATGGACCACTTGAGGTCAGAAGTTCAAGACCAGCCTGGCCAACACGGTGAAGCCCTGTCTCTGCTAAAAATACAACCATTAGCCAGGTGCAGTGGCACGTGCCTGTAATCCCAGCTACTCGGGAGGCTGAGGCAGGAGAATTGCTTGAACCCAGGAGGCAGAGGTTGCAGTGAGCCAAAAGCACGCCACTGCACTCCAGCCTGGACAACAATGTGAGACTCCATCTCAAAACAAACAAACAAACAAACAAACAAACAAAAACAAAAAAAAGCATACATGAGGGAAACGTGGTGTGAAAACGATCTTTTCTATGAAGAAAAACTGGTCATATTACTTTATCATGACATCTTCTAATATCACCCACTGAGCCATGGCAACTCCAGTGAAGAGGGAGTTGACTGTGGCACTAACCAGCTGCGTGTCTCGGTTTTCTCACTGGCAAAATCATGGTGTTCAATGAGGTCCCTTCCAGCGGCAACATTCTAGTAATCTTTGAGAGTCAAAAGACAAAGCTAGGCTGGGCATGGTGGCTCATGCCTATAATCCCGGGCACCTTGGGAGGCTGAGGCGGGCAGATCACCTGAGGTCAGGAGTTCAAGACCAACCTGGCCAACATGGTGAAACTTTGTCTCTACTAAAAATATAAACATTAGCTGGGTGTGGTGGCGGGCGCCTATAGTCACAGCTACTTGGGAGGCTGAGGCACAAGAATTGCTTGAACGCAGGAGGTGAAGGTTGCAGTGAACTGAGATTGCACCACTGCACTCCAGCCTGGGCAGCAAAGTGAGACTCTATCTCAAAAAAATCAAAAGACAACAAAAATTTTTGTACACTTTGTTTTTGTTTTTGTTTTTTTGAGACAGTTTTCCTCTTGTCACCCAGGCTGGAGTGCAATCTGGGCTCACTGCAACCTCCACCTCCAGGTTCAAGCGATTCTCCTGCCTCAGCCTCCTGAGTAGCTGGAATTACAGGCCACCATGCCTGGCTAATTTTTGTGTATTGTTAGTAGATGGGGTTTCACCACATTAACCAGCCTGGTCTTGAACTCCTGACCTCAGGTGATCCGCCCACCTCAGCCTCCCAAAATGCTGGGATTATAGGCATAAGCCACTGCGCCCAGCCCAGCCAACTTTTTTTTTTTTTCCAATTGGACGTAATTTCCCATTTTTGTAGATTCAAAAGGCAGACAGAATAATAGTATCTGTGGTTCTCAAAATTTACATATTGGAACCATTTATTTAAAAAAAAAAAGATTTTACTTTAGATTGGGTGTCTCATCCTTGGTCAGGTAATTCTTTGCTATGGGTGAGACTGCGCATTGCAGGCTGTTCAGTTGCATCCCTGGCCTCTCCCTACTACTAGATGGTAGTAGCATACTCCCCCACCCACCCACTCTGCCCACAGTTTCAACAACCAAAAATGTTTCCAGACATAGCCAAATGTTCCCTAGGGCAAAAGTGCCCAGGCTGAGGACTGCTGTGCTAGATATAGTTCTCTAATCTGGATTTAATCATACACATAAACTTTATTCATCATTGTCTTTATGTTATAGTAGGAAAATTAAGGCATTTCATAAAATATGAAATCAATTGTACAATGCATGATACAGTCAAAGATCTGGACATGGAATTGGTGTCTTAACTATCATTTCTCACCTTTAATCAATAAACATTATTCCTCTTGAAAGATGATGAAAAATTACTCATATTAAATACAGTAAAAATAAACATCATTAATCAAACACTACATTTCTAACCTCTTTACATTCATTAACAGTGTGGAATACAAACAATGATGGTTTTTGTTATGGCTTTGTGTTTCTTTAAAATGCTAACTAGGCCAGGCGTGGTGGCTCAAGCCTGTAATCTCAGCACTTTGTGAGGCCAAGGTGGGCAGATCACCTCAGGTCAGAAGTTCGAGACCGGACTGGCCAACATGGTGAAACCCCGTCTCTACTAAAAATACAAAGATTAGCTGGGCATGGTAGTGGGTGCCTGTAATCCCAGCTACTCGGGAGGCTGAGGCAGAAAAATCGCTTGAACCTGGGAGGCGGAGATTGGAGTGAGCTGAGATTGCGCCATTGTACTCCAGCCTGGGCAACAGAGCGAGACTCTGTCTCAAAAATAAATAAAATAGAATAAAATAAAATAAAATGTTAACTAAAATCGATTTCTAATTTGGGAAACATAATAACTAATACCATTTGATTTTAAAAAGAATTGTATCTTAATCATTAAGCTAAAGACATAGCAAGAAAACAATGACATGGTCACTTGAAGGGTGTCTCAGCCAACTTTTCATCATCTAATAAGACACCCTTAAAGTAATTCCAGCAGAAAGTCTCAGAAATTCATTGATCAACCTCCAAAGCACATCAGGGAAGGTGCTAATACAGTGGATAACAAGAACAATAAACAGCAGAACATGTTATTTAAATTTTTGAGATAATAAAACAATACAGAAGTAGGAACCCTTGTGAAATTATGTTCTGGTTTTGGGTAATGAGATCATTAATACGTTATAAACTTTATACGTGTGGCACACTGTAAGGATTAAAGAATGGAATAAGCAAGCGAGCTCCCTAAAACACCTGATATAAGAAACACCATGCTGGGCACAGTGGCTCACGCCTGTAATCCCACACTTTGGGAGGCCAAGGCGGGCAGATCATGAGGTCAGGAGATCGAGACCAGCCTGGCCAACATGGTGAAACTCTGTTTCTACTAAAAATACAAAATTTAGTGGGGCATGGTGGTGCATGCCTATAGTCCCAGCTACTCAGGAGGCTGAGGCATGAGAATCGCTGGAACCTGGGAGGTGGAGGTTGCAGTGAGCCGAGATTGGGCCACTGCACTCCAGCCTGGGTTCTGGGCAAGAGTGAGACACTCTGTCTCAAAAAAAAAAAAAAAAAAAAAAAAAAAGGCTGGGTGTGGTGGCCCACACCTGTAATCCCAGCACTTTGGGAGGCCAAGGCGGGCGTATCACGAGGTCAAGAGATTGAGACCATCCTGGCTAACACGGTGAAAACCCGTCTCTACTAAAAATACAAAAAAAAATTAGCTGGGCATGGTGGCGGGCGCCTGTAGTCCCAGCTACTCGGGAGGCTGAGGCAGGAGAATGGCATGAACCCCTGAGGCAGAGCTTCCAGTGAGCCTATATCATGCCACTGCACTCCAGCCTGGGCGACAGATTGAGACTCTGTCTCGAAAAAAATAAAGAAATACTGAATTGCAGTAACTTTTATAGGCACAAACTTCCTTAAGTTTCAAGCAAATGAAAGTCAACCCTCATTATTCATGAGGACTTCAAGTAGGCCATTTTACAAACAAGCTTAAGCACCCTACAAATGGCTTTTTCTTACTACAGAGTTCTTAGGATAAACGTGTTTATACTTTGGCTGAACAGTCACGTGGATATCATAAAGGTGGCGATGGTATGTCACTATCCGGTGAAACTGCTTGCCTTCCTTCATGATTTCCTCAGTCTTTTTTTCAGTAGACATAAGATTTTCCAAAAAGTCTGAATCTTCTAAATATAGCTCATCACCTGAAAAAGGAAAAAATCTGATTTTATTTTTAAATACAAAATTATTTTTCACCATGGCAGAAAGTATAAAATTTTAATTCCATCGAGTATTATTTTATAAATCACTCCAATATACTAATGAAATACAAATCAGTATTTTTATCTATTTCATATGTTTGGAACTGAGATAGTTGTTAAATCAGTATTTATTTTGATCTATTTAATATGTTTGGAACTGAGATAGTTGTTAACTAATCTAATTCTATGAGCTTACCTCAATTTCTTTATTGTGTTTTTTTATCTGTTTTTTGAGATGGAGTCTCACTCTGTTGCCCAGGCTAGAGTGCAGTGGCGCGATCTCGGCTCATTGCAACCTCCACCTCTTGGGCTCAAGCAATTCTCATGCCTCAGCCTCCCGAGTAACTGGGATCACAGGTGTCTGCCACCACGCCTGGTTAATTTTTGTATTGTTAGTAGAGACAGGTTTCGCCATGTTTACCAGGCTGGTCTCAAACTCCTGACCTCAAATGATTCACCCACCTCGGCCTCCCAAAGTGCTGGGATTACAGGCGTGAACTACTGCGCCTGTCCTCTTTCTTGTGTTTTTAATATCCCCTTACAACACCCCAGCCAAGAGTTTTCTTTGGGCCCATAAACATCTGTGACTGGTATGTTTCCACTGTGAACTGTAACTATTATACCAGTTCATGACTCTCTTTATTCTATTCAATACTGATATTAAGATTGGCCTTGATATTCATATACTTTTGATGTTTCAAAGTGGGCTGTTCTTATCATCTTCAGGTTAATTTAGAGAAATTCCATCAAAACTGCTAAATTTTCCCACTGTAGGTTGAGTAATAAATCTTTTTTTTTTTTGAGATGGAGTTTCGCTCTTGTTGCCCAGGCTGGAGTGCAATGGCGCAATCTCAGCTCACCACAACCTCTGCCTCCTGGGTTCAAGTGATTCTCCTGCCTCAGCCTCCCAAGTAGCTGGGATTATAGGCATGCGCCCCCATGCCCAGCTAATTTTGTATTATTAGTAGAGACGGGATTTCTCCATGTTGGTCAGGCCGGTCTCGAACTCTCGCCCTTAGGTGATCCACCCGCCTCAGCCTCCCAAAGTGCTGAGATTACACGTGTGAGCCACCGCGCCCAGCCTTTTGTTTTGTTTTGTTTTTGACAGAGAGTGTCGCTCTGTCGCCCAGGTTAGAGTGCAGTGGCATGATCTTGGCTCACTGCAACCTCTACCTCCTGGGTTCAAGTGATTCTCCTGCCTCAGCCTCCTGAGCAGCTGGGATTACAGGTGTGTGCCACCATGCCTGGCTAATTTGTTTTTTTTTTTTTTTTTTGTATTTTCAGTTGAGATAGAGTTAACATTTTACTTTATTTTCTTCATAATTTCATAATTCATAATTTCAATTGAAATTATGTCCAACTGAAAAAAAAAAACAAAGTTGGCTGGGCACAGTGGCTCATGCCTATAATCCCAGAATTTGGGGAGGCTGAGGCGGGCGGATCACCTGAGGTCAGGAGTTCAAGACCAGCCTGGCCAACATGGTGAAACCCTGTCTCTACTAATAATACAAAAAAATTAGCCAGGCGTGGTGGCACATGCCTGTAATTCCAGCTACTCGGGAGGCTGAGGCAGAAGTATCGCTTGAACCCAGGAGGCAAAGGTTGCAGTGAGCCCAGATTGCACTCCAGCCTGGGTGACAAGAGCAAAACTCTGTCTCAAAAAAAAAGCTCCCTAATTCAAATTAGATGACAACTTACGAGTTCTCGTAATTCAAACTTAAAATGCAAAAAAGTGAGAAATCAGCCAGGCATGGTGGCTCATGACTGTAATCCCAGCACTTTGGGAGGCCAAGGCGGGTGGATCACAAGGTCAAGAGTTCAAGACCAGCCTGGCCAAGATGGTGAAACCCCGTATCTACTAAAAAAAAAATACAAAGATTAGCCGGGCACAGTGGTGGGCACCTGTAATCCCAGCTTCTTGGGAGGCTGAGGCAGAGAATTGCTTGAACCTGGGAGGTGGAGGTTGCAGTGAGCCAAGATTGTGCCACTGCACTCCAGCCTGGGTGACAGAGGGAAACTGTCTCAGAAAAAAAAAAAAAAAGTGAGAAATTATATGAGAAAGACCTTTGTCAATGTCTAGGAAATATATTAATATAAATGTATGTGTATGTATATGACATTATGCAGAATTTCTGGTTATAATAATATGGATATTTTATAGGCTTTGATCTTACTTAGCTAATACCCTGTAGATTACAAAACACAGACTGTAATTCCTGTCTCTACGTTGGGCAATACAGCCATGCAGCCCAGGGCACTGAATGTGAATACTAACAAAAGCACCGATGCTTCACTGGTTTACCTGGTAAAAGATGGACCATCCCATCAGCAGTTAACAAGATGATCGGCAGCCACCTTTCCAGTCCTTCTAATGCACGACCCAAACAAAATTTGTGCAAGTCAGAGAGAGAGGCAAAGTTTGCAAGTCTTCTCACTTCGTAGAACTGTGGGGGTGGCAACCAAATTTCTTTTGATAAGAAACTTTCAGTTGCCTCTGATGGAGATGACCACTGTGAAAGACAAAGGCAGGGTTTCTTAAGGTTTATGCCATAGACAATGTGAGACTTGAGACAGTCAGACCAGTACCTAAGGTAGAACTGAATGTGTAAAATGAATTCATTAATGCGCCCTGTGAGATCCCTCAAAGACAACATGAAAAGATTCAGTGAAGAAAGCTGGGTTGATCCTCTTAAGAGGTTGCTTATTAGGACACTGATCCTCAGAACTAGTAAATAAACCAGGGCAGACCCCTGAGGCTTGACCTGGGAGAGCTGTTCAGCATAAGAGGTGGGAGATGCAGAGAGGGTAAGGTGGTTCCGGTCCCTGCTGAAAGAAGAAAGACTCTGAAGGGTAAACTCATCACAGTAGATGGAGAATTTGGTGCCTGTTCATTCCTCTGGGAAATGGGTACTTGGCTAGATCCTGAGGATATAATGATGGACACCACAAAGCTCTCCTAGGCCCTATGGGGACTTCAGCAACCAAAATGCTTTGTGATGTGGTGATGTGTGCCACATGGTACAACGGCGGTGAAGCATCAGGAGCAACAGCAGCTTTCAGGAAGTCACCTGGCATGACTCAGCCTACAGTCAAGAGAGTAATAACTTGGTAGGGTTTCAGCCAGGCAGTATTTGCCCGGAAAACTTCAGTGGCTTCATTCTACAACCTCCTCTCCTTCCTGAGCCTTCTTTCCATAGACATTTAGATAAAAAGAGCTGATTCAATGGATATGGAATAACCTCAAAGGTTGTTCTTTTTTTTTTTTTTTGAGACGGAGTCTCGCTCTGTCACCCAGGCTGGAGTGCAGTGGCCCGATCTCGGCTCACTGCAAGCTCCACCTCCTGGGTTCACGCCATTCTCCTGCCTCAGCCTCCCAAGTAACTGGGACTACAGGCGCCCACCACCACACCCGGCTAATTTTTTGTATTTTCAGTAGAGACGGGGTCTCACTGTGTTAGCCAGGATGGTCTCGATCTCCTGACCCCATGATCCACCCGCCTCGGCCTCCCAAAGTGCTGGGATTACAGTCGTGATTTTTTTTTTTTTTTTGACCGAGTACTCTCTGTCGCCCAGGCTGGAGTGCAGTAGCGCAATCTTGGCTCACTGCAACCTCTACTTCCCGGGTTCAAGCAATTCTCTGCCTCAGCCTCCCAAGTAGCTGGAACTACAGGCACCCGCCACCATCGTGGCTAATTTTTGTATCTTTTTTTTTTTTTTGAAACGGAGTCTTGCTCTGTCTCCCAGGCTGGACTGCAGTGGTGTGATCTCAGCTCACTGCAAGCTCTGCCTCCTGGGTTCATGCCATTCTCCTGCCTCAGCCTCCCGAGTAGCTGGGACTACAGGTGCCTGCCACCACGCCCGGCTAATTTTTTGTATTTTTAGTAGAGACGGGGTTTCACCGTGTTCACCAGGATGGTCTCGATCTCCTGACTTTGTGATCCACCCGCCTCGGCCTCTCAAAGTGCTGGGATTACAGGCGTGAGCCACCGCGCCCGGCCTAATTTTTGTATCTTTAGTAGAGATGGCATTTCACCATCTTGGCCAGGCTGGTCTTGAAATCCTGACCTCGTGATCCACCCACCTCGGCCTCCCAAAGTGCTGGGATTACAGGTGTGAGCCACCGCGCCTGGCCATAAGGTTGTTCTTTACTTGGTTTACTAAATATCCACTTATACACCTAGGAGAAACTGATTCTCGCCCCCAAGCCCTGGGATTTGGAATTGATTTCTGCTTTAGATGACTGTAGGTCAAAGGTTTGCAAGCTCGTACATGCTTAAACATTGACTGAGAAGTCTGTGAAGCCTTCACATTCCCAGGGCCCTGGTATGGTGTCCAGCAATCTATGAGTTCAGTGAGTCCCCTAATCATTCTGCAGGTGGCCAAAATGGCATTTAAAAAACAGAGCCCTGGGCCTCAAAGGACCACCCAATCTCTCTATGTTATTTCCAAGGCAACCGTATGAGTTCAGTGATAACAACGAAGACAAAGGGTTAAATGGCAGGCATCAACCCACTTAATCCAACCTGTTCAGGTGAGTCCAGACCACAGGTTACAATACCTTATCACTTACTGATTACTTCTTACTAGTAAAGCATTGTACAAAATGCAATGCTTTCCTGCTGAGTGCAGTGGCTCACGCCTGTAATCACAGCCACCTGGGAGGCTACAATGGGAGGTGAGTCCTACCATGGCCAGGGTTACTGCTTAAAGGGAATTCCCAGACTGCAACCCAAGGAGCAAGAGACTAATCAGAGCCTGGGATTTTCACTGACTTGAGACACAGCTTGAATTTTGGGAAGCCCATACAGCAGAATTTGGGAAGCAGCATACAGTAGTCTCCCCTTATGCAAGAGGAATACTTTCCCAGATCCCTAGTGGACGCATGAAATCAAGGAAGTGCTAAGCCTTATACAAACTATGCTCTTCCTACACATACACACCTATGATAAAATTTAATTGATGAATTAGGCCCAGTAAGATATTAACAATAACTTATTATTATTATCATTTTGAGATGGAGTTTCGCTTTTGTTACCCAGGCTGGAGTGCAATGGCGTGATCTCTGCTCACTGCAAACTCCACCTCCTGGGTTCAAGCGATTTTCCTGTCTCAGCCTCCCGAGTAGCTGGGATTACAGGCATTTGCCACTACACCTGGCTAATTTTGTATTTTTAGTAGAGACGGGGTTTATTCCTGTTGGTCAGGCTGGTCTCGAACTCCCGACCTCAGGTAATCTGCCCGCCTCGGCCCCCAAGGGGTTGGGATTACAGGCATGAGCCACCGTGCTCAGCCAACAATAACTTATAATAAACTAGAACAATGATAACAATTCGTGTAGTAAAAGTTGGTGAATGTGGTCTCTCTCTCTCTCTCCAAATATCTTAATATTTTCAGACCTTGGTTGACTGAGGGTAACTCAAACCATGGAAAGAGAAACCAGGGATAAAGCTGTACCTGAGAGGAAAGACCTACAGAGTAGAGCTCTAGAAATCTGTGTAGGGTGCACTTGAATCTTTGCTCAACACTTATCTATGTATGCATAAGGTGAAACCACATGAGACCAGGAAAGAATGATGCCTCTTTTTTTTCCTATTATTAGTATTTTACTTTATTCACCATTGTATACATAAGGAGAGAATGATTTCTGAAGAAAGAACAATTACCTGAGAGCCTTAAGATTAAACTCCCAGAGGTCACCTGGGGCCAAGGATTATTCGAATTCCTTCCAATCACAGTGGAGAGATCATGTTGAACACAAGCAGCACTCAAGTAGACCTTATGAGGGTCATACATTTAGAAGTGCAGCTAATGACCAGGTGCAGTGGCTCATGCCTGTAATCCCAGCACTTTGGGAGGCAGAGGTGGGTGGATCACCTGAGGTCAGGAGTTCAAGACCAACCTGGCCAACATGGTGAAACTCGGACTCTACTAAAAATACAAAAATTAGCCAGGCATGGTGGCATGTGCCTGCAATCCCAGCTACTCAGGAGGCTAAGGCATGAGAATCACCTGAACCAGGGAGGAGGAGGTTGCAGTGAGCCAAGACCACGCCACTGCACTCCAGCCTGGGTGGCAGAGTGAAAGTATGTCTCAAAAAAAAAAAAAAAGTGCAGCTAAATTAGCTCTAGAATAAAGGCTACTATAGGCCCATGCTAAAATCACTTAAAATCATTTAAAATTAAACCTCAAGACAATTAAGGTAATTTGCAATCACTTAACTGCTTGCTAGGAAATGTCCAATACTCTCTTTTTGTTTTTCTTTTTTTTTTTTGAGACAGAGTCTCGCTCTGTCACCCAGGCTGGAGTGCAGTGCTGTGATCTCATCTCACTGCAACCTCTGCCTCCTGGGTTCAAGCGATTCTCCTGCTTCAGCCTCCAGAGTAGCTAGAACTATAGGCGCCCACCACCATGACTGGCTAATTTTTTTGGTATTTTTAGTAGAAATGGGGTTTCACAATGTTGGCAAGGCTGGTCTTGAACTGCTGACCTCGTGATCCACCCACCTTGGCCTCCCAAAGTGCTGGAGTTACAGGCGTGAGTCACTGCACCCAGCCAAGTTCCAATACTTTTTTTTTTTTTTTTTTTTTTGAGATGAAGTCTTGCTCTTGTCCCCCAGGCTGGAGTGCGATGGCGTGATCTCGGCTCACTGCATCTCTGCCTCCCAGGTTCAACCGATTCTTCTGCCTTGGCCCCCCAAGTAGCTGGGATTACAGGTGCCTGCCACCATGCCCAGCTAATTTTTGTATTTTTACTTGAGACGGGGTTTCACCATGTTGGCCAGGCTGGTCTAGAACTTCTGACCTCAGGTGATCTACCCGCCTTGGCCTCCCAAAGTGCTGGGATTATAGGTGTGAACCACCATGCCCGGCCCAAAGTCCAATACTCTTTAAGGAATGTGACAAGATTCAGCACTCAACAACATAAAGTCACAATATCCAACATTCAATAAAAATTGCAAGACATGATGAAGTGGGAAAACGTCATCCAAAACTAGAAAAAAAATAAGTCAACAGAAACAGACCCAGAAATTATAGCAAGGATTAAGTTAGCAGAAAAGGGCATTAAAAACAATGCTGTAAAGATACAAAGGAAAAGATCAACATGATGAAAGAAATAAAAAATATTACCTGCAAGAGGCTGGGCATGGTGGCTCACGCCTGTAATCCCAGTACTTTGGGAGGCCAAGGCAGGCGGATCACAAGGTCAGGAGTTCGAGACCAGCCTGACCAACATGGCGAAACCCCGTCTCTACTAAAAATGCAAAACTTAGCTGGGCATGGTGGCATGCGCCTGTAATCCCAGCTACTCAGGAGGCTGAGGCAGGAGAATTGCTTGAATCTGGGAGGCAGAGGTTGCAGTGAGCCAAGATCGTGCCATTGCACTCCAGCCTGGGCGGCAGAGCAAGACTCTGTCTAAAAAAAAAAAAAAAGTTACCTGCAAGAGTGGTAACAGACCTCTCCTAAGAAATTTATGCAAACTAGCAAATAAGGGAGCAATATTTTTAGGTACATAAGGAAAAAAACCTATCAACCTAGAATTTTATACCTAGCCAAAGTATCTTTCAAAAACAAAGGCAAAATAGTTATTTTCAAGCAAGCAAAAGTTAGAGGATTCATTGTCACAGGATCTATACTACAAGAAATATTAGAGAAACTTCTTTAGGCAGAAGGATACCAGAGATAGATTTAGAGCTACACAAAGGAATAAAGAGTGCTAAAAATAGTAAATATGTGGCTGGGCATGGTGGCTCATGCCTGTGATCCCAGCACTTTGGGAGGCCCAGCTGGGTGGATCACCTGAGGTCAGGAGTTTGAGATCAGCCTGGCCAACATGGTGAAAACTCATCTCTACTAAAAGTACAAAAAGTAGCTGGGCATGGTGGTGGGTGCCTGTAATCTCAGCTACTCGGGAGGCTGAGGCAGGAGAATCACTTGAACCAGAGAGGCGGAGGTTGTAGTGAGCCAAGATCATGCCACTGCACTCCAGCCTGGGTGACAGAGTGAGACTCCGTCTCAAAAAAAAAAAAAAAAAAAAAAAAAAAAAAAAGGCTGGGCACAGTGGCCCACACCTGTGATCTCAACATTTTGGGAGGCTGAGGCAGGTGGATCACCTGAGGTCAGGAGTTCAAGACCAGCCTGACCAACATGGAGAAACCCCATCTCTACTGAAAATACAAAATTGGCTGGCCATGGTGGGTGCATGCCTGTAATCCTAGCTACCTGGGAGGCTGAGGCAGGAGAATCACTTGAACCCAGAAGGCAGAGGCTGTGGTGAGCTGAGATGGCACCATTGCACTGCAGCCTGGGGAACAAGAATGAAACTCCATCTCAATAAAAAAATAGTAAATATGCAGGTAAACATAAGACATTTTTTCTCATTAAGACTGATGGTCTAGGCTGGGTGTGGTGGCTGATGCCTGTAATCCCAGCACTTTGGGAGGCCGAGGTGTGCGGATTACCTGAGGTTGGGAGTTCGACAGCAGCCTGACCAACACGGAGAAAACCCGTTTCTCCTAAAAATACAAAATCAGCTGGGCGTGGTGGCGTATGCCTACAATCCCAGCTACTGGGGAAGCTGAGGCAGGAGAATCACTTGAACCCAGGAGGTGGAGGTTGCAGTGAGCCAAGATCATGCCACTGCACTCTAACCTGGGCAACAAGAGTGAAACACTGTCTCAAAAAAAAAAATTGATGGTCTAAAGCAAAAATAATCACAGTGTATTGTAGAGTTTATAATAAAAGTCAAATGTATGACAACAATAGCATAAAGGACAGGAGGGAACAAATAAGTATATTGCTGCAAGGTTCTAACTCTATAAACGAAATGAAAAATGTATATTGCAAATTTTAGAGCAACTACAAAGAGACATAGTTAATAAGTTAATAATGGAAATAAAACAGTCATAAGAAAAACAGTACAAATAGATGGGAACAAAAAATGAGCAGTAAGATGGTAGATATGAATCTAACCTTATTGACAATAACAAATTTAAATAAACACTCCAACTAAAAAGCAAAAGTTTTTATATTGGATAAAAAGCAAGACTATATGCTGCCTGCAAGAAACACACTTTTTTTTCTCTTTTTGGAGATGGAGTCTCGCTCTGTCACCCAGGCTGGAGTGCAGTGGCATGATCTTGGCTCACTGCTACCGCTGCCTCCTGGGTTCAAGCAATTCTCCTGTCTCCACCTGTGTGAGGGTTCAGTCAGGCTGGTGGGAAAAAATTTAGTTATAATAGCCAGAAACCCTCTTGGAAGGCCTGAGAGTTGCATAACTTCGGTAACAGATCTGGCTGAAGGCAGCCTAGTCCGCTTACCTTTAATTAAATAAATTAAAGTAGATACAAAGGAATGTGGGGAGTTTATCTAACTAGCTTGTTTACTCATGTGGTCCTAAGACTAACCTTGGATCTACCGCAGGTGCTTAATTGCTTTCTATCTGGGATGTCTGCAAGGTCAATTACCCTCTAATGGTGTTGACTCAAGCCTTTGTCAATTAATCTTTACTGAATAAACATGAGTCTGGCTGGCTGGTCAAGGCCCAGGTCGCAACTTTTTACAGCACTCTCCTGGGAGTCTGTAAGTAGCCCTGATGCTCAGTCAGACTGGCAAAGCAGAGTATCTGTATCAGTGCACGTTATTCATCCATCATTGGGTCAGGGTCTGCAGGACAGACCCCCGCACACCTGGATAATTTTTGTATTTTTAATATAGATGGGGTTTCGCTATGTTGCTGGGCTGGTCTCAAACTCCTGAACTCAGGTGATCAGCCCTCCTTGGCCTCCCAAAGTGTTGGGATTATAGGTGTAAGCCACTGCACCCAGCCAGAAACACACTTTAAATAATAAAGACACAGATAGTTTAAAAGGATAGAAAAATATACTAACATGAATCAAAAGAAAGTCAGAGGGGCTATATTAATATCAAACAGAGTAAACTTCAGATTTCAGAATAAAGATTATAACCAGGAATAAAGAAGGATATTTCATAATCATCAAAGAGTTAATCCATGAACTTTTAAAAGTCCTAAATGTAGATACAGTCAGTACCTTACATGGGAGCTTCAAAATACATGAAGCCAAATCTGATAGAACTAAAAGGTGAAAAAGACAACTCCACAATTATTAGTTGAAGATTTCCACATTCCTCTCTCAGCACCTGATGAAACAAGGAAATGATATAGAAGACTTGCAAGACTGGCCAGGCACAGTGGCTCACGCCTGTAATCCCAGCACTTTGGGAGGCCCAGACAGGTGGATCACCTGAGGTCAGGAGTTGGCCTGACCAACCCAGTGAAACCCGTCCCTACTAAAAATACAAAAATTAGCTAGGCATGGTGGCAGGCGCCCGTAATCCCAGCTGCTTGGGAGACTGAGGAAGGAGAATCGCTTGAACCTGGGAGGCAGAGGTTTCAGTGAGCCAAGATCAGACCACTGCATTCCAGCCTGGGTGACAGAGCAAGACTCTGTTTCAAAAAAAAAAAAAAAAAAAAAAAACCTGCAAGATGCTATGAACAACTCAACCTAATTTTACATTTTTACCAAAATACCAACAAATAGCAGAATACATATTCTTCTTAGGTGCAAAGGGAACATTCACCAAGATAGAACATATTCATGGCCATAAAACAAGTCTCAATAATTTTTTTTTTTTTTTGAGAAAGGGCCTGACTCTGTTGTCCAGGCTGAAGTGCAGTGGTGTGATCATAGCTCACTGCAGCCTCAACCTCCCAGGCTCAAGGGATCCTCTCACCTCAGCTTCCTCAGTAACAGGAACCACAGGCATGTACCACCATGCCCAGCTAAGTTTTAAAATTTTTTCTAGATATGAGGTCTTAGTATGTTACAGTCCAGGCAGGTCTTGAGTTCTTGAGCTCAATTGATCCTCTGGCCTTCTTCTCCCAAAATGCTGAGATTATAGGTATCAGTCACTGTACTGGCCAATAAATTTTAAAAGACTGAAACTGGCCAGGCACAGTAGCTTATGCCAATAATCCCCAAGACTTTGGGAGGCTGAAGCTGGACGGTCGCTTGAGGCCAGGAGTTCAAGACCTCCCTGAGCAACATAGTGAGATCCGGTCTCTACAAAAAATAAAACAATTAGCCAAGCGTGGTTGCAGGTGCCTGTGGGCCCAGCTACCCGGGAAGCTGAGACGAGAATCACTTCAGCCCAGTGAGAGGTGAAGCCAGCTGGACTTCCTGGGTCGAGTGGGGACTTGGAGAACTTTTCTGTCTAGCTAAAGGTTTGTAAATGCACCAATCAGCACTCTGTAAAAATGCACCAATCAGCACTCTGTGTCTAGCTCAAGGTTTGTAAACGCACCAATCAGTACTCTGTAAAAACGCACCAATCAGCACTCTGTGTCTAGCTAAAGGTTTGTAAATACACCAATTAGCACTCTGTAAAAACGGACCAATCAGCACTGTGTAAAATGGACCACTCAGCACTCTGTAAAATGGACCAATCAGCGCTCTGTAAAATGGACCAATCAGCAGGATGTGGGCAGGGCCAAATAAGGGAATAAAAGCTGGCCACCCAAGCCAGCAGCAGCAACCCGCTCGGGTCCCTTTCCATGCTGTGGAAGCTCTGTTCTTTTGCTCTTCGCAATAAATCTTGCTGCTGCTCACTCTTTGGGTTTACACTACCTTTATGAGCTGTAACACTCACCGCGAAGGTCTGCAGCTTCACTCCAAGCCAGCGAGACCAGGAACGCACCAGGAGGAACAAACAACTCCAGACATGCCACCTTTAAGAGCTGTAACACTCACTGCAAAGGTCTGTGGCTTCACTCCTAAAGTCAGTGAGACCACGAACCCAACGAAAGAAACTCCGGACACATCTGAATATCTGAAGGAACAAACTCCAGACACACCATCTTTAAGAACTGTAACACTCACCGCAAGGGTCTGCAGCTTCATTCTTGAAGTCAGCGAAACCAAGAACCCACCAGAAGGAACCAATTCTGGACACATTTTGGTGACCACGAAGGGACTATTACCTATCACTAAGCGGTGAGTGCCTTTGGACCCCTTTCGCTTGCTATTCTGTCCTATTTTTCCTTAGAATTTGAGAGCTAAATATGGGGACATGTTGGCCAGTTAAAAGCGACTAGTGTGGCTGCTGAACTAAAGACACGGGTGTCAGGCTTTCTGGGAAAGGGCTAACAACCCCCGACTCTTCGGAGTGGGGAGCGTTGGTTTGCCTGGAACCAGCTTCTGCTTTTCCTGTACTTCTGGGCTGAGCCGAGGGTCGACAGCGAGGAAAGCCATTCAGCTCCGGGGTCCCGACAACAAGTTGGTTGACCCTGCAGCCATGAATGGAACTCTGAAAGTCACGTCGCACAGGCGAGACTCACCCATCTATCCTATCTATCCTGACCCTTGCCTCCTGGGTCCTAATGCCTGTCAGACAAACTTCCTCTCGCCTTTCTTTGAGGCTAGTCCCACTTCTAAAAACCACTCCATCTCTGGTGCTTTTCTAGTTTCTCCTGTAAGAATGATTTCTAGGATAAACTTCAGGACTCTGTTACCTTCTTTAGACACCCGGGCTCACCAATCAGAAAGACACAGTTTTTGCTCAAAGCCCCATCGTAGGGGGGATTATCTGGAATTTTAGAATCCCTCCTCAGAAAAGCAGGCCTAACAAAAGCTATTCCTGAAACTAGGATATCGGGAGCCTCAGAAATTGTATCCTTCCTATTCATATAACTGGGGATAAAAGGCTTCACTCTTCCAACTCTGGAGATCCCTTCCCTCCCTCAGGGTATGGCCCTCCACTTCATTTTGGGGGCATAACATCTTTATAGGACATGGGTAAGGTCCCAATACTAACAGGAGAATGCTTAGGACTCCAACAGTTTTCCAAGAATGCATCAGTAAGGGCCACTAAATCTGATTTTTCTCAGTCCTCTTTGAGGTCTAGGAGGACAGGAAAGGGCGCAGGTTTTCGAGAATGTGTTGGTAAGGGCCACGAAATCTGACCTTCCTCATTCCTCCTTGTGGTCTAGGAGAACTAGTGTTTCTGCTGCTGTGTCAGTGAGCACAACCATTCTGATCAGCAGGGTCCAGGGACTGTTGCGGGTTCTTGGGCAGGGGTTGTTTCTGCTGCTGCGTTGGTGAGCACAACTACTCCAATCAGCAGGGTCCGGGGACTGTTGCAGGTTCTTGGGCAAGAGGTGTTTCTGCTGCTGCATTGGTGAGCACAACTATTCCGATCAGCAGGGTCCAGGGACCGTTGCAGGTTCTTGGGCAGGGGGAGAAACAAACAAACCAAAACCACAGGCGGTTTTGTCTTTCAGATGGGAAACACTCAGGCATCAACAGGCTCACCCTTGAAATGCATCCTAAGCCACTGGGACCAATTTGACCCACAAACCCTGAAAAAGAGGTGGCTCATTTTTTTCTATACTACAGCCTGGCCCCAATTTCTCTCTCTGATGGGGAAAAATGGCCACCTGAGGGAAGTATAAACTACAGTACTATCCTGCAGCCTGACCTTTTCTGTAAGAGGGAAGGCAAATGGAGTGAAATACCTTATGTCTAAGTTTTCTTTTCATTGAAGGAGAATACCCAAGTATGCAAAGCTTGCAATTTACATCCCACAGGAGGACCTCTCAGCTTACCTCCATATCCTAGCCTCCCTATAGCTCCCCTTCCTATTAATGATAATCCTCCTCTAATGTCCGCTGCCCAGAAGGAAATAAGCAAAGAAATCTCCAAAGGATCACAAACGCCCCCTTCCCGGGCTATCGGTTATGTCCCCTTCAAGCTGTAGGGGGAGCGGAATTTGGCCCAACCTAGGTACATGTTCCCTTCTCCCTCTCTGATTTTAAGCAGATCAAGGCAGACCTTGGGAAGCTTTCAGATGATCTTGATAGGTATACAGATGTCCTACAGGGTCGAGGGCAAACCTTCTATCTCACTTGGAGAGATGTCATGCTAGTGTTAGATCAAACCCTGGCCTTTAATGAAAAGAATGTGGCTTTAGCTGCAGCCCAAGAGTTTGGAGATACCTGGTATCTTAGTCCAGTAAATGATAGAATGACAGTTGAAGAAAGGGACAAATTCCTTACTAGTCAGCAAGCCGTATGTCAGTAAGTCAGTATGGATCCCCACTGGGACCTCGACTCAGATCATGGGGACTGGAGTCGTAAACATCTGCTGACTTGTGTTCTAGAAGGACTAAGGAGTATTAGGAAAAAGCCCATGAATTATTCAATGATGTCCACCATAACTCAGGGAAAGGAAGAAAATGCTTCTGCCTTCCACGAGCAGCTACGGGAGGCCTTAAGAAAATACACTCCCCTGTCACCCGACTCACTTGAGGGTCAATTGATCCTAAAAGACAAGTTTATTACCCAATCATCTGTGGATATCAGGAGAAAGCTCCAAAAGCGAGCCCTGGGCCCTGAACAAACTCTGGAAGCATTATTAAACCTGGCAACCTCAGTGTTCTATAATAGGGACCAAGATGGACAGGCCCAAAA
This sequence comes from Homo sapiens, assembly GCF_000001405.40. Taxonomy (NCBI): domain Eukaryota; kingdom Metazoa; phylum Chordata; class Mammalia; order Primates; family Hominidae; genus Homo; species Homo sapiens. Next base: position 32,697,210 of record NC_000019.10, on the reverse strand, counting down.
GTAAAAGTGAGATAATAGAAAGGCCGCAGACTTAGTCATGGCCCTCAGACAAACAAACCTTGGTGGTTCAGAGGGGACAGAGAATGGAGCAGGCCAATCACCTGGTAGGGCTTGTTATCAGTGTGGTTTACAAGGACACTTTTTAAAAAAAAGATTGTCCTATGAGAAACAAGCTGCCCCCTCGCCCATGTCCACTATGCCGAGGCAATCACTGGAAGACACACTGCCCCAGAGGACAAAGGTTCTCTGGGACAGAAGCCACCAACCAGATGATGCAACAAGACTGAGGGTGCCCAGGGAAAGCACCAGCTCATGTCATCACTCTCACTGAGTCCTGGGTATGTATAACCATTGAGGGCCAGGAAATTGACTTCCTCCTGGACACTGGCGTGGCTTTCTCAGTGTTAATTTCCTGTCTTGGAGCTGTCCTCAAGGTCTGTTACCATCCGAGGAATCCTGGGACAGGCTGTAACCAGGTATTTCTCCCACCTCCTCAGTTGTAATTGGGAGACTTTGCTCCTTTCACATGCCTTTCTTGTTATGCCTGAAAGTCCCACACCCTTATTAGGGAGGGATATATTAGCCAAAGCTGGAGCTATTATCTACATGAATATGGGGAACAAGTTACCCATTTGTTGTCCCCTGCTTGGGGAGGGAATCAACCCTGAAGTCTGGGCATTGGAAGGAACAAACTCAAGCTCTAGCCTTAAGCCTTCCCACAGGACGAAACTTTTCTTTAAACGTCACAGAGAGAGCAGGAATAGCTCTTGGGGTCCTTACTCAGACTCATGGGACAACTCCACAACCAGTGGCATACCTAAGGAAACTGATACAGTAGCAAAAGGCTAGACTAACTGTTTAGGGGTAGTTGTGGCAGTGGCTGTCTTAGTGTCAGAGGCTATCAAAATAATACAAGGAAAGGATCTCACTGTCTGGACTACTCATGATGTAAATGGCAAACTAGGTGCCAAAGGAAGTTTATGGCTATCAGAAAACCACCTGCTTAGATACCAGGCACTACTCCTTGAGTGACCAGTGCTTCAAGTGCATACATGTGTGGCCCTCAGCCCTGCCACTTTTCTCCCAGAGGATAGGGAGCGGGTCAAGCATGGCTGCCAACAGGTAGTAGTCCAGACTTATGCCGCCTGAAAGGATCTCTTAGAAGTCCCGTTAGCTAATCCTGACCTTAACCTATATACCGATGGAAGTTCATTTGTGGAAAATGGGATACGAAGGGCAGGTTATGCCACAGTTAGTGATGTAACCGTACTTGAAAGTAAACCTCTTCCCCCAGGGACCAGCACCCAGTTAGCAGAACTAGTGGCACTTACCCGAGCCTTAGAACTGGGAAAGGAAAAAAGAAAAAACGTGTATACAGATAGCAAGTATGCTTATCTAATCCTACATGCCCATGCTGCAATATGTAAAGAAAGAGCGTTCCTAACCTCTGGGGGAACCCCCATTAAATACCACAAGGAAATCATGGAGTTATTGCACTCAATGCAAAAACCCAAGGAGGTGGCAGTCTTACACTGCCGAAGCCATCAAAAAGGGGAAGGAGAAGGGAGAACGGCAGCATAAGCGGCTGGCAGAGGCAGGGAAAGACCAGCAGAGAGAAAGAGGCAAAGTCAAAGACAGAAGGAAAGAGAGGAAGAGACAAAGGAGTCAGAGAGAAAGAGATAGAAGTAGTAAAGAAAAAACAGTGCACCCTATTCCTTTAAAAGCCAGGGTAAATTTAAAATATATAATTCATGCCTGTAATCCCAGCACTTTGGGAGGCCAAGGCGGGCAGATCATGAGGTCAGGAGTTTGAGACCAACTTGGCCAACATGGTGAAACCCCGTCTCTACTAAAAATACAAAAATTAGCCAGGTGTGGTGGCGGGCGCCTGTAATTCCAGCTACTCCAGAGGCTGAGGCAGGAGAATTGCTTGAACCCGGGAAGCAGAGGTTGCGGTGAGCCTAGATCATGCCACTGCACTCCAGCCTGGGTGACAGGGCAAGACTCCATCTCCAAAAAAATAAAAATGAAAAATAAAACCTACAATTGATAATTGAAGGTCTTCTCTGTAACCCTGTAACACTCCAATACCACCTTGTTGTCAGTGTAAACAAGGGCATAGCCCAAAAGCACTGAGGCCACTGACAACCTGTAGCCTTCCTATCAAAAATCCTTAACCCAGCAGGTTCCTAACAGGGGATCTAAATCTGAAGGTCTGACCAGACATAGGAGGAACCCCCTTCAGGACAGGATGATAGATGTTTCCTCCTGGGCGATTAAGGAAAAAGACACAATGGGTACTCAGTACGTGATAAGGAAACTCTTACAGAAGCAGAGTTAGGAAAATTGCCTAATAATTGGTCTGCTCAAATGTGCAAGCTGTTTGCACTCAGCCAAACCTTAAAGTACTTACAGAATCAGGAAGGAGCCATCTATACCAATTTTAAGTGAATATGGACTGAACGAGGTCTTATTAATAGCAAAGAATAATTGAAATCCCAAACTTAAGGTTTTCAACAAAAGTAAAGTTTGCTAAAAGTTAACAGTGTAACACATATTATCCTAACTTCTAATCTTATGGACATCAGACCCTATCAGTGCCCCTCAAAGCTCAAGTCCATCAGCACAGGGCCATACAACTGATACCCCTACTTATAGGGCTAGAAATGGCCACTGCTACAGGAACCGGAATAGCCAGTTTATCTACTTCATTATCTTACTACCACACACTCTCAAAGTATTTCTCAGACAGTTTGCAAGAAATAACAAAATCTATTCAGTAAGGATAGTAACTACAATCCCAAATAGACTCTGGCAGCAGTGACTCTCCAAAACCCCCGAGGCCTAGACCTCCTCACTGCTGAGAAAGGAGGACTTTGCACCTTAGGGGAAGAGTGTTGTTTTTACACTAACAAGTCAGGGATAGTGCAAGATGCCGCCCGGCATTTACAGGAAAAGGTTTCTGAAATCAGACAACGCCTTTCAAACTCTTATACCAACCTCTGGAGTTGGGCAACATGGCTTCTCCCCTTTCTACATCCTGTGACAGCCGTTTTACTATTACTCGCCTTCGGGCCCTGTATTTTTAACCTCCTTGTCAAATTTGTTTCCTCTAGAATCAAGGCCATCAAACTACAGATGGTCTTACAAACGGAAACCCAAATGAGCTCAACTAACAACTTCTACCGAGGACCCCTGGACCGACCCACTGGCCCTTTCACTGGCCTAGAGAGTTCCCCTCTGGAGGACACTACAACTGCAGGGCCCCTTCTTTGCCCCTGTCCAGCAGGAAGTAGCTAGAGCAGTCATTGCCCAATTCCCAACAGCAGATGGGGTGCCCTGTTTAGAGGCGGGATTGAGAGGTGAAGCCCCTGGACTTCCTGGGTCCAGTGGGGACTTGGAGAACTTTTCTGTCTAGCTAAAGATTTGTAAATGCACCAATCAGCACTCTGTAAAAACGCACCAATCAGTGCTCTGTGTCTAGCTAAAGGTTTGTAAATGCACCAATCAGTACTATGTAAAAACGCACCAATCAGTGCTCTGTCTAGCTAAAGATTTGTAAACGCACCAATCCGCACTCTGTAAAAATGGACCAATCAGCACTCTGCAAAATGGACCAATCAGCAGGACATGGGCAGGGCCAAATAAGGGAATAAAAGCTGGCCACCCAGCCACCAGCACCCAACCTGCTCTGATCCCCTTCCGCTGTGGGAGGTTTGTTCTTTTGCTCTTTGCAATAAATCTTGCTGCTGCTCACTCCTTGGGTCCGCACTACCTTTATAAGCTGTAACACTGACCACAAATGTCTGCAGCTTCGCTCCTGAAGCCAGCGAGACCACAAACCCACCAAGAGGAACAAACAACTCCTGACGCACCACCTTTAAGAGCTGTAACACTCACTGCGAAGGTCTGCGGCTTCAATCCTGAAGTCAGCGAGACCACGAACCTACCAGAAGGAAGAAACTCCAGACACATCTGAACATCTGAAGGAAGAAACTGGACACACCATCTTTAAGAACTGTAACACTCACTTCGAGGGTCCGCGGCTTTATTCTTAAAGTCAGCGAGACCAAGAACCCACTGGAAGGAACCAATTCTGGACACACCAGGAGCTGGAGACGAGCCTGGGTGTGCAACACAGAGAGACAAGACCCCCATCTGTACCAAAAATAAATAAAAATAGGAAGACTGGATCATATTAAGTCTGTTCTCCAAGAAAACCAAATTAAACGGCTGTGGAGATGTACTATGTCTACACATGTACAAGTGCTTACACAGTGGCCACGCTGGAGGAACCACGTGGAGAGACAGGCTCCAGGCCTTGAGACCCCAAAGCCTAGGAAAGCAGAGAGCACTTCACCAAGAGCATGGCTTTGGTCTACAGGGGTGAGAGTTTCCAGCCCGTCTAAGCGTTCCTTGCTGCTTAATCTCTCTGGGCTTGGCCTATGCGGGGGTCCCTTGGGGGCCTGGGCCGCTGGGAGGGGTCCTCCCTCTCACGTCCTGGCGGTCCGCAGCAAGGCCCTGAGCAGGCCTTACCTGGTAGCCCACCACCTCCGCCAAGTCGGGGTAGACGGGCGGCGGCTCGCGCAGGCAGCACAGGAAGAAGGCCGTGTCAAAGCGGCGAGTGGTGCCCCGCAAGAAAGGGGTGAGCCAGGCGCTCCAGTTGTGCAGCGCCCAGATGTCGGGTGTGCAGTCGAGGTGGGCGCACAGCCGCAGGAAGTGGCGCGGGTCCTGGCGCACGCGGTCGCGCCAGGAGGCCAGGCCCGGCGGTGGCTCCAGGGCGAGGCCAGGCCCGGGTGCTGGGCCTGGTGGGGAAGTCCTGGGCCGCAGCAGCAGCACGCCCGCCTCCTCAAAGGCCTCCCGCACGGCGCAGATGCGGAAGGCTACGTCCTCAGGCAGCGTCCCAGTGTTGTCGGTCTTGTGGTCATCGGTGTCGGGCAGCGACGGGAAAGCGGTGCGGCTGAATGGCGCCGGGCCCAGGCCGAAGCGCGGCGGCCCGTGGTGCGGCGCGAAGAGGCCCAGCCAGTCCGCCGAGCGGTCGGCCGCATCCAGCACTCCGCCGGAGAAGACGTGCGCGCCCGGCATGAAGCCTTGGTGCGGGGAGCGCTGCAGCAGCAGCAGCCGGAAGCCCTCGGCCGGCGGCGGGCGCGACGGCGGGGTGGCGGTCTCCGGGCGCGACCAGCCAGCCGCCAGGACGATGCTGGCCGCCCGCCGCCAGCGGCTGGGGCCCGGCCGCAGGGAGCTGCTCATGGCGCGCAGCTTCCCGGATCCGATTCTGGCGCGGCCTGAGCTCCACGGCAGGTGGCCCGGCCCTGCAGGGACCCCAGCACCTCCGGGGGCCTCGCGGGAATTGAGGACGAGCCTCTGGCGTTGGGTGAACCTGGGCGTTTGGTCGGCAACGGCGCCTGCCTGTGGGAGGGGCACCCGAGCAGGGACCGCCTCGAGTGCACTGGGGCCCAGCTAGGGCACTCTCGCGGGACAATGGGTGTCACGGCAGCCAGCGACCGTTTGTCATTCACAGCTGCCTGAAAGGAGGACCGCAGTATTCCCACGCAGGAAGCTTGGACCAAAAGCAGGAATGCTTAAGGGCGCATATGACTTGCCATGGTAAAAAACAGGATGCCAACCCAGGCCTGATGACATCCACCTCACTAAAAGCTAAGGACTAGGACTTTCTGCTTTAAACAAGGACCCACATGTGGGTGTTTTCTGTGGGAGAGGGAGAGAGGACATTCGAAGGGCAGAAGTCTGACCTTTGCAAGCACACGTGAACCACACCAATGAGAAATGAATGGACGAGCCAGATGCCAATTTATAAATTTCCTACTGCACACCTTGAATGTGAAAGGTACTCCCAGAGTAATTTCTCTCGTGTTCTGGTTACCTTTTATTGTCAGGGCGCCTGGGGACGGCCTTAGGTGTCTTAGGACATTTGACGAGTTCCACTTTGATGGGAGATGTTTAATCTGGGCCTCCACATGGAGATTTCTCTCCACCTTGTTAGTGTCTAGAAGACTTCCACCTCCAATAGCAGGATTATGATCTTTTGAAAAGCCTGTGTAAATTTGAGTCTTTTCTTTTATAACTCCTTATCAGTCACCGACAGCTTTTCCCATAATTGCTATTATAATTGGATCACACATTTGTTATGTTTTTGGATGAAATACACTATACCCCTGCCGACCCTCACAAACCATCATTTTAATGTGGGTTATTTCCTGGGTAGAATCCACAGATGACATTGTCAATATTTAGGGGTTTTGTTTGTTTTTTTGTTTGAAGAGACCTGGTCTCTGGCCAGGCGCTGTGGCTTACACCTGTAATCCCAGCACTTTGGGAGGCCGAGGTGGTCGGATCACCTGAGGCCAGGACTTCAAGACCAGCATGGCCAACATGGCAAAACCCCGCCTCTACTAAAAATACAAAAATTAGCTGGGTGTGGCGGCCCGCGCCTATAGTTGCAGCTACTCAGGAGGCTGAGGCAGGAGAATCACTTGAATCTGGGTGGAGGTTGCTGTGAGCCAAGATCCTGCCACTGCATTCCGGCATGGGTGACAGAGCGAGACTCTGTCTCAAAAAAATAAATAAATAAATAAAATAAAAATACAGAGCAATGGAGAGAAAGGCACTCAGGTGATTAAAGTAACATGTCTTCAATACTAGGAGTAATAATAATCCTAGGGGATAATAATATTAGTAGTTACTGGGTACAGTGTGTGAGGCACTAGGAACTTTATTAGTATTAGTTGTGTAATTCTTACAAAACCCCATGAAGTGGAAACAGTTACCACTATTTTACAGATGACTAACCATTTATGGAGGGATTAAGGGTCTTAAGAACATACTACTCCCTTTGCTGTAAAATAACACCGTGGTTTTGTAGGTGAATGTGTGTGTTTCAACATCAGCTGGTTTTCACAGAAGCTGGTTACTCATGAGTGAGATGACCAAGTCCTGGTCCTGGGTGCATAGCAAAACAACAGAAACTGAACCTTTTTTTTTTTTGAGAGGGAGTCTGGCGCTCTCACCAGGCTGGAGTGCAGTGGTGCGATCTCGGCTTACTGCAATATCTGCCTCTCGGGTTCAAGCAATTCTCCTGCCTCAGCCTCTGGAGTAGCTGGGATTGCAGGCGCATGCTACTACGCCTGACTAATTTTTGTATTTTTAGCAGAGACAAGGTTTCATCATGTTGGTGAGGCTGGTCTCTAACGCCTGACCTCAAGTGATCTGCCTACCTCAGCCTCCCAAAGTGCTGGGATTACAGGTGTGAGCCACCACACCTGGCAGAAACTGGACCTTAACCAACACAGAACAGTGTCCAAAATGTGCACACTGCCATGACTGTCATATTTGGGGCACTGAGATGACACAATTACAGTTTATGGATTCAGAGATCATGTCATATAAACTCAGTTATCTGAACTGTAGCCAAGAAATGATACAGAAGCAAAGAACTATCCATGAGCATTCAAAGAGATACAGATATCATATTCATATCTAAAGTGCTCTGCTCACAGGATAATTTGTGGATATGTTATTTACCTAATGCTGTTAACAAATTAGTCAAAAACTTGGTGGATTAAATCAATAAACACTTATTGTCCAGGCATGGTGGGTAATGTCTGTAACCCTAACACTTAGGGAGGGCGAGGCGGGAGGATAACTTGAGGCCAGGAATTCAAGACCAGCCTGGGAAACACAGTGAGACCCCTCCTCTTAAAAGAAAATTAGTGGGGAGGTGCAGTGGCTCACGCCTATAATCACAGCACTTTGGGAGGCCAAGGTGGGCGGATCACAGGTCAGGAGATCGAGACCATCCTGGCTAACACGGTGAAACCCCATCTCTACTAAAAATACAAAAAATTAGCCGGGTGTGGTGGCAGGCGCCTGTAGTCCCAGCTACTCAGGAGGCTGAGGCAGGAGAATGGCAAGAACCCGGGAGGCAGAGCTTGCAGTGAGCTGAGATTGCGCCACTGCACTCCAGCCTGGGTGACAGAGTGAGACTCCGTCTCAAAAAAAAAAAAAAGAAAAAGAAAATTAGCTGGGTGTGGTATCACATGCCTGTAGTCCCAGCTACTCAAGAGGCTGAGATGGGAGGATCGCTTGGGCCCAGGAGTTGGAGGCTGCAGTGAGCCATGATCACGCCACTGCACTCCGACCTGGGTGACAGAGCAAGACTCTGCCTCAAAAGAAAAAAAAAGATGGGGCACAGTGGCTCACACCTGTAATCCCAGCACTTTGGGAGGCCGAGGTGGGTGGATCACCTGAGGTCACAAGTTTGAGGCCAGCCTGGCCAACATGGTGAGACCCCGTCTCTACTAAAAATACAAAAAATAAAAATAAAAATTAGCTGGGTGTGGTCGTGGGCACCTGTAATCCCAGCTACTCGGGAGGCTGAGGCAGGAGAATCGCTTGAACCCGGGAGGCAGAGGTTGCAGTGAGCTGAGATAGTGCTACTGCACTGCAGCCTAGGTGAGAGAGCAAGACTCTGTTTCAAAATCAAAAGCAAAACAAAACAAAAAAAACAAGAAAAACAAACAAAAAACAATGGACATTGATTATCCCACCTTTTCTGTTGATCAGGGATTAGGGACCACCTCCATGTGGTGATCCTAACTCAGTATCTCCCATGAGGCTGTGATCAGCATGTCAGCCAGGGCTTGTCCAGCACTGGGAGATCCACTTCCTCAATGGCTCACTCACATGGCTGTTGGCAGGGGGCCTAGTTCCTTACCGCATGGATCTTTCCATAGGGTTGCTTCAATGTCTTCAGGACTTGGTGGGTAAACTTCTCCCAGAAAGAATGATCCATGAGAGAGGAAGAAGCCATGATGCCTTTTATGACTTAGCCTCAAAAGTTACACTTCAGGCTGGGCACAGTGGCTCATACCTGGCAATCCCAATACTTTGGGAGGCCAAGATGTGTGGATCACCTGAGGTCAGGAGTTGAGCCCAGCCTGGTCAACAGGGTGAAACCCCGTCTCTACTAAAAATACAAAAATTAGCTGGGTATGGTGGCGCAGAAGAATTGCTTGAACCCAGGTGGCAGAGGTTGCAGTGAGCCAAGATCATACCACTGCACTCCATCCTGGGCGACAGACTTAGACTCCATCTCAAAAAAAAAAAAAAAGAAAAGAAAAGAAAAAAGAAAAAAAACCTTTTTAAAAATCATTCTGAGAAATTATTTTTAGGTGGTTATTCATTTTTTTTTTTTTTGAGACAGGGTCTCACTCTGCGGCCCAGGTGCAGTGATGCTATCACAGCTGACCAGAGCCTGGACACCCCCAGGCTCAAGTGGTCCTCCCACCTCAGCCTCCTGAGTAGCTGGGACTACAGCACCACAACGGGCTAATTTTTGTATGTTTTGTAGAGATAAGGTTTTGCTTTGTTGCCCAGGCTGGTGTTGAACTCCTGGGCTCAACCAATCCACTTGCCTCGGCCTTGCAAAGTGCTGGAATTACAGACATGAGCTAACGCAGCAACATGAGCCTTTATTTTTATGAGGAGTCTTGCTCCTGTTGCCCAGGCTAGAGTGCAGTGGCATGATCTCGGCTCACTGCAACCTCCGCCTCCTGGGTTCAAGCCATTCTCCTGCCTCAGCCTCCCAAGTAGCTGGGATTACAGGTGCCTGCCACCGCATCTGGCTAATTTTTATATTTCTAGTAGAGACAGGGTTGCACCATCTTGGCCAGGCTGGTCTTGAACTCCTGACCTCATGTGATCCACCCGCCTTGGCCTCCCAAAGTGCTGGGATTACAGGCCTGAGCCACTGTGCCTGGCATTTTTTTTTTTTTTTTTTTTTGAGACAGGGTCTCACTCATTCTGTCACCCCAGGCTGGAGTGCAGTGGCATGATCTTGGGGAAGGCTGGTCACCCCACCCTAATCTTATCATGCAAATGGGCTTTCCAGTTGATTGGTGTCATCTTGTCTGCTTCTTACAGTACATGTGGCCGACAAAGAGAAGGGAAGATGGAGCCGCCATCTTCAACAGGAGTGGCACAACTGTCGGATCTATGTCTGCAGCTGGATTTTACAGGCTGCTCTTCGTTAGAAAGGAAAACTTTACGGAGGACTTCCATGCCTTCACTATCTGCCTAAGTAAATTCTTCTTAACTCCTGTACCAGTCTCAGCCTCATTTTGTCCAGCCCCTATACAAGATGGAGTTGCTCTGGTTCAAACGCCTGACACAAACTTGCTCCAAAATAAACATGGGTGATGTATGTTACCTGTATGTTTACCCATTGCACATGTGGTCAACCCCCTCATAAATATGTACAGCTTTCCCCCAAAACCTGCTGAATATGACTTTCTTGTGTAATACAGACCCTGGGATGCATAAAACCCAACCTGCCCTTTCCCTCTTTGAAGAGAGAGACCTTTACAAACTGATATCCCATGGTGTTTTGGATGAGAACTACAAAGTGACATGGGGGAGCTTTTTAGGGGTGATGGAAATGTTCTATATCTTCTTGGCTGTAGTAGTGTTTACATTATTGGTACATTATTGCACATGTTTAGAGTGAATTTAACTGTGTTTACTTTTTTTTTTTTTAGACAGAGTCTCACTCTGTCGCTCAGGCTGGAGTGCAGTGGTGCAATCTCAGCTCACTGCAACCTCTGCCTCCCTGGTTCAAGTGATTCTTGTGCCTCAGCCTCCCTAGTAGGTGGGACTACAGGCGTGCACCACCACACCAGGCTAATTTTTGTATTTTTAGTGGAGACAGGGTTTCACTGTGTTGGCCAGGCTGATCTCAAACTCCTGACCTCAGGTGATCCACCTGCCTCAGCCTCCCAAAGTGCTGGGATTATAGGCGTGAGCCACCACAACTGGCCTGTATTTACTTTTGTTTTGTTTGTTTTTGAGATGGAGTTTTGCTCTGTCGCCCAGGCTGGAGTGCAGTGGCATGATCTCAACTCACTGCAAGCTGTGCCTCCCAGGTTCAAGTGATTCTCCTGCCTCAGCCTCCCAGGTAGCTGGGATTCCAATTTAAACAACAGAATAATATTTTCTAGATGACAAAATTATTCAAAATTTTATCGTAAGAACAATATAATCTCATTCCGGAAAAATACTGAAAAACACCATTCATAATCCTACCACTTTGTTAATATTAATATATATTAATAATATTTTTATTTCTTTACTTCCCTGTAGATCTTTCCATATGCCTAATACGTACATACAAGCAGGGGACACTCAACTTTGCTTTCTGGTACTAGCATATTAAAAGTACTCTTTAAATATATGTATTTTTTTTTTTTTTTTGAGACGGAGTCTCGCTCTGTCGCCCAGGCCGGACTGCGGACTGCAGTGGCGCAATCTCGGCTCACTGCAAGCTCCGCCTCCCGGGTTCACGCCATTCTCCTGCCTCAGCCTCCCGAGTAGCTGGGACTACAGGCGCCCGCCACCGCGCCCGGCTAATTTTTTGTATTTTTAGTAGAGACGGGGTTTCACCTTGTTAGCCAGGATGGTCTCGATCTCCTGACCTCATGATCCACCCGCCTCGGCCTCCCAAAGTGCTGGGATTACAGGCGTGAGCCACCGCGCCCAGCCTAAATATATGTATTTTTGAAACAGAGTCTCACTCTGTCGTCCAGGCTGGAGCACAGTGGTGTGATCTCGGCTCACTGTAACCTCTGTTGCCTGGCTTCAAGTGATTCTTCTGCCTCAGCCTCCCAAGTAGCTGGGATTATAGATGCATGCCACCACGCCCGGCTAATTTTTGTATTTTTAGTAGAGATGGGGTTTCACCATGTTGGCCAGGCTGGTCTCGAACTGCTGACCTCAAGTGATCTGCCCACCTCAGCCTCCCAAAGTGCTGGGAATTACAGGCGTGAGCCACTGCACCTGGCCAGAAGTACTCTTTAAATCCTTTTGACAACAGGAGCTCTTATTTGGCTTATTTACATTGGTCTTAATAAGCCTTAAAGTTTTAAAATTCTCGAGCCAGTGCGGTGGTTCACATCTGTACTCCCAGCACTTTGGGGGGCCAAAGCAGGCAGATCACTTGAGATCAGGAGTTTGAGACCAGCCTGGCCAACATGGTGAAACCCCATCTCTAGCAAATACAAAAATTATCCGGGCATGGTGGCATGCACCTGTAATCCCAGGTAGTCTGGAGGCTGAGGCATGGGAATGTTGAACCCGGGAGGTGGAGGCTGTAGTGAGCTGAGATCGCACCACTGCACTCCAGCCTGGGTTGACAGAGCAAGGCTCTGTCTCAAAAAAAAAAAAAAAAAAAAAATTCTCAAACACCAAAGAACAAGTATGCCCAAGATCTCATGGTACTGCGATAAAAACATCCAGAATCTCTTCTATGGAATTAGATGAAAAATAAGTGAGAAAAACATCTTTCCAGATATTATTCATCTTGTCCTCATGGAGAGAAGACTGCAACATGACCTTCAGTCAGTTCCTAACAGCCAGAAAAAACAATATTTGAAATATGACTTTGATCTGTGTTGACCATAGCCAAAGATCTTTCATATGGAGACCTATCTTCTTGGATTGCATCCTGCATTAAAATCTGAGTATAATCATATTGTGGGCTGGGCTGGGCAGGGTGGCTCACACCTGTCATCCCAGCACTTTGGGAGGCTGAAGCAGGCAGGCAGATTGCTTGAGCCCAGGAGTTTGAGAACAGCCTGGGCAACATAGTGAGACCCTGTCTCTACTAGAAATATAAAAATTAGCCGGGCATGGTGGCACCACATGTGTAGTCCCAGCTACTCAGGAGGTTGAAGTAGGAGGATCACCTAAGCCCAGGAAGTAGAGGCTGTAGTAAGGCGTGATCGTGCCACCGCATTTCAGTGTGGGCAACGGGAGTGAGACTGTCTCAGAAAAAAAAATCACATTGCAGAAAAGCACTTGGAGATTTATAATCCTGAACATCTTCTTATGTAATGAAATCTGTGAAGGGTAAATACATTGATCAGGATGTTCACTCCCACTCAAATATCAAAAATTAAGAATATATATATTTTTAAAAGGCCAGGTGCAGTGGCTTATGCCTGTAATCCCAACACTCTGGGAGGCTGAGGCGGGTGGATCACCTGAGTTCAGGAGCTTGAGACCAGCCTGGCCAACATGGTGAAACTCCATCTCTACTAAAAACACAAAAAATTAGCTGGGTGTGGTGGCAGATGCCTGTAATCCCAGCTACTTGGGAAGTTGAGGCAGGAGAATTGCTTGAACTCAGGAGGCAGAGATTGCAGTGAGCCGAGATCATGCCATTGCACTCCAGCCTGGGAAACAAGAATGAAACTCCATCTCAAAGGAAAAAAGAAGAGGCCAGGTGTGGTGGCTCATCCTTGAACCCAGGAGGTGGAGGTTGCAGTGAGCCATGATTTCACCACTGCACTCCAGCCCGGGTGACAGTGTGAGACTCTGTCTCAAAAAAAAAAAATCACAAGTTGAGGCTGGGCACAGTGGCTCCTACCTGTAATCCCAGCACTTTGGTGGAGGATCACGTGAGGCCAGGAGTTTGAGACCAGCTTGGGCTACATAGCAAGGCCCTGTTTCTTTTTTTTTTTTTAATTTTATTTTTATTTAACTTTTTCCCCTTTTTTTCCTATTATTTATTTTTCGTTTTTTTAAATCACAAGTTGATGTCTGAATCATTGGAAGGTGCCTTTTCCCACTGTTATTATTTTTAATTATGGCATGCTATCCTTAATTTTTTAAATTAATAGACCTTCTAGTTTGAGACATCATTCAAAAAGTAGACAAAGCCAGGCATGGTAGGGCATGTGCCTATAGTCCCAGCTACTAAGGAGGCTGAGGCAGGAGGATCGCTTGAGCCTGGGAGCTCAACACTGCAGTGGCCTATGATCACACCATGCACTCCATCCTGGGCAACAGAGCCAGACCATGTCTCTGAAGATGAATAAATGAATAAAACAAAATAAAACATTTCTAAAAATAAAACAAAATCAAAGAGTAGACAGGAAGTCCTGAATTCCATCCACCTTAGATCTGATACCACATACAAAATCAAGCTAGGCTGTGCTCGTGTTTCCCAGTGGTAAAGCAGCTCATGCAGTTCTAAGGCTACCAAGTTACTTATGGGATAGGATTCTCCCAGCCTCCAAGACAAATGACAGAGCTTCCTATCTACTGTTTCCCAGGCTCTGATGTTCAGGTGGCCTGGATTGCTGGGTAAAACAGACTGTTTTAATAATCAGTGGGCTTTCTTAGACTCCGACTTAGAGCCTGAATTTAAATTCCTAATCTAATTTAAATACTACCAATAAGTAGCATTTACACACATTTGCTTTTAAGCCCATACACTAATTCTGATGTGCACTGAAAGCATGATATGCTTAGTTACTTCTGATTTTGAAAATTAATTTGAAGTTTAAAGTATTTTTATTAGTTTTTGAAACTAATATTAGACAATAACCAGCAAATGATATGATTCCATTCCATTATACACAAAACCAACCAACTACACCAAAAAAGACAAAAACAAAACCAACAAACATAGCCCTTTCTTGTTTAACTGCATTTTGTTCAATGTTTTAAGCTCTAGAAGGGGAATCTTTGAGTTAATCAGGTAGGACCCTCATTTTGCAAATGAGAGACATGAGGCACAAGTAGGTCAATGACTTATTGAGGTACTTGGAGAGCGAGGCAGTGTCCTCTGCCCATCGCAGCTGGCCAGGCCTTGCAGGAGGAGACACACCCAAAAGAAATGTAGAGGCCAGTTCTACCACATTCATTTCACGCCCTGGGGCTCGCACCCTTAAAAAGCATTCATTGCAGAACAGAGAAGTACATTTTGAACAGGAGTAGAGTAGTTAAACATGTACCAATGTGCACATTAAAAAGCAAAATAAAATGCAGCATTGTCAGAGTCCTCATGGAAACTAGAACTCTCTTTAACCAAAACTACTTTTTAGTCATTCAGTATCACATATCTTTTATGTTGCTTACGGTAAACGTCAGGTAAATCATGATATTTATGCTTTAATTTTATTTACCAAAAATATTTTTTTCCTTATGGGATTTAAAAGCACATATTCTTAGCTTGTGCACAATAGCTCATGCCTGTAATCCCAGAACTTTGGGAGACAGAGCTGGGAGGATCACTTGAACCCAGGAGTTCAAGATAGCCTGGGCAACATAGGGAAACCCCATATCTACACAAAATTTTTAAAATAAATTAGCTGGGTGTGGTGGCATGCACCTGTAGTGCCAGCTACTCGAGAGACTAAAGTGGAAGAATCACTGGAGCCCAGGAATTCAAGGCTGCACCGAGTCATGATCTTGCCACTGTACTCCAGCCTGGGTGACAGAGCGAGACTCCGTCTCAAAAAAAAAAAAAAAAAAAAAAAAAAGCAGCTAGGCGTGGTGGCTCATGCTGGTTATCCCAGCACTTTGGGAGGCCGAGGCTAGTGGATTGCTTGAGCTCAGATGTTCAAGACAAGCCTGGGCAACATGGTGAAACCCCATCTCTACAAAAAAAAAAAAAAAAATTAGCTGGGCGCCTGTAATCCCAGCTACTTGGGAGGCTGAGGCAGGAGGATCACTTAAGCCCAGGAAGTGGAGGCTGCAGTGATCCAAAGTTGTGCCACTGCACTCCAGCGTGGGTGACAGAGCCAGACCTTGTCTCAAAAAAAAAAAAAAAAAAAAAAAAAAAAAAGAAAAGAAAAGAAAAAAAGCATATGTTCTTAGAATACATAAAAATAATTTGCCAGGCATTTTTTTCTCCTACAAATATTATTTTTACTAATAACAAAAGCCCAGATCACATTCTTCTGAAATCAAAGTTTCCATGATAAAAGCCTTGACATTCCAAGTTTTTGTCTTTTCAGTGTCAGCTAACACAGTTTGAATTTTTTGTTTTTTTTTCCTACACTTGTATCATAGTTTAAGGTCATACTAAATGTTCACAGAAAATTAATGACTTATGCATCAAACATCTCAATTTAATCAGGCTTCTATTAGAAAGCAATCTCTTGCATTACATATAAAAATGAGAGCAGAGATACTAGTTAGAGAGCAGCCTATTGCACAAGGCAGAAAGTGATTTTGCTTGTCGTATAGCAGAAGTTCTATTAGGCAATGTCATAACTCCAAATAATACCAAATACCCCTAATACTTAAAATTTTCAAACTCAAAGAGCTGTTTATGTTAATAGGTCCAACAGGGTGAGTATATTTATTGTAATTCAGCTTTTTTTTTTTTTGCAATATTTTATCACTAATTTCAGCGAGCAGAAGACCTTCAGAATCAAGTACACATCTGATCCACATATAACTAAATACCCAAAGATCAGCCAAGTGGGTAGAAAGAGTGACAACAACAAAAACTTGTTTATCCTGCCGGGCATGGTGGTGCAAGCTTGTAGTCCCAGCAATTCAGGAGGCTGAGGAAGGAGGATCGCTTGGGCCCAGGAGTTTGAAGTTGCAATGAGCTACAATTGCACCACTGCACTCCAGCCTGGGTGACAGATTGAGACCCTGTCTCAAAAAGAAAAACCTTGTTTTTCCCACTGCCCTCAGTGAAACACACATCTGATGGGTTGTTTCAACAATAGGTTCTGCTAAACCATTTTAAAAAAAAAAATTCATAACCCGAAACACCTTGATAAGAACAAAGGTTCCCAGTCTTAGAAACAGTAGAATACCTTTAGGACTTCATTTTTAGATACATTTTCTTTTCTTTCTTTTTTTTTTTTGAGACAGAGTCTTGCTCTGTTGCCCAGGCTGGAGTGCAGTGGCACAATCTTGCTCATTGCAACCTCCACCTCCTGCATTCAAGCGACTCTCTTGCCTTAACCTCCTGAGTAGCTGGGACTATAGGCATGTGCCACCATGCCCGGCTAATTTTTATATTTTTTAGTAGAGATCGGGTTTCGCTATGTTGGCCAGGCTGGTCTCGAACTCCTGGCCTCAGGTGATCCACCTGCCTCAGCTTCCCAAAGTGCTGGGATTACAGGCTTGAGCCACTGTGCTGGCCTAGGTATATTTTCCAACACAGGGTAATGAAATGTCCCAGCCTTCTCTTGCCAGAGATGAGACTCTGGGGAAGGTAACGAGAGAGTCCATATGTGGGAGGAGTGGCTTAAAAACGTTCTATGTCATTTTCAAAGGCACTCTGGGCAACCAGGTGCAAAAGAATTTGAAGTGGCCCCTATTCAGATTCACCCACACTGGGTGAAGCAAGAGGTTCTTGTTATTAGTAATTGTCAGCTAAGCATGGTGGTTCACGCCTATAAATCTCAGGGTTTTGGGAGGCTGAAGTGGGAGGACTGCTTGAGCCCAGGTGTTTGAGACCAGCCTGGGCAACATAGTGAAGGCTCCATTTGTACAAGAACTAAAAAATAAAAATATTTTAAAAATTTGCAGGGTGTGATGGTGCACGCCTGTAGTCCCAGACAGGAGGCTGAGACAGGAGGATCTCTCAAGCGCAAGAGTTTGAGGCTTCAGTGAGCTATGATTGTGACACTGTACTCTAGCCCCGGTAACATAGAGACCCAGTATCTTAAAAAAAAAAAAAAAAAAAAAAAGTAATTGCAAAACATTTAATCAGCTTAAGACCTTGTGGGTCTTTTAAAAGCATGATCACAGACACAAACACAGATCCTACATTTGCCCTATCTGAGCTGCTGGAATCTCTTGGTCCTCCTGAGGAATAGTGGGGGGTTGGGGGGAGAGTGAATCTTAAGTCTGGGTGTCCTGACAGCATCCCTTCTGCTATCCACCTCTGCCCCTTGGTCCTCCAAGCGGCCCATGTGAAAAATGGCCAATTCCTTTCCCCTGGTCACCCCTGTTCTCACTTCTGGGGTAAAAAAGAATTAAAAAAAAAATCCTTGTCAGTTTTCAGCCAAAGTCTCTGGAATTTATTGCAAATTACCTTTAGAAAGTTAAATGTGGCCTGGCGAGGTGGCTCACGCCTGTAATCCCAGCACTTTGGGAGGCTGACGTGGGCAGATCACCTGAGTTCAGGAGTTCAAGACCAGCCTGGCCAACATAGTGAAACCCCATCTCTACCAAAAATACAAAAATTAGCCGGGCATGGTGGCAATCGCCTGTAATCCCAGCTACTCGGGAGGCTGAGGCAGGAGAACTGCTTGAACCCAGGAGGCAGAGGTTGCAGTGAGCCCAGATCACGCCACTGCACTCCAGTCCGGGCAACAAGAGTAAAATTCCATCTCAAAAAAAAAAAAAAAAAAGAAAAAGAAAAGAAAGTTAAATGCATCTGTTTTTACAGCCTAACTTACCCAAGAATGGGACAGAGCTCTCTCTGGACCACAGGCAGGATTTGGCAGCACTGCTCAGGCAGATGTCATCCTGGGACCAAGGACCAAGCATTTTCTTACTTGTTGATCAAAAGAATTAAAGGCCACTTAACATTCTGTCATTTACACTTGTGTGGCTACTCAAGAATATAGATTTTATTTTGCAGTGAAATTATAGAAAAAAATAAAGAATATTGATTTTAGACTGAGCATAGTAGCTTATGCCTGTAGTCCCAGTACTTTGGGAGGCCTAGGTGGGAGGACCACTTGAGGCCAGGAGTTTGAGACCAGCCTGGGCAACATAGCCCAACTCTGTCTCTACAAAAAATTAGTTGAGTGCCGTGATGCACACCTTTAGTCCCAGCTACTTGGGAGGGTGAGGTGGGAGGAGAGCTTGAGCCCAGGAGTTCAAGGCTGTGGTTTGCTGATTGCGCCCCTGCACTCCAGCCTGGGCGACACCACAAGATCCTATCTCTAAAGAAAAATAAAAATAAATAAATAAATTAACTGCCTTAAAAACATTAGCCAGGTGCGGTGGCACACACCTGTAGTTCCAGCTACTCAGGAGGCTGAAGTAGGAGGATAGTTTGAGCCCGAGATTTGGAGGCTGCAGTGAGCCACAATCACACCATTGCACTCCAGCCTGGGTGACAGAGGGAGACCCTGTCTCAAAAAAGAAAAAAGTGGGGGGGGGGGAAGACTATCAACTTCAGAAGTAGATGAAATATATATTTAGTAATCTAAGTATCTACATAAAGATACTATGTTTGACTCATTGGCAGGTATGAGTTCATGGCCCAGCGTTCTTTATTAAAATAACAGCTTTCATAGTACACGCTGTGGTTACGTCATTTTTCTTTCAGAGTATTATTACCTTTTAAAAGCTTCTTAAATCCCAAGTTAAAGCTGTTACATTCTAACCCAGTCTCAGAGCTGATTGGCTCAAAACCTCTGTGGGCCAGTAATGCCACATTACCCCGGAGGGGCGGGCAGCGCGGGGGTCAGGGAGCTGCCAAAGCCAGCCCTCCTACTGGCCAGCACGCACATTCCAGGGGATAAATAGGATTAAGTGCTCTAAAGAGGATTCCCAGCCCTCCTGCAAAGGAGGTTCAAACACTCTGGTCTAGTTCTGAACAAAAATAAGCCCCAGAGAAGGAGAAAGTGCCTGTTTAAACACCAGGTGGCCCTACCCCAAGCCTCTGCTCTTCCTCTTACCCCCATCTCCGGGTGGCTGGGGAGAGCCCTTTTCCGCAGGCAAGTGTGCGCACTGGATCCAAGTCCGTGAGAGTAGGTTCAACCCACCCTCTTTGGTTTCCTAAATAGGGTCAGCCCCTGAGCGGCAGTGGGAGGTCATGACCTCAAATCTCTTCTAGCTGCTCTTGGGGACGAATGGATAAACTCTGCTAGGAAGGGCTGTAGCGCGTCTTAGAGAAAGCCCTTTGTATGAACTGCTCTCGGGACACTCTCCTAAATTTAGGCCCTGAAAGATTAAGGTAATAAAAGCTGCTGACATTTGATTGCAATTTTTCTTGTCCGGGAAACAGACCAACCACATAGAACCAAACAGCGTCCCTCTCCAAACTTCACTCCACCCCACCCACCTTTTCAAACTGTCCCACGCAGAAAGGGGGCGACGCTGGCAGGGGTGGGCACCGAACTCGGACTCCCTGTAAAGACGCCCCAACAGCACATGTGTTAACTCATTAACTCGGAGGGATCTAGGGTCACTGTGACGGTTTTCTATTAATAGGGAATAAAGCTCCTGCAGACGTTAGCGGTAATGCCCTGACGGCCGGCGCAAAGTTAACTCCTCCCGGGCCAGCAAGAGGAAACCGTGTCCTGCCCAGGCAGATGTGCACTGGAAACGCGCGTGTACCCATGCACACACGGGGTTTTAGGACCACTCCCCTTGCACAGGCCAGACCCCACACCCATCCCGAGTCTTTTCTCAGGGGAGGGAGCGGCAGCAGCAGGCGGCCGTCGGGTGTCCGTCAGCTCAGCTTCGCCACGCACACGGCTAGGGCCACAGCCGCCAGCAGCACGGCGCCGAAAAGGATGGCGGCCAGGGCCTTCCTGGGGTCGCAACCCCCCCCGCGCTCCTGCAAGGACACGACCGAGGAGGGGCCGGCGCTGACCGTGGACAGGAGCTCGGCGCCCGCCGCCTGCCGGGCTTGCACGGTCCAGCGGGGCACGTTGACCTTCATCTCCATGTTGTCGATCATCTCGCCCACCTGAAGGACCTCGCGCTCCAGCTCCCGCAGGTCCGCGACGTCGAAGTCGCCCTCCGCCTCGAGCCGCAGGCTGCGGGTGCTCAGCGCGCGCGCCGCCACGCCGGAGGAGGCGCCAGCCACACCTGTGCGCACCAGCGGCCGCCGCGGCGCGTGCAGCGGGAACGCGGCGCCCAGCTCCAGCGCGCGTCGCATGTCCGCTTCCAGCAGGTCCAGGCAGCCCGAGAAGGCCACCCAGAGCCGCTCGAACTCGGCGCGCTCGTCGGCGGCCAGGCCCCGGTCGCGCAGCACAGCAGTCAGCCGGGCGCAGGTGGACACCGCCAGCTCCTGCGCCTTCTGGCGCGTCTTTTGCAGCTCCTGCCGCAGGTTCTGCGAGTCCGCCGAGCCACCGACGGTCAGCACCAGGTGGTGGTAGCACGCAGTCGTCTTGTTGAGCCCGTCCAGCAGCGCCTTGCACTCCTCCCTCGCCATCGCGGTGGGCTCCGGCTGGGCCCGGCCGCCCGCGCCCGTTAGCCTCCCCCTCAGCGCGGCAGGATGTGGCTAACCCCCATCCCGGCCTTGGGCCGCGCGGCACGAACGCTCTTCATGGTCCGTGACTCGCTCGGCGCTACCGCCAACGTCCACGGAGCCCGCCCGGGACCCTCGACGTGCGCCTCTGCGGACGGGGCGCGCAGAGGGAGCCCCGTTAGCGGTCCCCCGCTCCCTCGTCCATCCTCCCCAGGCGCACTCCGAGTCACACGTCGTGTCTCTGCACCGCCCTGGCCTCCACGGTGGCTCCCTGCGAAGCTGAGGGTGCGGTCCCCATCCTCCGTGGGTGCCAACTCCGGGGCAAGCAGGCTGCAGAGCCGCGCGCTCCGCCTTAGGCGCTGCCAAGGGCGGCCGGGTAGGGTTTCCTAGGACCCGCCCACCCCGCTCGTCCCGGCCGGAGCTGCCACCCCCTGGATCAGTGGTAGGCGGGGCTCCACGCGGGGAGGTCACGTGTGGGTGGCCCATCCCTCCCTCCCCTTCGCCCCATCCGAGTTCTGGAATGTTAGCGCTCGGGAGATCCAACCCGTTCTATTTTACGGATGGGGAAACTGAGGCCCAGGTAAAAAGCGGGCCAGGCTCCCGCGGAGTTTTTGCCTGTGATGGGACTAGAACCCAGCTATACTGACTCCCGGACCCTGTCGGCGACAGGACGTCGGGTGCCCCGCAGGACTGGGCACCTCCGTGCCCCAAAGCGAGCAGTGACTGGCAATCCGAGGGGCTGGGCGCCGCCGGGGTCAGGTGTCCCTGCCGCGTTGCGCTCACGTTGGTCGGTGCTTCCAAGCGCTAACCCCACCTCTAGTGTCAGCCCGGCTCCCAGCCCCGCCCCTCACGTTCTGGGCACGCGCAGTTGCGGGCGTGGGGCGGGGCCAGCTGGAGTAGGAAGCGTAGGGAGCCGCCTGAGCCCCGCCCCCGGCTGGGCTGGACTCCATGATTGCTCTGCGTACACGTCACTCTGGGAAACGACGGTTTCTCATTGGGTCAGCTGTGGCGCGGCTCCGCCCCACGGCGGAGTAAGGGGTGGGCTATAGGGCCAGATCGCCGCGCGAGGGTGGTGGGCATCGAGGTCCCAGCAGCGGACGAGGGAGGTGCCGCCGTCGCCCAGGATGGGCTGGGAATGAAGCGATGTAGCCTTTTAAGTAAGTGTCCTCGCGCTGGCCTCCTCCTGCGCCTCCCCTCCCGCGGGATGGCTGCGCCTCGGGGCGCGGCGGCCGGGCGGGGCCCGGAGAGTGAGGGGGGAGGGGCTCCCTGCTCTCCGGAGTCCGCTCCCGGGTCCGCCAGGTGGCCCCGCGCCGCCCCAGCCCCCGCGTCCCCAGGTGGGTGCCCGGTGCGCAGCCGGCGCGCCCTGCCCACTCCGCCCCTCGGGTCTGGAGGAGGGGAGCGGTCGGCGCGGAGAATGCACCCTCCGAGCCTCGCTGCGTCGACACCGGCGGGTGTGGCCGGGGTGCCGGGTCCGGCGGTTCGGATCTGGCGGGGCGCGGGGCGGTCGCCGCGCGGTTTCCCGGAGGCCTAGGGTCTGCTGGAGGGGAGCGGCGGGTGGGGGTCCGAGCCGCGCGCGCAGCGGTTGTGGTTTCCGGGGGGTGATGAGGGCGCGGAGCGGGGAATCCCTGGCTGCCGGCCTCTCGCAGGGCGGGGGGGTCTCTGCATTCCCACAGGTAAAGATTGTTAAAGGAAAACTCTTAAGCACCGAGAGATGTTCCGGATTCTGAGTCTGTTCCGTCTTGTGGTTGAAAATGGACTGCCCAGGAGCACACGAGCCACGCGGTGCCCCCTTGGCTGCCCCACGAGGTGCAGGGGACGTGGGCACTCGCGGCCTGTGCTGGGCGAGGGAGCAAGGGACGGGTCTTCGCTGAGGATTTAGAGCATGCAGGGAACGAGGGCTGCTGGCAGTGCTGGAGGGACTGTGAGGCTGCAGAGAGCTCAGATTTTACAAGTTGATGGGTTTCATGGATAGAGGCCCCTATTTTGATTAAAAAATGCACTCTTCCCACTGGCCGAAGAGTAGAGCAGTGGATATTTTTTTTCTTTTCTTTCTTTTCGTTTTTTTCTTTTTGAGACAGGGTCTGGCTCTGTTGGCTAGTCTGGAGTGCAGTGATGCCATCATAGCTCATTGCAGCCTCAAACTCCTGGACTCAAGCAATCCTTTCACCTCAGCCTCTGTAGTAGCTGGGACTACAGGCGCATGCCACTATGCACGGCTAATTTTTAATTTTTTTTTTTTTTTTTTGTAGAGATGGAGTCTAGCAGGTTGCCTAGGCTGGTCTTGAACTCCTGGACTCAAGCCATGCTCTCGTCTTGGCCTCCCAAGGTGTTGGGATTACAGGCACTAGCCACCACGTTTTGCTGAGCAGTAGCTGTTACGTTTCGAGATCAGCCTGGCATGAGGACTGGTGTTGAGGTGGCCTAAGGGTCCGGTGTACTGAGCCCCGGGGCCTGCTGTCACCCAGGGGTCCGTCCTTTAACTGGGTGAGCAGTAGGCTGGGTGTTTGCTGCCAGGGCTTGGGTACTCCTGGCCTTGACCATTGTGTGGAAGGGGGGTTCTCAGCCACCCACACGCTACATAGGGTCGTTCCCAGGGGGATAGTAGTTTTCAGGACAAAATGGGTGGAAAGAGGGAAAATACTCTTTCCCTTCGGGGGAAGCTTTGGAGACAGCAGAGGGTGAGGAAGCTGCAAAGGTGGCCAGAGGCCAGATGTGCCAGGTCCTGAGCACCTAGCAGAGAAGTTGAGGGCTCACCTGGTGGGGAGTGCAGGGGAATCCTTTGAGGAATCCTGCAGAGCTCGGCGCTGGAAAGATCGCTTTGTTGTGTTGCTGGTGGACAGGCGTGAGTGAAATCCAGGGGGCAGATCCAGGAGGCACAGCCCGTAGGCCTTGGAAGGAGGGGATGCAGGATGGGAGCAGGAGCAGAGACTTCTTCTGACCAGCCATAGGGACAGGAATGCACCTGGGGATCTGACATTGGATAGACTTACATTCCCAAGTTACACCCAGTCTTGCCTGGTGACCTGAAATAATCTTGGCCGGCAGCTTCCCTGGGAGGGCAGGCAGAGGTGTCTGCAGAGGGCCGGGGGTTAGGGTCTCCGTTGTGCCTCTTTGTGACTGTTAGACTGTGTCTCCCTCACCAAGACAGCTGCTGGGTCTTTGTTAGTGATGTTTCTGTGTCCCAGTTAAGGTTTCTGTGGCATCTGCCCTGCTGGGGCTCTTCCTGTCTGTCATTTGCCAGCATTAGGTTGGTGTCCAATGACTCCATCCTCTCATAGAGGAGTGGAGGAATGTGACCATGTCATGATAGGTACCAATCCTAGAAAGGATTCAGCCCAGAAGGATCCAGACTTGATTTGTCCTGAGGTTGATTCTCCATCTGAGGAACACTGAGAAGCGGCCCTAGAGCTCCTGCCCATCTGCCCAAGATACTGGTGGAGGGTGCATGGTGGTTCTTCTCCCTGTGGTCCGGGAACAGGGTGATGCGGTGGCATTCGGAGGGGCTGTTGTGCTCCTCCAAACTTTCCCGCTCCCTGCATGGTCCCGCCCTGGTTCCAGTCCTGGCTTCTCTCTAGCCCTGCCCATTCCAGCTATCACTGTGTTGGGCTGGCACTGAGCATCCTGATTGTTTTGGGCTTTTTGCCTTTGTGCTTGCTTGGCTATGACCTGGGGTTAGCCCCTCACCTACCCTGGATATGGACAGTGGAGTTCCAGCTCTTGTGAGAGATGACCTCTCCCTGGGAGCTGGGGCTTCCTCTTAATGCCCCACTATCGTTTTGTTCAAGTGGGTGAGCAGTTACTCCATCTCTGCAGGGAACCAGGCGCAGGGCTGGGTGCTTTAATGAGAAGCTTTGAGAAGAATATGGACAGGATCTCTAAATGTTATAGGTCAGGAGGACACAAGTGACTGTAACAGCATACATACATCACCACATTGCTTCCATTGGTGTGAAAAATAGATGAATAGAAAGTTTTCGTTTTTCGCCTTTTCCTTCTGAATCATAAATTAGACCAAATGGAGAATACTGCTTATCTGTTGGGAAGCGTTCCTGGTCAGAGTGTTTGGTCAGAGCCCCGGAAGGGCGGGAACGGCCATCGCAGTGAGATTTCAGCAGGGAGTGCATCTCTAAGGAGGCTGAATTCCCCCATGCTGAATTCTGCTGAGCTGGGCTGCACGCTGTCACCAGACGGTTCTTGACCACCCAGACTTATCTGGGCTAGCAGGACGGTTGAAGACCACAAAACCACGAGTGTGCACGCTGCTCCCTGAAATACTAGTTTGAGGCCTCACATGGCTCTCCTGTTCATAGAATAACTGCAGATAACTCACATTTAGAGGTATTTGGTATCTCCAGCTAACTCAACTGGATTTTCTGTACATTTTCCCATCATTTGAGCCCAGGCAGGGATGGAATTTTTTAAAAGAAGTTTTATAAGAAGATTCACTTATCTTTCCAGTTTTACAAGAAAAAGTCCATTTTCTTTGCATGTTATTTTAAAATAGCAAACTAATTCTTTTGTTTGTTTTGTTTTTGAGATAGGTCTCACTCTGTTGCCCAGGCTGGAGTGCAGTGGCCCGATCTCGGCTCACTGCAACCTCCACCTCCCAGGTTCAAGAGATTCTCGTGCCTCAGCCTCCCAAGTAGCTGGGATTATAGGTGTGGGCCACCACAACCAGCTAATTGTATTTTTAGTAGAGACGGGGTTTTACCATGTTGGCCAGGCTGGTCTGAAACTCCTGACCTCCAGTGATCCACCCGCTTTGGCCTCCCAAAATGCTGGGATTACAGGTGTGAGCCACTGTGCCCAGCCAGCAAACTAATTCTTGCAGGTAAACTTGACAGGGTATAAAACTGTTTTTTTAAGCATTTACCCTTATGTAAGAATTCAACTCTGGCATTAAGCACCAGATCATATGAGATTATTACTTTTTTTTTTTGGAGACAGGGTCTTCCTCTGTCGCCTAGGCTAGAGTGCAGTGGTGCAGTCATAACTCATTGCAGCCTTGACCTCTTGGGCTCAAGTGATCCTCTGGCCTCAGCCTCCCCTGGCTGGGTGTGTGCCACCATACCCATAGATAATTTTTTGATTTTCCTGTAGAGACAGGGTCTCACTTTGTTGCTCAGGCTGGTCTTGAACTCCTGGGCTCAATCATCTGTCAGCCTCAGCCTCCCAAAGTGCTGAGATTACAGGTGTGAGCCACTGCACCTGGCATATTACAGATTTTTTTTTGTCATTTTTTGAAATGGAGTCTCACTCCGTTACACAGACTGGAGTGCAATGGTGTGATCTTGGCTCACTGCAACCTCCACTTCCCAGGTTCAAGTGATTCTTCTGCCTCAGCCTCCCTAGTGGCTGGGATTATAGGTGCCCATGCCTGGCTAATTTTTGTATTTTTAGTAGAGACAGGGTTTCACCATGTTGGCCAGGCTGGTCTTGAACTCCATCTCAAGTGATCAGCCCGCCTCGGCCTTCCAAAGTGCTGGGATTACAGGTGCTAGCCACTGTGCCTGGCCCTTTTTTAAATTTTAATTTACATTTTTTATTTTTTATTGAGACAGAGTCCCCCTCTGTTGCCCAGGCTGGAGTGCAGTGTCATGATCTTGGCTCACTGCAACCTCCGCCTCCTGGGTTGAAGTGATTCTTATGCTTCAGCTTCCTGAGTACCTGGGATTACAGGGGTTTGCCACCATGCCCGGCTAATTTTTGTATTTTTAGTAGAGACAGGGTTTTGCCATGTTGGCCAGGCTGGTCTCAAACTCCTGACCTCAGGTGATCCGCCCGCCTCGGCCTCCCAAGCCACTGCACCCTGCATGTTACGTATTTTTAACACTAGGACAGAAAGGTTGAGAACAGTGTCGGACAGAGGTCCTTTTTCTTCTTTTTTTTTCATGTGACAGCACGGATGAAAGGACAGAGCTCTTTGAATCCCTACTCCTGGACAGAGGATTCAGTCTTTAGTGACCAAGAAGACTGAGGTCCAAGATAAAGCAGATGACTTGGGGCTGGATAACAGCAGGCCCTGTCCGCACAGCAGTGCTTGTTAAGGGCGTGGTGTGTTTACACAGTTCTTGCATGTGACCTGCATGTTTTGATGTGGCACTCAGTGACCTTCCTGTCTCTTGCTGTTCTGCCCCTTTCTGGCCTCTGCTTGGAGTCTTACTACTTTCCCATCCTCTAGTTCATCCCCTTCCCTGCCGTTTTTTTCATTTTCTTTCTTTTTTTTTTTTTTGTGACGGGATCTCAGCCTGTCACTCAGGCTGGAGTGCAGTGGCGCCATCTCGGCTCGCTGCAACCTCCACTTCTTAGGTTCAAGCAATTCTTCTGCCTCAGCCTCCAAGTAGCTGGGACTACAGGTGCCCATCACCACGCCCAGCTAATTTTTGTATTTTTAGCAGAGACGGGGTTTCACCATTTTGGCCAGGGTGGTCTTGAACTCCTGACTTCAGGTGATCCACTGCCTTGGCCTCCCAAAGTGTTCAGATTATAGGTGTGAGCCACCACGCCCGACCACTGCTGTTTTCTTCTGTCTCTGGTCCTTACCTCCCAGCTCTGTTTTTAGTTCGTCCATGGAAGCCTGTCCTTGTTGCCTCATCTTGCGGGGTGGAAGTATTGGTGTTCCTCCAGCATCTTTTCTGAAGCAGAAGGAGCGCCTTTTCCCAGCTTGAGTCTGACCATATTGCATCCTGTTTCTCACATGGCTTTCATCCAGAGCATCTTTACTTTTGCAATGTGCCACATAGAACCAACTATGTCAGGAACTAGAAAGAGTTTTGTGTTCTTGTGACTCTGTCCCAGCAAAATTGCATTATCTCATTGTGGTGGAGACTCATAAAAGGATTATCTGGGCTCCAGTAATAAGTGAATTTAATGATTCAAATAGCTGAGTTATTGCAGAGGCACCCCTGGGGCCCAGGCAGGGATTATATGCGACCATTTTTATGTTAGTCTCTTCTCCCTAGGAGGACTGGCGGAGAGCTCACAGGCCTTTTTCAAGCAGAACCCAGGGCACCTGCAGCCAAGACAGTTCTGGCTGGACCTGGGGAATTAGTTGAGGGGCCTGTGTGGCTGTCTGTCTTGTGGACTTTTCTTCTGTTGAAATAAAATATGACTCTTAGGCTGGGCATGGTTGCTCACGCTGTAATCCCAGCGCTGTGAGAGGCTGAGGCGGGAGGATTACTTGAGGCCAGGAGTATGAGACCAGCCTGGGCCACATAGCGAGACACCATCTCTACTAAATGAATGAATGAATGAATGGCTCTTATTTATCCTTGAGTCAGCCAGCTGCATCTCAGTTTCTTCATCTGTGACACAGGCTAGTGATACCTACTTGCCTAGAGTTATTGTGAGCATTAAGATAGGATGAGTGCTGGGTGCAGTGGCTCACACTTATAATCCCAGCACTTAGGGGGAGCTGAGGCAGGAGGATCACTTGGGCAATGTAGCGAGACCCCATCTGTACTGAAAATTAAAAAATTAGCTGGGCACGGTGGCTCACGCCTGTAATCTCAGCACCCTGGAGTCCGAGACAGGAGGATTGCTTAAGTAACTTAGTGAGACCCCATCTCTACAAAGAATAAAAAAAAAATTAGCTAGGCATGGTGGCTCATGCCTGTAGTCCCAACTACTTGGGAGGCTGAGGCAGGAGGATCACCTCAGCCCAGGAGGTCAAGGCTGTAGTGAGCTGTGATTGTACCAGTGTACTCCAGTGTGAGTGATAGAGCAAGACCCGTCTCAAAAAAAAAAAAAAAAGATGAAGATAAGACTGGGCACAGTGGCTTATGCCTTGTAACCCCAGCACATTGGGAGGCCAGGGCAGGAGGCTCACTTGAGGTCAGGAGTTTGAGACCAGCCTGGGCAACATAGTGAGACACTGTTTCTACCAAAAACAAAACAAAACAAAAAATTTAGGCTTGGCCAGGTGGCTCATACCCGTAATTGTGGCACTTTAGGAGGCTAAGGTGGGAGGATTGCTTGAGGCCAGGAGTTTGAGGGTGCAGTGAGCTATGATTGTGTCACTGTACTCCAGCCTGGTCAGTAGAGTGAGACCCCAACTCATAAATAAATGAAGGTAAGTAAGTAAAGATGAGGATGTATAGAAGTTATTGCAGTGCCTGGTACAAGGACTCTCCCAAATGGTGGCTATTTTTACCATTAGTTCCAAGGAATAGAATTCATCATGCAGTTATGTATGCATAGTGTTTTCCCAAGGAAGCATTCTGGATCCCTGTTACATAGTGAGAGAGTAGCTCCTATTTCATATTTCATTCATTTAATTGTATCAAGGATAAATTCACTTTTACGCTTTTTAAATAGTTGCTGATTTTCTCATTTTAATGAAGAGAGAAGGCCCCAGGCTCAAGCTTAGCATCTAATGACTTTTTTTTTTTTTTTTGAGACGGAGTTTCACTCTTGTCGCCCAGGCTGGAGTGCAATGGCATGATCTCGGCTTACTGCAACCTCCATCTCCTGGATTCAAGCGATTCTCCTGCTTCAGCCTCCTGAGTAGCTGAGATTACAAGTGTGTGCCACCACGCCCGGCTAATTTTTGTATTTTTAATAGAGATGGGGTTTCACCACGTTGGCCAGGCTGGATCCGCCCACCTCGGCCTCCGAAAGTGCTGGGATTATGAGGTTTTAAATAACAGTAATTACCTTTATAATTTTTAACTTTAAGATGATCTTCTCTTCGTTGGAAGTGATACCATTTTTCTATTTAAAGTAGTAATAAGATTTCTTTTTAAAATAAATTTTAGGCCAAGGATGGTGGCATATGCCTGTTGAGCCAGGAGTTCAAGACCACCCTGGGCAACACAGCGAGACTCCATTTCTACAAAAGTAAACAAAAATAAAACAGAAAGGAAAATACATTTTTATAAAGACAATAAGTTATTGAAGGAAAATGTCAAACACTAGCAAGAGAGCCATTATGTGTAATTGTTGGGCAAAATTGTGCTCACATTGTGGGCAGGTTGTTCACTGCCCAGCAGCAGGGGCCGTGCAGCATGTTACCTAGGAGCTGCTCACTAGCCTAGTGCCCTTGCACAGAGCTGCGCCCCCTGGGAAGTCGGGTGCCTGTTTCTAATTCTCACAAAGGTCCCATGTGAGCTTGCAGTAACTGGTGCTATGTTGATATGCAGTACTGCATGTCACAGATAGTGAAGGTGGCATGGAAATGACCCTCATAAGAGTCCTGCAGACAGGTATTAGCATTCTCTGTGGTGCAGGCCCAGATGGAGGCTCAGAGAGGTGGGATGACGTGGTTAGAAATCTGATCTCCTGGCTGGGCATGGTGGCTCACGCCTGTAATCCCAGCACTTTGGGAGGCCGAGGTGGGCGGATCACTTGAGGTCAGGAGTTTGAGACCAGCGTGGCCATCATGATGAAACCCCGTCTCTACTAAAAATAAAAAAATTAGCCGGGAGTGGTAGTGCACACCTGTAATCCCAGCTACGAGGGAGGCTGAGGCAGCAGGAGAATTACTTGATCACAGGGGTGGAGGTTGCAGTGAGCCGAGATTGCACCACTGCACTCCAGCCTGGGCAACAGAGTGAGACTCTGTCTCAAAAAAAAAAAAAAAAAAAAATAGAAATCTGATTTCCTTTTCTGTGCCCATTTTGTAGGCACCCCCTCTGAGAGCTCATTGGCTCAGAGGAGCAGACCAGGGGTGATGAGGAGCAGCTATAGAATGTTTCATGAAACACACAAAGCACTGGTTCACATTAGTTAGCAGCATGGAGCAGTCTGCAGACAGCAACATCCTTCAAACAGCTTACTTCCTAAAGTGAGTTGAACACTGACCTGTAATCTTCTTTTGGCCGTTCACAGACCTTTCAGTCATGAATCATGGAAGGGTCTTCTCTGGCTTCAGAAGTCCCAGTTCTGATGGTAGTGGTAGGTGTGTTCCATACTGATTCTTATTTTATCTGTACAGCGTGACTCTGATGTAAGTCCATTTGGCTTTTGCTTTTAGAACCTTACCTAAAATAAGCAATCTAATTTTAGCAACCCCTTTCACAACAGCAGCAAAGTCTATACAGAATATATAAATAGTCTAATAAAAGTCGTATACGATCCTTATGGAAAAGTCGGAGGACATCGAAGAAGACATTCATGGAAAGATATACCATGTATGTGGATGATAAAATTCATAATTATAGGGCTGAGTGTGGTGGCTCACGCCTGTAATCCCAACAGTTTGGGAGGCCGAGGTAGGAAGATCACTTGAAGCCAGGAGTTCAAGACCAGCCTGGCCAACATGGCGAAACCCCGTCTCTACCAAAAAATACACACAAAAAGTTAGCTGGTGTTGTGGCGTGTAGTCTGTAGTCTGAGCTACTTGGGAGGCCGAGGTACGAGAATTGCTTGAACCCAGGAAGCAGAGGTTGCAGTGAGCCAATATTGCGCCACTGTACTCCAGCCTGGGCAGCAGAGCAAGACCTCTGTCTCGAAAAACAAAAAAAACGGCAGGCTGGGCGCGGTGGCTCATGCCTGTAATCCCAGCACTTTGTGAGGCCAAGGCGGGCGGATCACGAGGTCAGGAGATCGAGACCATCCTGGCTAACACAGCGAAACCCCATCTCTACTAAAAATACAAAAAATTAGCTGGGCATGGTGGTGGGCGCCTGTAGTCCCAGCTACTTGAGAGGCTGAGGCAGGAGAATGGCGTGAACCCTGGAGGCAGAGCTTGCTGTGAGTCAAGATCATGCCACTGTACTCCAGCCTGGGTGACAGAGCAAGACTCTGTCTCAAACAAACAAACAAACAAAAATTAGCCTGGTGTGGTGGCGGGTGCCTGTAATCCCAGCTACTTGGGAGGCTGAGGCAGGAGAATTGCTTGAACCCGGGAGGCAAAGGTTGCAGTGAGCTGAGATTGTGCCACTGCACTTTAGTGTGGGTGAGAGAGCGAGACTCTGTCTCAAAAAAAAAAAAAAAAAATTCATGAATTTAGTGCGGGTCCAATAAAAATCCTAATAGGATTTTTCATGTAATTGACAAGGTGATTCTGATTCATTTGATATTGTAAAGGACAAGGAATAACCTTTGGAGAACAAGCTGGAGGGGAGCTTTTCTCTGTGAGTTAGTAAGGCTTATTATGAAGCTGTAGTCATGTAAAATAAATGTTCATATGTGGTCTCTCCCTGCCCTGTCCAGTGTAATAGCTGCTAGTGGCTATTGAGCACATGAAATGTGGCTAGTATGAATCGAGAAGTGCTGTAAATGTAAAATGAACACTAGATTTTAAAGACTTAAGAATAAAAAAATGTAAAATATATCATTAATAACAGTTTTTTTTTTTTTTTTTTTTGAGACAGAGTCTCACTCTGTCACCCAGGCTGCTGTGCAGTGGTGCAATCTCAGCTCACTGGAGTCTCTGCCTCCTGGGCTCAAGCGATTCTCCTGCCTCATCCTCCCGAGTAGCCTGGCTAATTTTTGTATTTTGTAAAGATGGGGTTGCCCAGGCTTTTCTCGAACTCGTGGACTCAAGCAGTCCACCTGCTTTGACCTTCCAAAGTGGTGGGATTACAGGCATGAGCCACTGTGCCCGGCCATCATGAAGAACTTTTTATTATTATTATTATTATTATTATTATTATTATTATTATTATTTGGGGATGGAGTCTTGCTCTGTTGCCCAGGCTGGAGTGCAGTGGCACAATCTCGGCTCACTGCAACCACTGCCTCCTGGGTTCAAGCAGTTCTGCCTCAGCCTCCCAAGTAGCTGGAATTACAGTCACCTGCCATCATACCTGGCTAATTTTTGTATTTTTATAGAGACGGGGTTTCATGATGTTGGCCAGGGTCTTGAACTCCTGACCTCAGGTGATCCACCCACCTCAGCCTCCCAGAGTGCTGGGATTACAGGTGTGAGCCACTGTGCCCAGCCAATAACTTTTAAATAATGATCAAGTCAAGTGCAGTGACATATACCTGTGGTCCCAGCTACTTGGGAGGCTGAAATGGGAGGACTGCTTGAGGCTGGGAGTTCAGGGCTGTGGTGAGCTGAGATTGTGCCTGTGAATAGCCACTGCAACATAGCAAGACCCCGTCTCTAAAAAACAAAATAAATAATGGTCACATGTTGAAAATATCATATTTTGGATATATTAAGATAAAATATATCATTAAAATTAATTGCACCCTATTTCTTTCTTTTTTTTTTTTTTTTTTTGAGACAGAGTCTCGCTCTGTCGCCCAGGCTGGAGTGCAGTGGCGGGATCTCGGCTCACTGCAAGCTCCACCTCCTGGGTTCACGCCATTCTCCTGCCTCAGCCTCCCAAGTAGCTGGGACTACAGGCGCCCGCCACTACGCCCGGCTAATTTTTTGTATTTTTAGTAGAGACGGGGTTTCACCGTTTTAGCCGGGATGGTCTCGATCTCCTGACCTCGTGATCCGCCCGCCTCGGCCTCCCAAAGTGCTGGGATTACAGGCGTGAGCCACCACACCCGGCCCCCTATTTCTTTTTTAATGTGCTACTAGAAAATTTAAAATGACATTGTGTATTTCTATGTAATATATACATAATTGTATTTCTCACATGTGACAGTAAGACCCTTGAAACAGAGTAGAGCCTGGAAACAGGCTAAACATACGTGGGATCTTGGAGTGTGACAGCCGTAGCATTATCAACCTGTGTGAAATGGATAGAATATTCAAAAAATGATGATGGGACGATTGGCTTACTATATGGAGAAATATAATTAGACACTTGATTTATAGCATGTACAAAAATCCAGATGGATTGAAGACCTAAAAATAGAAAACTTTACTCTTTTTAGAAATCATAAGGACTATCTTTATGGCTTTGAAATTGGAAAGGACGTGGTTTCAGGTAGCCTTTGCTGTGTAACAAACCCACCCAAAATGTAGTGACTTCAAACTGCCACAATTTATTACTTCCTACGTTGTGTGAGTTGGGTGGGTGGTTCCTCTACTGGTCTCAGCTGGGATCCCTCAAGGGGCTGTATTCTGCTGGTGGGTTGGCTGTGCTTGCTGGGCCACCTAGGCCTCGCTCTCCCCCCATGGCCTTTCATCATGTGGGCTTCTTCATAGCATTGGGATCTTGGGGTACCAAGAGAATGAGAATGGAATCCGCAAGCCCTTTTATAAGTGTGTATGTATGTATATACATTTACTTTTCTTATTTCTTGAATGTACTAAGACTTTTTGTTTTGTTTTGTCTTTGAGACAGAATCTCACTCTGTCACCCAGGCTGGAGTGAAGTGGCGTGATCTCGGCTCACTGCAACCTCTGCCTCCTGGGTTCAAGTGATTCTCCTGCCTCAGCCTCCCAAGTAGCTGGGATTACAGGCACATGCCATCACGCCTGGCTAATTTTTGTATTTTAGTAGAGACGGGGTTTCACCATGTTGTCCAGGCTGGTCTCAAACTCCTGACCTCAAGTGACCCACCCGCCTAGGCCTCCCAAAGTGTTGAGATTAGAGGCGTGAGCCACCGTGCCTGGCCTTTTTTTTTGTTTTTTAAAGAGATGGGGTCTCACTCTGTTGCCTAGGCTGGAGTGCAGTGTTTCAATCATAGTTCATTGCAGCCTCAAACTCCTGGGCTCAAGCGATCCTCCCATGTCAGCCTCCCGAGTAGTTGGGACTGCAGGCATGTGCCAGCACACCTGGATAATTTTTGTATTTTATTATTTGTAGAGACAAGGTCTTGCTATTTTGCCCAGGCTAGTCTTGAACTCCTGGCCTGAAGTGATCCTCCTGCCTTGGCCTCCCAAGGTGCTGGGATTACAGGAGTGAGCCATTGTGCCCAGCCCCTGTAAGACCTCTTGAAGCTGACACTCACAAATTGTACAGCATCGATTCTGCCTGTTGGTTGAAGCAAGTCACAGGGCTGGCTCTGATTCAGGGGCTGCGGAAATGAGTCTACTTCCTTTTTTTTTTTTTTTTTTTTTTTTTGGAGACTGAGTCTTTCTCTTTTGCCCAAGCTGGAGTGCAGTGGCAGGATCTGGGGTCACTGCAATCTCTGCCTCCTGAGTTCAAGCGATTCTTTGCCTCAGCCTCCCAGGCAGCTGGGATAACAGGCACATGCCACCACACCCCACTAATTTTTGTATTTTTGTAGAGATGGGGTTTTGCCATATTGGTCAGGCTGATCTCGAACTCCTGACCTCAAGTGTTCTGCCTGCCTCGGCCTTCCAAAGTGCTGGGATTATAGGCGTGAGCCACCGTGCCTGGCCTACTCTATCTTCTGATGGGGGAATAGTGAAGTCACTTTGCAAAAAGACCTGCCAGAGGATAGGCATGCCAATTACAGATTTCTTAAGGCTCAAAAAGCACTGACCTTAAAAGCAAAGAGTGGCAAATCCAATTATTGTTGACCCTTGAACAATATGGGTTTGAACTGTGTGGGTCCACTTATATGTGTTTTTTTCAACCAAATTCAGGTTGAAAATACCATATTCACAGGTTGCAAATTTCTGTATATGGAGGGCTGACACAGACATGTGAGTTCCACAGGGCCGACCATGGGATTTGAGTATGTATGGACTTGGGTATACAAGAGGATCCCAGAACCAATCCCCCAAGTATACTGAGGGATGACGGTCCATTCACATCAAAACTTCTGGCCAGGCACAGTGACTCATGCCTGTAATCCCAGCGTTTTGGGAGGCTGAGGTGGGAGGATTGCATCAGGCCAGGAGTTCAAGTTCAGCGTGGGCAACACAGCAAAATCTCATCTCTACAAAAAGTAAAAAATAAAAAAAAGGTTGGGCGTGGTGGTGCATGCCTGCAGTCCCAGCTGCTCTGGAGGCTGAGGTGGGAGGTGGGAGATCACTTGAGCCCAGGAGTTCAAGGTTACGGTGAGCTACGATCATGTCATTGGACTCCAGCTCTAGCCTGGGCGACAGTGTGAAACCCTGTCTCAAAATAAATAACATCCAAAGTTCTATTTCTGAACACACCCATTTGACAAAATGAAAAAGCAAGTTACAGACTAGGAGATGGTGTGAGTATATGTGTGTGTGTGTGTGTGTGTGTGTGTGTGTATAATTTTTTTTTTTTTTTTTAGACAGCATCTTGCACCATCACACAGGGTGGAGTGCAGTGGCGTGATCATGGCTCATAGCGGCCTTAACCTCCTGGGCTCAAGTGATTCTCCTGCCCCAGCCTCCTTAGTACCTGGGACTATAGGCATGGGCTGCCACACATGGCTAATTTTTAAAACTTTTTTTGTAGAGATGGGGTCTCGCTATGTTGCCTGGGCTGGTCTTGACCTCTTGACCTCAAGTGATCCTCCTACCTCATCCTCCCCAGGTGCTGTGATTACAGCCAGCCTGGGAGATGATATTTAAAACTTACTTTAGTATACAGATGTGTAAAGAACTATAAATCCTAAGAAAAAGGCCAACAACCCAGCGGGAAAGTGAGCAAAAGACATGATCAGGCAGTTTACATAACCGAAAGAAATTTAGTTCATTTAATTAATGAACCAATGAAAATGAAAAACAGTGGGATATGGCTTTATACTCATAGACTATCTCAGCCCATGCAGGCTGCTGTAATAGAAGGCTTGAAAATGACAGAAATGTGTTTCTCACAGTTCTGGAGGCTGGGAAGTACAAGGTGAAGATCCTGCAGGTTGGATGTCTGGGGAGGGCCTGCTTCATAAACAGCTGTCTGTTCTCTGTAACCTCACGTGGCCGGAGGAGCAAAGGAGCTCTCCCAGGCCTCTTTCTTTTTCTTTTTTTTGAAACGGAGTCTCGCTTTATCACCCAGGCTGGAGTGCGGTGGCGTGATCTCTGCTCACTGCAACCTCTGCCTCCTGGGCAGTCCCAAGCTGGGACTATAGGCATGCACCACCACACCCAGCTAATTTTTGTATTTTCAGTAGAGACGGGGTTTCACCATGTTGACCAGGCTGGTCTTGAACTCCTGACCTCAGGTGATCCTCCCGACTTGGCCTCCCAAAGGGAGGATTACAGGCATGAGCCACTGTGCCCGGCTGCATAATTACGGGCACTGATCTCATTCATGAAGGCTCTGCCTTTGTAACCTAATCACCCCCAAAGGCCCCGCCTAGCGGGTTAGTATTTTAACATATGAGTTTTTGGGGGACATAAACATTTAGACCATAGCACAGACTAACAGAAATTTTATTATTTTAATTTTTGAGGAGATAGTGTTTTGCTATATTGTCCAGGCTGGTCTCCAACTCCTGGTCTTAAGCGGATCCTCCTGCCTTAGCCTCCCGAGTGGCTGGGACTACGGGCACATGCCACCA
Organism: Homo sapiens; assembly: GCF_000001405.40. Lineage (NCBI taxonomy): Eukaryota > Metazoa > Chordata > Mammalia > Primates > Hominidae > Homo > Homo sapiens. The sequence goes on along the minus strand of NC_000019.10, from coordinate 32,659,985 downwards.
TACCCAGATAATTGTTAATTTTTGTAGAGGTAGATAATTGTTTATTTTTATTGTTTATTTTTGTAGATAATTGGTTTTTTTTGTAGATAAATTGTTTATTTTTGTAGAAGTGAGGGTTTTGCTGTATTGCCCAGTCTGGTCTTGAACTCCTGGGCTCACAGGATCCTCCTACCTCAGGCTCCCAAAGTGCTGGGATGACAGGCATGAACCACCACACCTGGCTTCCACTTTATTTCTTAAAAGAAAATCTGAGGCAAACATGGCAAAATGTGACGATTCCTTAATTCTGGTGCTAGGTTTGCATTATTACTCAGTACTTTTCCATGTGCTAAAATATTTCATTAAAAATAAATGAGTATCTTGAGAATGTCATAATTTTGGTCATGTAGGATATTCTAAAAATAGCCATTTATACTTTAGCCAAGACTTGGAGTTTAACAAGATTTTCTGAGCATAATTTACACGTTAGCCAATAAACGGGTCATCTTGGAATTAGTGGGTTGTATTTGAGATTTCCTGGTGGAGTGAGTCTGTGGGAGAAAAAAATGGCACGTCATGAATCCTTTTTTATTTGGAGGATACTCTTTAGAAATTGCCAGATGCAGGTCGGGTGTGACAGCTCATGCCTGTAATCCCAGCACTTTGGGAGGCTGAGGCGGGCAGATCACCTGCTGGTCAGGAGTTCAAGACCAGCCTGGCCAACATGGCAAAACCCTGTCTTTACTAAAAATACAAAAATTCGCGGGTGTGGTGGTGGGCGCCTGTAGTCCCAGCTACTCCCGAGGCTGAGCCGCGCTCCAGCCTGGGCGACAGAGTGAGACTCTGTCTCAAAAAAAAAAAAAAAAAGAAAAAGAAAATGCCAGATGCATCAGATGCAGACTTTCATGTGTTACGTAAACTCGAAAATGGCTATTCACTGCTTTTCCCTCCCTTATTGCAGGAGATTTGCTCTGACCCATCTGAAGTCCATATGGCTCTGTATGATGAAGACCTCCTGAAAAATCCTTTCTATCTGGCTCTGCAAAAGTGCCGCCCTGACTTGTGCAGCAAAGTGGCCCAAATCCATGGCATTGTAAGTGCACTGAGCCTCGGGGTTGTCCTGAGGCATGAATGGTTCCAGAGACGTGGTAGACTAAGGCTCAGTTTGGAGGGAGTTTGTTATAAACTCAGCTTAACAAGCTCCCAGCAGTGTGCTTGGTCTGTGAGTGAGCAGCGAGGGGCCCCCATGAGCCGCTCCCTCCAGGAAGCCTTCTGGGACTGCAGTCCAGGCTGTAATACTTTCTCTGAACTCCTGGCCCCCGCCTGTGGCTAACTGTGCCCTTTCGTGGAGCACCCCCAGTGACACTTGGTCTCACGCTGCGGTGCTCTCGTTTCTCTCTTGCCTATGGAGGCTTCTCCAGGGCTAAAATGAGTTGTGCTCCCTGGGGCCTTACGAGTCCTGGTCTGTCTGGGAGGTGGGTGCTCACCCTCATAGAATAAGGGACCGAGTAAACACATTCATACACTGCTTTGAAAGGTTTTTCCAAAGGGAAAGCACCATGATGAAAGAACTTTTCTGGTAGAGGCCACAACCTCAGAAGCCTTCAGGGGCAGCCAGGTAACAGGAATGAGAAGCAGGCAGGAGACGCTGTCGCCTGTCATGGTGGGGGCATCTGCCTGGACGGGGGCGGGCCCCACATTGTGGGTCTTTCCAGTTCTCAGGTCAGTGAACTTGGCGGGCATCCTACTTAGACGGCACTGGGGGACACAGTGTCCCGGGTGCATTTGTGTCATCTGTGGCCTCTGCTTCAGGAGTCTTCCGTCTTCTTTTTGTCTGTTGTCCCCTACTCTCTCAAATGGATGTCCACTTCTCTTATCCCGTGGGGCGACTTTACTTAGATATGTGAGGTGCCTGAGGGTTTGAACTGAAGGAGAAGTCAGGTTAGCTGAGTGTGGCTTCAGGTTCTCAGCGGCCTCTCGGACGCCGGAATTGACTTTCATTTATTTTTATTTTTATTTATTAAATTTTTTTGAGACAGAGTCTTGCTCTGTCACCCAGGCTGGAGTGTGGTGGCGTGATCTCAGCTCACAGCAACCTCTGTCTCCCAGGTTCAAGCGATTCTCCTGCCTCGGCCTCCCAAGTATCTGGGATTGCAGGTGTGTGCAACCACGTCCAGCTAATTTTTGTGTTTTTACTAGAGATGGAGTTTCACCCATGTTGGCCAGGCTGGTCCCGAACTCCCGGCCTCAGGTGATCTGCCCACCTCGGCCTCCCAAAGTGCTGGGATTACAGGCGTGAGCCACTGTGTCTGGCCTGGACTTGACTTTGATTTTGCCCAGGCCAAGCTCTGCCATCAGAAACTGGGTTTCTTTTTTTTTTTTTTGAGACAGAGTCTCACTCTGTTGCTCAGGCTGGAGTGCAGTGGCGCAATCTCGACTCTCTGCAACCTCTGCCTCCCGGGTTCAAGTGATTTGCCTCGGCCTCCTGAGTAGCCGGGATTACAGGCACAAACCACCATGCCTGGCTAATTTTTTTTTTTTTTTTGAGACAGAGCCTTGCTCTGTCACCCAGGCTAGAGTGCAGTGGCGCAATCTCGACTCACTGCAACCTCCACCTCCGGGGTTCAAGCGATTTTCCTGCCTGAGTCTCCTGAGTAGCTGGGACTACAGGTGTGTGCCACCACACCCAACTAATTTTTGTATTTTTAGTGGAGACAGGGTTTCACCATGTTGGCCAGGATGGTCTCGATCTCCTGACCTCGTGATCCACCCGCCTCGGCCCCCCAGCGTGCTGGAATTACAGGTGTGAGCCACCACACCTGGCCTAATTTTTGTATTTTTAGTAGGGACAGGGTTTCACCGTGTTGTCCCAGCTGGTCTTGAACTCCTGGCCTCAAGTTATCCGCCCACCTCCATCTCCCAAAGAGAAGCTGGGTTTCTTGACATCTTTTCCAGTTTTTATGATTAGTTTTGTGATTCATATTTCTTCACCACAATCTTCTTACTTTAGATTTTAGAAGCCAAAAAGTTCATTATTTTAAAAATTAGAATATATAGCTCTTTCCAAATAAAAATCTCATAAAATTCACCAAAGACATTCACTGTCATCTCTTCATTTCACAGCAATTATTAAAAGCTGCTGTATACAAGATACTTTGCTTGATGGTGAGGATTCACCAAGAAACAGAAACACACATCACTCTTTTTTTTTTTTTTTGAGATAAGGTCTTGCTTTGTCCCCCAGCCTGGGCTAGAATACAGTGACATGAACACGGCTCACTGCAGCCTCAAACCTCTAGACTCAAGCAGTCCTTCTGCCTCAGCCTCCCAAGTAGCTGGGACTACAAGCATGTGCCACCACACCTGGCTGGTTTTTATTTTTTGTAGAGATGGGGTCTCACTATGTTGCCCAGGTTGTTCTTGAACTCCTGGCCTCAAGTGATCCTCCTGCTTCAGCCTCCCAAAGTGCTGGGATTACAGGCATGAGCTGTCACGCCTGGCCCTAGATCACCATCTTTACCCTCATGGAGCTTAAATTCTAGTGCGAAAGATGGTCATTCACTGAGCGAGTGCATACTAATTACGGTGGTGGTGAGTGTCGCAGAGGAAAAGTACGGGACGCAAGGTGGGCATGGATCAGGGAGGGCCTGGCCGTACTGCGGGAATATTTCCTCTCTTCCTGTCTTCGTTGTATGATATTTTAAACTACTGTCTAGACAAGTGCATATTTTCATATATATCTTTATCCAGCTTTTTAGAACTGTCACACTGTGGCATAGTTATTTCTGTGGAAGCTCTTTGGGGAAGCTCTATCTTGCTCAGCATGGTGTTAGTGAGCCTGGCAGCTGCCACTTCAGGCTTTTCTTTTTCTTTTCTTTTCTTTTCTTTTCTTTTCTTTTCTTTCTTTCTTTCTTTCTTTCTTTCTTTCTTTCTTTCTTTCTTTCTTTTCTTTCTTTTCTTTCTTTTCTTTCTTTTCTTCTTTTTTTTTTGAAACAGAGTCTCACTGTGTTGCCCAGGCTGGAGTATAGTGGCTCTATCTGGGCTTGCTGCAACCTCTGCCTCCTGGGTTCAAGCGATTCTCCTGCTTCGGCCTACCAAGTAGCTGGGATTACAGACACCCACCACCATGCCTGACTGATGTTTGTATTTTTAGTAGAGATGGGGTTTCACTATGTTGAGCAGGCTGGTCTCGAACTCCTGACCTCAAGTGATCCATCTGCCTTGGCCTCCCAAAGTGCTGGAATTACAGGCGTGAGCCACTGTGTCCGGCCTAACTTTTGTAATTTTTGTAGAGACGGCGTTCTCAATTTCTTGCCCAGGCTGGCCTTGAACTCCTGACCTCAGGCGATCCTCCTGCCTTGGCCTCCCAAAGTGCTGGGATTACAGGTATGAGCCACCATGCCTGGCCAACTAAGTGCTTTTCAGCTACAAGTCATGGGATCCCACTCAAGCCCACTTTAGCAAAAGGGGGATTTTGAATGAACTTTTCTGCCTTGTCACCTTCCTTTCAGGGACACCGGAGAATGGAGATTCTTCTTAGGCTGTGCCATCCAGGGTTGCCCCACAGAACCCCAGACCCTCAGTCCAGCTCCTCCTGAGATCCAAGGCATCCACAAGGAACTGCTGGGGTCCACATGGGGCAGCAGTGAGCCTCTTGTCTTCCTCAGCCTTGTTTGGTGGACTTGAATCAGTGAGGTTGCCAGGCATGTTGGTGCAGGCCTGTAGTCCCAGCTACTCAGGAGGCTGAGGCAGGAGGATCGCTGGAGCCCAGGAGCTCTGGGATGTCGTGAGCTATGCTGATTGCATCTCCACACTAAGTTTGGCATCAATATGGTGACCTCCCAGGAATGGGGGACCACCATGTTGCCCAAGGAGGGGTGAACACTGCCATGCTGGAAATAGAGCAGGTCAAAACTCCTGTGCTTTGCCAGGCACAGTGGCTCATGCCTGTAATCCCAGCACTTTGGGAGGCCAAGGCAGGCGGATCATTTGAGGTCAGGAGTTCAAGACCAGACTGGCCAACATGGTGAAACCCCATATCTACTAAAAATACACAAATTAGCCAGGTGTGGTGGTGCGTACCTGTAATCCCAGCTGCTTGGATGGCTGAGGCATGAGAATCTATTGTACCTTGGAGGCAGAGGTTGCAATGAGCTGAGATTGCGCCACTGCACTCCAGCCCAGGTGACAGAGCAAGACTCTATCTCAAAAAACAAACAAACAAACAAACAAAACAAACAAAAAACCCTCCCGTGCTGATCAGCAGTGGGATTGCACCTCTAAATAGCCACTGCACTCCAGCCTGGGCAACATAGTGAGACACCATCTCTAAAAAAAAAGAAAAAAAGAATCAGGGAGGCCAGCATCTCAGCAGAAATCAGCAGAGTGCAGGAGCTGCTGTCACTGTCACACTGGTCAGGTTTGCTGGCCCATGCCGGCCCCCTCTTGTCCGTGTGAGGAGGGACATGGACCCACACCTGTCCAGTCCGCAGTTGTGCTCTACCTATGTTCATAGATTGAAAGAAAAAGTCGAATATCTCGATGGTCTCCAGGAAAATGCCATCCTTTCTGTCACCTCTAAGGGATCCCTGTGGCCTCAGCAGTTGAATGCCAAATATCTTTCCATGAAGTTTGGACATTGTACCAACTTTATTTCATTTTTAATATTTTGGTAGAGATGGGGTCTCACTATGTTGCCCAGGCTGGTCATAACCTTGTACCAAGTTTGACTGCCCTTGAGTCTGCCCTGGAGATCAGAGTCCTTTATCAGGCTCCAAAAAATGTGAAATCACTTAAAAACATGTCTTGGCCAGGCATGGTGGCTCACGCCTGTAATCCCAGCACTTTGGGAGGCCGAGGCAGGCGGATCACTAGGTCAGGAGTTTGAGACCAGTCTGGCCAACATAGTGAAACCCTATCTCTACTAAAAATACAAAAAATTAGCCGTGCGTGGTGGCAGATGCCTATAATCCCAGCTACTGGGGAGGCTGAGGCAGGAGAATCGCGTGAACCCGGGAGGCGGAGGTTGCAGTGAGCTGAGATCACGCCACTGCACTCCAGCCTGGGCAGCAGAACGAGACTCTGTCTCAAAAAAACAAAAACAAACAAAAAAAACCATGTGTCTCCCGCAGAGTGAACCGCACCACGCTTCTCCCTGCGTGCACGCTGCTGGGCCGCCTCATCTCCATGTGGCCCTGCAGCAGTGTGTGTGGGGCAGCTGAGGGTGCAGCTTGACTGCTCCTTCCCTCCCCACCCCCACCCCGTCCCCGCCCCCGCCACGCCACGCCTCGAAGCGCCTTCCTTCGCAGGTGCTCCTTTTGTGGGGATGCCCCCACATCCAGGCAGGTGTCTCCTTCCTGCCCTCCTCTGCTATCTGATTGGACAGTGGAAGCGCCTTCTCCTGTGCTCACCCAGATTTCAAATTTCAATTTCAGAGGCCTGTGACAACCCCACTGCTTCTAAAAGTCACCTCTGTGCTTACAACTATCCGGCTAATTACACACCTGTGGCGTCCTCAGAGCAGGCTGGGCAGGTCTGCGTCCCTGGGGCTTTAGTGCAGAGTTGAAAGTCCTCCAGGTTTCCCAGGTGCACCAGGAGACTGGCCCCTTTGCCTACAGGAAAAACAAAAATTTCAAAGGAGATTGAACTTGGTTCTTTTATTGAGTTGTCTGATTTAATGGGGTAAGTAGGCTCCGGGGGCCTAGTCTGGGAGCCTAGCAGCATGTCTTCTAAGCCCCAGGAACTAACTTTCATCCGAGCTAAGGGCGCTGAGACCCCTGCTCCAGTTCTCAGAATTTATTTAGTATAGATGCTTCCAACAAGCCGTGGCCATCCACTCCACGCCAGGCACCGTGCCAGGTTTCAGGGTTACACGATCAATGGGGAACTTGGCACGCCTTCAGGGAATTCCAGAACAGGCCATTTGCAGGCCAGAGGAATATCAGGACAGAAGGCAGCGTGGGCAGTTGTGGAGTGCTTAATCCAGCCTGGGGAAGAAGCAGGAGAGTGCCCTGGAGTAGGTGCCACTCAGGCAGATTCTTGCCTTTTATTTGACTTTTCTTTTCTTCTTTCTTTCTTTTGAAATGGGGTCTTGATCTGTCACTCCCACTGGAGTATAGTGGCGTGATCTTGGCTCACTGCAACCTCCACCTCCTGGACTCAAGTGATCCTCCTGTCTTAGTCTCCTAGGTAGCTGGGACTACAGGCGTGCACCACCACGCCTGGCTAATTTTTGTATTTTTTGTAGAGACAGGGTTTTGCCCTGTCGCCCAGGCTGGTCTCGAACTCCTGGACTCAAGTGATCCACCCGCCTCAGCCTCCCAAAGTGCTGTGATTACAGGCGTGAGCCACCTCACCTGTCTCCTTTTGTTTTTCCTCATAAAATGCAGCTCCTGCAGGACTTTCTTTCCCCCAACCCCACACCCTACCCCCGGGATGGAGTTTCGCTCTTGTAGCCCAGGCTGGAATGCAGTGGTGCGATCTCGGCTCACTGCAACCTCTGCCTCCCGGCCTCAGCCACCTGAATAACTGGGATTACAAGCGGTTGCCACCGCGCCTGGCTAATTTTTGTATTTTTAGTAGTAGAGACGTGGTTTCACCGTATTGGCCAGGCTGGTCTCAAACTCCTGACCTCAGGTGATCCACCTGCCTCAGCCTCCCAAAGTGTTGGAATTACAGGCGTGAGCCACCACACATGGCCTTTCTTTAATTACTGTGATTTAAAAAATTCTTTCTAAAGGGGCTAGAATAAACCATTTTTTGGTTAAGCCTTGAAATTTCTGGGTCCCCACCTTCTGGTCAACGCAGTAACTCTGAACTTCGTCTATGCCGGTAACTCTGGAAAGTCTTTGCCAGCAGTAAAAACTCCACAGCTACTCCAGAAGTAGTCTGAAGCCCCCTAAGGGATAGCCTGGAGGCCGTTGGCCTAGCTCTCTACCCCCTATCCCAGGCAACTCCTCCCCGGTCTCAGCAGGATTGCTGTGGGGATGGTGGGTGGAGCCAGGGAGCCCAGCGTTGGCTTCTGGTTGCTATGAAATGCTCTGGGCAGCAGGGGCCTCTCTCTTTCTTGGCATAGGAGGAACTAGAGCTCCTTTTTATGTCTGCCAGAAAACTAGTTGGGGGAAGGGTTGGTCCTGAGGGCCCCCGATTTACCCAGTAAACATGCACTGGGCACCTGCCTCGTGTCCAGCAGTGTGCTTGACAGTGGGGATGCAGTGAATGGGGCCAGACGTGCATTATGCAAGTCAGGGAGGCGGAGAAGGTGATGCAAACAAGCGGGCAGCATGTGGGCACAGTGGGGCAGAGTTCTCTGAGGCCCCTTAGAAGTTCCTGCTTCGAGGCCAGGCGTGGTGGCTCACACCTGTAATCGCAGCACTTTGAGAGGCTGAGGTGGGCAGATCACAAGGTCAGGAGATCGAGACCATCCTGGTGAACACGGTGAAACCCCGTCTCTACTAAAAATACAAAAAAATTAGCCGGGTGTGGTGGCGGACGCCTGTAGTCCCAGCTACTTGGGAGACTGAGGCAGGAGAATCGTGTGAATCCGGGAGGCGGAACTTGCAGTGAGCCGAGATCACGCCACTGCACTCCAGCCTGGGCAACAGAGCGAGATCTGTCTCAAAAAAAAAGAAGTTCCTGCTTCCCAGAGGCCACATGAAGGCCCTCCAGCCACGGCCCTTCCTTGAATGGGATGGTGTGAGTCCTTCATGCTGCAGCTGGAGGGGGGGCCATCTCTGACTTCAAGCATTAAATACCCGAGGACTGGCTCTTTAGATCCCATTGCCTGTGGCCCACTTTGGCCTCTAGGATCTTCTTTCTTTGTCTGCCAACTGCAGTGGTGAGGCCACTTGGGAGCCTTGAGGTCATTTCTTCTAGCCTAACATCTAAGGGCCTCCCTTTATTTTAATTTTTTATTAAAATTTCAGATTATTATGTTTAATTTCAAACAAAGAATAATACAATGGACCAGGCACAGTGGCTCATGACTGTCATCCCAGCACTTTGGGAGGCCAAGGTGGAAGGATCGCTTGAGGCCAGGGATTCAAGACCAGCTTGGACAAAATAGTGAGATCTCATCTCTACTTAAAAAAAAAATGCTGGTCATGGTTGTGTGCACCTGTTGTCCCAGTTACTTACGAGGCTGAGGCAGGAGGATGGCTTGAGCCCAGAGGTTGAGGGTGCAGTGAGCTATGATTGCGCCACTGCACTCCAGCCTCGGTGAGAGAGCAAGACACTGTCTCCAAAAAAAAAAAATAAATAAAAGCGTAAAGAAAAGAATAGAAGGAAACCATCATCCATGTGAAGTGTTCTTTTTTTTTTTTTTTTTTTTAAAGACAGAGTCTTGCTCTGCAGCCCAGGCTGGAGTAGTGCAATCATGTGATCTCAACTCACTGCAACCTCTGCCTCCTGGGCTGAAGCACAACCTCCCGAGTAGCTGGGATTACAGGCACATGCCACCATACCTGGCTAATTTTTGTGTTTTTAGTAGAGACAGAGTTTCACCATGTTGACCAGGCTGGTCTCAAACTGCTGACCTCAAGTGATCTGCCTGCCTCAGCCTCCCAAAGTGCTGGCATTACAGGCGTGCGCCACCACCCCCGGCTAATTTTTGTATTTTTAGTAGAGCCAGGGTTTTGCCATGTTGGCCAGGCTGGTCTCAAACTCCTGACCTCAAGTGATCCGCCTGCCTTGGCCTCTCAAAGTGCTACGATTATAGGCATGAGCCACCACGCCTGGCCATGTTTCTTTTTTGAATGGTGGGAGAAAGTGTGATTTTTTAGCTTCCCTTTTCTGTACTTTCCAAATGCTCCTCTCTTCATCTGGGCTTGTCCCTGAGCCCCTGGGTCCTTATAACTGTGCTGTTAAGAATAGAGAGGGAGCCTGGGGCCACTAGCCTGGGGGGGACCCAGCGATTGTAGGAAGGAGCCGTCAGCCTCCACATCTGAAGGTGGAGAAGGATTTGTACTGTTCGCCTCCTCCCTCTGCCTGTGGTGGGGTGAGGCTGATTCCATCACAACAGCAACAACAACAACAACAGCAGCAGCAGATCACCTCAGCTGGCAGCCACTGTGGCCGTGTTGGCAAGGGACCTCGGGCGTTCTCTCTGCCAGCAGGTCCCGCTGTGTGTCCAGCTGGAGCGCCTTTGGGGACACCTTGTTCTGCTGAGGTGGTAAATGGCACGTCTGTCTAATGTTGCCCCGAATTGTTTTTTCCAGGTCTTAGTACCCTGCAAAGGAAGCCTGTCGAGCAGCATCCAGTCTACTTGTCAGTTTGAGTCCTACATTTTGATACCTGTGGAAGAGCATTTTCAGACCTTAAATGGAAAGGTATTCATTTCTTGGTGGATCAGCCAGGGTCACCTACTCGGTGTTTGGGGCCAGAGGGGAGGAAGAGAGTCCCGTTCTCAGCCTTTCACAGCTACTGGCAATGGTGGCATTTGACACACACTGCAGCCCCGTGGGGGGCTGGAGGGACCCTGCCTTTGTGGTGGAGGAAAGGGAGGTAGTGATGGTAAGCTGGACCCCAGCTGCTGTCTTGGAGGCCGGGAGGTGCCAAGCATCTCTCTCTGATCCCGTGATGGGGTTTCTGCCGTGTGTCGCTGGAACACCTCCTCCTTGCTGATGTCCGAGCCAAAGGAAGTTGTTTTATCCCAGTGCCGTGAAAAGCTTGTCAGTGTCTTGGTCCCGAATAGGACATCAGGGATGAATATTTTAGTTTTTAAAAGCTTTTTGTTTCAGCTGGACATGGTGGCCTACGCCTATAATTCTAGCACTTTGGGGGGCCGAGGCAGGAGAATCACTTGAGGCCAGGAGTTTGAGACCAGCCTGGAAAACATAACGAGACCCCATCTCTGCCAAAAATAAAAATAAAAAAATTAGCCAGGCGTGATGGTGCGTGCTTCTAGTCCTAGCTACTTGGAAGGCACAGGTGGGAGAATTGCTTAAGCTGAGGAGTTTGAGCTTGCAGTAAGCCATGATTGTGTCACCACACTGTAGCCTGGGCAACAGAGTGAGACCCTGTCTCAAAAAAAAAAAAAAAACAAACCCAAAAAACAATCTTTTTGTTTTGAAATAATTTCAAATGTTTTAGTAAAGTTGAAAAAACTCTTAAATGTGCTTCCCCCCAAGCTGTTAACATTCTTGCCACATTGGTTTTATCGCTGTCTCTCAACACATATTATTATTATTTTGAATCTTTTTTTTTTTTTTTGAGATGGAATCTTGCTCTGTCACCAGGCTGGAGTGCAGTGGCGCTATCACAGCTCACTGCGAGCTCCGCCTCCCAGGTTCACGCCATTCTCCTGCCTCAGCCTCCCGAGTAGCTGGGACTACGGGCACCCGCCACCATGCCCAGCTAATTTTTTGTATTTTTAGTAGAGACGAGGTTTCACCATGTTAGCCAGTATGGTCTCGATCTCCTCACCTCATGATCCACCCGCCTCGGCCTCCCAAAGTGCTGGGATTACAGGCGTGCGCCACCGCGCCTGGCCTGAATCTTTTGAGAGTAAGTTGCAGGCACTGTGCCCTTTAGCCCAAGACAGCTCAGTGTGTATTTCCCAAGAACAGGCATTCTCTTATGTAACCACAACGCAATGATCACACTCAGATAATTTAGCATTGATAGAATGTCCTCCAACATATTGTCCTCATACAGACTGTGCTGATTATACCAATTATATCTTTCATAGCAAAAAAAACTTCTTCTTAGCTCTAGAATCACACACTACATTTTTTTTTTCTTTTGAGGCGGAGTCTCACTCTGTCACCCAGGCTGGAGTGCAGTAGCTTGATCTCAGCTCACTGCAACCTGCGCCTCCCAGGTTCAAGTGATTCTCCTGCCTCAGCCTCCTGAGTGTCTGGGACTGCAAGCACTCGCCACCATGCCCGGATAATTTTTGTATTTTTAATAGAGACGGGGTTTCACCATATTAGCCAGGCTGGTCTCAAACTCCTGACCTCAAATGATCCACCCACCTTGGTCTCCGAAAGTGCTTGGATTACAGGCATGAGCCACTGCACCCGGCCTGGATCCTTTTTAAATGTTGCAACAGAAAAAACATTGAGCTGTTTCTTTAGGAGAAGAAATTCTGTGTTCTTTGTGAAAAGAAAAGGTAAGAAAGCTCTCCCTATCTAAGAGATGGAAGTAATCTTGTGCTGCAGTGTGGCCAGGGCTGAATCCCACCTGCTACTCCCTGCATGGCTTACTGTGGTCATGGCCGGGTGCTGGGGGCAGACCAGCTGCGCAAAGCCCGACTCCTGTCCTTTTTGTAGATCTAGGTGTCCAAAAGAGAACAAATCAACTAAGCTGACTGACAGCTGGGGTGAGCAGATCTCTAGCAGGAAAACAGCAGTGTGTCTTGTGAGCCACAGGGCAGAGCAGATGCACTGACAACCCCGTGCTTCCTCTCCCTGTCACAGCGCCACAAACCTCAGCTGCCGCATCTGAACACAGCCCCTGCCCCAGTGAGGACACTGTGGCCGGGCTTCCCTGACTATGGGGATGCCGGGAAAAACAGGGCCATTCCTGAATGGGAATAAAATCTCCCCCTCTCAGAACCTACCTGCTTCCGCTTTAAAAGCAAAACAAAACAAAACGACACATACCCCATGGTTAACATCAACAGTGAAAAAAGCTGACATCATGTGCCTTCCAACAGGATACACAGAGGGAGATAAAACATCCCTTTCAGGGCATTCCTATCAGAAACGTGTAACTGTAAAACCGTAATCTAATTGTCAGGAAACATCAGACAAACCCTCCCAAACACACGGAGGGAGAGTCTGCGATACGCAACAAAAATGTCAATGTCGTGAAAGGCAAAGAAAGACCGAGGCACTGTTCCAAATAAAGGAAACTGAAAAGATGAACAAATGCATCGTGTGGGCCAGGTGTGGTGGCTCACGCCTGTAATCCCAGCACTCCAGGAGGCCAAGGCGGGCGGATCACCTGAGGCTGGGAGTTCAAGAGCAGCCTGGCCAACATGACAAAACTGTGTCTCTACTAAAAATACAAAAATTAGCTGGGTGTGGTGGTGGGTGCCTGTAGTGCCACGTACTCAGGAGGCTGAGTCAGGAGAATTGCTTGACCCTGGGAGGCGGAGGTTGCAGTGAGCCGAGGTCGCACCACTGCACTCCAGCCTGGGTGATGGAGTAAGACTCTGTCTCAAAAGAAAATAGAAATGATTCAGGTATCTTGCAGCCATAGCTACTAGGCCAACAAAGAGGAAACATTTTAGTATCAAAATGAGCAAAACAGGAGAGTATTTGTGCCCCAGCAAACCCACAATGGGGTGAAGGCCGTAGGGTCTGGTTAAGTGCTGCATCGGGGGCCAGGCTGAGAGTGGGATGTGGTTGCCCCGGCTGCTGGTGCAGTGATGGCTTTCTTGTTTCCAGGATGTCTTTATTCAAGGGAACAGGATTAAATTAGGAGCTGGTTTTGCCTGTCTTCTCTCAGTGCCCATTCTCTTTGAAGAAACTTTCTACAATGAAAAAGAAGAGAGTTTCAGCATCCTGTGTATAGCCCATCCTTTGGAAAAGAGAGAGAGTTCAGGTATTCTGGGAGAAAAAACCTTTTTCTCCTGTTTTAGAAAAATGTGTTTGTTGAACTTGTTCCTGACTTAGCTGTTGAAAGGTTAAACAAGGCCGGGTATGGTGGCTCGCGCCTGTAATCCCTGCACTTTGGGAGGCCGAGGCACAAGGATCACTTGAGGCCAGGAGTTCAAAACTAGCCTGGAAACATAGTGAGACCCTGTCTCTATAAAAAAATTAAAAAAATCAAGCCGGGCGCAGTGGCTCACGCCTGTAATCCCAGCACTTTGGGAGGCTGAGGCAGGCAGATTACTTGAGGTCAGGAGTTCAAGATCAGCCTGGCCAATGTGGTGAAACCCCATCTCTACTAAAAATACAAAAATTAGCTAGGTGTGGTGGCATGCACCTGTAATCCCAGCTACTCGGGAGGCTGAGGTAGGAGAATTGCTTGAACCCAGAAAGTGGAGGTTGCAGTAAGCTGAGATCACGCCTCTGTACTCGATCCTGGGTGACAGAGTGAGACTCTGTCTCAAAAATAAAAAGTAGGCTGGGCGTGGTGGCTCACGCTTGTAATCCTAGCACTTTGGGAGGCCGAGGTGGGCGGATTACCTGAGGTCAGGAGTTCAAGACCAGCGTGACCAACATGGGGAAACCCCATCTCTACTAAAAATACAAAAAAAATTAGCCACGTGCAGTGGTGCGTGCCTGTAATCCCAGCTACTCAGGAGGCTGAGGCAGGAGAATCACTTGAACCCGGGAGGCAGAGACTGTGGTGAGCCGAGATCGCACCACTGCACTCCAGCCTGGGCTACAGAGTAAGACTACGCCTCAAAAAAAAGATAAAAATAAAAATAAAAAGTAAAAAAATAAAATAATTAGCCGGGCATGGTGGTGCATGCCTGTAGTCTCAGTTACTCAAGAGGCTGAGGTGGGAGGGTCACTTGAGCCTAGGAATTCAAGGCTGCACTGAGCCATGATCACACCACTGCACTCTAGCATGGGCTACAGAACAAGACCCTATCTCCAAAAACAATAAAATAAATTATTATTATTATTATTTAATTATTTTTGAGATGGAGTCTTGCTCTGTTGCCAGGCTGGAGTGCAGTGGCGCAATCTTGGCTCACTGCAGCCTCCAGCTCCCGGGTTCAAGCGATTCTCCTGTCTCAGCCTCCTGAGTAGCGGGGATTACAGGCGCCCGCCACCACACCCAGCTAATTTTTTTATTTTTAGTAGAGACAGGGTTTCACCATGTTGGCCAGGATGGTCTTGATCCCTTGACCTCATGATCTGCCCGCCTCAGCCTCCCAAAGTGCTGGGATTACAGGCATGAGCCGCTGCGCCCGGCCAATAAATTATTTTTTTAAAAAAGGTTAAACATCATGGAAAATATTCAAGAGCCACATGGAGACCTATATAATTGTTTTCAGTGGTTCCTACTAGAACTTTAAAGTCACTGGGCTAAGGAGGTGTGGATCGGGGCTGCTGTTGCACAGGTCGGGCATTGCACAATTCCAGGAGGCAGCATTCGCATAGACAGCCTACCTGTGATCAGCCTGGGATGTGACTGTTGCCCCCATGAGTTATGCAAAGCAGTAGCCCCAGCTTTGTCTCTGGGTGTCAGCTTCAGGGCTGTCTCTTATAGCGCCCAGCCCCAGCATTGTGCCTCTTTGAGATTTCGTTATTTTTAATAAATAATAAGTCTTCATTTGCCCCAGAAAATTGAGATAATAATGTGCTGGATGCACACTGATGCTCTTATTGTCAGGAATTGGGGTCTTGCCCATGGTCCCAGATAGTTTGGTTTTGTCCCAGGAAGAGGCCTTGAGAGGACCAGGCTCTCTGGACTCCAGGGTGTCCTGTAACTGGGCTGTTCTTGTGTAGTGTCTTGAAATAAGGACATTTGCCCTCCTCCCCAGAGGGCCTAGGCCCTGTAGGATAGGACAGAGTCAGGAACCAGCAGAGGCTTCAGCCGGCCTGACCTGTTTGTTTCTTTTTCAGAAGAGCCTTTGGCACCCTCAGATCCCTTTTCCCTGAAAACCATTGAAGATGTGAGAGAGTTCTTGGGAAGACACTCCGAGCGATTTGACAGGAACATCGCCTCTTTCCATCGAACATTCCGAGAATGCGAGAGAAAGAGCCTCCGTCACCACATAGTCAGTAGCCGTGCTGTCCTCTGCCTGGCGTGCCCTGTCTCGGTTCAGTGCAGGGTGCTGGGAGCCCTCAGTTTCCTCTGGAACTGCCTGGTGCTGCCTCACTGTTTGAAGTCTTTTAAAAATGTTTCTCTCTAACTATAAAAGTAGTTTAACCGGGCATGGTGGTACAAGCCTGTCTTCCCAGCACTTTGGGAGGCCGAGATGGGAGGATCTCTTGAGGCTGGGAGTTCAAGACCAGCCTGGGTAACATAAAAAGACCCCATCATTACAGAAAATACAAAAATTAGCCAGGCATGGTGGCATGCACGTGTATTCCCAGCTACTTGGGAGGCCGAGGTGGGAGGATGGCTTTAGCCCAGGAGTTTGAGACTGCAGCGTGCTATAGTCATACCACTGCACTCTACTCTGGGCAACAAAGTGAGACCCTGTCTCTTAAAAAGAAAAAACAAACCAAGTGGTAAAGTCATGGGGAAGTATAACAATGAGTATTATTATCCTCTGTGTTAACCCCAAGGGGAAGTTTCTCCTGCTTTTAATGCATATACACCTAAAAAAAAAGTTGAGAAAAATCACGTAATTGACTTCATAAAGCTTGTGTTAGCACTTGAAGCTCTGTGCGCCTTACCCGCTCCGGCTCCCCCGTCATGGCCTTGCTGGTAAGGGTGGCCTGTCCCTCTGCTCTATGTGGTTTAGGACTCAGCGAATGCTCTCTACACCAAATGCCTCCAGCAGCTTCTGAGGGACTCTCACCTGGTAAGCAGCAGGACTTCTGAGAGGGAGAATTGTGGTGCACCCCCATGCAAATCCAAGCCCTTTCACTGTGCTTTTCTTGCCCTCTAGAAAATGCTCGCCAAGCAGGAGGCCCAGATGAACCTGATGAAGCAGGCAGTGGAGGTGAGGGTGGGGCGGAGTGGCTGGGAGGCACACCCTGTTGCCCGCTCACACCCTGAATGGGGTCTGTTGATTCCACAGATATACGTCCATCATGAAATTTACAACCTGATCTTTAAATACGTGGGGACCATGGAGGCAAGTGAGGTAGGTTCTCAGTTATTATCACCCAAGATGGAAGCCTTCTTCTGTGCTTTTTGAGAAATTTGAAGGTTCGTTAAAATCTGTTGTTAGGATGCGGCCTTTAACAAAATCACAAGAAGCCTTCAAGATCTTCAGCAGAAAGATATTGGTGTGAAACCGGAGTTCAGGTAAGGGTTTGCGCCACAGCGGCTTGGTGTCCTCAGAGGCAGGGGTGCTGTCTTCTCCCGGAAGCAGGCCCTCTCGGTGGCAGAGGTGACACGCTGGTTTGATGTGGTTAGTTCTGAGGAGCAGCGCAGTTACTTGCAACCAAAGATAAAGGGCTGCCCTTTATAGGTGACTGTGTGTGGCCGTCCCCCTCCCACACTGCACCAGCACGCCAGCTGGATGGGAGCCGCTGGGCACGGGGTTTTGTGCAGCTGGTCCCCAAGTGGGCATGTAATTTGCCCATGTGGGTTCTGCGTGCAGGGGACATCCCACCTGCCCACCCAAGGGAACCTTGCCATAGAGATACCTACTTAGGAGTTAATTCATTTCTTTAATTTTTATTCTTTTTGAGACAAAGTCTCACTCTGTCGCCCAGGCTGGAGTGCAGTGGTGTGATCTCGGCTCACTGCAACCTCTGCCTCCTGAGTTCAAGTGATTCTCCTGCCTCAGCCTCCCGAGTAGCGGGATTACAGGTGCACACTACCATGCCCTGCTAATTTTTGTATTTTTAGAAGAGATGGGGTTTCACCATGTTGGCCAGGCTGGTCTTGAACTCCTGACCTCAAGTGATCTGCCCACCCTGGTTTACAAGTGCTGGGATTACAGGCGTGAGCCACTGCGCCGAGCCTAATTTAAGTTTCATTAGGACACAAAAATGTTTCACCTACCACAACCCTCTTTGGGTTGTTTCCCTCTAGGAATAGGATTTTTTTTTTTCAGCTTTTCTTGTACAACTCTATCACCTGGCAGCCTGAATGGGATTGAAGGCTCTTCTGTTTTGCCGCTGACTTGAGTCAGATGACTTCTCAGTATCTGTTTTTGTGTTTCATTCCTTCTGGTTTGTTGTGAGAAGTGTAGATCCTGAGATGTGTTCTTAGATCCAGGCCAGAGGGTTCTCTTACTGTGCTCTGAAGTTGTCACTTTCCAAATTATTTTACAGCTTTAACATACCTCGTGCCAAAAGAGAGCTGGCTCAGCTGAACAAATGCACCTCCCCACAGCAGAAGCTTGTCTGCTTGCGAAAAGTGGTGCAGCTCATTACACAGTCTCCAAGCCAGAGAGGTTTGTGCTTGGAAAGGGGACTGGCCAAGGGGTAGATGCTACATCCAGATGAAAAAGCAAAGAGTGATGCTGTCTTAAGGGATTTTTATGGGGCTGGGTGCAGTGGCTCACCTCTGTAACCCCAGTGCTTTGGGAGGCCAAGGTGGGAGGATCACTTGAGGCCAGGAATTGGAGGTTGCAGTGAGCTATGATCACACCAGTGCACTACAGCCTGGGTGATAGAGTGAGACCCCTTCTCAAAAAAAAAAAAAAAAAAGAAGAAGTAAAAGAAAACAAGTCAAGAAAAAGTCAGTAAGGAAGAGACATAGCTGTATGTGTAGATAAGGGATGATCCTGAGTGTATGGAATGAAATAAACAGGAATGCATATGGTAGACTTCCAGCCAACAGCATCAAAGAATGGGGGATAGCTGTTTAGCCACGATATGATGGTGAGCTCATAGCTGTCCTGGACAGATGTGCAGGAAGCAACAGCAGGAGCCTCTGGGAAAAGAGACTGGCTGGCAGGGATGGGAGGAACATTCACAGTTTGCTCTTTTGTATTGTTTGAATTTTTAAATGTGAATGAATTACTTAAAATTTCAAAATGGAAAAAAAGTGAAACTCCACATGGGCAGTGGACTCCATGTCTATAAAATGGAAGTGACCTTAGGAAGGACCTTGGTGACTTTAGGAAGAAAGAGACTTTAGGTGATGGCTCTGGGCTCATCTTCATTTTTTATCACTGAAGCCACCTCCCTGGGCTCTTTCAGCGTCCAAGGGGGTGGCAAGGCATGGTCTGCTTGGAGTTAACATATTTTTTTTTTTTCTTAAGAGACAGGGTCGGCTGGGCGCGGTGGCTCACACCTGTAATCCCAGCACTTTGGGAGGCTGAGGCGGGCAGATCACGAGGTCAGGAGATCGAGACCATCCTGGCTAGCACGGTGAAACCCTGTCTCTACTAAAAATGCAAAAAAAAATTAGCTGGGCATGGTGGCGGGCACCTGTAGTCCCAGCTGCTCAGGAGGCTGAGGCAGGAGAGTGGCGTGAACCCGGGAGGCGGAGCTTGCAGTGAGCCAAGATTGCGCCACTGCACTCCAGTCTGGGTGACTGAGCGAGACTCCGTTTCAAAAACAAACAAACAAAAAAAAGAGACAGGGTCTCACTCTGTCACCCAGGCTGGGTGCATTTGTAGATCACTACATCCTTGAACTCCTGGGCTCAAGTGATCCTCTTGCCTCAGCCTCCCAAGTACCTGGGATTACAGGCATGCACCACCACCCTTGGCTAATTTTCATATTTTTTTGTAGAGGTGGGGGTCTTGCTATATTGCCCAGGCTGGCCTCAGACTCCTGGCCTCAAGCAATTCTCCCGTCTCGGCCTCCCAAAGCACTGGGATTACAGGCACGTGCTGCCGTATCTGGCTAGAGTTACTAATACCTTGTTTTGGTCATGTTCTGAAATTGCTGGGCATTCTTTTCCCCCTGGACCTGACATCTGATCAGGACGCTGTAAAGGAGCTTGTGCAATGACATTTCTCCCCCAGTGTATGATCTCCCTGATACGTGGTTTCACAAGGTGTGCGGTGGTAGGGAGTTGATATGCTTGTCAGTCCATTTGAATCTCATGATGGCATTGAATGTGTGTTTCCCCTTTGCAGTGAACCTGGAGACCATGTGTGCTGATGATCTGCTATCAGTCCTGTTATACTTGCTTGTGAAAACGGAGATCCCTAATTGGTAACATTTTCTTTTAAGATACTCTTTTGAAAATGGCAGTGCTTGGCCGGGCACGGTGGCTCACGCCTGTAATCCCAGCACTTTGGGAGGCCAAGGCGGGCGGATCACGAGGTCAGGAGATCGAGACCATCCTGGCTAACACGGTGAAACCCCGTCTCTACTAAAAAATACAAAAAAATTAGCTGGGCATGGTGGTGGGCACCTGTAGTCCCAGCTACTCAGGAGGCTGAGGCAGGAGAATGGCGTGAACCCAGGAGGCGGAGCTTGCAGTGAGCTGAAATCGCGCCACCGCACTCCAGCCTGGGCGACATAGCGAGACTCCGTCTCAAAAAAAAAAAATGGCAGCACTGCACTGTGGTAGTTCTAATGTAACTCTAGGAAAAGCCCATCTTCAATTGGACACCTGTTACGAGCTAGGTGTGGGGCCTCCCCTTGCTTCATCCATCCACTTACAGATGGGGAAACCAAGGCCCGGAGAGCTTACATTTCTTGTTCTGGAATGAGTGTCTAGACAGTGGTTGAGCAGAAAGCTGATTGCCATTCTTTCTGGCCCCAAAACCCATAATCTCTCCCCTGGAACCCACAGCTCAGTTTACGGTAATCAGCTTGCTAAAGACTATTTCAGGGAACTAGCTAGTCATTTTACTTGTGTTCCTAATCGCACACACTCTGCAGAGAGATCCAGGGGATGGTGGTCGTAGCTTCCTGAGCGAACCAACTGACTAGATATTTGATCAGTTGCCCAAGCCAATGATATTTTTTTTGCAGAAGTGTGACTTGGATAGACAACAACATAACTTTTTTCTTCCTTTCATTAGGATGGCAAATTTGAGTTACATCAAAAACTTCAGGTTTAGCAGCTTGGCAAAGGATGAACTGGGATACTGCCTGACCTCATTCGAAGCTGCCATTGAATATATTCGGCAAGGAAGCCTCTCTGCTAAACCCCCTGTAAGATCTCACCCCTGCCCTGGCCTTCCTTTGTGGGCATCATGGTTCCCTTGATAGGGTGCTGGGGTTGGTATGTGGGCAGACGGATTCTTAAATTGCCTCCCAGGAATGGGGCCTCAGCTGTTTGAGGGCTGTGAGTCTTAAAAATCACTCAGTGAAGAGAACACCAAGCCCTCAATTGGTGGTAAAAATTGGTGGGTTATCATTGGGATTTACATTGTTAATATCCTACTTCATTAGTCCCCATCCTCTCCAAAGACATGTGGGTGCAAAGGGAAGCCAGAAGTAGGGAATTTGGATTTCTTGACCTTGATAGTCAAGAAGTGATGTCACGGGATCCCTGGACTGTCGCTTTTCCAGCCGGAAACCTCTGTGGCTGGTGGCTCCTTTGCCTGAGTTTTGTTCGGGCCTGCTGGGCTCATTTCACGCTCTTGGCCTGGCAGGCTGCGCTCGGCTTGTGCTACTGGCCTGGATCCCATGCCTGCCAAGGGCGAGCCAGGTGTGGAGTGGCGAGGGGTATGTGAGCAAGTGCAGGGTCTGGCCACTGCACACAACCAGGTGTGCCGACTGAGGTGGGGTGGGCAGCTCCAAGTTGCTTGTACAGGGTCCTGCTCCATGCAAGGCTGCAGCTAGAGCAGGCGTACTGTAGGCCGCTTCCACGGTGGGCACTGGGGAACACAGTGGGGCCTGGAAGCTTGGAGACACCAGGAACTGCAGAGCCCCAAAGAGGGTGTCATAGCCCTGGCTCGGGGAACTCCTAGGTTGGGCTCCCTGAAGGGCCAGAGCTCTTCTCTCCTCTCGTCACCTGCAATGTAGTGAGTCGGGAGCATGTTTTAGCTCTCTTTATGTTACAGCTCTTTCAGTCCTGCCATTTGGTGGGTCCCGAGTTCTTGTCCCATGTCGAGGAAGAATGAGGTACGTAGACTAGTGGAGGGTGAGCAAGGCAGAGAGGAGCTTTACTGAACGGCAGAATAGCTCTCAGGAGACCCACAGTGGGCAGCTTCTTTCCACAGGCAGGTCGTCCTGACGAGTTAAAGAGGCCTGACGTAGGTAGCTCCTTCCTGCAGTTGGTAGTCCCGACATCTGTCTGAGTCTGGCTGAGTCCGGGGTTTTTTATGGCTCAGAAGGGAGGGAGTATGTGCTGATTGGTCCATAGGTGGGCCTGGAGAAAGCACCATGAGTTCTCAGTCTGGGTCGTGGACTCCACTTGGGACTGACAGCCCGGCCCCCAGGCTTTAGGCTGTCCCTGTCTTGAAGGTGGGGCTTCACTGGGCACCTGCACCTTTCCACCCAGAAGCGTGTCTGCCTTCTGCCACCATCAACATGCTGGCCAGTGCATCCAGGCTGTTTGTGCCAAGGGGCATCTGCAGGCCTGCACTGAGCTGCCCTCAGCCCCTACCTTGACTACTCTCCCATGCTCATCAGCGCCCAAAATCTTGGAGGGGTCTGAGGCATCAGGAGGCTGGTGTGTCAGTGTCACACCAAGCATGTGCACACATGGCTGGGTTGCAACAGTACCCGGGCTTGGCCTCAGCTTTGCTCTGAAATTGAAGTCGGTGCCAGGAGTGGGGAGGAGCGGGAGCAGGCACTTACGAGCCTGCGGCGGCAGGGATGCTTCCTGGGCCCCTGAGAGTGCAGAGATTCCTGGATCCAGAGCTGCGGCTGGGCGGCTGCAGCTGCGCCTGGGAGTGCAGGGCTCCCGCCCTGCCAGCTCAGTAGGAGATGGGGGCTCCTGCCTGTTCCTGGCTCCTGTTGGCCCTGCAGAGTGCACAAACCTGGCCGCGCTTCCTCCACTGCAGCTTACGTCTTTGCAGCAGCCACTCCCGATGGGCTGCCACTGCCATCTGTGAGACCATTAATGTGTGCAATTTGAGGACTCAGTGGCCTTGCCATTGTTTCCTTGGTTTTTATTGAGCATTGGCTGGGGTCGGCGAGGGGATGTGATTATATTTCTATGTGAATCGTGAGAATCTTGAACCATGGTTGTCCTGCTGGCCTGTTTTACTACATACCAATGAGTAAAATGTGATCATACAGAAATCACAAAGTTGAAATCTATAAAATGAAAAGATCTCTGTATTATAAGGTGAGAGTGCCAAGGATTGAACATTCATCTTTGTCAGACTTTGATGTAGAATCTCCCAAAATAATGATGAGCTAAAGCGTCTGGGAGACAGCATCAGCCTGTCCAGGTGCTCTCAGGTGCAGGCATTTCCACCCCATTCATTCGTTATTGACACGTTCATGCATTTTCAGTCTTTTTCCTACCCATGTATATTTTACATAATTGAAATTATATTGTGTGCTGGGCCGGGCACGGTGGCTCACGCCTGTAATCCCAGCACTTTGGGAAGCCAAGGCAGGTGGATCATCTGAGGTCAGGAGTTCGAGACCAGCCTGGCCAACATGGTGAAACCCTGTCTCTACTAAAAATACAAGAATTAGCTGGGTGTGGTGGCAGGTGCCTGTAATCCCAGCTACTTGGGAGGCTGAGGCAGGAGAATTGCATTAATCCGGGAGGCAGAGGTTGCAGTGAGCTGAGGTTACACCACTGCACTCTAGTCTGAGCAACACAGCAAGACTCTGTCTCAAATATGTGTATATATATATAAAAAATATATATATATATATAGAGAGAGAGAGAGAACTGTTTTTTTCCCAAAAGAATAGCTTAATTTTTTCCTAATTAGAAGACTAATATTTGCTTACAAATAATATTTGCAGTCTATAAAATGGCAGTGAAGACAACAAAAACTTCCCATAAACTTACTAGCCAGGGGTGACACTTATTAATATTTTAGCATTTGTCTTTTTTTCTGTGCATACACAATTGTATCTTTTTTTTTTTTTTTGAGGCATGTGAGCCAGCATTTTATTCGTTCATTTCTTGCATGTGAAGCACTCCTCAATCACATCCTTGGCCCGAGATTCTTTGCCAAAGTCCTTAACTGCTACATAGCTGCAGCTAGCCCCTTCATAGGGTCTCCCCTCTCTGTCGTTTTACAGAGGCCTTACCCATTCCTTTCGTTTCTCATTGTCATCAATCTTAATTAGTTTGACCTGGTGTTCAGCACCTAGGGTCTCCCTAATGTGGCACATGCAGGCTTATCACAGTTGGATGCAGGCACACCAAGATGGGCTCAGCAGTCGTCTGAGGCTTTGGCAGCTTGGCGAATTCCATGTGCTAGGCCACCGTGGATGAAGGCGTCCTTCAGCACCCCTTGTAAATCAGTGTTAACATCCATTACACCGCCAGCAGCAGTGTCTTCCTCGGCCATGGCAGTGGGTCACGGGTGCAGCAGTGCAATGTCTTCCTCAGCCACGGTTGTGGGTCATGGGTGCAGCAGTGCAAGACCTTCCTCAGCCATGGCAGTGGGTCACAGGTGTAGCAGTACAATGCCTTCCTTGGCTATGGCGGTGGGTCACGGACGCAGCTGAATCTTGAACACACCTGAGCCTCTGCCTCCACGTGACTTGGCGGTAACAAGGAATGAACACAGTTATCTTTTTAACCAAAATTTTAGATCATGATCTCGCTGTACTCGTTGACAGTATTCAGGTACTTGTTGAAGAATTAATCTCTGCTCTTCTCTGAAGTCTGATTTAATCACCCCACTCAGCTGCCAGTGAAATTGGGGGTCATCCATCGCATCTCGGATGTGGCTGGCTGTGGCTCTTCTGAAAAGTTTCTTTCTTCTGCCTTGTTTCCATATTTAGGGGGAAATCAGCAAGATTCTAGAGTATGTATGTGGGCTGGGTGCAGTGGCTCATGCCTATAATCCCAGCACTCTGGGAGGCTGAGGCGGGTGGATCACCCGAGGCCAGGAGTTGGAGACCAGTGTGGGCAACATAGTGAGACCTTGTCTCTACAAATAAATAAATAAATAAAAAAGAATGCGTGTGTGTGTGCTCTTGTGTCTCTACCTATGCGTGTGTGCAGATCAGAATTTCTGTTCATTTCCAAGGCTGGGGAGTAAGAGTTGTGAGTTTGACTTGTTTTCTATGAGGCTGTGGGAACTTGTGTTTCTCTCACCGTGCCTGCGGTGGTTTTTGCCCTGCCCTCTGGTTCTTGCAGGGCAAGAAACAGATTGGTCTGAGAGTTCACTCCCTGGCCGGCTTTCCTGCCCTGCAGAGGAATCACTCTGCTGTGCCTTGCTGGGCCCAGGGTGTCTCTGGTCACCTGGAAGGAGGTGTCCACCTCTCAAAGATGCTCCCATCCCCTTGCTGCTCCCTGTAGCGTGGCTGTCTTCTGCTTTCTCATTTTCTGTGGAGGCCTTCACCAGGTTGTAAGGAGGTGGCTGACCAAACAGTATACATCGGCTTCTCACACCTCCTTTTATTTCAGAAAATATTGCAGGCACATTGGCAGTAATATTTGAGAGGTTCCTTCTCTCGTGCTGGTGTTGGTTTGAGGGTTTGAGTCCAGTCTTTCTTTTTTTTTGAGACTGAGTCTCGCTCTGTCACCCAGACGGGAGTGCAGTGGTGCAATCTCAGCTCAATGCAACCTCCACCTCCCGGGTTCAAGCGATTCTCCTGCCTCAGCCTCCCAAGTACCTGGGACTACAGGCACGCACCACTACGCACGGCTAATTTTTGTATTTTTGTGGAGATAGGATTTTGCCATGTTGGCTGGGCTCGTCTTGAACCCTTGACCTCAAGTGATCCGCCTGCCTCAGCCTCCCAAAGTGCTGGGATTACAGGTACCAGCCACTGCGCCCAGCCTGAGTCCACTCCTATAGGCTCAGATGTCTTGGGCATGTCTGTTTGTCTCTGCATCTGGGGTGTAAGGATGCCCCTAAGGATAGTGTTTAGTTTGGATGGGAAAGGGAGGGTCACAGCCCAAGGCACCCCTCTTGTTGTCAGGGTGTTGGACCCTGGTTCTGCCCTCCTGGATGGAGTATGGTTGGTTCTGGTGAAACCTTGAGACAGGTATGCATCATCCTCACGGCTGGCTGTGAAGCCCACCCTGCAGGTATTGAGAGATGCTCGTATATTTACTGTGGCCTGTAATTGACGGAGCAGGCGTCGTGGCTTCCTTGTTGTTGTGATTCTGTCTGTATCATGGCCTCTGTCTTAGCTGCTCACTGGTTTAAGTAATGAAGTTCCCTTTAGGAATGTAGAGAGTCATTGCTATGTATTGATGGTGTTTCCTAGGGAAAAATCCCAAGTGTATCTCCTCACAGCAGAAGAGGTTTCTGAAAAGTATTAAGGACTAAATATGAGGACATCCAGTTAGATTTTACTATTGATTTTATATAATATAGTTTCATGGAAATTTTCTCTGCAAAATATACTTGAGATGACCATAAGCTTTTATTTTTCTTAGAGACAGGATCTCGCTCTGTCACCCAGGGTGGAGTGCAGTGGTGTGATCCTAGCTCACTGCAGCCTCCAACTCCTGCGCTCAAAGGGATCCTCCTGCCTCAGCCTCCTGGGTGGCTGGGACTACAGGTGTGTGCCACCACACCTGGCTAATTTTTTAATTCTTAAATTTTTTGTAGAGATGAGGTCTCGCTATTTTGCCCAGGCTGAGCTTGAACTCCTGGGCTCATGTGATCCTCCCACCTCAGCTTCCCAAAGTGCTGGGATTACAGGCATGAGCCACCACACCTGCTCAACATTCTTTAAGCATGTTCATAAATGAAGACTTCAGCTTTCTGAAAATAAATTACTGGGATGACTCTAGAGTTACCTTTGTGAATGAAAAAAAGAGAGAACTTTGAAAGAATCTGGGTTGGGCCTGGTCACTCATGCCTGTAATCCCAGCACTTTGGGAGGCTGAGGCAGGAGGATCACCTGAGGCCAGGAGTTCGAGACCAGCCTGGGCAATGTAGCGAGACCGCCATCTTTACAAAAAATTAGCGGTGCACGGTGGCACACCTTTAGTCCCAGCTACTTGGGAAGCTAAGGTGGGAGGATCACTTGAACCTGGTAGTTCAAGGCTGTAGTGAGCTATGATTATACCACTGCAGTCCAGCTTGGGAGACAGAGCAAGACCCCGTCTCAAAAAAAAAAAAAAAAAAACAGATAAAAAAACAAGAAAGAACCTGTACCATTCTTGTCTGCAGCTTTGCATGCTTCTGGCCTTCCTTACGTTACTGGGTTTCTCATAGAAAGGATTTACCCATTTCTTTAGTAAGTCCTTGCTGATACCCCCTCTCTTCCAATAGCTCATTCTTCCCTGAAGATTCAGTCTTGGGAGACCTACCTGTCTTCATCACTGCTGTCTAAATCGTTAACCAGAGTTGCGGAAAGAGTGCTGGATTTACCCGGATAACAATGTGTGATGTTTCTCTGACCCTAAGCTCCTCAGCTGTGAATTGCGGTGTAAAGTGGATTGTTAGAGCTTTATATGGCACACAGCAGCTGGGGGCAGAAGTGCCTCTCACAGGTGCTGCTGTTCATTTGCTAAGTTAACCCTCCTGGGGGACTGCTGGGAGGACCCTGCATGGCAGAGGACCCCAGGAATGGCCTATCCCCAGAGATGCTGTCAGCTCTATCTTTAGGTGGACCTCCAAGTCAAAACTTAGAGGGCTGTAAAGAGACATCCTTATTCCACAAATTTGTCAGGGTTTGGGGGTTTTCTGGCAGCCGCTGGCTGGAGAAAATTCCCTTGACTTCCCACCAAGACCCTTTTCAGGAAGCGAATTTGTCATTACATGGTTTGGTTGCAGGTGCTCAAGGAAGCATTGAACTGTCTTGCGAGAAATGATTTCATAAAGTATTATGGAAAGTATCTAGAGTTTTGCCTTTTTTTTTTTTTTTTTTTTTGAGATGGAGTCTTGCTCTGTCACCCAGGCTGGAGTGTAGTGGCACCATCTTGGCTCACCGCAACCTCCACTTGCGGGGTTCAAGTGATTCTCCTGCCTCAGCCTCCTGAGTAGTTGGGATTACAGGCGCCCGCCACCACACCCGGCTAATTTTTGTATTTTTAGTAGAGAGGGGTTTCACCATGTTGGCCAGGCTGGTCTCAAACTCCTGACCTCAAGTGATCCACGCGCCTCGGCCCCTCAAAGTGCTGGGGTTACAGGCATGAGCCACCGCGCCTGGCCTATTTATTTATTTTTGAGATGGAGTCTCGCTCTCTCACCCAGGCTAGAGTGCAGTGGTGTGATCTCAGCTCACTGTAACCTCTGCCTCCCAGGTTTAAGTGATTCTTCTGCCTCAGCCTCCCAAGTAACTGGGACTACAGGCATGTACCACCATGCCCTGCTAATTTTTTGTGTTTTTAATAGAGATTGGTTTCACCATGTTGGCCAGGCTCGTATTGAACTCCTGACCTCAGGTGATCCGTTCACCTCAGCCTCCCAAAGTGCTGGGATTATAGGTGTGAGCCACTGCGCCTGGCCATGTGGCCATATTATTTAATAGGCACGTCCAAAAAGCAAGACCCCTCTCTCTCCTGCTGGTTGACAGTGGGAAATTGAGACCAGCTTGTGAAATGGCTTTCCTGCCCAAAGGCCTCAGATAAGACAGCAGGGAATTGGGCTCTGCAGGCATTTGGTCAGAGGCTTGAGGAGGAAGGGAGGCCACGGCAATGTGAGTTTCCATCTGGAGGACAATGGTGTGTGTGCGCCGCATTCCACGCTGGAGATGGCACATTCCACATATACACGCAGTCAGGGTGCCGCCACCATCCCCATCCCCCACAGGGAGCAACCGTCAAAGCCTCCACTTCCAGGAAGCCTTCTCCCCACCTGACGTCAGCCCGTCCTCCGTCTCAGTGAGCAGGTCCCATATGAGACGGGAGAGAGGCGCAGCCGATACTGCTCTGAAGAGACAGCCGGGGTTGTTGCTGAGGTGCTGGGTTTTGAAGGATCTGCACTGACATCTCGTGGTGTGTTTGGTTTTTTCCCTGCAGGAGTCTGAGGGATTTGGAGACAGGCTGTTCCTTAAGCAGAGAATGAGCTTACTCTCTCAGATGACTTCGTCTCCCACCGACTGCCTGTTTAAGGTGAGATACCAAGACATCTCTGTGGGTAAATGTGGGTGAGGAACACTGCATCTCTTGGTGCCTCTATAAAATCCATCAGGGTTGGCCAGGCATGGTGGCTCATGCCTATAATCACAGCACTTTGGGAGGCCGAGGTGGGTGATAACCTGAGGCCAGGAGTTCAAGGCCAAGTGTGGCCAACATGGTGCAACAGCCGCCTCTACTAAAAATACAAAAATTAGCTGGGTGTGGTGACACATGCCTGTAGTCTCACTATTCGGGAGGCTGAGGCAGGAGAATCGTTCGAACCCAGAAGGTGGAGGTTGCAGTGAGCCGAGATCATGCCATTGCACTCTAGCCTGGGCGACAGAGAGACTCTGTCTCAAAAAGAAAAAAAAAATGATCAGGGTGGTGGTCTGCATAAACCCTGAAGTTCCATTCTGTGCTCAGAATGGGCAGTAGGAATGCTGAGGTTTTAAATTTGGGATCAAGGCCAGGTGGGGTGGCTTACTTCTGTAATCCCAGCACTTTGGGAGGCCGAAGTGGGAGGATCACTTGAGGCCAGAAGCCCGAGACCAGCCTGGGTAACATCATGAGTACCCGTCTCTACAAAACAATACAAAAATTAGCCAGGTGTGGTGGCGGGCACCTGTAGTCCTAGCTGCTCAGGAGGCTGAGGTGGAAGGATCAGTTGAGGCCAGGAGTTGGAGGCTGCCGTGAGCTATGATTGTGCCGTTGCACTCCAGCCTAGGTGGCAGAGTGAGAGCGGCATGTTTCCCCACCTCCCCCAGCGTGCTGTGCTGTAGCTGTGCTGGGCGGCACACTGTGGGCGCAGGCCAGGCCTCTTGCTTTCTCAGTTCCTCGCAATACTACTAATTCCTCCAGGCCAGCTCAGTGGTGCCTCCGCTGGCAGCCCTGGCAGAGCTGATGCCTCCGCTGGGCTCGAGGAGCCCGTTGTCAGATGTTTATGGGCGTGTGCACTGGGTTGGGAACACGGTGCCTGACTTCCTGGTGGTCTGGTCACCTGGCACATGGGGGCAGCTCCCTGCTCAGACACTGGCCACAGGCAGGCCGCTGAGGTGCCCGCAGGGCAGTCCGTGAGTGCTGGGCGAGGGCAGAGCCCCCTGGGGGAGGCTGCTGTGCTTCCAGGCGACCTGGAGCCAGAGTGGGTCCTGGGGAATGAGCACGTCCAGGAAGCACCAGGTGAGCTCTGCAGGTTTGTGTGTTGATGGGGTTTCCTGCTCATTGCAGCTATTCTCTTTCCTTTACAGGCTGATGCTCTATTAGAATAAAAGAGGATCCCCTAGTCCATAGCAAGTATAAAAATAATAATAAATAAAAAAATAACAAGATGAAGCTGGGCATGGTGGTGTGCACTTGTAGTCCCAGCTATATGGGAGGCTAAGGTGGGAGGATCACTTGAGCCCGAGAGGTTGAGGCTGCAGTGAGCTCTGATTGTGCCACTCTACTCCAGCCTGGGCAACATAGCAAGACCTTGTTTCTAAAAAAATAAATAAATAAATTCTGTTATTTGTCACCCTGTAGGGATTCACTGAAAAAAAAAAAAAAAAAAAAAAAGAACACAAGAGGAACAGGGCTGAGGCTTTTTCTAGTGAGGTGGCAAAATCCACACTGATGTTCAGAGATGTGTTGTCTGCCCGCCATTCCTATTGCTTTATGGATTTTGTCATGTTGTTTTTTTGTTTGTTTGTTTTTATTTTTTGTGACAGAGTCTCACTCTGTCACCCAGGCTGGAGTGTAATGGTGCGATCTTGGTTCACTGCAACCTCCATCTCCCGGGTTCAAGTGATTCTCCTGCCTCAGCCTCCCGAGTCGCTGGGATTACAGGCGTCTGCCACCACATCCGGCTAAGTTTTGTATTTTTAGTAGAGACAAGGTTTTACCATGTTGGCCAGGCTAGTCTCGAACTCCTGACCTCAAATGAGCCACCTGCCTTGGCCTCCCAAAGTGCTGGGATTATAGGCGTGAGCCACCGCTCCAGGCATGTCATTGTTTTTTTAATTATGGGAAACTTTTAACATTTCCAGAAATAGAGTAGTAGAATGAGCCGGCCACCATTGTGCAGTTGTTTCATCTCTCCTCACCTACTTTCCCTACCACCAAGATGATTACAAAGGAAATGCCAGAGTGCAAATCATTTCATCCATAAACACATAGATGAGCATTTCTAAAAGGACTCTCGGCCAGGTTTGGTGGCTCACGCCTGTAATCCCAACACTTCGGGAGGCCGAGATGGGTGGATCACTTGTGGTCAGGAGTTTGAGACCAGCCTGGCCAACATGGCAAAACCCCGTGTCTACTAAAAATATAAAAATTAGCCAGGTGTGGTGGCAGATGCCTCTAATCCCAGCTACTTGGGAGGCTGAGGCAGGAGAATGGCTTGAACCCGGGAGGCAGAGGTTGCAGTGAGCTGAGATCACACCATTGCACTCCAGCCTGGGCGACAGGACGAGACTCCATCTCAAAAAAACCAAAAAGGACTCTCAAAAAATTTACTCCTAATAATTGAGTAATTCCAGCATGTGGATAGCATCTTGGATGTCACTTTTCAGCACATTGCATCAGGTAACCAGAAAGAAGTGGAGAGACTTCTGAGCCAAGAGGACCATGATAAAGATACCGTCCAAAAGATGTGTCACCCTCTCTGCTTCTGCGATGACTGTGAGAAACTCGTCTCTGGGTAAGAGGGTGCTGGTGGAGGCTCAGAGTGCCAGGAAGCAGGAGACAGGCCTCCTGGACCTTCTCCACTGTGCGCTGTGTGACTGCAGATAAGGACTGTCCTCCCTGCCCCCCAGCTGCCTCTGCTGTACAGTGGAGATGATAACAGCTGCCCCTTTGGAGAATCAGATAGGTTAGAGGTTGTCAAAGCACTTGCTCACTGGCGGGCTGGCTGCCAGGGTAGGCTGGTTATAGGGCCTGCCCCAGCCTCAGAAAGGGGGTTTTAGGATGGGAGGAATGTCAGTTTTTCCCAGTAACATTTTTGGTTTCCCATTATCCTTGTCAGGCTATTTTGCTGGGTGTGGAGGCCTAAAGGGTTGGTGGGGGAGAGACTCCAGGGCCAGGTGCCTCTGTTCCTCATGCTGGGTGAGCACTGGGACAGTGCCGGAGACACACATCTCTTGGGTGGCATCCTGTGAGCCGCCTTCTGTCTGTGGTACCTGCCTATCTACCTGGTCAGGGAGAGGCTTTGCTGTGCCATTCCCCTGTGTAGTTTTCTATCTCTTTCTGTATTTTAGGAGGTTGAATGATCCCTCAGTTGTCACTCCATTCTCCAGAGACGACAGGGGGCACACCCCTCTCCATGTGGCTGCTGTCTGTGGTATGTGGTCCTGGGCTGGCCCCTAGGGGCTGTCACAGCAAAGGGATGGTGCCCAAGGTGACCCAGCAGAGAGGCCTGGCTGATGGGCTGGGTGGGGGTTGGCAGTTGGGGCTGCATCGTGGGTCCACCCTCCAAGGGCCGGAAGGAGAAGAGGAGCAAACGTTCCACAGGCCTCGACGGCCACCCTGCTGCCTCCTGCGCTGGCTGAGCCCCCCTGCGTGGGTCCCACGGCATGGAAACACTGCCTAACGCTCCCGCAGGCTGGGGGCCCAGCAAGGGAAGGCTTGAATCTGAACTATGAGAACGGTCTCAGAATCGTCAGCTCGCAGTTCTTGTGGCCCTGCCTTTAAAAAAATATTATTATTGTCTTTTAAAGTATACATTTGGCTGGGCATGGTGGCTCATGCCTGTAATCCCAGCACTTTGGGAGGCCGAGGCAGGCAAATCACTTGAGGTCAGACATTTGAGACCAACCTGGCCGACATGGAGAAACTCTGTCTCTACAAAACATACAAAAATGAGCCTGTTGTGGTGGTCACGCCTATAATCCCAGCTTCTTGGGAGGCTGAGTCAGAAGAATTGCTTGAACCTAGAAGGTGGAGGTTGTAGTGAGCTGAGATAGCACCACCGCACTCCAGCCTGGGTGGCTGAGTGAGACTCTGTCTCAAAAAATAAATAAATAAATAAATAAATAAATAAATAAATAAATAAATAAATAAAATAAAGTGCACATTCAAGATAGAAAACATAAGGTCCTCCAGAGTCCCCGGCCATCCCTGTCTCCCAGAGATCGTTGTGATTGATGAGTGTCTGGGGTGTCTGCATGCTTGTGTGGATGTGTGGACGCATAAAGTGTGTGGTGCTCTAGGGCTCATAATATTCTGTTGTGTGCTATTTTTCTCCTAGCACTATGCAAGAATATGTTTACTTGTCAGTATTTTTTAATGGCTGCATAATACTCCATCTTATGAACTGATGAGTCATGGAGCCTGTGGAAGTCTAAGTCTCTTTTCCATTATTGTTTATTGCTGAGAGGTGGACTTTTGCTGGGTCCCCTCCAAGGCCCACCCCAACATGTCTGGAGTCTGCGGAGCCTTACTTTATATTAGCTGTAGTTCCTCTCTAGCAGAAAAAGTATCTACCGTGGGTTTCATGCCCAGGACTAGGAGGGTGCAATAGTGTTGTGGTTTTACAGTTAAGGTGTGGAAGGCCTCTGCGCCTTCCTTCTCCATCGTGACGTCCTTCTGCTCTGCAGGGCAGGCATCCCTCATCGACCTCCTGGTTTCCAAGGGCGCCATGGTAAATGCCACAGACTACCATGGAGCCACTCCGCTCCACCTGGCCTGTCAGAAGGGCTACCAGAGCGTGACGGTGAGCAGTGGTGCCTTTGTGGCGGGCTGTCGCTTTGCTCCTGTGAGCTTGGTTCTGCGTGGTGACTGTACGGTCATGCTGGCTACCCTGCACCCCTGTCTCCTGGTGCTGTGCCCCCCTCGTTCCACACCAGCTCTGCTGCAGCAGTAGTCAGGGAGTCCAAGGACTCCCGGGGTCTCCTGGGAAGACTTTCTGAGTCTCCTGGACAAGATCGTTAGGTTTAGATTTGAAACTTCCTGGCCAGATGTGGTAGCTCACGCCTGTAATCCCAGTGCTTTGGGAGCCCAAAGCAGGAGGATCGCTTGAGCCCAGGAGTTCAAGACCAGCCTGAGCAACCTAGGGAGACCCTATCTCTACCAAAAAATATTTTTTTAAAATTATCTGGGCATGATGGTGTGTGCCTATAGTCCCAGCAACTTGAGAGGCTGATGCAGGAGGTTTGCCAGAGCCCAGCAGGTCGAGGCTGCAGTGAGCAATGATCGTGCCACTGCACTTCAGCCTGGGAGACAGGCTGAGTTCTCTAAAAAGAAAAACTTCCTGATCATATGGGGGAAGAAAAGGTGGGGCTTTAGACTTTTTTCTTCAGTCTCTCAAGTGTCAGGAATGATGGGTGTTGGTTTAATTTGAATAGTAGCATAAATAAGATCGAAGATGGGAGCAAATGACCTCCCCCTGCTAAGACTGGAGGCCGGGCCTCCCAGGGAGCCGGCTGTGCCCTGCTCATCGCTTTCCTTTATCTCCGCAGCTGCTGCTGCTGCACTACAAGGCCAGCGCGGAAGTGCAGGACAACAATGGGAATACGCCACTCCACCTGGCCTGCACCTACGGCCACGAGGACGTGAGTGGCTCTTGCTGTTCCGGGGGGGCTGCGTTCACCCTTTCCCACTCGTAGAGAAGTCGGGATTTCTCATTAATGTATTTTGTGTCGATAATTATTGGAACATTGGGTGTGTAAATTTTTTTAATATGAAAGAATGTTAGGCCAGGCACGGTGGCTCACGCCTGTAATCCCAGCACTTTGGGAGGCTGAGGTGGGCAGATCATCTGAGGTCAGGAGTTCGAGACCAGCCTGACCAACATGGTGAAACCCCCATCTCAACTAAAAATACAAAAATTAGCAGGGCGTGGTGGCGGGCACCTGTAATCCCAGCGACTCAGGAGTCTGAGGCATGAGAATCAGTTGAACCTGGGAGGTGGAGGTTGCAGTGAGCCAAGATGGCACCATTGTACTCCATCCTGGGTGACAGTGAGACTCCATCTCAAAAAAAAAAAAAAAGAGAATGTTTAATATATTACAGATGCCATATTGAAGTAACAAAGTTTAAAACAAGTCACTCATTATCTTATCCTGAAGTCAAATCATTTTCATTTCTCCTTGCTACCGTCTGGTTCTTACTTGTGTACATATTCAATTTTTACATTTTCTGTTTTTATTATTTACTTATTATTTATTTTTGAGACAGGGCCTCACTCTGGCACCTAGGCTGGAGTGCAACGATGGGATCTTGACTCACTGCAACCTCCTCCTTCCAGGTTCAAGCGATTCTCCCACCTCAGCCTCCCGAGTAGCTGGGATTACAGGTGTGTGCCACCACACCCAGCTAATTTTTGTATTTTTAGTAAAGTCGGGGTTTCACCATGTTGGCCAGGCTGGTCTGGATCTCCTGGCCCCAGGTGATCTTCCACCTCAGCCTCCCAAAGTGCTGGGATTACAGGAGTGAGCCACCGCACCTGGCCTTTATTTTTTACTTTTTAAAATTAGAAAAACAAATTTTTTTTGAGACAAGATCTTGTTCTGTTGCCCAGGCTGGAGTGCAGTGGCATGATTTTGGCTCACTGCAGCCTTAGCCTCCTGGCTCAAGCCATCCTCCCACCTCAGCTTCCCCTGGGACTAAAGGTACACACCACCATGCCTGGCTAATTTTTATATTTTTGTAGAGAAAGGGTTTCGCCATGTTGCCCAGGCTGGTCTTACATTCCTGAACTCAAGTAATCCTCCCACCTCAGCCTTCCAAAGTTCTGGGAATACAGGCATGAGCCACCATTTCTGGTTCACTTTTATAATGATATCCAAGAATTGCGTAATTTCCATTTTCACGTCCTGTTTCACCACTATGTGCTTATTTTTTCCTACCCGCCCTCCTTCTGGCTTCTCTCCATAGTGATATATGGATAGATTTACACACGTGTGTGGGGCTCAGGCCTGGCCAGGTGGTTGATGTATGAAGATGACACCATGCCCTGTATGCTTTTATGCCACTTGCTTTCCTAACTTAGCTCTACGTTACAGAGATCCTCTAGGTCAGTCCCTGTTGATCTAGCACATTCTTTTTTTTTTTTTTTTTGAGACGGAGTCTTGCTCTGTTGCCCAGGCTGGAGTGCAATGGCACGATCTTGGCTCACTGCAACCTCTGCCTCCCGGGTTCAAGCGATTCTCCTGCCTCAGCCTCCTGAGTAGCTGGGACTGCAGACACATACCACCACATCCAGCTAATTTTTGTATTTTTAGTAGAGACGGGGTTTCACCATGTTGACCAGGCTGGTCTTGAACTCCTGACCTCAAGTGATCCGCCTGCCTCAGCCTCCCAAAGTGCTGGGATTACAGGCGTGAGCCACCGTGCCTGGCCATCTAGCACATTCTTTAATAGCTGCAGTGATCTATCGTGTGTTGTGTCAGTGGTCTCCAAGACCACCCCTGGGCTCAGTGATTTGCTGGGAGGACTTACAGAACTCAGCATATAGTCGCACTCACAGCTGTGGTTTGTTACAGCAGAAGGACACAGAACAACATCAGCAAAGGGAACAGGCACGTGGTGGAGTCCAGAGAGGAGAGCAGGGGTGAGCTTCAAACAGTCTCTCTCGGCTGGGCACAGTGGCTGGCACCTGTAGTCCCAGCACTTTGGGAGACCAAGGCCGGCAAATTGCCTGAGGTCAGGAGTTCAAGACCAGCCTGGCCAACATGGTGAAACCCTGTCTCTACTAAAAAAATACAAAAATTAGCTGTGTGTGGTGGCACACACCTATAATCCCAGCTACTCAGGAGGTTGAGGTGGGAGAATCACTTGAACTAGGAGGCGGAGGTTGCAATGAGCTGAGATTGCACTGCTGTACTCCAGCCTAGGCGACAGAGCGAGACTGTGTCTCAAAAAAAAAAAAAAAACAACAGGTCTCTTTTCATGGACCCACACAGGATGGGCTCAGTTCTTCCAGCAGTGAGTTGGAACAACACACAGGAAGTGTGGTCCACTCGGGAAGCTCATTAGGAACTCAGTCCCCAAGAGTTAATGAAGGCTAGTCCTGTAAGCACCTTCTGGACAGCATGTACCAAAATGCCATACTCCCAGAAGAAACTCGGGCGTTCAGCATAAACCACATTGTATAAAACAATTCAGGCCCAGTGTGAGCCACCTAATCAGTTAGGGAATTTTGGGAACACTCCCCACATCCAGGCACCCATAGAATGTTTCAGGCCAACAGGCAGTCTTGCAAGCAGGCCTCTCAGTGGTTAGCAGTCTCAGGCCTGCTGTAGTAACTCTGTTCTGTACATGGAGACATCACAGTTTTTGCAGCCACTTCTTATTGATTGGCAGTTTCATCCTTTTGAAAGCATGAGGTGTCCTGGCTGAGCGCAGTGGCTCACATCTATAATTCCAGCACTGTGAGAGGCTGAGGTGGGAGGATTTTTTGAGCCCAGGAGTTTGAGTCCTGCCTGGGCAACAGAGTGAGACCCTGTCTCTACAGGAAAAAAAAAAAATTAAAAAAAAAAACCATCCAGGCATGGTGGTGCATGCTTGTAGTCCCAGCTGCTCGGGAGGCTGAGGTGGGAGGATCGCTTAAGCCCAGGAGTTCAAGGCTGCAGTGAGCTATTATTGCATCACTGCACTGCAACCTGAATAACAGAGAGAGATCCTGTCTCAAAAAAGAAAAAGAAAAAAAAAATGAATGAGAATGAGGTGTCCTGATCAGATACTGTGACACTTCTGAGTTCTGTCTGTTACTGCACATTTGCTTGGTGAGGAGGTCGAGGAGAGCACGGACCTTGTCGAGGCTTGGTACATCCATGAGCGATGCCATTTCCCCATCTCTTTGCAGTGTGTGAAGGCTCTGGTTTACTACGACGTGGAGTCGTGCAGACTTGACATTGGCAATGAGAAAGGAGACACCCCTCTACACATTGCTGCCCGCTGGGGCTACCAAGGCGTCATAGAGACATTGCTGCAGAACGGAGCGTCCACCGAGATCCAGAACAGACTGAAGGAGACGCCCCTCAAGTGTGCATTAAACTCAAAGGTAGCTCTTCCCATCTCTGAGGGGCAAGATGACTTCGAAAGAAGATCGATGTCCGTAGCTTAGGTCTTGGCCTACTAGACAAATTGTGCATTATTGCCTGAGGGCAGAACTTGGCTTGCACCCTTTCTGCCGCATGTGGGACGTCATCATTAATGGGTTTTACTGATATATTATTTTTGGTTTGAGTGGGCGTTTTTCTCAGGGTTGTTCCAGGAACTCCTGCAGGCAGAGTTTGTTCTGGCTGCCGAGTGCTATTGATTTATTGGCAAATGGAGTGGGTAGAAACGAGGCTCCGCAGGGGCAGGGACTGGGGAGGGAGCAGGATGTGTTGGAACTCTTTTTTCCCGGTGCTTCACCTTCAATGCCTAGAGTCTTTATTGAGACTCGGCCAGTTCTGGACATCGAGTGTGGTTTCTTTCATACATAATTTGTTAATGAGCTCACCTTTTTCTGGTAGTAATTTCTGGAGACATAGTTTGGGGAGCATGTTGTGAAGTGCTCCCCTCTCGTGAGTCAGTGGGGCTTGGAGGTGGCTCGCAGAGGCCAGTTCTCTGCACTCTCGTCTCCCGGCAGCAGAGCTGGTGAATGGCATCGTTAGAGAGGCATGTGGCAGACTGACCAGGGGGAGCACAGGGCCCTGTGAAATGGAGACCCCAGCATGGACGTCCAGAATATCTGCAAGCTGAGGCTCCCCTGAGGGATTCTGTTCCACTCCAGGTCTCTAGGGGAGCCCCGTTTGTACAGGCCTGACTTTCTGCCTTTTTACAAAAATATTTAATTTTTTTTGTTGTTTTGAGATGGAGTCTCGCTCTGTTGCCCAGGCTGGAGTGCAGTGGCACAATCTTGGCTCACTGCAACCTCCACTTCCTAGGTTCAAGTGATTCTCCTACTTCAGCCTCCCTAGCAGCTGGGATTACAGGTGCCCACCACCACACCTGGTTAATTTTTTGTATTTTTAGTAGGGATGGGGTTTCACCATGTTGGCTAGGCTGGTCTTGAACTCCTGACCTCAGGTGATCCACCCACCTTGGCCTCCCAAAGTACTGGGATTACAGGTGTGAGTTATTGCGCCCAGCCCCAAAATATATGATTTTAGAAAAGTAATAGAGATGAGATCTTAGTGTGTTGCCCAGGCTTGTCTTAAATTCCTGGCCTCAAGTGATCCTCTCACCTTGGCCTCCCAGGGTGCTGGCATTACAGGCATGAGCCACTGCGCCTGGCCAGCTTTCTGCCTTTTGATGTTTTACTGCTCCCTTTTATAATTTCCAGCTCTTCCAGGTTGTTCTTTCAGTTTGTTCACATCTTATTCTTGGAGTAGCACAGTTTGAATTTGTTTTTATTTTTGTTTTCTCTAAACCTCTTTATTGAGGCATGATTGGCATACAGAAAGCTGTATATAGTCAGTGTATACAACTTGATGAGTTTAGAGAAGAGTGGACATCCATGAAACCATCACCACCATCTACGCCATAAACATATCCATCACCTCCAAAAGTTTACTTCTGTTCTCTTTTTTTTTTTTTTTTTTTTTTTTTTGAGACAAGGTTTGGCTGTATTGCCCAAACTGGAGTACAGTGGTGCGATCTCAGCTTACTGCAACCTCTGCCTCCTGGGCTCAAGGCATCCTCCCACCTCAGCTCTCGAGTAGCTGGGACTACAGGCATGCGCCACCACACCCGGCTAATTTTTGTATTTTTTATACAGGTGGAGTTTCACCATGTTGGCCAGGCTGGTCTCAAACTCATGACCTCAAGTGATCTGCCCGCCTTGGCCCCTTAAAGTGCTGGGATTACAGGTGTGAGCCACCGCCCCTGCTTTCATCTTTCTTTTTTATTGTTTTGGTTTTTTTTTTTGAGACGGAGTCTCGCTCTGTCGCCCAGGCTGGAGTGCAGTGGCATGATCTTGGCTCACTGCAACTTCCACCTCCCAGGTTCAAGCAATTCTCCTGCCTCAGCCTCCCTTGTAGCTGGGAGGTATAGGTGTGTGTCACCAAGCCCAGCTAGTTTATTTTTTTTTTGTATTTTTATTAGAGATGGGGTTTCATCATGTTGGCCAGGCTGGTCTTGAACTCCTGACCTCAAGTGATCTGCCCACCTAGGCCTCCCAAAGTGCTGGGATTACAGTTATGGGTCATCTCGCCCGGCTTCCCTCTTTTTTTTTTTTTTAAATTATTTTGTGTGTGTGTGGCAGGGACACAGCATAAGAACTACAGTAAAGCACAGTTTGTGAAGGGTTAGATCCCTGTTTCTGGCTTCAGGGGCCTCCGGCTGTACCCCCTGAATACTGCCAAGGTCGCAGCTTTCTGGCAGGCAGAGCTGACTGGGCTGAGCAGTGCCACCACGGCTGGGGCTGCTGGGATGTCTTGGGAGGAGGGTTCTATTGCCGTGGCGTTTGTTTACCAAAGGCCCTTCCAGAGGGAGATCTGCAGAGGAAAAGAGAGGCTGCCTTCTCGGCTTGGCTCTGAGCTGTTCCTACTTGAGACCTGTGGGTGCTAGAGGAAAGGCCACACCTCATGCCTGTGGACAGACAGGCCTGGGGGCTGGATGCAGTCACCTTTCAGGCTCCATGCGGGTCTGGCTTCTCTTATCCCTTGCGTCCATGCGTGGGAAGCCCTGAGCCCTCCCACGGGACAGGAGGAGCCGTGAAGGGAGGAAGCCCCGACTTCGGGGTGATCGTGCGTAAGTTCCCACCTGCTCTGGGTCTTGGTTTTTCTGTCTATCCAAGGGTGCGACTGGGCCACGTGACCTAAGGCTCACTGCACTGACATTCCGAGGAGCTAGGCCGGCAGTGGGGCGTGTGGGTGATGGCACTGTGCTGAGACGACCCCCATCTCACGGGGTACTGTTGGCATCCCCCTTGTCCCCCTAGATTCTGTCTGTAATGGAAGCCTATCACCTGTCCTTCGAGAGGAGGCAGAAGTCGTCCGAGGTAAGTCAGCCGGGCTGAGCAGGTCAGGTTACCTTGGAGACCAAGGGCGCCTTCTCTGGTCCTCACGTGTCCTTGTGTCCTGTCCTCTCTCTCGTTGGGGCTCCTTGGCTGCAGGCCCCTGTGCAGTCCCCGCAGCGCTCCGTGGACTCCATCAGCCAAGAGTCCTCCACTTCCAGCTTCTCCTCCATGTCAGCCAGCTCAAGGCAGGAGGAGACCAAGAAGGACTACAGAGAGGTGAGGCTTCCAGAGGAAGGGCTGGGGAGGGGAGGCCTTGGCGGCCCTGGGCAGTGGTGTCCAGCTGAAGAGCCGTGGCCTGACAAGGGCCGCCCTCTCAGCCTGCTTGCCCATGCTGAGGCCGCTGCTGCTCTGTGGTGGCCGAGGTTGGTGCCTTCAAGCTGGGCCCAGCAGCATCTCGCGGTGCTGTATATTTTGGTGTGCCCTTCATGGACCACTCCCTGAGCAGCAATTAGTGTGGTAGAGTGCGTTTGTGTATTAAAGAGAGGATAGGCTAAGAAGAAGACAAGTCAGGTCATGTAGAAGTCCGCTGATTTCAGATCATTTTATTTTTATTTTTTATTTTTTGAGATAAGAGTCTCGCTCTGTTGCCCAGGCTGGAGTGCAGTGGTGCAATCCGGGCTCACTGCAACCTCCACCTCCCAGGTTCAAGCAATTCTCCTGCCTCAGCCTCCCAAGTAACTGGGATTACAGGCGTGAGCCACCATGCCCGGCCAGATCTGCCTCATTCTTTAGCTGAGGAGTGGACTGTTGAATGGATGTACCACCTTCGATGGCCCCCCCATGGGTGCTGAACCCTCACTGACCCTACCATAGTGTCCCACTACCCACAAGCCGTGACATGCTCTTGGAGGACCAAGTGAGCTTAGCTCCATGCAAAGCCATAGCAGAGACAGCCAAGAGACATGGTCCAGAGTCTAACGGAGACCTGAAGTTGTCCCTGGGAGGGGTGTCCACCCTCATGGTGTCCCAGCTAGCAGATACTGATAGCTGAGTTCAGTATTTCTTTTTTTTTTTTTTTTTTTTTCTTTTTGGGACACGGTCTCACTGTGTCACCCAGGCTGGAGTGCAGTGGTACAGTCATAGCTCCCTGCAACCTCAAACTCCTGGGGATTGCCTCCAAAGTGCTGGGATTACAGGCCGAGCCACTGCACTTAGCTAAGTGTATTTTTCTAAATCATAGGGGTGGCTGGCGTCTTAGGAAGGACTTGTGTTCCAAGGCGACCATGGCCTCACCTTTCCACTGATAAATATACATTTATATGTATATACATATAAATATACATATACATTTATACAATTCCACTGATAAAGTTACAGTTTATTATTCCCTAAATGGCAGTGGGTTCTGCGCACACCAGCAACTTCCTAGGATGCCCTCCCTGAGCAGTTTTAGGGACACATTTACAGGATACTAAATCAGCCGGGCGTGGTGGCTCACGCCTGTAATGCCAGCACTTTGGGAGGCCGAGGTGGGCGGATCACCTGAGGTCGGGAGTTTGAGACCAGCCTGACCAATATGGAGAAACCCTGTATCTACTAAAAATACAAAAAAAATTAGCCGGGCATGGTGGTGCATGCCTGTAATCCCAGCTACTAGGGAGGCTGAGGCAGGAGAATCGCTTGAACCTGGGAGGCGGAGGTTGCGGTGAGCCGAGATTGCGCCACTGCACTCCATCCTGAGCAATAAGAGCGAAACTCCATCTCAAAAAAAAAAAAAAAAAACTAAATCAGACGTTAAAAGTCCACAAATCAAGCCAATAGATTTTCAGAATGTTTATATTATTTCTATTATTATTTTATTGTTGAAATCATTTTTCTAACATTCTTGTTCCTTTTATTAAGGTAGAAAAACTTTTGAGAGCAGTTGCTGATGGAGATCTAGAAATGGTGAGTTTTTAGAAGTGCTTTTTATTTTATTTTTATTTTTTAGAGACAGGGTCTTGTTCTGTCACCCAGGCTGGAGTGCAGTGGCGTGATCATGGCTCACTGCAGCCTTGAACTCCTGGACTCAAGCAATCCTCTTGCCTCAGCCTCTTGAATAGATGGGACCACAGTTGTGCGCGGCCATGCCTGGCTAATCATAAACAAATTTTTTGTAGAGATAAGGTCTTGCTATATTGCCCAGTC
Organism: Homo sapiens; assembly: GCF_000001405.40. Classification (NCBI taxonomy): domain Eukaryota; kingdom Metazoa; phylum Chordata; class Mammalia; order Primates; family Hominidae; genus Homo; species Homo sapiens. The sequence continues at coordinate 32,617,348 of NC_000019.10, read as the reverse complement.
TGATCTTGAACTCCTGGCCTCAAGCGATTCTCCTGCCTTGGCCTCCCAAAGTACTTGGATTACAGGTGTGAGCCACCCTGCCCAGCTTTAGAAGTGCTTTTTATTATAAAAAGCTTGTTCTAGCTTAAAACAGCCACCCACCTGTGTTTCTTGTCTCCGGTTCAGTTTCGGGCCATGTGGACTCTGATTTTGTGCAGAGGGCGCTATGTTTAATGCATATTTGGTAATGGTGTTGTTATATTTTCCTGACAAGTAATGAGGCAGATCAACATACAGGCACATAGCGAGTGTGGGCCCTGCCTTTCAGATGTCCATACTCCAGGAGTGTGATGAGACGTTGCCAAGACCAGAGACCATGTCCGAGGCACAGAGTGTGGGCTCAGAGCCCAGGCCCACTAGCCAGTGTGCAAGGAGGGCAGCTTGGTTTTAAGAGAGGGCAGCGTCTTGGGGAGAGGAGGAAGTAGAGAGGCGAAGGCAGAGCCCAGTGGTGTTTGTGAGGTTCTGCAGAAGCTGTGGTCAGCTGGGACTCCTGGGCCACGAGAGGGGGCCTGAGGCTTGAGGCTCTGAGGAGTCATAAGCAGGTATCTGGATAAAGATGGAGCCGCCAGCCCTGGGCTGGCACCTGGAGAGAATGTCGTGGCTTGAAGGAAGGCGTCTTTCCTAACCATTAGGTACATCTGACAGTGAAATGAGTGGACATTGGAGACAGCCTTCCTTAGATTCTGACGGACAGGTTCCCCTGGCTTGCCTTTGGCCCTTTGAAAGGACTGTGTCTTCCACTTTTTTTTTTTTTTTTTTTTGAGACGGAGTCTTGCGCTGTCATCCAGGAGTGCAGTGGCATGATCTCAGCTCACTGCAACCTCCACCTCCTGGGTTCAAGCAATTCTCCTGCTTCAGCCTCCTGAGAAGGTGGGACTACAGGCATGCGCCACCACACCCAGCTAATTTTTGTATTTTTAGCAGAGACGGGGTTTCACCATGTTGGCCAGGCTGGGCTTGAACTCCTGACCTCAGGTGATCTGCCTGCTTAGGCCTCCCCAAATGCTGGGATTACAGGCGTGAGCCACCATGCCTGCCCGTATCTTCCACTTTTAATGGAGGAGGGAGTGAGGTGCTCACTAAGTGCCCTAGGACCAGGATGGGTTTATTTTTTTGAGAGTTTTGCTCTGTTGCCCAGGCTGGAGTGCTATGGTGTGATCATGGCTCACAGTAGCCTTGAACTCCTGGGCTCAGGCGATTCTCTGGCCTCTGCCTCCCAGAATGCTGGGATTACACCTATAAGCCACTGCGCCCAGCCCTAGGACTAGAGTTTTAAAGCCATCACCCTGAGGCAGCACCAATCTTCCTGTCCTTTTTTATGATAGAAGAAAATAATCTCTGGCATAAGCTGTGAAGTGGAAGGACTGAGGAAGGCTTCATGAGGGAGCAGAAGCCGGTTATAAATGGCTGTGGGGTTGGAGAAGGAAGCGTGGGCCCTGATTGGGAACGGTTGATGGTGTGTGTTTAAGATATTGTGCATGCAAAGACGCTGAGGATGTGTTCCTGTTTCCGTTACTCTCCATCACCAGGTGCGTTACCTGTTGGAATGGACAGAGGAGGACCTGGAGGATGCGGAGGACACTGTCAGTGCAGCGGACCCCGAATTCTGTCACCCGTTGTGCCAGTGCCCCAAGTGTGCCCCAGCTCAGAAGGTTTGGCTTTGTTTCTGTTGGTGGAGGTCAGGGAATGTAGGCAATTTTTGTTTTTGTTTTTGTTTTTGTTTTTTGAGACAGGGTCTCGTTCTGTCACCCAGGCCGGAGTGCAGTGGTACAGTCATGACCCACTGCAGCCTCAACCGCCTGGGCTCAAATGATCCTCTCACCTCAGTGTCCTGACTAGCTGAGACCACAGGCATGCACCACCACACCTGGCTAATTTGTTTCTTTTTGTAGAGACTCAGCCTTTCTGTGTTGCCCAGACTGGTCTCGGCCTCCCAGGCTCAAGCTATCCTCCTGCCTCAGCCTCCCACAGTGCTGGGATTACAGACGTGAGCCACTGCTCCTGGCCAGCAAATTCTTCCTTTTTCCCTCAGGAAAGTTCTCGATTTCTCAGCCAGATAATTACTGTACTGCATGTCTGTGAATAGGTATTCCCCAAGATATGGTGAGACTCATTAGCCTAGGGCGGGTGCCAGCTCCCTGCGTGGCAGGTAAGCGAGCAGAGATGTGTCCCATGATTAGCGTTTTGGCTGCTATCTGGGCCCCTGAGTCCCGTGGCAGGAGCTTATGAACAGATGCTCAAGGGTCTCCTTCCAGGTACCTAAAGCCCCCCAGGGAAGCTGCACGCATGTTCTGCTGTTGCTTTTACTCAGTTGAGTTCACTCTTCATGGGGACTCTCCCTCCAAGTGCAGAGAAATCCCCAAACCCTCTCCCAGCTTTCCCCAGGGGTAACATCCTTGCAAAACTGTGGTACAGAATCACAGCCAGGATATCAACATTGATGCAATCCGTGGATCTTAGTTCAGATTTCCCCAGTTCTGCTTGTTCTCGTGTGTGTGTATGTAGTTCTGTACAGTTGTGCCACATGTGTAGGTTTATGTATCCACCATCACATTCAAGATATTTTCTGTGACAGATACTTTTATATACTCCTTGTTCTTTTTATTTATTTATTTTTTTATTTTTTGAGATAGAGCCTTGCTCTGTCGGGCGATCTTGGCTCACTGCAACCTCTGCCTCCCGGGTTGAAGCGATTCCCCTGCCTCAGCCTCCTGTGTAGCGGGGACCATAGCACCCACCACCACGCCCAGCTAATTTTTTGTATTTTTAGTGGAGACAGGGTTTCACCATGTTGGCCAGGCTGGTCTCAAACTCCTGACCTCAAGTGATTCGCCCATCTCAGCCTCCCAAAGTGCTGGGATTACAGGTGTGAGCCGCTGCGCCTGGCCTCCTTGTTCTTTTACAGCCTCTTGTTCTTGTTTTGTAATGTCTCAAAAAGACAGAACACTAAACTGCTTTATATCTTTGATTAAATTGAAACCCACCCCGCCATTCTTTTCTAGCCCAGTGTTTTAGAATTGGTCTTTAAATCCTTTATCGAAGTATAATTCACAGACAATAAAGTCTATGTATTTATACAACTTGGTGAGCTTTTACAGATGTAAAACCTGTGAAGCCATCACCACCATCAAGACGCAGCATGTGTCTGTCACCGGAAAGCACAGTTCTCTCACAAGACCAATCATTCAAACTGCCCTCTTACAGCCACACCCACCTCTCTCCCTGCCACGCCCACCCCACCATCCCCAACCGCTGGCAACCACTTACCTGTTCTCCATTTCCCTAATCCTGTCACTTCAAAAACGTTACATAAGTGGCTTATGCCTGTAATCCCAGCACTTTGGGAGGCCGAGGCAGGTGGATCACGAAGTTAGAAGATCAAGACCATCCTGGCTAACATGGTGAAACCCCGTCTCTACTAAATATACAAAAAATTAGCTGGGCGTGGTGGCGGGCGCTTCTAGTCCCAGCTACTCGGGAGGCTGAGGCAGGAGAATGGCGTGAACCCGGGAGGCAGGGCTTGCAGTGAGCCGAGATTGTGCCACCGCACTCCAGCCTGGGCAACAGAGCAAGACTCCGTCTCAAAAAAAAAAAAAAAAAAAAGTTACATAAATGTAATCACAGTATACAATCCTTTTGGGATTGACTTTCTTCACTCCGTTTGATTCCACACTGTTGCCTAGAATCAGGTCTGTTTCTCCATGGCGGGGTGGCATTCCATTTGTTTAATGGTGGCATATACTCACTGTGGAATGTCCAAGGACATGTAGTTTGTTGCTAGTTTGGGGAATATTACCAATAAAACTGCCACGAACAAACATTAGAGTAGACGTTTCGGTAAGAACACAAGTTTTCATTTTTCTAGGATAAGTGCCCAAGAGTGCAATTGTGGAGTCATATGGTCATTGCATGGCAATTCCATGGTTCATTTTTATAAGGAACTGACAGTCTTTTCCCAAGCAGGCTGTATCATTTTACATGCCCACCAGCGATGTATGAGTGATCCAGTTCCTCCTCGTCCTCCCCAGCACTGGGTGTGGTCATTATTTTCTGTTTTAGCCATTCAGATAGGTGTGTAGTACTATCTCAGTGTGGCCTTAATTTGCATTTCTCTAATGGCTGATGCTGTTGAACAGCTTTTCATGGGCTTATTTGCCATCTGTATATGTTCTTCAGTGAAATGTCTGTTCATTTGTTTTGCCCATTTTCTAATTGGTTTGTTTTTGGCTTTATCGTTGAATTTATATATTCTAGATATGTGGATATTTGTTAGATACGTGCTTTGCAGACATTTTCTTTCAGTCTGTAGCTTGTCTATAATTTCCTCACATGGGCTTTCACAGAGAAAAAGGTTTTTAGACATCTCATTTGTCAGTATTTCCTTTTATGGATTATACTTTTGGTGTCAAGTCTGAGAATTCTTTGCCTTGCTCTAGATTTCCAACTTTCTCCTGTTTTTTTTAAGTTATAATTTTATATTTTATAGTTAAGTCCATGATCCAATTTGTGTTAATTTTTACTCAAAGTGTGAGATTTAGGTTGAGGTTCTTCTTTGTTTTTTCTTGCCTACAAGTGTCCACTTGCGCCAGCACCATTTGTTGAAAAGCCTCTCCTTCCTCCCGTGACTTGCCTTTGCACCTCAGTTGGCTATAGATTGTGTGGATCTATTTCTGGGTTCTCTGTTCTGCTGCATTGATCTATGGGCCCATCCTACCAGTACCGCGCTGTCTTGATGACTGATGCTGTGTAGTAAGCCTCAGTATTGGATTGAATGATTCTTCCTAATTTATTCTTCTTTGCCAGGAATATTTCAGCTATTCTATGGCCTGTGCCTTGCCATGTAAATTTTATTTATTTATTTACCTATTGCTTACTTACTAACTTACTCACTCTTATAGTACCCAGACTGGTCTGAGCTATATCAATTTTAGAATTAGTTTTTGTATGTCTACAAAATACCTTGCTCGGATTTTGATAGGAATTACATTAAACCTATAGATGAACTGGGGAGAAATAACATCATATGACTCAACGTATGTTGAGTCTTCATGAACATGGTACATCTCTCCAAGTATTTAGGCCTTCTTTGACTTCTTTCATCAACATTTTGTGATTTTTTTTCAGCATACAGATCCTGCCTGTGTCATGTTAAGTGTACACCTCAGTATTTCATCTTCTTTCAAGCAGTTGTAAATGGTATTGCATACATAGCATGCATTCATGTGTTAGCTATCTAATTATAGATGTGTATGTCCCATACTAAGAGAATTAGGCTGGGCTCAGTGTCATACACCTGTAATCCCAACACTTTGGGAGGCCGAGGTTAGAGGATCACTTGAGGCCAGGAGTTTGAGACCAGCCTGGCCAACAGAGTAAGACCCTGTCTCTAAGAAACTAAAAATATAAAATAGAAAATAGAAAATGAATTTGGCCGGGCACGATGGCTCACGCCTGTAATCCCAGCACTTTGGGAGGCCGAGGCGGGTAGATCACCTGAGGTCAGGAATTCGAGACCAGCCTGACCAACATGGAGAAACCCCATCCCTACTAAAAATACAAAATTAGCTGGCCGTGGTGGTGCATGCCTGTAATCCCAGCTACTCGGGAGGCTGAGGCAGGAGAATCGCTTGAACCCAGGAGGCGGAGGTTGCGGTGAGCCGAGATCGTGCCATTGCACTCTAGCCTGGGGAACAAGAGTGAAACTCCATCTCAAAAAAAAGAAAATGGATTTGACTTTATAAAATAGATAGAGTGGTGTTAGCCTTTATATTGTAGGATAATTTTACCATTTCTAAAAAGAACTTCAGCGTGGGTGACTCTAAGGATATTGAAAATGACTAAAGTTTTCCCTCACACATTTTTCAGCTGTGAGGTAACATGTACACTGGGGATGTGCACCTTTTGACCTGGCCCCCTGCTGCTGGATGCACATGGTCCAGAACACAATTTCCCCGAGGTGGGTGGCTATGAAAACACAGGATAAGAAAGGCAGATGGTGTTCCCTAGCATCTGGTGGGAAGTGATGAAGCCCTCGGGCCCTCAGTACCTGTGTGTGGCGAGATTGCTGCATCTCCGCTGCTGCTGTTTTTGCCATTTTTCTCCTCCCTGTGTTTTCCCACTTTAATTACACAGTAAAATACTGTGGAACTCAATTGGGTGAAGTCTTAGGTTCCCTGTACTTCTAAAACCTCTTATTCTCTTTTTGTGATTTCTCAAAAAGACACACCACTAAACTGCTTCATGTCTGTGATTAAATGAAAATCCACTCCCCCCATCCTCTTCTAGCCCAGTGATTTATTTTATTTTATTTTATTTTATTTTAATTTTTAGAGATGGGGTTTCACTCTGTCACCCAGGCTGGAGTGCAGTGGCACAATCATAGCTCACTTACAGCTTGGGACTCCTGGGCTCAAGTGATCCTCCTGCCCCAGCCTCCCAAAGTCCTGGAATTACAGGCATGAGCCACCACACCAGGCCTCCAGTGGTGTTTAATGTATTACTTCTTTTTTTTCTTTTTTGAGACGGAGTCTCCCTCTGTCGCCCAGGCTGGAGTACAGTGGTGCAATATTGGCTCACTGCAACCTCTGCCTCTCGGGTTCAAGACATTCTTCTGCCTCAGCCTCCCGAGTAGCTGGGACTACAGGTGCATGCCGCCACACCTGGCTAATTTTTGTATTTTTAGTAGAGACAGGGTTTTGCCATATTGGCCATGCTGGTCTCAAACTCCTGACCTCAAGTGATCCGCTTGCCTCAGCCTCCCAAAGTGCTGGGATTATAGGCATGAGCCACTGCGCTTGGCCTAAACTTTTTTTTTTTTTTTTTTTTTAGAGACGGTCTTGGTCTGTCACCAAGGCCAGAGTGCAGTGTTGCAATCATAGCTCACTGAAGCCTCAAACTCTTGGGCCCAAGGGATCCTTTTGCCTCAGCCTCCCAAATGGTTGGAACTACAGGCACGTACCACCATGCTGGGCTATTTTATTTTATTTATTTATTTATTTTTTGAGACAGGGTCTTGCTCTGTCGCCAGGCTGGAGTGCAGTGGCGCCATCTCGGCTCACTGCAACCTCTGCCTCCTGGGTTCAAGCAATTCTCCTACCTCAGCTTCCTGAGTAGCTGGGACTACAGGCATGCGCCACCATGCCCAGCTAATTTTTGTATTTTTAGTAGAGACGGAGTTTCACCATGTTGGCCAGGATGGTCTCGATCTCTTGACCTCATGATCCACCTGCCTCGGCCTCCCGAAAGTGCTGGCATTACAGGCGTAAGCTACCTTGCTGGCCTATTTTTTTTATTTTTGTAGAGACAGGGTCTTGGCTGTGTTGTCCAGGCTGGTTTCGAACTCCTGGGCCCAAGCGATCCTCCTGCCTCAGCCTCCCAAAGTGCTGAGATTATAGGCGTGAGCCACCACACCCGGTCTCCAGTGGTGTTTTAGAATTTGTTTTTAAATCTTTTATTGAAATATAATTATATACATTATAATTTATATAATTTATATTTACATAAAGCATATGTATTTAAAGTATACAATTTGGCAAGTTTTACAGATATATAAACCTGTGAAACCATCACCACCATCAAGATACACAACGTTTCCCTCACTTGCAAGAGTTTCCTGTGAGATTTTGCCTTCCCCCCCACTATGACCCCCCCATTCCCCCATCGCCTCTCCCAGGCAACCCGTGACCTGCTTTTCATCATCATGGATTAGTTAACACTTTCGAGAATCTTTTGTAAGTGGAATTCTAACGCATGTCCCTTTTCATGTCTGCCTTCTTTGACTCAGGATATTTTTGAGACCCATGTTGGATCAGGAGTTCATTGCTGGATAGTAGTTGATTGGGTGGACACACCAGAATTTGTTGTTTCATTCACCTGTTAATGGACATCTGAGTAGTTTTCCTGCTTCTGGATTTGTAAATAAAGCCATTGTGAACATTTGTGTACAGGCCTTTGTGTGGATATATACGTTGGTGGGTAAACACCTAGGAGTTACAGGCCTTTGTGTGGATATATACGTTGTTGGGTAAACACCTAGGAGTATAATTGCTGGATTATATAGTAAGGATATGTTTAACCTTAAAAGAAACTGCCAGTTTTCCAAAGTGGTTGGAGTAGTTTCTGTTCCCTCCAGCAGGGTTTGAGCATTCCAGTTGCTCCACATCCCTGCCAACATTTGGTATTTTGACTTTTTTTTTTTTTTTTGGAGATGGAGTCTCGCTCTGTTGCCCAGCCTAGCCAACGTGGCAAAACCCTGTCTCTACTACAAATACAAAAATCAGCCAGGTGTGGTGGCACACGCCTGTAATCCCAGCTACTTGGGAGGCTGAGGCAGGAGAATTCGCTTGAACCGGAGAGGCAGAGATTGCAGTGAGCCAGGCTGGATGGAGTGCAGTGGTGTGATCTTGGCTCACTGCAACCTTCGCCTCCTGGGTTTGAGCGATTCTACAGCCCAATGCATGCCTGTAATGTAGCTGGGATTACAGGCAGGTGCCGCCACACCTGGGTAATTTTTGTATTTTTGGTAGAGACGGGGTTTCACCATGTTGGCCAGGATGGTCTAGAACTCCTGACCTCAGGTGATCTGCCCACCTCGGACTCTCAAAGTGTTGGGATTACAGGCATGAGCCACTGTGCCCAGCCTTGAGTTTTTAACTTTAGCCATTCTGATAAATATGCAGGGTATTTCATTTAGTGTGTGTATGTATGTGCACATGTGTGTTTTCCAGCTTCTTTTTTATTTTTGAGATATAATTTACATATAATAAAATTCAGCCTTTAATTTAGCATACAGTTTTTTTTTTTAAAGAGGTAACATTTTTAATCATCAAAAAGTAAAATTATTCTCACCTAAACCCAAGAATCACTGTTTCTTATAGCGGTGGTTTAAACAGAGGTGCAAACAGCAAGTGAATCTCGTCGCCTTTGCGGGGCTGTGGCCATGCCCCTCAAAGGAAATTTGGAGGCTCTACAGCCCTGGTGAAAAAAAAAAAAGTGAAATTAGCCAGGTACAGTGGCATACATCTGCAGTCTCAGCACTTTGGGAGGCTGAGGTGGGAGGACCACATGAACCTGGGAGTTCAAGACCAGCCTGGGCCAGCTGGTGAGACCCCATCTCTACAAAAAAAAAAAAAAAAAAAAATTAGCTGGGCACAATGGCTTGCACCTGTGGACCTAGCTACTTGGGAGGCTGAGGCGGGAGGATCACTTGAGCCTAGGAGGTCGAGGCTGTAGTGAGCCATGATGGTGGTGCCACTGCACTCCAGCCTGGGCAACAGAGTGAGACCCTGTCTCAAAAAAAAAAAAAGGAAGTTGTTTTTTGGCATGCCACATACTTCTAAACAAATTGGAATCCATCCTGGATCCCGCCATGATCCCGCATTGTGTGTGGGAGCTGTGGGGGGCACATGGTGCCAATCACTCCAGCCCAGTTTCTTCAATACTGATGACGTTTGTGTTTCCATCTTCTGCGCTTCCCAGAGGCTGGCGAAGGTTCCTGCCAGTGGGCTTGGTGTGAACGTGACCAGCCAGGACGGCTCCTCCCCGCTGCATGTCGCCGCCCTGCACGGCCGGGCGGACCTCATCCCCCTCCTGCTGAAGCACGGGGCCAACGCAGGTGCCAGGAACGCAGACCAAGCCGTCCCGCTCCACCTGGCCTGCCAGCAGGGCCACTTTCAGGTTCGGGCTGTGTGTTGGGGGTGGTGGAGCAGGGTGTCTGCTTTGGGCTAGGACCTTGTGCTTGGTAGGAACGCTGCAGGGGTTTGGTGGCTACCCTGGAGGACACTGCTCCCCCGAGCCCTGAGATTCTGAGGTGCACACGGTAGGCCACTCAGCCTCGGAGCACAGAGCCTTGATGCTCCCTGGGGGTGGAGCCAGTCCCTGCCCCACTGCCACTCCCATCTGGGTGATACCGAGGTTGTCATTCTGATTCTTGCCCCCAGCAGGATCTGGCTCTTGAGCTCGTGTGGTGGCCACCGAGCACTGTCCCCATGGTCATCTTACCACCTTTACACCCCGACAGTGCCTTGCTCTGGGCCAAACAGTTCAGCACTTCATAAAGAACAGTCAGGGCCCCATAGAGGGGCTCAAGGAAGAATTTTGAATTTTGGAGTGATTAACTTTTTGAAAGTGCTGGGGTTTTTTGCCTTTTTTTTTTTTTTTTTTTTTTAAGACATCACCTTGCTCTGTCTCCCAGGCTGGAGCGTGGGAGTGCAGTGGTGCAATCTCAGCTCACACTGCAGCCTCAATCTCCTGGGCTCAAACAATCCTCCCATCTCAGCCTCCCTCCCTAGTAGCTGGGACCACAGGCGTGCACCACCACACCTAGATAAATTTTTCTTTTTTTTTTTTTTTTTTTTTTTTTTTTTTTTTTTGTGGAGATGGGGTTTCACCATGTTGTCCAGACTGGTGTTGAACTCCTGAGCTCAAGCGATCCTCCCACCTTGGCTTCCCAAAGTACTGGGATTACAGGGATGAGCCACAGCACCAGGCCCTGCTTTTCTTTAAGGAAAACTGTGTGTATATTTTTTCATTTTCCTTTATCAGTTCTACTGTTAACTTTTTAAAGAAAGGAGCCATATTTCAGGTCTTGCATCTCTCTCGCCAACACCTAGCATAGAGCTTCAGGCATGGCTTTCCTAATCTGTAAATTCGGAGTGGCGATTGCAGCTCTCCCTGAGGTAGAAAGGATAGAAAGGTGAAGTGAGATCACTGTCGCCCAGCACATCGGGTGAAGTGAGATCACTGTCACCCTGCGCTTCAACCGCACAGAGCAGCCCCGCAGCAGATGGTAGCCCTCCCCTCTTCACCTGGTCCCTTTTCTCCTGAGAGTCTAAAGTCTTCTCAATAAGCTCAGAGACGGCTGGGCGTGGTGGCTCATGCCTGTAATCCCAGCATTTTGGGAGGCCGAGACGGGTGGATCACCTGAGGTCAAGAGTTCGAGGCCAGCCCTGCCAACATGGTGAAACCCCGTCTCTACTGAAAATACAGAAAATTAGCCAAGCGTGGTGGCAGGCGCCTGTAGTCCCAGCTGCTCAGGAGGCTGAGGCGTGAGAATCAGTTGAACCTGGGAGGCGGAGGCTGGAGTAAGCCAAGATCACGCCACTGCACTCCAGCCTGGGCGACAGAGCGAGACTCTGTCTGGAAAAAAAAAAAAAAAAAAGAAAGAAAAACCAAAAAGAACAACAACAAAAAAATAAGCTCAGAGACAAGTCAAAAGAATATCAAACTTGAGCATTTCTCTCCAGAAACTTTGTTTTCTTATTTTATTTATTTATTTATTTATTTTTCATAATTTTTCTCTGGCAGGAAATGACAGAAATTTTGATTAAGTTTGCACGTTTTCCTTCTCTGGCCCAGGTGGTGAAGTGTCTGTTAGATTCGAATGCAAAACCCAATAAGAAGGACCTCAGTGGAAACACGCCCCTCATTTACGCCTGCTCCGGTGGCCATCACGAGCTTGTGGCACTGCTGCTACAGGTGAGGGCCCCTTCCTGTCCTCATTCTACACACCTGCGCCAGTTAACAGGGCGCCTCCACCCAGCGACCCCCGCAGCGCACTGGGGATGGAGAGGCCCGGCCACCCATCAACCCCAGGCCTCTGGGGAGAGGAGCAGGGCGTGCGTCTTCCCACACGGGGTTCTCCGATGGGAACAGATGGTGCCCCAGCATCTGGGATGCGGTCTCAAGGGCTCCGACGCTGCTTTTGCCAAGGGTTTGGGTCTCACCTCACCGACCGGGAATGTGTCACGCTGTTACCTGAGCATGGGCTGAGTGGCCGCCTCTGTCCCTGCTGCTCTTGAAAAAGGTTATGTGAATGCATTAGAATTTCTTAAAGAAGTAGGGAAAAACCAACCTGTCCATGACTGTGCTACTCAAGGGAAACTCATTATGGTGGACTTTTGACAAATGTGTATAGTTTCAGTGTTATTTATTAATTTTTTTTTGAGACAAGGTCTTGCTCTGTGGCCCAGGCTGGAATGCAATGGCACCCTCACAGCTCACTGCAGCCTCAGTCTCCCAGGCTCAGGTGCCTCAGCCTCCCAGCTAACTGGGACTACAGATACATACCACTGCACCTGGCTAGTTTTTGCTGTTTGTTTTTAGTAGAGATGGGGGTCTCACTATGTTGCCCAGGCTGGTCTCAAACTCCTGAGCTCCAACGATCCTCTTGCACTGGCCTCCTAAAGTGCTGGATTACGGGTGTAAGCCACGGGGCCTCGCCAAGTATTGTTTTCTCTTTTTCCGAGATGGAGTCTCGCTCTGTCACCTAGGAATGCAGTGGCTTACTCTCAGCTCACTGCAACCTCTGCCTCCGGGGTTCAAGCGATTCTCCTGCCTCAGCCTCCCGAATAGCTGGAACTACAGGCGCCCACCACCATGCCCAGCTAATTTTTTTGTTTTTTGGTGTTTTTTTTTAGTAGAGATGGGATTTCACTATGTTGGCCAGGCTGGTCTTGAACTCCTGACCTCAGGTGATCCACCTGCCTCTGCCTCCCAAAGTGCTGGGATTATAGGCATGGGCCACTGTGCCTGGCCCCAAGTATTGTTTTCTGTCTTAATGTTATTTAATGTAGAAACTTATTTACTCAAACTTTGATTTTTAATGGTTGCATAACTATGGATATACCATAGTGATTTTTTTGAACCTGTTTCTGCTCTGTACATTTAAGTGGCTTCTGTTTTCTCTGCTATTAGGATAAATGCTGCAGCGAACTCTTTGTCTATAAATCTTTTTTTCTCAGTATTACTTTTCCTCCCCAAATTTTAAGGAAACTTTCAGACATAAAAAAAACAATGTGTTTTATAGCGAATACCTGTATACCCACAGCCAGATTCCATGCTGACGTTTCGTAGCGTTCCTTTTGATCGTGTGGTTTCTCTTTCCAGCACGGGGCCTCCATTAACGCTTCTAACAATAAGGGCAACACAGCGCTGCACGAGGCTGTGATTGAAAAGCACGTCTTCGTGGTAGAGCTGCTTCTGCTCCACGGAGCGTCAGTTCAGGTGCTGAACAAGCGGCAGCGCACGGCTGTAGACTGTGCTGAACAGGTAGGTGGAGAGGGTCGAAGAGCCGAGGGAATCCTGAGCTCCTCACAGCTCCCTCTGGATCCCTTTGTTTAAGCTGGATCTAAAATAGCAACACCTGGCCCTTGGCATCGCCGGGCTGGGCGTAGTTGGTGTGCCAGAAGTCCACAGCGTGGGTAGATGGCTGGTCCTCAGTCTCCTGGTCAGAGGTGGTGCTCTGGGAACCAGGAATCATTCTTTTCACAGGTGGTTTTCAAAGGCCTGAGTGGAGGGGCCCCCCCCTCAGCTAGCAGTAGGGCTGTGGTCCGGTAGTTACATAGAGTCAGGCACTCAGGAAGGAGCAAGTCATGATGTTCTGGTGTCACCATCCTCACAGTGTGAACACAGCCGTTGTCTTAGCAGCACGATGGAGAAGGTTTGTTTTGTTGGTGGATTTAAAACTCCTTGAGGCCAGGCACAGTGGCTCATGCCTGTAATCCCAGCACTTTGGGAGGCCAAGGAAGGAGGATCACTTGAGCGCAGGAGCTCATGACCAGCCTGGGCAACATAGTGAGACCCCCTCTCTACAAAAAATCAAAAAATCAGCCGAGCATAGGGGTGCATGCCTGTAGTCCCAGCTACTCAGGAGGCTGAGGTGGGAGGATCGCTTGAGCCCAGGAGGTCAAGGCTGTAGTGAGCTGAGATTGTGCCACTGCACTCCAGCCTGGGTGACAGAGACTTTATCTCAAAAAAATGAAAGTAAAAGTCCTTGAGTCCTGTAGGAATCGTGATTATTGGCCTACTGCCTTCTCCAGTGCTGTGGATGCTTGCGTGGAGAGCGGCGGGGAAGGGTCCTTTTCCCCTGGCGAGCGGCAGCTCTTTCTGTTCCTGTTTTCCTGCTGAGTCTTTCTTTTGTTTTCTACCCAAGATAGACAGCGAGTAGGCTGTTAAGTGACACAACTGAGAAGCTAACATCACCATCAATCCACTCCATGGACAGGCTCCTTAGAGTAATTTTTTGTTTCTTAAGACAGAGTCTTGCTCTGTTGTGGCGTGATCTTGGCTCACTGCAACCTCTGCCTCCTGGGTTCAAGCGATTCTCGTGCCTCAGCCTCCTGAGTAGCTGGGATTACAGGCACGTGGCACCACACCTGGCTAAATTTTTGTATTTTTTGTAGAGACGGGTTTCACCATATTGCTCAGGCTGGTCTTGAACACCTGACCTAACTGATCCGCCTCCCTTGGCATCCCGAAGTGCTGGGATTACAGACGTGAGCCACTGTGCCTGGCCTCCTTATATTAATTTTCAGTGACAGAATTGAAATATTTTAAACTCTCAGTTTAGTACTTTCTTAAATGATTATGTTGAATTTTTTTTGGTTTTTAAAATTTTTAATTTTATTATTATTATTATTTTTTGAGACAGAGTCTCAATTTGTTGCCCAGGCTGGAGTATAATGGTGCAATCTTGGCTCACTGCAGCCTTAACCTTTGGGCGCAGATGATCCTCCAACCTCAGCCTCCCAAGTAGCTGGGACTATAGGCGTGTGCCACCATGACCAGCTAATTTTTTTTTAATAGAGACAGGGTTTTGCCATGTTGGCCAGGCTGGTCTCGACTGCCTGGGCTCAAGCAATCCACCCGCCTCGGCCTCTCAAAAGTGCTGAGATTACAGGCGTGAGCCATCGCGCCTGGCCTTTTATTATTTTTAAATAGAGACAGGGCCTTGCTATGTTGCCCAGGCTAGTCTTGAACACCTGGGCTCAAGCAATCCTCCCACCTCAGTCTCCCAAAGTGGTGGGATTGCACGCGTGAGCCACCGTGCCCAGTTAATTAATGTGTTTCAATGAGTACTTACTATATGGGGGCCCTCAACAGCCTCATGATAAGCATATGATAGTAGATCTTATTATGGTTGAGCTGGTTGCATGGAGTGGTTGAATCCCCAGCGTGGAGTCCACAGAGAGGGCAGAGCTTTTACCCAGTGGTAAAAGCAGAGCCGGGCTCCCCATGCAGGCCTGCTTTTACCACTGGGCTTTATGGCCTCCAAGCTCCATTTGTAATTATTTCTGAGCTTTTTCTGCCCAGTCACACTAATACTGACATTTAGATCAAAAACAAATAATAACCTATTAAAAAAGAATAAAAACATTACTGTTCCTTTTCCCTTTCAAATTGCAGAATTCAAAAATAATGGAATTGCTTCAGGTGGTACCAAGCTGTGTTGCTTCATTAGATGATGTGGCTGAAACTGACCGCAAGGAGTATGTCACTGTTAAGATCAGGAAAAAATGTAAGAGTTTACGTTCTTTCTGTCACGCTCAAGTTGGGTATATTTAGACATTCATGAGTAGTTGCTGGTGTTCATTTAATTGTATATGTAAAGTGTAATTATAATCATGCCTGGAGGAGATACAGGCACCAAAGAAATGTATGTTACCTCCCAATTTATCAGACTATGGGTAAGCTTTTTTTGTTACTAGTTTTCTGGTTGATGGTAATGATGTTTCCTGAGGAAATAGGATAGAAACTGTCAACACTACCTTGAAGGTTCAGGTGTCTGCCTATGGAGATGGGGAACAGTCTCTGGGATAGTTTCTTTCATGCCTCATGTTCCAAAGTCAGGTGTTCTGGGCATTTCCTGGACATCCAGGGTAAATGCTACCTTTCAAGATTTTTTTTTTTTTTTTTTTTTTGAGACAGAGTCTCGCTCTGTCACCCAGGCTGGAGTGCAGTAGTGTGATCTCAGCTCACTGCCAGCTCTGCCTCCTGGGTTCACGCCATTCTCCTGCCTCAAGTAGCTGCCTCCCACTCTCAAGTAGCTGGGACTACAGGTGCCAGCCACCACGCCCAGCTAATTTTGTTTTTGTATTTTTAGTAGAGAGGGGCTTCACCGTGTTAGCCAGGATGGTCTCCATCTCCTGACCTCGTGATCTGCCCGCCTTGGCCTCCCAAAGTGCTGAGATTACAGGTGTGAGCCACCAAGATTTTTTATTTAGTTAGTTTTTTTGAGACAGAGTCTCACTCTGTCACCCAGGCTGGAGCGCAGTGGTGCAATCTCAGCTCACGCAACCTCTGCCTCCTGGGTTCAAGTTATTCCCCTTCCTCAGCCTCCCGAGTAGCTAGGATTACAGGCACGTGCCACCATGCCTGGCTAATTTTTGTATTTTTAGTAGAGACAGGGTTTCACAATGTTGGCCAGGCTGGTCTCAAACTCCTGACCTCAAGTGATCCGCCCTCCTTGGCCTCCCAAAGTGCTGGAGTTACAGGTGTGAGCCACCGCGCCTGGCCTCAAGATTTTTTTTTAAGTTTGTACGTGTACGGAGGTTGATTATAATTAAAACAGCAGTTGCCGAACAGCAGTGAGACTGAAGTATTTTCTTCTTTTTAAAAAGTTTAGAAGGGGTCCTTGTTCTACTTTTTTTTTTAATTTACAATATGAAATATTATCCAGTGAGGTATGCAATAATGCAATACAATAATATGGATAAACCCATTCACATATCTCGATAACCCTGAGACTGTCTCACCGTAATTGGTTGTGGCTGGGGGAGTTAAGGGAGTTAAGGTTTTATTTTTCTATTTCATGGGGGTTCTCATAATACAGGCTGACTACCCCCTATCTCAAATGCTTGGGACCAGCAGTGTTTTGGGTTTTGGAATATTTGCATTATACTCATTGGTTGAGGATCCAAATCAGGAAATCAGATTCTTCTGAGCATGAAGTCAAAGAGTTCAAAATGTCTCGGATTTTGTAGCTTTTTTTTGAGATGGAGTCTTGCTCTGTCGCCCAGGCTGGAGTGTGGTGGTGCAATCTCGGCTCACTGCAACCTCTGCCTCCTGGGTTCAAGCGAGTCTCCTGCCTCAGCCTCTTGAGTAGCTGGGATTATAGGTGCGTGCCACCACGCCTGGCTAAGTTTTTGTATTTTGGGTAGAGATGGGGTTTCTCCATGTTGCCCAGGCTGGTCTTGAACTCCTGACCTCAAGTGATATGCCCACCTCGGCCTCCCAAACTGCTGGGATTACAGGCATGAGCCACTGCACCCAGCCTGTGGCATTTTAGGCTTTAGATTTTTGGATTGGAGATACTCAACCTGTTATAAATAGGTACTAGCTGTGTTTCTTTAAGCAAATTCAGTGCTTCAGTTTCTAAATTTTGTAAATCTGAGAATAGAAAGATTGTGTCTGTGCTGTAATTTTAAAATAATCTTTACAACTGTTTTTGAAGTTTTTAGATGTTTATCTTTTTATCTACAGGGAACTCAAAACTGTATGATCTACCAGATGAGCCTTTTACAAGACAGTTTTACTTTGTCCACTCAGCTGGTCAGTTTAAGTGAGTATGAAACTCAAGTTGATTTCTGTGCTTTTGCCCCTAGTTTACTCCAAGCTGCACGTAAGCTGCTTCAATTGTAATTGGTTATGGACAAATCTGCACCTACTAATGTCAAAAATGCTGCCACCTTGTGGCCAACCAGAGTGTTTCATGCCACTGTCCCAAATATTTATTTTCGTTTATTTTGGGTTTTAGGGGAAAGACTTCAAGGGAGATTATGGCAAGAGATAGAAGTGTCCCTAATTTAACCGAAGGTTCTTTGCATGAGGTAAGTTATTAAACACTGGCTTTTAATCATATTTTCTAAAGCCCGGCTTTGTCAAAAGTAATCCATGGTAAACACGTCTCCTTGATCGTCATCTTCATTATTCCGTGCGCCGTATGAGTTAGCAGCAGTTAAAACTGGAATTATTTCATGGGACAGTGTAGAGTACAGACTTCACTGATTGTTATAACTAAAAGTACATTTCTGAGCAGAGGAGTGGAAAGTGTTACATGTGTGGGAAACCACAGGTCTTGGTGCTTATAGGAGATGAAACATCCCACATTTCACTATGGTTTTAATCACCAAAGAAAGAAAACGACAGTTTGTATATAGATGGGTAAATGATGTCTCCAAGTATGGTGTACAGTTGCTCAGACAATTCTTTATGTGGCCATCTTCCCACTACATTTTTTTATTTATTTATTTGAGACAGAGTCTTGCTCTGTGGCCCAGGCTGGAGTGCAGTGGCACGATCTCGGCTCACTGCAGTCTCCACCTCCCGGGTTCAAGCATTCTCCCGCCTCAGCCTCCTGAGTAGCTGGGATTACAGGCATGTGCCACTATTCCTGGCTAATTTTTTTGTATTTTTAGTAGAGACGCAGTTTCACCACGTTGGCCAGGCTGGTCTTGAACTCCTGACCTCAAGTGATCTGCCCGCTTTGGCCTCCCAGTGTGCTGGGATTACAAGTGTGAGCCACCGTGCCCGGACCCTACTGCATTTTTAAATCACTCAGAAGCTTGATTGAAAACCTGTGATCGGAGACAGTGATTCTTCTCAGAACCACAGCTTTCCTTGTTGCTGATGAGAATTTATAGCATATGTAGCATAGGCTTGTTGGAACAAATACACAAAAGTTCTAAATTGTTTTAGATAATTAAAATGATTTTAATTAACATGACTAATTTTGATACCATATTTAGTCTTATGTGGTGTTGCTAGGAGACCTGCTGCTTTGTGGGAAAGCCAGAATCGTTGAAATCTGCCTGAGTTCCATCAAGTGCTAGCTTTTCCCTTGCTAGCTGTAGGACTTTAGGCAGGTGGCTTAACTTTGCTGATCCTGTTTCCTCAGGTGTAAAACGGGGATAACAATAGTAGTACATGCCTCCTAGAGTCATAAAGATTGTGAAAACAAGTGAAACATTTACTCTGACACATGTAGTATGCACATGCCATGTTACCACGACAGGGATGTGAGAATTGAAATTATGCCTGTCAAGCACTGAGCACATTATGTGACACTAGGCACTAAGGGGCAGCTGTCACTGTCATGGTTGTGGCTTCCAGTACAGTGAGGACGTCAACGGTTAAAAATGTACTTTTTCTTTAGCCAGGGAGGCAAAGTGTCACACTGAGACAGAATAACCTGCCAGCTCAGAGTGGATCTCATGCTGCTGAGAAAGGCAACAGCGACTGGCCAGAGAGGCCTGGACTGACACAGACTGGCCCTGGACACAGACGGATGCTGCGGAGACACACGGTAGAGGATGCGGTCGTGTCCCAGGGCCCGGAGGCTGCTGGCCCCCTCTCCACTCCCCAAGAGGTTAGTGCTTCCCGGTCCTAACAGGAATGAGGAGTTGTTGAACCCACTGCTAGGAAGCAAGGATGCAACAAGATGATGCTGAGCGTGAACACATCTGAGAACTAAATGTGCTTCCATGAGACTGGCTTGAGAAGTCTTCAGCACCAAGTTCCTGAAAGCTTTTCTGTGGCAGGAAAGAATGCAACAAAAAAGTTAACCACCACCATCTCTCTCCTCTTCAAAGCTAATGAATACAATTGAAACAGACAAAAATTCCAGTAGCATCCAGATCCTTAAGCCAGAGGTGCATGCTTCTTTTTAAGTATGAGGGTTTGTTGGTCACAGTGGGAGAGGTTTCACCACCGCATTCTGACCTCCTCCTCCCAAAAGGTGCTAAACCTCTCTGACCTGTGTACATTCACAAACCACAGCTAGAATTCCTCCACCTAGGATTAAGCTGGAGAGAAGTAAGTAATTTAGGTTTCATGGTACTGTAGAGGCCAGGCTGAAATGTCATATCTGAAGGAAGAAAGCAGCAGCTGGACAATGTTTCTTTGCAAAGCAACACTCGAACCAAAAGATGCCTCAATCCCATTTTGATATTCATTTTAGTGAAAGGATGCATCAGACCTGTTCCACATCATGCACATGGGAAAGGGTGGTTATCATTTTCCTTCTAACAAGTAGGTACAGATATTCGGTTACTACACGTGCACCTGTAGCAGTATTTCTAGAAACATCCCTTTTTGTTGAGAACCTCCCTTGAATGTCTGTCACACTCACACCTGACGGGATGGTTACTGGATTAGAGAGTAGATTTGGCACATCTTTTCTTAGTCTTTTGATTCAAATTCAAAACTTAACAGCACAAACCAGGTCAGAGTTACTTTCGGTTAGAATTTATTGCCATTTATTCCTTTTTATAAATTTCTATAGATTATACTGTTATTTTTATGTTATTGGCCTAGAGCTACACGTATATGGGTTTGTCCTGAGTCCGTTTTCAAATGACCTTGTGATAGGGAAATGGTTTTGTCCATGTTCTTGGAAATACTTGTGTATGTACAGAAGGAAGGGAGGGATTATTTTTCTACAAAGTAATTTATGATTTCTAATTTTCTAATGTGCCTTGGATATGTGCCAAATGATGGAAAAGAAACAGTAAACTTTATGATTCTTGACTGTGTCATGGTATTTTTTTTTAGTTGTTTGGCTGCAGATGATATGTTTCTCAGCCTGTCTGCTGTAAACATGTGCTTTGTGTGTGAGAAAAAGGGTCCCCATTGAATGGATATACATTTTTCAGTTATAGATGTGAGATTGAAACATGGGAACTTGATCACTTAGCTCATTATTCATCTACTGACCAAGGCCTACTTAACCCAGTAGGCACAGTGTCCCGGGCCCACAAAAATGTTTTTCTTTGGAAATCAGAAGAATAAAATGAATACAGCTTCCTACCCCAAACAAACAGGAAATGAGCCCTGTTGCTTTGCTAATTTCTTTGTTCTGATTTTTCCTTTTCCCTTTTTTTTTTTTTTTTGAGATGGAGTCTCGCTCTGTCACCCAGGCTGGAGTGCAGTGGCACCATCTCGGCTCACTGCAGCCTCCGCCTCCCAGGTTCAAGCAATTCTTCTGCCTCAGCCTCCTGAGTAGCTGGGACTATAGGAACCCACCACCATGCCCGGCTAGTGTTTTTTTTGTTTTTGTTTTTTTGTTTTTGTATTTTTAGTAGAGACAGGGTTTTTCACCGTGTTAGCCAGGATGGTCTCAATCTCCTGACCTCGTGATCCGCCCGCCTCGGCCTCCCAAAGTGCTGGGATTACAGGTGTGAGCCACCATGCCCAGCCTTCCCTACTTTTAAACAAAACCACCTTATAGACTGAAGCTGCTGTGGTTCTATACCATCCTAATTAATACATCCTATACAGTTTATCAGCACAGGTATTCTCAAGATACAAATACACACATTTGACACCACCTAATATGTTGGGGTAGTGCAATATAATTTTGAAAACATTTTCTTGAGATGATGGAGTCTCGCTCTGTCACCCAGGCTGGAGTGCAGTGGCACCATCTCGGCTCACTGCAGCCTCTGCCTCCCAGATTCAAGCAATTCTCCTGCCTCAGCCTCCCGCATAGCTGGGATTACAGGTACCTGCCACCATCCATGCCTGGCTAATTTTTATATCTTTGGTAGAGATGGGGTTTCACCATGTTGGCCAGGCTGGTCTTGAACTCCTGACCTCAAGTGATCTGCCCACATTGGCCTCCCGAAGTGCTGGGATTGCAGGCATGAGCGACTGCGCCCAGCTGAAAACATTTTCACATATACCCATTTAATTTCAACAATCACTGTGAATGGTAGAATTGTCAAATGAGGAAACAGGTTCAGAAAAATAAGGGGACTGCGAGGGATCTCACAGCCAGGATCAAGGCCTGGTTGGCAGTGGCAGCTGCAAGCTTGGTGTACCCTTCCTCTGGAGAGGTAAATGCTGTTTCTTTTTGAGCTATTCTGGTCATCAGTAATGTTTTCCATCTTAAGTGACTCCCTCGATTATTTTTAAAAAACAGTTGTCATCCTGGCCAACATGGTGAAACCCTGTCTATACTAAAAGTACAAAAATTAGCTGGGTGTGGTGGCGTGCGCTTGTAATCCCAGCTACTTGGGATGCTGAGGCAGGAGAATTGCTTGAACCTGGGAGAGAGGTTGCAGTGAGCCAAGATCATGCCACTGCACTCCAGCCTGGCAACAGAGCAATACTCCATCTCAAAAAAAAGCAAACAACCAGTTGTTTTTTCCAATTGCTTTCCCTACCCAAAACTTGATGTGACAGTTGAGAAATTAATGCCCCTAATTTCCATTTTTGTGGAAAAAAGTTTTGAATTCAAAGTAACGCAAGTTCACTGATTTAAATTAGAAAGTTTAGAATAACCACTCTCCACTCCCTAAAATGTACTCCAGCCTCTTATTGCCATCAGGAACCTCTCTCCTTGTACATGGAACCACTTTTCACTCTCAGGTAGGTGTCTGAAAGAGTCTGACCATCTTTAAACACACTCACAGCAGTTGCCATTAGGACAGTGGTTATCCTGTGAGAAAGCACAGAACTTGTGAACTGCCTCATGTCCTCCTAGCATTTGTATGTAAATGAGGCCTAAAGCAAAATTTACCTGTAAATGGGATTTTTTTCAAAATCCCCGACCAAATTTTTTTTAAATTACCAGTTTACCCTGACAGAAAATCCCCAGCCAGATTTCATCTTATGATCATTCTTTTAAAAATATGTTGATGTTCTCAACGGTTCTACTTATTTATAATGTTAGATATTGTTCTATTTCTTCACTGACAATAGTTGCAAATTTCAAATATAGTAGAATCTCCAGTTTAAACATGTATCAGTAGTATGCTGGCTAACGCAGAGACTGGGGTTTGCAAACCACATTTCCCTTCATTTTTTTACTAATCCTATTCACCTTGTTAAATTTATGAATTTAATCCTGTGCTAGGTCTCACAGGACTACGACATTTAAAAGGTTACACCAAACAGCTGGTTGATGGTTAAGTTTATGATTTAAATATATGAGCAGTGGCTTGCACCTACAGTCTCAGCTACGAGGGAGGCTGAGGTGGGAAGATCAGTTAAACTCAGGAGTTTGAGGCCAGCCTCAGCAACACAGCAAGTCTCCGTCTCTGAAAACCGTAACTTATGAGTGCAGGTTTTCATAACCTAGTGGAAAGAAAGCACAACAAAAGAGAGAACATTTAAGTCACCTGCAACATTATCAGTGATATGTTACCAAAATGTTTAAATGCTGAAGTGTCTCAACTGGATTTGAAATCATTAGAAGTCATTTCTCTTACAAACATGTTTATTACTGTAGTAGCATTACCAACATGTCTATTTTGGTCATTTTCTTTTTCAGTCATTATCACTCTAGTTATTTTGGAGGGAGTGGTATTTGTTAATATCAGTACCTCTGAAAAACAATTATAAATGAGATCAAAGCTAGCTTTTTTTTTTCTTTGAGATGGAATCACCCAGGTTGGAGTGCAATGGCCTGATCTCAGCTCACTGCAACCTCTGCCTACCAGGTTCGAGCCTCCCAAGTAGCTGGGATTACAGGTGTGTGCCACCACGCCCAGCTAATTTTTATATTTTTAGTAGAGACAGGGTTTCACCATGTTGGCCAGGCTGGTCTCAAACTCCCGACCTCAAATGACCTGCCAGCCTCAGCCTCCCAAAGTGCTGGGATCACAGGTGTTAGCCACTGTGCCTGGCAAAGCTAGGAATTTTCTTACATTAAGTGGAAGTAGTATCTGCAGGAAGAGAAAGAGCTTACCTGCTTTCAGAATCTACATCTTAGAATATTAGATGTGCTCAAATGTTGAACCTGATTCAGTCTGATGGACAGGTTTTAATTCCCCTTATGTTATTGGCGGCTGCTGCTGCTGCTGCTATATTTTTCTTCCTGAAGAGTGCTGGAGCAGCTTCTGTTTCCGCCACGGACACTTTTCCTATCTAATATTCATGGCACAGTTGCAAAGGGTAGAGTCATGCTGGTACACGTGCTTAAAAGCTTTTGGTCAGGGAGGAGCCAAGATGGCCGAATAGGAACAGCTCTGGTCTACAGCTCCCAGCGTGAGCAACGCAGAAGATGGGTGATTTCAGCATTTCCATCTGAGGTACCGGGTTCATCTCACTAGGGAGTGCCAGACGGTGCAGGTCAGTGGGTGCAGCCCACCGTGCGCTAGCCGAAGCAGGGCGAGGCATTGCCTCACTCGGGAAGCACAAGGGGTCAGGGAGTTCCCTTTCCTAGTCAAAGAAAGGGGTGACAGACGGCACCTGGAAAATCGGGTCACTCCCACCCAAATACTGCGCCTTTTCCAACGGGCTTAAAAAACGGCGCACCAGATTATATCCCGCACCTGGCTCGGAGGGTCCTACGCCCACAGAGTCTCGCTGACTGCAAGGCGGCAGCGAGGCTGGGGGAGGGGCGCCCGCCATTGCCCAGGCTTGCTTAGGTAAACAAAGCAGCCTGGAAGCTCGAACTGGGTGGAGCCCACCACAGCTCAAGGAGGCCTGCCTGCCTCAGTAGGCTCCACCTCTGGGGGCAGGGCACAGACAAACAAAAAGACAGCGGTAACCTCTGCAGACTTAAATGTCCCTGTCTGACAGCTTTGAAGAGAGCAGTGGTTCTCCCAGCACGCAGCTGGAGATCTGAGAATGGGCAGACTGCCTCCTCAAGTGGATCCCTGACTCCTGACCCGCCTAACTGGGAGGCACCCCCCAGTAGGGGCAGACTGACACTTCACACGGCCAGGTACTCTGAGACAAAACTTCCTGAGGAATGATCAGACAACAGCATTCGCGGTTCATGAAAAACCGCTGTTCTGCAAACACCACTGCTGATACCCAGGCAAACAGGGTCTGGAGTGGACCTCTAGCAAACTCCAACAGACCTGCAGCTGAGGGTCCTGTTAGAAGGAAAACTAACAAACAGAAAGGACATCCACACCAAAAACCCATCTGTACATCACCATCATCAAAGACCAAAAGTAGATAAAACCACAAAGATGGGGAAAAAACAGAGCAGAAAACTGGAAACTCTAAAAAGCAGAGCGCCTCTCCTCCTCCAAAGGAACGCAGTTCCTCACCAGCAATGGAACAAAGCTGGACGGAGAATGACTTTGATGAGCTGAGAGAAGAAGACTTCAGACGATCAAACTACGAGCTACAGGAGGAAATTCAAACCAAAGGCAAAGAAGTTAAAAACTTTGAAAAAAATTCAGACGAATGTATAACTAGAATAACCAATACAGAGAAGTGCTTAAAGGAGCTGATGGAGCCGAAAGCCAAGGCTCAAGAACTACGTGAAGAATGCAGAAGCCTCAGGAGCCGATGCGATCAACTGGAAGAAAGGGTATCAGCGATAGAAGATGAAATGAATGAAATGAAGCAAGAAGGGAAGTTTAGAGAAAAAATAAAATGAATAAAGCCTCCAAGAAATATGGGACTATGTGAAAAGACCAAATCTACGTCTGATTGGTGTACCTGAAAGTGATGGGGAGAATGGAACCAAGTTGGAAAACACTGCAGGATATTATCCAGGAGAACTTCCCCAATCTAGCAAGGCAGGCCAACATTCAGATTCAGGAAATACAGAGAACGCCACAAAGATACTCCTCGAGAAGAGCAACTCCAAGACACAAAATTGTCAGATTCACCAAAGTTGAAATGAAGGAAAAAATGTTAAGGGCAGCCAGAGAGAAAGGTCAGGTTACCCACAAAGGGAAGCCCATGAGACTAACAGCGGATCTCTCGGCAGAAACTCTACAAGCCAGAAGAGAGTGGGGGCCAATATTCAACATTCTTAAAGAAAAGAATTTTCAACCCAGAATTTCATATCCAGCCAAATTAAGCTTCATAAGTGAAGGAGAAATAAAACACTTTACAGACAAGCAAATGCTGAGAGATTTTGTCACCACCAGGCCTGCCCTAAAAGAGCTCCTGAAGGAAGCACTAAACATGGAAAGGAACAACCGGTACCAGCCACTGCAAAATCATGCCAAAATGTAAAGACCATCAAGACTAGGAAGAAACTGCATCAACTAATGAGCAAAATAACCAGCTAACATCATAATGACAGGATCAAATTCACACATAACAATATTAACTTTAAATGTAAATGGACTAAATGCTCCAATTAAAAGACACAGACTGGCAAATTGGATAAAGAGTCAAGACCCATCAGTGTGCTGTATTCAGGAAACCCATCTCACATGCAGAGACACACATAGGCTCAAAATAAAAGGATGGAGGAAGATCTACCAAGCAAATGGAAAACAAAAAAGGCAGGGGTTGCAATCCTAGTCTCTGATAAAACAGACTTTAAACCAACAAAGATCAAAAGAGACAAAGAGGCCATTACATAATGGTAAAGGGATCAATTCAACAAGAAGAGCTAACTATCCTAAATATATATGCACCCAATACAGGAGCACCCAGATTCATAAAGCAAGTCCTGAGTGACCTACAAAGAGACTTAGACTCCCAACACATTAATAATGGGAGACTTTAACACCCCACTGTCAACATTAGACAGATCAATGAGACGGAAAGTTAACAAGGATACCCAGGAATTGAACTCAGCTCTGCACCAAGTGGACCTAATAGACATCTACAGAACTCTCCACCCCAAATCAACAGAATATACATTTTTTTCAGCACCACACCGATTCCAAAATTGACCACATAGTTGGAAGCTCTCCTCAGCAAATGTAAAAGAACAGAAATTATAAGAAACTATCTCTCAGACCACAGTGCAATCAAACTAGAACTCAGGATTAAGAAACTCATTCAAAACAGCTCAACTACATGGAAACTGAACAACCTGCTCCTGAATGACTACTGGGTACATAACTAAATGAAGGCAGAAATAAAGATGTTCTTTGAAACCAATGAGAACAAAGACACAACATACCAGAATCTCTGGGACACATTCAAAGCAGTGTGTAGAGGGAAATTTATAGCACTAAATGCCCACAAGAGAAAGCAGGAAAGATCCAAAATTGACACCCTAACATCACAATTAAAAGAACTAGAAAAGCAAGAGCAAACACATTCAAAAGCTAGCAGAAGGCAAGAAATAACTAAAATCAGAGCAGAACTGAAGGAAAGAGAGACACAAAAAACCCTTCAAAAAATTAATGAATCCAGGAGCTGGTTTTTTGAAAGGGTCAACAAAATTGATAGACTGCTAGCAAGACTAATAAAGAAAAAAAGAGATAAGAATCAAATAGACACAATAAAAAATGATAAAGGGGATATCACCACCGATCCCACAGAAATACAAACTACCATCAGAGAATACTACAAACACCTCTACGCAAATAAACTAGAAAATCTAGAAGAAATGGATAAATTCCTCGACACATACACTCTCCCAAGACTAAACCAGGAAGAAGTTGAATCTCTGAATAGACCAATAACAGGAGCTGAAATTGTGGCAATAATCAACAGCTTACCAACCAAAGAGTCCAGGACCAGATGGATTCACAGCCGAATTCTACCAGAGGTACAAGGAGGAACTGGTACCATTCCTTCTGAAACTATTCCAATCAATAGAAAAAGAGGGAATCCTCCCTAACTCATTTTATGAGGCCAGCATCATCCTGATACCAAAGCCTGGCAGAGACACAACCAAAAAAGGAGAATTTTAGACCAATATCCTTGATGAACATTGATGCAAAAATCCTCAATAAAATACTGGCAAACCGAATCCAGCAGCACATCAAAAAGCTTATCCACCATGATCAAGTGGGCTTCATCCCTGGGATGCAAGGCTGGTTCAACATTCGCAAATCAATAAATGTAATCCAGCATATAAACAGAACCAAAGACAAAAACCACATGATTATCTCAATAGATGCAGAAAAGGCCTTTGACAAAATTCAACAACCCTTCATGCTAAAAACTCTCAATAAATTAGGTACTGATGGGATGTATCTCAAAATAATAAGAGCTATCTATGACACACCCACAGCCAATATCATACTGAATGGGCAAAAACTGGAAGCATTCCCTTTGAAAACTGGCACAAGACAGGGGTGCCCTCTCTCACCACTCCTATTCAACATAGTGTTGGAAGTTCTGGCCAGGGCAATTAGGCAGGAGAAGGAAATAAAAGATATTCATTTAGGAAAAGAGGAAGTCAAATTGTCCCTGTTTGCAGATGACATGATTGTATATCTAGAAAACCCCACTGTCTCAGCCCAAAATCTCCTTAAGCTGATAAACAACTTCAGCAAAGTCTCAGGATACAAAATCAATGTGCAAAAATCACAGGCATTCTTATACACCAATAACAGACAAACAGCCAAATCATGAGTGAACTCCCATTCACAATTGCTTCAAAGAGAATCAAATACCTAGGAATCCACCTTACAAGGGACGTGAAGGACCTCTTCAAGGAGAACTACAAACCACTGCTCAATGAAATAAAAGAGGATACAAAGAAATGGAAGAACATTCCATGCTCATGGGTAGGAAGAATCAATATTGTGAAAATGGCCATACTGCCCAAGGTAATTTATAGATTCAATGCCATCCCCATCAAGCTACCAATGACTTTCTTCACAGAATTGGAAAAAACTACTTCAAAATTCATATGGAACCAAAAAAGAGCCTGCATCGCCAAGTCAATCCTAAGCCAAAAGAACAAAGCTGGAGGCATCACGCTACCTGACTTCAAACTATACTACAAGGCTACAGTAACCAAAACAGCATGGTACTGGTACCAAAACAGAGATATAGATCAATGGAACAGAACAGAGCCCTCAGAAATAATGACGCATATCTACAACTATTTGATCTTTGACAAACCTGAGAAAAACAAGCAATGGGGAAAGGATTCCCTATTTAATAAATGGTGCTGGGAAAACTGGCTAGCCATATGTAAAAAGCTGAAACTGGATCCCTTCCTTACACCTTATACAAAAATCAATTCAAGATGGATTAAAGACTTAAACGTTAGACCTAAAACCATAAAAATCCTAGAAGAAAACCTAGGCATTACCATTCAGGACATAGGCATGGGCAAGGACTTCATGTCTAAAACACCAAAAGCAATGGCAACAAAAGCCAAAATTGACAAATGGGATCTAATTAAACTAAAGAGCTTCTGCACAGCAAAAGAAACTACCATCAGAGTGAACGGGCAACCCACAAAATGGGAGAAAATTTTCACAACCTACTCATCTGACAAAGGGCTAATATCCACAATCTACAGTGAACTCCAACAAATTTACAAGAAAAAAACAAACAACCCCATCAAAAAGTGGGCGAAGGACATGAACAGACACTTCTCAAAAGAAGACATTTATGCAGCCAAAAAACACATGAAAAAATGCTGACCATCACTGGCCATCAGAGAAATGCAAATCAAAACCACAATGAGATATCATCTCACACCGGTTAGAATAGCAATCATTAAAAAGTCAGGAAACAACAGGTGCTGGAGAGGATGTGGAGAAATAGGAACACTATTACACTGTTGGTGGGACTGTAAACTAGTTCGACCATTGTGGAAGTCAGTGTGGCAATTCCTCAGGGATCTAGAACTAGAAATACCATTTGACCCAGCCATCCCATTACTGGGTATATACCCAAAGGACTATAAATCATGCTGCTATATAGACACATGCACATGTATGTTTATTGCGGCACTATTCACAATAGCGAAGACTTGGAACCAACCCAAATGTCCCACAATGATAGACTGGATTAAGAAAATGTGGCACATATACACCATGGAATACTATGCAGCCATAAAAAATGATGAGTTCATGTCCTTTGTAGGGACATGGATGAAATTGGAAATCATCATTCTCAGTAAACTATCGCAAGAACAAAAAACCAAACACCGCATATTCTCACTCATAGGTGGGAACTGAACAATGAGAACACATGGACACAGGAAGGGGAACATCACACTCTGGGGACTCTTGTGGGGTGGGGGGAGGGGGGAGGGATAGCATTGGGAGATATACCTAATGCTAGATGACAAGTTAGTGGGTGCAGCGCACCAGCATGGCACATGTATACATATGTAACTAACCTGCACATTGTGCACATGTACCCTAAAACTTAAAGTATAATAACAAAAATAAAAATAAAAAAAGCTTTTGGTAGGAAGGGGAAAAATTCAAAACACAGATCTGGCCACTTGGCTATGATACTAAAACAACTTACCCAAATGTTTTATTTTGCATAACAAGTTTATTTTTTTAAAAGGCATATAGACAATAAACAAAGTAAATAATCAGATCTTAACTTCTGTCCTAGACTTGTTCCGTTAAGTTCTAGTCTGTGAGCACTTGTAGTTCAATAATCGTCATCTTCATCAGAGTCCATTACTTTTCTTCTGTTGAACTGGGAGGAAAATTAAATGAGTGTCAGAACATTTCTAATAAAGCATAACTCAGATTTTCCGAGAAAAGATTTCTACCAATTTTAGCAAGACATTTGTGTCTTTAAAGCAACTTAGCGTGAACTAAAAGGGTGGGAATGGAGTCAAGAGCCTATAAAAATTAGAACCCTCCCCCAACAGATTCAGCCTTTCTCCCCAAACTTTCACGTGTTTGACAAAAGGAAAATGTCTCTGGGCTGAAAAATATGTGTGGTAGATGTATACTCAACATTAATCTTTAAAGTATCCATCTTTTCATTTGCCACAAGCATCTGGGGACACTTACTTTCACTGTTGTTGTCTTTTCTGTTTGTTGGCTTACTTTTTTAAGGATTTCTATTAAACCTTGTTCTGATACCTAGGAGAACCAGAAAAGATAAGAAAAACAGTACTTTTTTAAACAAAGAATTTACCTCTGCAGATGGAATCACTTTGTACTCTTTTTGAGGTGTGGGGAAAGAGCTCAGGAAGGAAGCAGTGGTGAGGCAGGAGGTTGAAACTATTGGTTATAACTATTGGTTTAAGTTCCAAATAAAATTTGCTCTGCTATTCCTCACTTGAGAAGGAGGGGGAAGTATCCATAAAATTGCTTCCTCAGGAAAACTGAAAGCTAACATATTTAAGAACACCTTTATCATCACTAGCTGAGTGTGACAACCACATATACCACGGTGTTTGGTGTCAGGAATAGACACACCACTTCTGCCCGAGAAGCTTAAACATCCCCTTGAAGGAGGTAAGTCACACTCGGAAAAGATCAACCCAACCAGCTCTCTCCCACACAAGCAGTTCTCAGTGTGAGGGGTTTAGGGGACAGGACCAATTCGGGTAGGCTGTGGTGGTAGCAGACGGCTTCTCAGGGCAGGTGGGGTTCGTCTTGATCTCAAAGGCCAGGTTTGCCACAACATACCCCTCATGGTATTACAGCAACACAGAGAACATAAGCAAGGCATCTTAGCACCTTCTCATCTGCAAAACACACCTTCTACTTACACTGGTAGTATTTTAATTGGTGTTACTGACAAACCTTGCTTCCAGTGCAGGGGCAATTGAAGCTAGCTGACCCTAACAGTCATTGGGTCACAGACACCAACAAGGTTCCAGAGCAACGCCAGGAAAGGAGCGAAGCAGAGGAATTTAGGAAAGGCAATTTATTCTCTTTTAAAGTAGGTATGACTATTCTCTCCAACAATTTCTTCTGAGAGTCAGCAAGAATTCTGTAATCCAGTGAAGATGCAGCTGACCTTTTGAAGCCATGTTTTGATAAAGCAGGTAACAGTAAAGTTCCTCAAGGCTGTCTAAGCTTACCTTCTCACTTAGTTGTCCATATCTTGCCATCTGTATAAGGTAATTCTCTACTGCTTTAGTTTTTTCAGGCTTTACAAGTGCTAAGTTACTTACTAAAAAGAAAAAATACATATGCAAAAAATCCATTAAAATCAAATGCACTTATGTTATACCTTAAAACTATGCATTGACCTTTCCAAAGCACTTCACAAGCTTGTCCCTCAGTGTAGGGCAAGACAGTATTGTTACTCCTCTTAAAAATGAGAAAACTGAAGTTCACCCATGCCAATCTCCACATGGGCACATGGGGGTAGTGGCCCAGCCAAGATTAAAGTTGGGTTCTCAGATTCTAAGCACCATGCTTCCTGTTTCTTAAAATATATGACTGCCCTCTGGAAAGCGGTTTATCTATTACACATAATGGTGGTGATCCACCTGTGGCCGCCTTTTCTACACTCAAACTGGGCTTCCAGTTAAAATACAGAAAATACCAGTTCATTCTGACTGTCTCATTTTTTCTTTCTACAGGTTTTGGTTTTTATGATGAACAACTCTGAACATACACTAAAACTGACAATACATATAAAAAGCCCCTAAGTCCCCCATCCCCAGTCCCCATCACCAGTTGACACAAAATGTCAACTACCAGCAACATTTTGTGATTGGCCCTATGAGTTGTTTCCTATAAATCTTACCTAATACACACCTGGAGAACATCTTGGTAAGAGAAGTGACCTGGTACTTTTACTAGGGATTAAAGTACAGTTCTCTAGGTTTATAAACTTCACACTTCTTACACATCTCAAGTGTTTTCAGCCTAAGCAAATATTTCATCTAGTGATAGCAATAATGGTATCTAATCACCCCATTCAACTAACTCAAGCTAACTTTATGGAAATGAAATCAAAGATGCTTACACCTGGCCCGGGCCGACTGATCCAGAACTTGGGCTAAGATACTGTTTCTCATTTCTGCTTCCCTACAACGAAAACATAGGTCAAACACAATTAAAACACAGCTGTCGGCATTCCCATGTAACATACGAGAAAGAACCCATCCAGTATGTGTCTCCACATGGGGCCTGCGGTATACAAACTGCATTATGGTAGTTGCTGTACATAAGGCTGCAGCTACATTCAAGTAGAATCCCCTTTTGCCCTCAAAGAACCAGCTTTATATTACACAGGTGACAACCTACCAGGCTGGAAGGTGAGCTTTACAGTTTCATCAGAGTGGAGCCTCAGTTCAAACACCATCACCAACATTTCTTAAGTACCTATTGCGTGACAGGTGCTAGAAATTTATAGTGGGATTTCAGGCAATTAGAAGGACCATGTGACTAATCTATATCATTTTCTTAGAGATAAAGCTGAGATCCAGGAGGCTATGCTAAAGAGACATAGGTAACTGTGGCCAAGCTACAGCCAGATTCCATGTTTTAAGACTCTCAGTTCTATTTTTCTGGGTGGGGAAGGGGAATGAAATTATAACTTTGCAACTATCCTCACTTCTTCCTACCTACCCAAATAGAAAGTAGTTCACGTTCACAGGACAGTGGTCTCATGGACTTGTTTCTTTTTTCTTTCAAATGAAATCCTTTAAGAAATCTAAAAACAAATGAGCACAGATGCTTTGGCTCAACTGAGAGGGAGAGCTGGGGCTGGCTGTGCCCACTATCCACTCCCAGCTCAGAGGCCCTTCGGTTCATGGAATGTGGCTTAAAGCTCATTTCCATAGGCCACTTCTTTATGGTTTGAGTACTGCAGCCCTGCCACAAACTTTAAGAGATGGGGTCTAGGCCAGGCATGGTGGCTCATGCCTGTAATCTCAGCACTTTGGGAGGCTGAGGTGGGTGGATCACTTGAGGTCAGGAGTTTGAGACCAGCCTGGCCAACATGGTGAAACCCCATCTCTACTAAAAATACAAAAATTAGCCGGGCATGGTGGCGGGTGCCTGTAATCCCAGCTACTTGGGAGGCAGAGGCAGGAGAATCGCTTGAAGCTCAGAGGCAGAGGTTACGGTGAGCCAAGATTGTGCCACTGCACTCCAGCCTGGGTGATGGAGTGAGACTTCATCTCAACAACAATAAAAAAAGATGGGGTCTCACTCTGCTGTTCATGCTGGAGTACAGTGGTGCAATCACAGCTCACTGCAGCTATGATCAGCTCAAGCTCCTGTGCTCAAGTGATTCTTCCCCCTCGGCCTCCTGAGTAGCTGGGTCTACAGGCTTCAGTCACCACACCTGGCCTGCCACAAACTATTATATCACAGAACCCTAAGATGCCATCAATTCTAAGATACACCATAGTTTTACGTATCTCTAAAAATGAAAAACCCTAAAATGAGAGGTCTAATAGAGATCTCCATTCAAAACTGGGGTTTCTCGGGAGGCCAAGGTGGGAGGATCACTTGAAGCCAGGAGTTTGAGACCAGCCTGGGTGATATAGCGAGGCTATTAAAAAAAAAAAAAGTTTAAAAAAATTAGCCAGGCATGGTGGTGCACGCCTGTCATCTCAGCTCCTCAGGAGGCTGAGGTGGGAGGATCACTTGAGCCCAGCAGGAGTTTGAGGCTGCAGTGAGTTCTGATCCCACCACTGGGGTATCAAAGAGCAACATTCTCAGTACAAAGTAAAGAATAAATAAATATGCCATGCAGTAAGGGGCAGTACAAAAGCTTGCATGCACCTGGCCCTGACGTAAAGAAGAAAAAAGTTCAGTCTTACAGGGTTGCTGTCTGAATTCACACTACTAGGCAGGAGGCAGGGGAAAACCTCAAGCAGAGAATTTAACTTTCAATGGTCTCAGAAATGTACTCAAGTGATAGCAGAGTCAAAAGTAAATCCCCTCTGGAAGAATCTGGGGCAAGAGCAATCTGTTTTAAAAGGCATCCTGATTTCAGATATGTGACAATGAAAAGATGTACACGGCAGAAATCAATGAAATTTGCGTCGTTTTACTTCCTATCACTACTCCAGATACTTCTCACCGTCTGTCTTCTCCCGAACCCTCCCTTCCTATTTCTGTAGACCCAGCACAGTGCCTGACCCAGAGCAGGTGCTCTATAAATATTTGCTGGAGAGGAGGAGTAAGAAGGTGAGGAAGGGGAAATAGAGAATTGTCCAGTAGCTAAAGGTTTCAGTCTTGCAAGATGAAAACATTCTAGAGTGTGAACACTACTGAAGAGCACACTTAAAAATGGTTGTGATGGTGAAATTTTATTTAACCACAATTTTTAAAAAATGATAGCATGATAGGGTAATCACATACTCATTCAATAAACCTGCCACCGAATCAATTACCTGCATCTGTCTCAGGTGCTGTGCGCTGTGTTGGGATAAAACAATCAGAATAGCTTACCAGTTAACACTTATTGAGCACTTACTAAGTGAGGCACCGGACTCACGTCACCCCCACAGCCGAGGAAACTGCCACAGCTGCCTATTATCAGGCTCATTTTTAAGGTACTCACATTGTAGCAGAGAAACATCAACCAGTAATTGCAATACAAGGTCTGATGTGGAGCTGCACACGTGTTTATTTAACAATAATGAAGATACCCTGCGGATGATTTTGGCCAAATCACCATTCCAGCAAAACAAAAAAATCTGAGTCACACACCTGCTTAAAATAACTACAGCAAAAGAAATCCATTTGGTGAAACCACCCTTCAAAAAGTTCACGTTTCCAGCCCATACCTGTGCTTTGCTTCCTGTTGGGCCGCATCACCAGGATCCTGGAAAAAAAAAACTTAAATTTAATAGAGAAATTTCACGGGAGGCGGCGGGAAAAAGGAACGGTTCTGTTGTTTCCTATACATAACAGTCTCTTGCGGTGGTAGAAACAACTCCCCAAATAAGAAACTGGGCCTCACAGAAATCAATGAACTAGTTCCCACTTACAACGTTTTGATGAACGTCTAAAACCACAACCTCAGAAGGCTTTGGAATACAGAGCACCCTGGGGAGGGGAATCCCTGTATTACGAAACCGTGTTTCACATGTAGGAATAATTTCTGGAAAATAAAACGGGCCTCGGTATTAGGGACAACGATAACTCAAAGACTGCGCCCTCCGTCCCTAAGGTCCCGGTCCCTTATCAGAAACGCCTCTCCGGGCGTGTGATCCATCCAAGCTTCCCAGGCGGCCCCTCCCTGTCATCCCGGCGGGGCAAGCGTTCCTCCGACCCTGCCGCGCTCTCAGCACCGGGAACACAGCGGACCCTCAATACCTGTCGGCTAAACTTGGGTCATAACAACTGAACTCCGGAAAAACTGAATTCGGTCCGGCTGCTGGCTCCAAAAGCTGAGATTGTGCTTGGATCCAGGCCCGCCAGGACGAGCCCGCTCCAGGCTAGGGGACCCCACACCCCAACGCCAGGGCAGGTCCCGCACGTGGCGGCCCCCGCCGCCAGCCTCCTGGGCCCCTCGCGACGAGGAAAGCGACGAGGCCACCTCTGAGCCGGCCACGAGGCCGCCAGGGCAGCGCAGGGGACCGGGGCCCCGGGGAGGCGCCCAGAGCCTCCGCCCCGGAGGCGCGCCCTACACTCCGGGCGAGGGCGGCGCCCCGCGAGGGCCAAGCCTGGCGGGGGCTGATGCGCTCACCCCGTGTTTGGCCTGCAGCTCGGCCAGCCTCTGTCTCCTCAGCGCCTCAAGCTCCTCGTCCGCCATGGCTCGGCGTCAGCGCTGGAGCAGCCGCGGTCACTCTCGCAGCCCCTCGGCGCGAGCGCGGCCTTGACCACTGCGCAGGCGCTCGCGGGGCCCAGGCGCCACCAATCCAGCCCGGAGCCACGCCCCGCGCCGCTGCCAGGGCGCCGGCAGAGGCCCGATTCCCCGATTTCAGGCGGTCGAGCTTGGGCGCACGGAGGGGCGGGGCCTGGGGCGGGGCCTCCGGGATCCACCTCCCACCCGTGATCGGCGCCTCTGCGTGCAGGGACTTGGGCTGCGCTGGGGCGGGGCTGCGCTTTGGAAAGGTTAAAACCTGAAAGTGTGGCATCAACAAGTATAATAATTATGGGTGCAATGTGCTGGTGACCTAGAGGGTTAGGCGTATATTATCTCTATTTATAGATGAGGAACCAGGGGCGCAGGAAGGCTGAGTGGGGTGATGGAAATGTCCTAAAGCTGGATCGTGGCGGTGGCTGCCCGGCTCCTCGGTGCACACAGAGGCCGGCCGGTGGCTCGCCGCCTGTGGTCCCGACGCTTCGGGAGGCGGTAGGGTCATTTGAGGTCAGGAGTTAGAGACCAGCCTGGGCAATATGGCAAGAGCCTATCTCTACTAAAATTTTAAAAAACTAGTTGGGCGCGGTGATGTGCACCTGTAGTCCCAGCTACTCAGGAGGCTGTGTCAGGAGGATCGCTGGAGCCCGGAAGTTCGAGGCTGCAGTGAGCCTTGATCTCGCCACTGCACTCCAGCCTGGGAGACACAGCCAGACCCTGTCTCTAAAAAAAAAAAAAAAAAAAAAAAAAGTGCACATCTGCCTCCTCGCCATCTGCCTCCTCCACGCACAAAAGGGCTTTTCCTGGGAGGATACTGCAGTGGGCAGCTGTGGCTGGTGTAAACTCTTTGGTGGAACAAATCCCTTCTGCCTTTGACTTGGGGGAATTGGGGGCAGAGAGGATATTCAGCTACCTAAACGTGTGACTCATACAGATTCTGTTTGTTTGTCTGTGTGTGTGTTATTTTATTTTTTACATTAAAAAAATACAGATGGGGTCTCGCTATGTTGCCTAGGCTGGCCTCTATCTCCTGAGCTCAAGCAATCCTTTTGCCTCAGCCTCCCAAACTGCTAACATTACAGGCATGAGCCACCACACCTGGCCTGTGTGTTTTAATTGTGGCAAAATATACACAATACAAAATTTACCATTTTCACCATTTTTAGGTGTACTTTTCAGTGGTATGAAATGCATTATCGTGCAGTTGTCACTCAATCTCAGCTCACTGCAACCTCCACCTCCCGGGTTCAAGCGATTCTCCTGCATCAGTCTCCCAAGTAGCTGGGACCACAGGCGTGCACCACTGTGCCCGGCTAATTTTGTATTTTTTAGTAGAGATGGGGTTTCACCATGTTGGTCAAGCTGGTCTCGAACTTCTGACCTAAAGTGATCCACCTGCCTTGGTCTCCCAAAGTGCTGGGATTACAGGCATGAACCACCTTGTCCACCATCAATCTCTACAACTTTTTTTTTTTATCATCCTGAACTGGAACTCTACCCAGTAAAGATTTAGGTTGGTGTGAGGGGCCTCTAATGGGAATGGGTGGGGGTGGGAGGGGTCTGAGAATAATAATCAGTCTCCACCCATTCTCATTCTAGTTTCTATGAATTTGCCTATTCTGGGTATCTTGTATATGTGGAATCATACAATATTTGTCCTTTTGTGACTGGCTTACTCCACCTAGCATATGTCTTAAAGGTTCATTCATGTTGTAGCATGTGGCAGAATTTCTTTCCCTCTTTAGACTGAATATATTCCATTGTATGGATATACCTAGCACATTTTGTTTATCCATTCATCTGACAATGGACACTTAGGTTGCATCCACCTTTTGGCTATTATTAATAATGCAGCTATGAACATGGGTGTAGAAATATCTGTTCAGGTCTGTGCTTTCACTTTTGGATATATACCCAGAAGAGAAATTGTTGGATAATGTGATAATTCTGTGTTGAGGAATGGCCATACCATTTTCCACAGCAACTGCACTATTTTACATTCCAACCAACAGTGAATGAAGGTTCCAATTTCACCGTCTCCTCACCAATATTTGTTGTGTTCTGTTTTTTTGTTTGTTTGTTTTTTGATTGTTTTTGATAGTAACCATCCTAACGGGTATGAGGTGAGGTGTTGTGGTTTTGATATGCATTTCTCTAACGATTAGTGATGTTGAGCATCTTTTCATGTGCTTGTTGGCCATTTGTATATCTTCTTTAGAGAAATGTCTACTCTAGGCCAGGTGCGATGGCTTACTCCTGTAATCCCAGCACTTTGGGAGGCTGAGGAGGGCAGATCACTAGGTCAAGAGATTGAGACTATCCTGGCCAACATGGCGAAACCCTGTCTCTACTAAAAATACAAAAATTAGCTGGGCGTGGTGGCACGCACCTGTAGTCCCAGCTACTCAGGAGGCTGAGGCAGGAGAATCACTTGAACCCGGGAGCCGGAAGTTGCAGTGAGCCAAGATCGCGCCACTGGACTCCAGCCTGGTGACAGAGCGAGACTCTGTCTCAAGAAAAAAAAGAAAAGAAAAGAAAAGAAAAGAAAAATGTCTCTTCTAGCCCTTTGCCCATTTTAAAATTTGCTTTTCTTTTTTTGTTGTTGCGTTGTAGTAGTTCTTTACATATTTTAGATAATCCCTTATCAAAGTATATGATTTGCAACTATTTTCTCCCATTCCATGGGATTTACATTCTGTTGATTGTGTCCTTCAATGCACAAAATATTTTAATTTTCATAAAGTCCAACTTACCTATTTTTTCTTTTGTTGCCTTTGCTTTTGGTGTCATACCCAAGAAATAACTGCCAAATCTAACGTTATGAAGCTATTCTCCTGTTTCCTTCTAGAAGTTCTATAGTTTTAGCTCATTATGTTCAGGTCTGTGGTCCATTTTGAGTTAATATGGCATTAGGTAAGGGTCCCACTTCATGTTTTTGCATGTGGCTATCCAGTTTTCCCAGCACCATTTGTTGAAAAGACTGTCCTTTCCCCACTGAATGGTGGGGACTGTTGCATACCTCTTATCCTAGATTTTCCTTCCTTGCCATCTTGAGTTTCATCCTCTATTTCTTGGATTCCTTATGCTCTTTCTTGGTTTAACCCTTAAGTTTGTTGAAACACATTTTTAAGTAATTGTCTTTAAAAAGTCTGTGATAGACAAATTTTCTATATTGTCATATGTCTAAATATTTAATTGACCATAACACTTGACTAATTCATGGTTGGTTATAGACTTTTGGATAAAATATTTTCCCCTCAGAATTACTTTAAATTAAAATATAATACAAAATGTTATTTTTAATTTACCCTTCTAACTTTGTTATATATTAGTAATTTGTAAAATTCCTTACTTTACATTGTGAAAACCATCAAATCTATAAAAATTGGAGGAATAGTACAAAGAACGTGTATATATCTTTCCCATACATTCATTAATCATTAAGTTTGCCACATTGACTTTATATGTCTACACACACATACATACGTGTGTGCATATGCACACACACACACACAGTTTTTTTGAACCATTTGAAGGTTTCAAATATGTCAGTTCACTCCTAAGTGTATATCCTAAGAACAAAGATATACTCATATATAATATAATTATTGTACCCAATACATTAATATAGATAAAATAGTATCATCTACTTGATGTAGCCCACATTTGTCTCTCCAGTTATTCAAATAACCTTCACCACCACTGTTTGTTTTCTTGTCAGTTCGTGATCCAGTTGTGTTTAGTGTCCACTCCCTTTGGAGTATAAAGGTACATCTCATCTGTCTTCTAGCATTTGGTGTTCGTGATACAAAAATCTGATTCCTATTCCTTCGTGAGTGGTGTTTTTTTTTTTTCTCTTTCTGAAAGCTTTTGGTCAAGTGTGATGACTCACAGCTGTAATCCCAGGACTTTGGGAGGCTGAGGTGGGAGGATCGCTTGAGGCTGGGAGTTAGAGACCAGCCTGGGCAACATGATGAGCCTAGTGAGAACCCTCTCTCTACAACAACTTAAAAATTAGGGCATGGTGGTGCATACCTGTAGTCCCAGCCACTTGGGAAGCTGAGGTGGGAATTGCTTGAGCCTAGGAATTTTCCTGGGTGAGAGTGAGCCCCGAAAGAGAGAAAGAGAGAGAGAGAGAGAGAGAGAGTGAGAGAGAGAGAGAGAGACAGAGGGAGGGAGGGGAAGAAAAGGGGAAGGGGAAGGGGAATGGGAAAGGAAGAAGGAAGGAGGGAAGGAAAGAAAGAGAAAGAAAAAGAAGAGAAAGAAAAGTTTTAGAATCTTTCCTTTTCCTCCCAGGATTCTGAAATTTTGCAAAGGTTTGGGCCTTTTAAAAGCCCTTGTCCTGTTTGCTTGGTAGATTCTTTTGATCTGGAAACTTCTACCTTTAACTTTTGGGCAATTTTGTTTTGTTGTCCATTTGATACTTTTTTCCTCTTTGATTTCTATCTTTCTCTATCTGGGACAACTGTAAACTGGGCCTCCTGGATAAATCTTTCATATCCCTTTTCTTTCATGTCTTCCATCTCGGTCTTTTTGTCCTACTTTATGGAAGGCTTCTTCTGTTTTATCATCTGACCTTTCTCTTGAATTTATTTAAGCCATTATATTTTTATTTTATAAGAACACTTTCTTGTTCCCTTATTGCACCGTTTAAAAATTTATTTATTTACTTATTCTCCTTACTCTGTTTATGCAGCATTATCATGCTGTTTGCGTACTATCTTGTTCTTGATTTTTGAGTGTAATAACTTCTTAAATATTGTTATAATAATAATTGGAAACCAATTAAACATCCTCTTTCATTTCCTGAGTTAGTCCTCTTTCTTTTCAGGTTGTTTTTATACCTGATTATTTTTCTTGGCCTCTGTTGTAAGGGTACCCAGGATTTGTTTAAATTAGATATGCGAAGACATACAGGCACGGAATTGACGGTCATGAAGGAAAAAGCTTAGATTCACAGACCGCCAGAAACAGGAGGCAGGGCACACCACACAGGGGCCAGGGGCAGTCACGAGGCAGAGGGAAGAGGGTAAAAGTGGACGAGAGCCTTTTTTGTGAGTTCTGTGAGAAGGAACAGGTGAGGCAGATACGCAGGCTCAGGATTGGCTAGTTTGAGTAATTTTTGTGGGCTCTGCTTCTAATAGTCTGGTACTGGGCCCTGGGGTGACTAGGGCAGAGAAATAGTTGCCCTGAGTGTAACAGCCCTGTGAGGGCCCTGAAACGGAGGTGGTTGGGGAATGACTTCTGGATTGGCTGGTGTGCATCTGAAAGCTGTGCTCACAGGAGAGTCACTTACTATCTTTAGGATGTGGCTAGCCCTGGGAGGGACCATCCCTCCAGGGTCAGCAAGGCCCCAAGATGTCAGAGCATCAAAAACAGAAACTAGAAAATGCATGGTGCATAGATACCATGGAATACTATGCAGTCATAAAAAAGAAAGAAATTATGTTCTTTGCAGCAACATGGATGCAGCTGGAGGCCTTTATCCTAGGCAAATTAACACAGAACAGAAAACCAAAAATTGCATGTTCTCACTTATAAGTGGGAGCTAAATCTCGGGTGCACGTGGACATAAAGATGGAAACAACAGACACTGCGGACTCTGACAGTGAGACGGAGGGAGGAGGGGAATAGTTGAAGAACTCTCTGTTGGGTACTATGTTCATTATATAGGTAACAGGATCAATAGAAGCCCAAACCTCAGCATCATGCAATACACCTGTGTAACAAACCTGCACGTGGACCCCTGTATCTAAAATTTTAAAATAAGAAAACATGGTTATTATAGTCTCTCCCACATGCCATAGGCTGTCATTAGATAGTTGGTGGTCCTTGATTAGCCTGTTCATTTTTTTGGGCGGGGGGTGGGGAATGGAGTCTCGCTCTGTTGCCCAAGCTGGAGTGCAGTGGTGCAATCTTGGCTCACTGCAACCTCTGCCTTCCCGGTTCAAGTGATTCTCCTGCCTCAGCCTCCCCAGTAGCTGGGACAACAGGTGGGCACCACCACAGTCGGCTAATTTTTGTATCTTTAGTAGAGATGGGCTTCACTGGATTGGCCAGGCTGGTCTTGAACTCCTGGCCTCAGGTGATCCACCCGTCTTGGCCTCCCAAAGTCCTGGGGATTACAGGTGTGAGCCTCCACGCCCGGCCTAACCTGTTCATTTTTAAGGAGAAAGCAAGAAAGATTTGATTAGGAACTCCAAGTGTATGGGTGGGTTTATTGACTGGTAAGAAGCCAGCTGAAAGGCTGAGCTCTGTGAACCTGCTGTTATAAGTGGAATTATGTCCCTGCAAAAAGACACGTTGAAGTCCTTACCCCCAGTATCTTAGAATGTGACCTTGGAAATAGGGTCTTTACAAAAGTAATCAAGTTAGAATGAGGTCATTGGGGGTGAGCCCTAATCCAGTATGACTGGTGTCCTTATATAAAGGGGATATTTGGTCCAAGCACGGTTGCTCACGCCTGTAATCGCAGCACT
Organism: Homo sapiens; assembly: GCF_000001405.40. Taxonomy (NCBI): domain Eukaryota; kingdom Metazoa; phylum Chordata; class Mammalia; order Primates; family Hominidae; genus Homo; species Homo sapiens. Next base: position 32,574,734 of record NC_000019.10, on the reverse strand, counting down.
TTGGGAGGCCAAGGAGGGCGGATCACCTGAGGTCAGGAGTTCGAGACCAGCCTGGCCAACATGGTGAAACCCTGTTTCTACTAAAAATACAAAAATTAGCCAGGCATAGTGGCGCACACCTGTAATCCCAACTACTCGGGAGACTGAGGCAGGAGATTCACTTGAACTCAGGAGGCAGAGGTTGCAGTGAGCCAAGATTGTGCCACTGCACTCTAGCCTGGGCAACAGAGTGAGACTGTGTCTCAGACCAAAAAAAAAAAAAAAAAAAAGAAAGAAAGGTGGGGGATGAGGGGAGGGAGGGAAATTGGGAAAATTTGGATGCAGAGACAGACATGCACAGGGGAAGATGAACATGATTGGAATGATGTATCTATAAGCCAAGGAGTGCCAGAGATTACCAGCAAACCACAAGTAGCTAGGAAGAGATGGGGAAGGAGCCTCTTCCTACAGGTTTCAGAGGGAGTATGGCCCCGCTGACACCTTGATACCACACTTCCAGCCTCCAGAACTGTGAGACAATATTTTTTTTTTAAAAAAGATGGGGTCTCACTCTGTTGCCAAGGCTGAACTCTAAACTCCTGGGCTCAAGTGATCCTCCTGCCTTGGCCTCCCTAGGAGTTGGGACTACAGGTGCGCACCATCATGTCCAGCTCTCTAAACATTTTGCAGAGATGGGGTCTTGCCGTGTTGCCCAGGCTGCTCTCAAACTCCTGGCCTCAAACCTTCCTCCCACTTTGGCCTCCCGAATCCCTCCCAAATCCCTGCTGGGATTACAGGCACAAGCCAGCATGCCCAGCCTGATATTTTCAGAAAGGAAAATTATTATCATCAGCTACTGCAGTACTTCTTTCTGCATGGCCAGCAATTTTCTTTTGTTCTAAGCCACTCAGTTTGTGGTAGTTTTATATGGCATCCCTAACAAACTAATTACACATTTCTTTCTTTCTTTCACCCTCCCTTCTTCCTTAGCAGGACAGGCCCCAGAATTGGGGCTAAGCCTGGGAGGGTTTCTTGGCTTTGCCCAGGAGAGAATTCCAGGACAAGCTGGTGGTGTCGGATAGCAACTTCTCTTGAAGCACTCATGCACAGCAGCAGCAGCAGAGGGGCCGTTCCTTGCGGAGCAGGACCACCCCACAGGCAGTGTGCCTGGAGGAGCAGCTCAGAAGCAGTGCTGCAGCCACATTTAGACTCACTTTTAATTATATGTAAATCAAGGGGCAGATTATGCAGAAATTTCTAGAAAAGGGGTGGTAACTTCCAGGTTGTTGGGTCATTGCCATGGAAAGGGGCAGTAATTTTTGGGTGTTGCCATGGAAGTGGTAAACTGACATGACGCACTGGTGGACGTGTCTTATGGAAAGGAGCTTCCAGCACATCCCTGTTTTAGCTAGTCTTCAATCTGGTCTGGTGTCCAAGCCCCGACTCTGGAGTCTGTTCTGCCTCCTACCTCATTTTCTCACTCTGAGACCTAGGCTGACAGAGCAGCTGTCATCTCAATGCTACCAAGTACCAGGGAAGAGATAACCTAGTGAACTGCACACTGTCCCTTTAAATTTTTTTTTTTTTAATTGGAGACGGAATCTTGTCTGTCACCCAGGCTGGAGTGCAGTGGTGTGATCTTGTGTCCGGAATTGGTGGGTTCTTGGTCTCACTGACTTCAAGAATGAAGCCGCGGACCCTCGCGGTGAGTGTTACAGCTCTTAAGGTGGCGCGTCTGGAGTCTGTCTCTTCTGATGTTCAGATGTGTTCGGAGTTTCTTCCTTCTGGTGGGTTTGTGGTCTCGCTGGCTCAGGAGTGAAGCTGCAGACCTTTGCGGTATGTGTTACAGCTCTTAAGGCAGTGAGTCTGGAGTTGTTCATTCCTCCCCGTGGGCTCGTGGTCTCGCCAGGCTCAGGAGTGAAGCTGCAGATCTTCGCGGTGAGTGTTACAGCTCATAAAAGCAGCGTGAACCCAAAGAGTGAGCAGTAGCAAAATTTATTGCAAAGAGCAAAAGAACAAAGCTTCCACACTGTGGAAGGGGACTCCAGCGGGTTGCCAATGCTGGCTCGGGCAGCCTGCTTTTATTCTCTTATCTGGCCCCACCCACATCCTGCTGATTGGTAGAGCTGACTGGCCTGTTTTGTCAGGGCGCTGATTGGTGCGTTTACAATCCCTGAGCTAGATACAAAGGTTCTCCACGTCCCCATCAGATTAGTTAGATACAGAGTTTCAACACACAGGTTCTCCAAGGCCCCACCAGAGCAGCTAGATACAGAGTGTCGATTGGTGCATTCACAAACCTTGAGCTAAACACAGGGTGCTGATTGGTGTGTTTACAAACCTTGAGCTAGATACAGAGTGCCGATTGGTGTATTTACAATCCTTGAGCTAAACACAGGGTGCTGATTGGTGTGTTTACAAACCTTGAGCTAGATACAGAGTGCCGATTGGTGTATTTACAATCCTTGAGCTAAACACAGGGTGCTGATTGGTGTGTTTACAAACCTTGAGCTAGATACAGAGTGCCGATTGGTGTATTTACAATCCCTGAGCTAGACATAAAAGTTCTCCACGTCCTCACCAGAGCAGCCAGATACAGAGTGTCGATTGGTGCACTCACAAACCTTGAGCTAAACACAGGGTGCTGATTGGTGTATTTACAATCCCTGAGCTAGATATAAAGACTCTCCACGTCCCCACCAGACTCAGGAGCCCAGCTGGCTTCACCCAGTGGATCCCTCACCGGGGCTGCAGGTGGAGCTGCCTGCCAGTCCTGCGCTGTGCGCTCACATTCCTCAGCCCTTGGGTGGTCGATGGGACTGGGCGCCCTGGAGCAGTGGGTGGTGCTCGTCCGGGAGACTCGGGCTCACAGGAGCCCATGGAGGGGGTGGGAGGCTCAGACATGGCAGGCTGCAGGTCCCGAGCCCTGCCCCGTGGGAAGGCAGCTAAGACTGCAGGTCCCGAGCACCGCGCCGGTGGGCCGGCACTGCTGGGGGACCCAGTACACCCTCCGCAGCCACTGGCCCGGGTGCTAAGTCCCTCATTGCCCGGGGCCGGCAGGGCTGGCCGGCTGCTCCGAGTGCGGGGCCCGCCAAGCCCACGCCCACCCAGAACTCCAGCTGGCCCGCAAGCGCTGCGCGCAGCCCCGGTTCCTGCTCGCGCCTCTCCCTCCACACCTCCCTGCAAACTGAGGGAGCTGGCTCTGGCCTTGGCCAGCCCAGAAAGGGGCTCTCACAGTGCAGCGGCGGGCCGAAGGGCCCCTCAAGTGCCGCCAAAGTGGGAACCCAGGCAGAGGAGGCTCCGAGAGCAAGCGAGGGCTCTGAGGACTGCCAGCATGCTGTCACCTCTCAATCTCAGCTCACTGCATCCTCTGCCTCCTGGGTTCAAGCGATTCTCCTGCCTCAGCCTCCTGAGTAGCTGGGATTACAGGCACGTGTCACTGCACCCAGCTAATTTTTGTATTTTTAGTAGAGATGGGGTTTCACCATGTTGGCCAGGCTGGTCTCGAACTCCTGACCTCAAGTCATCCACCCGCCTTGGCCTCCCAAAGTGCTAGGATTACAGCCATGAGCCACCGCACCCGACCTGTCCCTTTAAGTTTCCAGCCAGAGATGATACCCATCATTTTTCTTTATATTGTGTTGGCCAAAGTGAATCATGTGACTATGCCTAACATCAAAGCGGGTGGGGAAGTGCAGTCCTACCTTGTGACTGGGAAATGAATGAGGGAGGGAGGGAAGGAGGGAGGAAACAAGGAAGGAGGAAGGAAGGAAGGTTGGTAGGTAGGAAGGGAGGGAAGGAGGGAGGCAGGGATGGAGGGAAAAGGAAGGAAGGGAGGGAGGGACGAAAGGAGAAGAAAGGAAGGGAGGAAGGGAAAGAAGGAAGGAAGGAAGGAAGGAAGAGCAGTGGCTTGCACTTGTAGTCCCAGCTACTCGAGAGGCTGAGGCGGGAGGATTGCTTTAAGCCAGGAGTTCCAGACCAGCCTGGGCAACATAACGAGACCCCATCTCTGCAAAAATTTAAACAGGAAGGGAGGGAGGGAGGGAAGGAGAAGCTGCTCTGGGCAGGCTGCATTGCTTCCGTGATGCATTCCTCTGTGCACACAGGTGATCTGGCCAGTGCATCTTACAGTTTCTTTGCGTTTTTCTGTTATTTCCATTTCTTGCTTCTTGGTGCAGCAGCAGCATAATTACTCTGAGAAGCCCACAGGGTCAGAGCCTGCAGAACCAGTCGGTCCGTCTGCAACGCTCAGCCCCATCTTTCTCTTCCCACTTCAGGCCACCTCCTCTGCGCTGATCTCCAAGGAACCCCAAATGCCCGGAGTCCTGGTGTCTCCTGCAAGCAGCAGAGGGAGCCCACACTCTATCAAAAGCGACTGAGTTTCTCATTATACTACAAAGCAGAAACTACAATAACTGTTGTTTTCTTTTTTCTTTCTTTCTTTTTTCTTTTTTTTTTTTTTGCCATGCAGTATGTCCTTACAGATGAAGCTTTAATCTCCCTCGTCCATCTCTGTTGCTGTAAATTTATGCTCCATTATGGTTCCATATGCCCGATCCTCTGAGAAAGCCACGGCGGGCTTGTGGGGAGCGTGCGCTTCAGAGCTGTATGTGCAGCATGTGGAATTGCAGATTGGTACCTGGCACACTTAATGGTTATGTCTTCACAGGTTGTTTTAGAGCCATTTATTAGCCGTGATCCTGCATGGATCAGTCGTGATATCATGGAAACGGTGCCGTGGAACTCACTGAAATGCAAGGAGCAGAAGCAGAGTGTGGTCCATTAAAAAATAAATCTGGCCGGGTGCAGTGGCTCATGCTTATAATCCCAGCTCTTTGGGAGGCCGAGGGGGGCGGATCACCTGAGATCAGGAGTTCGAGACCAGCCTGGCCAACATGGTGAAACCCCATCTCTACTAAAAAAAATACAAAAATAGCAGAGTGTGGTGGTGGGTGCCTGTAGTCCCAGCTACTCGGGAGGCTGAGGCAGGAGGATCACTTGAAACTGGAAGGGGGGAGGTTGCAGTGAGCCAAGATCGCGCGCCACTGTACACTCCAGCCTGGGTGACAGAGCAAGACTCTGTCTCAAAAAAAAAAAAAAAAAAAAGAAAAGAAAAAGAAAAAGAAAGCTTCTCATTGAAAACTAGTTATAGTCTTTTACTTGAGAAGGAGCTCCGTCCAAGCTTTTGTGGCCACTTGCTGGGATAACAGCTTTCTTCACCATGAGATGGCCATACAGGAGGGTGAGGAGATGGCTATATTATCTCGTCAGGACTTCCTTGTCATGGCTAGAAAGCCACAGACTGGCTGTGCATGGTGGCTCGCACCTGTAATCCCAGCACTTAGGGGGCTGAAGCAGGAGGATTGCTTGAGGCCAAGAGTTCAAGACCAGCCTGGGCAACATAGAGAGACCCTTGTCTGCACAAAAAAATAAAAAAAAATTAGGCATGGTGGTATGTGCCTGTAGTCCCAGCTATTCAAGGAGGCTGAGGCAGGAGGATCCCTTGAGCCCAAGAGGTTGAGGCTGCAGTGGCTATGATCATGCCTCTGCTCTCCAGCCTGAGCAACAGAGTGAGACTCTGTCACAATAATAAATAAGCTGGGCAGTGGCTTGCATCTGTAGTCCCAGCTACTTGGGAGGCTGAAATGACAGGATTGCTTGAAGCCAAGAGTTCGAGACCAGCCTAGGCAACATAATGAGACCCACCCCCCCCGTCTCTGCAAAAAAATTAAAAAATAAGCCAGGAATTGTGGTGTGCCCAGGAGTTCAAGGCTGCAGTGAGCTATGATTGTGCCACTGCACACCAGCCTGGGAGACAGAGTGACATCCTGTCTCAGAAAAAAAAAAAAAAGAAAAGAAAAGAAAGGAAAAGACATGAAAGTTTGCTGGCTAACAGGAAGCGGGCTATTTTAAGAGCCTCCTGGGCTCCTTTAGTTTTGGAGCACCCATTACATAAAACGTTAAATATACAGAAATGCACCCCATTCCACATCCAATATAATGCATATATATAAATAATAAATGATAACACAAGGGCTTCAATTTGAGTTTCATCAAGTGTATTCATCTTGACTTTGCATTTTTTTTCTCTACAGTTTGGCACCAATAAATTTTTTTTCATTCCTGGCTGTTTATGACCCCATGGGCCTTGGGATAACTCTCAGTTCTGGGTCTTAATTCTGGGGAACTTGATGCCGACAGGGGTCCTGTATGATTGGGGGCCAAGATGAAATTTCATCGTAGCCTCCACCTGCCTCATCCAAAGAGAACCAACCTCAAAGGAGATGAGGAAGACCTTCCTCTCCTCAAATAAAATTAGGAGGACTTTCACCTGTCCTTAAAAACATCCTGGCCGGGCGCGGTGGCTCATGCCTGTAATCCCAGCACTTTGGGAGGCTGAGGCGGGCGGATCATGAGGTCAGGAGATCGAGACCATCCTGGCTAATATGGTGAAACCCTGTTTCTACTAAAAATACAAAAAATTAGCCGGGCATGGTGGCGGGCGCCTGTAGTCTCAGATACTCGGGGGGCTGAGGCAGGAGAATGGCGTGAACCCAGGAGGCAGAGGTTGCAGTGAGCTGAGATCGTGCCACTGCACTCTAGCGTGGGTGACAGACCGAGACTCCATCTCAAAAAAACCAAACCAAACCAAACCAAAACAAACAAACAAAAAAACAAAAAACATCCTGAGAAGGCGATTCTTTGGTCTCATCTAGTAACATTACTCACTCACTCATTCATTCAAGAGATATTTTTACTTTTTAGAGATGGGGTCTTGCTGTGTTACCCAGGCTTGTCTTGAACTTCTGGCCTCAAGTGATCCTTCCACCTCAGCCTCTTAAAGTGCTGGGATTACAGGTGTGAGCCACTGTGACCTATTTTAACTTTTGTAGAGATGGGGGTCTCGCTTTGTTGCCCAGGCTGGTCTCGAACTCCTGGCCTCAAGCGATCCTCCCACCTCGACCTCCCAAAGTGTTGGGATTATAGGTACGGACCATGGCGCCTGCCCTCGGTCCTCATTTTCTTTGACACCTGGGCAGTACCCAGGTCCTCTTAACAGTCTCAGGCTGGCCCTGGCTCATGCCTTTTGCTACCTCCAAGTGTCTGTGCAGACCATCCACTCTGCTGGGAAGGTCTCCTGCTATTCACCAGACTAACTGCTATTCATCCCACTCCACATATCCCACAAGGGATATGCCAATATCTGGCAGTGCGTTGGGAAATGCGTAACAAAGTTTCTTGGAACAAACAAAACAAAACAAAAGAAACCCTGATTTGTCACATTTGCTGCTTTCTGTGGTGTAAATTCTTCCACCATGGCCAATTTCAGGTTGCCGACGTGAGGTCACTGAACAGGGAGCTGAGTTGGGCACAGTAGCACGTCATTATATTGTATTCCCACCATAGGGGCAGAACAGATGTAAGTAACATCAGAGCAAATGTGGGAGTAGAACACAGTAAAATAGGAATGATGCTTTAGGTATTTAGTACCTTCATATTTTAACACAATACTTAATTATAAGCTCTCTCTTTTTTTTTTTTTTAATAATGACTACGTTTAAAAACCAGCTTATGGGCCAGGTGCTATGGCTCATGCCTGTAATCCCAGCACTTTGGGAGGCTGAGGCGGGTGGATTGCTTGAGCTCAGGAGCTCAAGACCAGCCTGAGCAACATAGCAAAACCCCATCTCTACCAAAATACAAAACATTAGCTAGGCATGGTGGCATGCACCTGTAGTCCCAGCTACTCAGGAGGCTGAGGTAGGAGAATAACTAGAGCCCAGAAGGTGGAGGTTGCAGTGAGCTGAGGTTGCGCCACTGCACTCCAGTGTGGGTGACAGAGTGAGACCTTGTCTCAAAAATTAAAACAAAACAAAACAAAACAAAACAAAATACAGCTTGCACATTTTCTGAAATTTTAACAATTGATTCTTGCAATCCAGTAGGAATTGGATCCAGCACACAGTGAGGGTAAAAATCCTCTGGGTAGAATAGGATGGTATATGGATACAGCAAAAGTGGTATATGTGGTGAGCAAATGACCCTCGCCTGGGAGGCCATGTGGGCTGGGGATACACACACTAACCATCTGGAATCCTCCCATGGGAATGAGTAAGCAAACCGCGCCAGAGCCATGAGACAGTTCCCATGTATTCCAAAGCTGCACTCTGATTCTTAGACAACCCTAAGCCTTGTCTCCATGCCCTTACTGTTCATTTTCCTGAGTGGTTCTAGGTGGGCTCTCTGGGTGCATGCAGATAGCCATGGGCTGGCCTGTGGGCTACGGCATTCTAAAGTGCCCTGGCTGTCTTTGGGAGCCCAAGTGACTTTCTGGGCTCAAGGAGCATGGAGCAGTTTGACCAGGACTGATTTTGGAAATAAAGAGCAGCAAAACTCTGTGTCAGAGGGTCTATACCTCCCCTGTGTGATGGCACTGAGCTAAGTACCCTCCTGGGCTCAATCGTCTTCCCTGCAGTTTACACAGATCTGTTTCTTCCTGGGGTTGTACTGAATTATTTTGATTCATGAGAAAGTTAACCCTTACTCCTTAAATAATAGTGTATTTGCTACAATGGACTACTATCACCCAAATTCTCAATTAATATAAGATTAATTAAATTATTATTATTATTATTATTTTAGAGACAGAGTCTTACTCTGTCACCCAGACTGGAGGGCAGTGGTGCGATCATAGCTCACTGTAACCTTGAATTCTTGGGCTCAGTCGATTCTCCCACCTCAGCCTCCCGAGTAGCTGGGACTGCAGGTGCATGCCACCATGGCTGGCTAATTTTAAAATTTTTTTGTGGAGACGAGCCCTCACTATGTTGCCCAGGCTGGTCTTGAACTCCTGGCCTCAAGCAATCCTTCCACCTCAGCCTCCCAAAGTGCTAGGATTACAGATGTGAGCCACCATGCCCAGCTCAATTAAATTATTCATTACAAACTTAAAGATTTTCTTTGTGATAGAATCATTTTAGAGTGAAAATCCAAAGGTCAACTGGTAATGAAGATATGTCAAGACATGTATTCGCTTGGTGCAAAATTAATTGCAGTTTTTGCCATCAAAAGTAATGACAAAGGCCGGGCACGGTGGCTCACGCCTGTAATTCCAGCACTTTGGGAGGCCGAGACGGGTGGATCACTTGAGGTCAGGAGTTCAAGACCAGCCTGGCCAACATGTCGAAACCCTGTCTGTACTAAAAATACAAAATTTAGCTAGAGGTGGTGACAGGTGTCTGTAATCCAGCTACTCAGGAGGCTGAGGAAGGAGAATCACTTGAACCTGGGAGGCAGAGGTTGCAGTGAGCCGAGATCGCACTGTTGCACTCCAGCCTGGGCGACAGAATGAGACTCTATCTCAAAAAAAAAAAAAAAAAAAAAAAAAAGTAATGACAAAGACTGCAATTGGTTTTGTACCAACTTAATACTTCCTCAGCTGGGCCAAGAAGAGGAATAGGTTGGAAACAATGAGCCGGGATTAATTACATCAATTAAAGAAACACAAAGCAATAAATGCCCATCTTTACAGAAAGGCGGGCGTTATAAACACGTAGTCACTACTCCATAAGTGCCTGCTGATTGGTAACTGGTGTTAACTGATAACTGATAAGCCACTTGGCTTAGGGTGCTAAAGGCAAGTCTAGTGGTAGGATTTTAATTCACAAAAATAAGTAAAACCAATTTGTCCTTAAGCATTTGTCTTGCTATGAAAGCGTGTATATATGATATATATCATATAGGTCAATATGATTATGACATATATATCATATACAGACGTGTACATATATAAAGAGAATGATGTGATTGTAACATATTATAACATATTGTAACATATCTGGATGAAAAAATAAAGGTTTTAATGTTTCCAAGTGCTCCCTGAATGCTGATCTTCATTAAGACACAATGTCCAGATATGTGACTTTCCCTCTATATTTGTGACTTTAACTTTCAGACTTGGCTTTTGTTCTCAGACAGTGGCAAAGACATGCCTCCAGAGTGAATGGGCTCATTCCTGTTCACCTCCTGCACAGAAGAGCTAAGGGCAGAAGGACATCTCTGTGGAAAATTCACCAAATACTTAGAGAGGCTTTTAAAAGCACAAATTCAGGCCAGGTGCGATGGCTCATGCCTGTGGTCCCAGCACTTTGGGAGGATGAGGTAGGAGGATCGCTTGAGCCCAGGAGTTCAAGACCAGCCTGGGCAACATAGTGGGACCACTGTCTCTACAGAAAAAACTAAGTAAATAAAAAATACAAAAATTAGCCAGGCATGGTGGTGCATGCCTGTAGTCAATCCCAGCTATTCGGAGGGGCTGAGGTGGGAAGATGGCTTGAGCTTGGGGAGGTCAAAGCTGCAGTGAGCAGTGGTTGCGCCACTACATTCCAGCCTGGGTGACAGTGCAAGACCCTGTCTCTACAAAATAAATAAAATACAAAAATTATCTGGGCATGGTGGTGCACACCTGTAATCTCAGCTACTTGGGAGGCTGAGGCAGGAGGATCCCTTGAGCGCTGGGAGGTCGAGGCTGCAGTGAGCCATGGTTGCGTCACTGCACTCTTGCCTAGGTGACACAGTGAGATCCTGTCTCCAAAAAAAAAAAAAAAGTGCAAATCACACATTTCCTTTACTGTCACCAATAATTACTGCAAAAGCTATTAATCTCAGCTGTTATTTTAACAGAGGAAAGCTCTCCTGGGTATCTGCAGAAGATGAGAGACAGAGGCATGCTGGTGCCAGGACTGAGGGCCCAGAGCTTCAGCCATGCGTCGGCTGTGGAGCTGGCGGGTTGTCGGGGAGGCGTCTGTGACTTTTGCCTTCTCTAGGCTTAAATGAAGTTCAAAATAAATACACAAACAAACAAAATACTGTAATCCCCCACCCTCCGCCTTTTTTTTTGAGTCAGAGTCCCGCTGGGTCGCCCAGGCTGGAGTGCAGTGGCACGATCTTGGTTCACTGCAACCTCTGCCTCCCAGGTTCAAGTGATTCTTCTGCCTCAGCCTCCTGAGTAGCTGGGATTACAGGCTCGTGAGACCGTGCCCGGCTAATTTTTGTACTTTTGGTAGACATGGGGTTTCAACATGGGGTTTCACCATGTTGTCCAGGCTGGTCTTGAAACTCTTAAACTCAAGCGATCTGCCCGCCTCAGCCTCCCAAAGTGCTGGGGTTACAGGCGTGAGCCACATGCCTGGACCCCAAATAATTTTTAAAGTACTGTGGAATTGGAGTCTTCATCATCTTATCCTTTGACCCTACTTTTATGTTTTTTTGGTTGTCGTTTTCTCGTGTTTGTTTTTTTGTTTTTGTTCTTGTTTTTTGAGACAGAGTCTTGCTTTGTCGCCCAGGCTGGAGTGCAGTGGTGTGATCTTGGCCACTGCAACCTCCGCCTCCCGAGTTCAAGAGATTCTCCTGCCTCAGCCTCCTGAGTAGCTGGGGTTACAAGCGCCTGCCCCCACGCCTGGCTAATTTTTGTGTTTTTAGTAGAGAGGCGGTTTCAGTATGTTGGTCAGGCCGATCTCGAACTGCTGACCTTGTGATCCACCCGCCTCGGCCTCCCAAAGTGCTAGGATTACAGGCGTGAGCCACCGCACCTGGCCAATTTTATGTTTTTTAAAAAAATCAAATTTACTGAGGTATAATTTACATATAATAAAATGCATACATTTTAAATGCATAGTTCAATGAATTTTAACAAATGTATATACCATGAAACCATCAGTCCAGTCAATATACAGATCATTTCCATCACCCAAAAGGTTGCCTTGTGCCCACTTAGTATGCTGGATGCTGGTAAATATTTATCAGGAGACTGGAAAAAATGTTGTATATTTAACATTTATTTATCTAATTATTTTTGGCTTTTACCTTTTTTTCTGGACCTGGGTAGAGAAGTATTATTTAATATATCAACATTTTATAAATTTTACTGATGCTAAAGAATGCATTAGGCCGGGCATAGTGGCTCACGCCTGTAATCCCAGCTACTTGGGAGGCTGAGGCAGGAGAATCGCTTGAACCCGGGAGGCGGAGGTTGCAGTGAGCAGAGACCACGCCATTGCACTCTAGCCTGAGCAACAAGAGTGAAACTCCGTCTCAAAAAAAAAAAAAAAAAAGAATCCATTATATAACTTATAAATAGTAATAAAATATATGGTATACGGTATTCTTTATTGTAAATTTCATATAGCCAGTTGGTTATAACAAAAGGTTTACGTTGATTTTTGTTGAAGTCCTATATCTACAGCCAACCAATGATTGCAATCAATTAGTATACTTCTGACATAAATGCTGATTGCTATTTCTATTTAAGGAGTAAGATGAAAGTGAAATAAGACATATGTCGGTACATCACTTGTTTGTCAATGACATAAGCAACTTCTTTGCTGAATCAGATAATAATTTTTGAATATCAGAAGACTATTTTCTCAGTTGTCTGTGCTATGCATAATGTAACAGCTATAAATACTGTTCACTTTTAAGTTTAATTGGCATTAACAGTTTTTCCCACCGCTTTCTTAGATCCAAGCAATTTTTTTTTTTTTTAGGTGGGGGGACGAAGTCTCGCTCTGTCACCCAGGCTGGAGTGCAGTGGCCCAATCTCAGCTCACTGCAACCTCCACCTCCCAGGTTCAAGCAATTCTCCTGCCTCAGCCTCCGGAAGCTGGGACTACAGGCGTGCGCCGCCATATCCAGCTAATATTTTATATTTTAGTAGAGACGGGTTTCACCATGTTGCCCGGCTGGTCTCAAACTCCTGAGCTCAGACAATCCGCCCGCCTCTGCCTCCCAAAATGCTATGATTACAGAGATCTATGCAATTAAAAAAATATTTTCAAGCCTGATTGTAGCGTTTATCAATTTCCAAAACTCCCACCAAGGCAGATTTTCAGCTACAACATGAAGTCACCTAATGTGGATCTAGGAAGAGATGGCACCATTTTATAGTGTTTCTACCGTACAGACACAATAGCTGCAAGTAACCTCAAAGTCAAAATATGGTGGATATGGGGAAAAGAAGATCTGAGTATTTCTTATGTTTATGTTTGTTTTTAATATATTTAGTTGTAAGTTTATCTAATTAAATTTCTGTATAGAGGCAGGGTCTTGCTCTTCTCCCAGGCTGGAGTGCAGTGGTGCAATCACAGCTCACTGCAGCCTCTGAACTCCTGGGCTCAAGCAATCCTCCCAACTCAGCTTCCTAAGTAGCTGGGACTACAGGTGTGCATCACCACACCCAGCTAATTTTTTCATTTTTTGTAGAGACGGGGTCTCACTATGTTGCCCAGGCTAGTTTTGAACTCCTGGCCTCAAATGATCCTCCTGCCTTGGCCTCCCAAACTACTGGGATTATAGGCATGAGCCACTGCATCTGGCCTACAGATTATCTTTGATTATAATTTTTTTTTTTTTTTTTGAGATGGAGTCTCGCTCTGTCTCCCAGGCTGGAGTGCAGTGGCGTGATCTCTGCTCAGTGCAAGCTCCACCTCTCGGGTTCACACCATTCTCCTGCCTCAGCCTCCCGAGTAGCTGGGACTACAGGTGCCTGCCACCACGCCTGGCTAATTTTTTGTATTTTTAGTAGAGACAGGGTTTCACCATATTAGCCAGGATGGTCTCCATCTCCTGACCTCGTGATCCACCCACCTCGGCCTCCCAAAGTGCTGGGATTACAGGCGTGAGCCACCGTGCCTGGCCTCTTTGATCCTAATTTAAATGGCATTAAAACAATTCGTTTTCCAGGACGGGCGTGGAAAACATCCCACCAGAAAAAGGGCCAAACCACCTGATCACAGCAACAATTTATCAATATCCTCCTGGGCAGCAAGCCATAATGTCCAGATCCCCCTTCTCCCTGGCCAGACTTGTAAATTACCCCAGACTGTAACTGGCAGTGGGCTCTGGCATTAAGCTGGTCCCCCACCTCCACAGATCTTGTTCTGGACATAAAACCTGCATTGTTGTAGAGCCACCTCTCTCTCTTTCTCCTCTTTCTTTAACCCTTGCCTTCTCTTCAAAACTTAACATCACGATTGACTTCACCTGAGTCTCACCCAACTCCTGGAGACCCACAGTCCTCCAGAGAGGACCTGTGACCAGAGGAAAGGGACCTGGATCCTGGGTGGGCCAAAACAGCAGATGTCCTCTACAATGTGTGTGCGTGCGTGTGTGTGTGTGTGTGCGCGCGCGCGTGTGTGATGTGTTAAAAATGTCATGATTGGCTGGGCATGATGGCTCACGCCTGTAATCCCAGCACTTTGGGAGGCTGAGACGGGCAGATCACGAGGTCAGGAGTTCAAGACCAGACCAGCCTGACCAAGATGGTGAAACCCTGTCTCTAACTAAAAATACAAAAATTAGCCAGGCCCGGTGGCAGGTGCCTGTAGTCCCAGCTACTCGGGAGGCTGAGGCAGAAGAATCGCTTGAACCCAGGAGGTGGAAGTGGCAATGACCCGAGATCGTGCCACTGCCCCCCAGCCTGGGCGACAGAGTGAAACTCCGTCTCAGAAAAAAAAAAGTCATGATTAATAATGAAAACAATTAAAGTTATTGTTTGTTAACTAATGCTGCATGACAAACCACCCTAAAACGTATGGCTTAATCTGTCAACAGTTTATGTCTGATAATATTTTGGGTTGGCTGCGTGGTTCCTCTGCTTACCTGGGGTCATTGATGCGTGGTATTTGGCTGCTGGGCCAGCTGGGCTGGAAAGTCCAAGGGCCTCACTCGTGTCCTGCAGTGCGTGCTGGCCCCGTGTTCTTCTTCACCTGGCCGCTCATCCTCAGTGGGTTAGACTGGCTTCCTTAAGTGGCAGTGCCAGGACAACATTCCCAGAGAACAAAAACAGACTGTTGACTGGGCATGGTGGCTCATGCCTGTAATCTCAGCACTTTGGGAGGCCGAGGTGGGTGGATCACCTAAGATCGGGAGTTCGAGACCAGCCTGGCCAATGTGGTGAAACCCTGTCTCTACTAAAAATACAAAAATGAGCCGGGAATGGTGGTGGGTGCCTGTAATCCCAGCTACTCGGGAGGCTGAGGCAGGAGAATCACTTGAACCTGAGAGGTGGAGGTTGCGGTGAGCCGAGATCGCGCCACTGCACTCCAGCCTGGGCGACAGAGTGAGACTCCATCTCAAAAAATGAAAGAAAACAAAACAAAACAGAGACTGTTAGGCTCAGGAATTCATGCACTGTCACTCCCACAGGTTCTGTTGGCCAGAGCAAGTCAGGGGATAGCCCAGGTTCGAGGGCTGAGTAAAAAATTCTACCTTTCAGGCCAGGCACCGTGACTCATGCCGAGATTGTACCACTGCACTCCAGCCTGGGCGACACAGCGAGACTCCATCTCAAAACAACAACAAAAAACTCTACCTTTCAATGGGTGGAGCTATACAATATTGTGGCTTTATTTTTCAGTCTAGACAGCTATTTTTTTTCTGACATTTGACATGTATCACTCTTGCTGTCATCTATTTATAGGTGGTGATTTTTGTTGATTTCTAGTTTGACCAAGAGAGTGATTTTCAGTTTACAAGGTATTCAATTTTGGGGGGCTTACTGGATCACTTTGCTATTTTGTTTCCGTGCTGGTAAGGGTATGTGCTTTCTATGTGGGGCAGGAGAGCCCCAAAGCTGGAGCTTATCGTGGGAAGGTTCGTGGCTGCCCTCAGGAAAGAATTCAAGAGTGAGTCAGGGGTGGAAGAAACAGCTTTACTGAGGCGGTAGTGTTAGTGCTTCATGACGGTTAGCAGAGCAGTGCTGCCTGCTAGGCAGTGCATGGAGGTGGCAGCTCAGGGGCAGTTTGGCAGTCATATTTACGCCTACTTTTAATTACATGCAAATTAAGGGGCAGGTCATTCAGAATTTTCTAGAAAAAGTGTGGCACTTCTGGGTTGTTGCCATAGAAAGGCATGGTAAATTCTGGGCGTTGCCATGGCAATGGTAAACTGACATGGCACACTGGTGGGCGTGTCTTACGGAGAGGTGCTTTCACCTCTTCCCTGTTTTACTTTGTCCTCAGTCTGGTCCTGCGTCTGAGCCCCACCTCTGGAGTGGAGTCCTGCCTCCCACCTCATTTTGTTATTTTGGACATTAATTTAGGTTTTTTTTTAAATTTTGTAGCTCAGGATATGATGACCTTTGTAAATATACCGTGAACATTCGAAAAGATTGTGTCTTTTTTTCTGTTGAAAAAGTACAGAAATTGACAGAGATATCAGTTTATATTTTTCAAATGTTCTATATCCACATCTGTTGTTTTCTCTGCTTCTCTAGGGTGTCGTGGTGCTTTCCTACAGAATCCTTGTGGCAGTCAGAATTGGGGGTCATGTGGGTGAAGAGGAGCTGAAATAAATTAAACGATGATGATTTTCATAGTAACCATAGCTGACCTTGGGGGTGGAGGATAACTCTTGATTTGATGGAAGGTATATGAAAAATGCAAACACAAACTTTCTGTATTTCATACCCCTAACAATGATCACAACAGCAACAAGAGAGTTTATTTTCAAAGAATGCCATAGGAGTATTGAAGACAATGTGAAGTACTTCTTTGTTGGTGGATGGACTTTCGTAATTGACTTGGGGAGACTAAAGTAACAGCAAAACATAAGGAAATATATGGAAAGAATCAAAAAGTGTTGTGAACCAAGGAACATAACAGAGCTGAGAGCTGTAAGAACACTTCAGGATAAGGAGCTTCTGGACTGGGGCAGACGGAGGTTTACAGAGCTGGCTTGAAGCAGGTTACCTTTTGCCTGAAGGGAAGGAGTTGCTCCTTGAATACTTAAAAAAGCACATAAAGAGGTTTTTTTGTTTTTTTGTTTTTTTCCAGGAATACTGAAATAAGTGCAAAAATGGTGAATATCCACAGGGCCATAATCAGTTACATTCCACCAAACAAAATTCCTTTGCAGATCTATAGCAAGGAATCATTTTCATTACTACCAGTTTCCAACAATTTATAAAGTTATAAAATAACTCAAAGGTAAGAAAAAGTGCAGGTGACTTGAATGGTTCACTACACAGGACATTCAAAACTCTTTGGGGCCATTTCAAGATCATTAACTTTTTTTTCTGACAATATCTCTATTCTCATGGTGATAGTAATGTCAAAAATTATTTACCCCCCAAAAGTTGATCATTTATATAGGTGCACCGAATGTGTTATTTAACCGTATAAGGTTCTTTGAGTTTGTTTTGTTCAATTAAAACCATACAATATTTTTTCTTGGATTTGCAAATATCATTATTATTATTTTTTAAAACCACGTAAGCAGTTTAAGTTAGAGTCGCCTATAGGCTTCTCAGTTAACCAGAAGGTTCCCATTTTTGGTTGAACCATTTGCTTTGAGTTTTGGTGGCTGCTGATACACCTTATGTACTTTGACATACAGTGTTGACCAAGGCTGATCTTGAACAGGAAAGTGTTGAGGTGGCCAGAGTTTGGATTTCACAGGTCAGGTACCTACTGGCTTGTCCTTCGTCTTACAGAGTCATGCAGTGACTTTTGTGCTGTTCTGAGACTGTGTTCTTGAGGAAAGAGCTTTTATTAAAACATGGGAGTACAGCTCCAGTTGTTGCAAACTGTAATTTTTTTTAATCTTCTAAAACTGTTTGATAGTCAAGTAAATTTGGCCCTTTAACCTGTCAGGATGATGCAAATCTTAGGCCACTTAATAATTCACGAACTGACTCTCTGGGGGATATCTCCCTATGGCCAAGGTAATGACCAGTTCAATAAAGGGACAAGCATAATTATGATGTGGAATAAAATGCATTATTCAGGGTGGTCCAAATCCTGAAAAGGTCTTGAACTATTGCACACATCTTGATCATTAATTAGAAAATGTGTTTCAGCCCAGAAACTACTGAAATATGTGAACGGAGAGGTTTTAGTTATGAAAATTAAAATCGAAGACATCAAGCTTTGCATTTCTGATTACATATTCAAACCATACAATTAGAGTGTATTAAATCAATTTTTACTATAGCTGTAAGTAGCAATTAGACATAGACTTTTAAAATGCAAATGATATTTGTATTAGATGAAATTCCTCCTCTTCTCCCCTCCCTTCCCAGAAAAAGATCTGAATGTGAGACTACTGCCTGTGGCTCCTTTCTTTATAAGCAGTCCTTAAAATAGCTTGGTTGCAACCCATTTCAACTTGGGGGTGGGGAGTGCTGGGAAATAAATGAAGTTGTCTCATTTCAAATGTTGTACCATTAAGGTTCACAGTTTCTAGTCTTCAGAGCTTCCAACATTTTGTCAAAAATTTGATGCCCAAAGGAGGAGGAAAGGAAAATGAAGGTGGGGTAGAGAAATGGTTGAGAGATGTTTGAAGAGCAAAGACCAGTTCTTTATCAGAATGAGTAAGTAAAAAGGGCCTGGAAGACATAAAAACCCCAGGTGCCCAGACTGTGGTCTTTAAGTACCATTCCCTACGAGAAGGAACCAAGGCTTCATGGAAAATGGTGGATTCCAGATCTGGAGCAAGAAATGTACACACTGAGCCCGCAACGTCTTATTTCTAAATGCAAGGACATGCCTCACGATTGATGGGAATATGTCTGAGGGACACAGGAGCTAGCTTGGAGGCATTCCCACTGGGACACTTTGAGCATGAGGAATTATGACAGTAATGAATGACAACACATTAAATAAAAAACAGTTTGAGGCTGGGCATGGTGGTGTGCACCTGTAATCCCAGCACTTTGGGAGACTGAGGTGTGAGGATCCCTTGAGCCCCAGAGTTGGATGTTGCAGTGAGCCGTGATTGTGCCACTGCACTTCAGCCTGGGTGACAGAGCAAGATCTGTTTCCAAATATATACATATACATATTTATTTATTTATTTTGTATTTATATATATATTTATATATAAATTTATATTTTTATATGTATAAATTTATATATATTTATATATTTATACATATAAATATATATAAATTTATAATTTATATAATTATATAATTTATATAATTATATAAATTATATAATTATATATATAAATTATATATTTATATATTAATTTATGTATAAATGATATATAGAAATATATAATTTATATATTTATATATTTATATAATATATATAATATAAATATAAATTATATAAATATATAAATATATTTATATATTAAATATTATTTTAAATATATAATATATTATATATTATATAATTTTAAATATATAATATATTATATATTAAATATAAAATAATATATTATATATTAAATATAAATATATAAATAAATATATTATATATTATATATTAAATATAAATATATAATTATAAAATATATACATAAATTATATATTATATATTAAATATAAATATATAATTATAAAATATATACATAAATTATATATTTATATATAAAAATATAAAATATAAATATATAAATATAATATATTATATATTACATAAATATATATATTTATATATAATTTATATATATTATATATAAATATATATATTTACATTTATATACATTTTGAGTTATACATTTATAACTATTACTATACTCTTTATACATATTTACATATAAAATATATATTTATATATATTTTTGAATTATAATAATAGTGCCCCTTACTCCTCACACACAAAAAGAAAATGGCCATTAATATATGTAGAAGAAATGATAAAACTAGAAAACCACTTTTTGCAAAAACTTTTGTTGTAATTGATATAGGCAAAATTTATCAGTGGATGCGGAACCATTGAGTGATATGTTGTTGGAACAAGACACGAGTGTGGTCTCAAAGTATCACCTTAAAAGACTTGTTAATTACCAAGAGGAAAGAGGGTTTACAATGAAGAAACCTGGTAGATACCAACCTTAACCAAATAATCAAGCTTCTCCGCCAACAATGGGGCCATTTGGCATCCTGGTGGAAGGCACATTACCTATAAGCACCTTTGCCAAAAATGTTTAACCTAAGACTGGTCGTGAGAAATCACCTTGGAAAATCCAGATTTTAGGGACGTTCTGAAAATAACAGGCCCAGATAAACATGTCAATATCAAGAATGACCAAGAGAGGTTTGAGGAACTGCTGTGTATTAAAACAGCCTAAAGAGGTGTAACAATTAAAGGCAATGTGATCATTGACCAGACTGTCAATCAGAAAAAAAACAGGCTGGGCATGGTGGCTCACACCTGTAATCCCAGCACTTTCGGAGGCCGAAGTGGGTGGATCATGAGGTCAGGAGATCGAGACAATCCTGGCCAACATGGTGAAACCCCGTCTCTACTAAAAATACAAAAATTAGTTCGGCGTGGTGGCATGTGCCTGTAATCCCAGCTATTCGGGAGGCTGAGATAGGAGAATTGTCTGAACCACGGAGTTGGAGGTTGCAGTGAGCTGAGATTGCTCAGCACTCCAGCCTGGTGATAGAGAGAGACTCTGTCTCAAAAACAAAACAAAACAAAACAAAACTAAAACAAGTATAGGCCGGGCGCATCGGCTTGTGCCTATAATCCCAACACTGTGGGAGGCCGAGGTGGGCAGATCACTTGAGGCCAGGAGTTTGAGTCCAGTGTGGCTAACATGGTGAAACCCCGTCTCTACTAAAAATACAAAAACTAGCCAGGGTGGTGGTGCGTGCCTATAATCCAAGCTACTTGGGAGGCTGAGGCAGGAGCATTGCTTGAACCTGGGAGGTGGAGGTTGCAGTGAGCCGAGATTGTGCCACTGCACTCCAGCCTGGGTGATGGAGTGAGACTTCGTCTAAAAAAAATAAAATAAAAATAAAAACTAAAAAACAAAAAATAAAAAGGAAAAAAACAAATACAAAGGGCATAATTGGGGAAATTTAAATACAGACTGCTAATTAGTCAATAGTAAAGTTAAATTTCTTGATTGCAGTAACCTGTGGCTGTGTAAGGAATGTGTCTTTGTTCTTCAGAGCTACATGCTACAGTATTTAGGGGTAAAGTGTCATGACGTCTACAACTAATGCTCAGATAATTTCACCCAGAAAAGTGCGTGTATGCTTGTGTGCAAGTGTGACTAAATAGGTAGATAATAATAAAGGAAATGTGGCAAAATATTAGTAAGTGGTGAATGTAGGAGAAGAGTGTCTGACTAAGGTTTAAAATAGTTAAAATTAAAGGTTGAGAGGAAGAAGCTAGCTAAATAATTGTGACCCCACTTCTCCATATAAATATATTAGATTAGTTTTAAGTAAAAATAATGAATTTGTGAGCAATTACTTATTTATTTATTTATTTATTTTTTTCTTTTGAGATGGAGTCTCGCTGTCTCCCCGGCTGGAGTGCAGGGGTGCGATCTCTGCTCACTGCAGGCTCCGCCCGCTGGCTTCACGCCATTCTCCTGCCTCAGCCTCCCGAGCAGCTGGGACTACAGGCGCCTGCCACCTCGCCTGGCTAATTTTTTGTATTTTTAGTAGAGATGGGGTTTCGCCATGTTAGCCAGGATGGTCTCGATCTCCTGACGTCATGATCCGCCCGCCTCGGCCTCCCAAAGTGCTGGGATTACAGGTGTGAACCACCACGCCCGGCCTATTTATTTCTTTAAAGGATTTTTTATGTTTTAGAGACAGGGTCTCACACTGTGGCCCAGGCTGGAGTACAGTGACACAATCATAGCTCACTGCAGGCTCAAACTCCTGGGCTCAAGGGATCCTCCTGCCTCAGCCTCCTGAGAGTTACTGGGACTACAAGCATGTGTCACCATGCCCAGATACTTTTAAATTTTTTTATAGAGACAGGGTCTTGCTATGTTGCAGAGGTCGGTCTTGAACTCCTGGCCTCAAATGATCCTCCCACCTTCACCTCTCAAAGTGCTGGGATTACAGGCTTGAGCCACCACTCTTGGCTGCAATTAACTTTTTGAACGAATGTCAATATGATTGTAGTAAGACTTGCTTTTCTTAAATCAACACCTAGTTAGATTTTGTGCATATTTAATTTTTGAATAGAAATATATTCACACGATTTAAAAAATGGTATACAGCCGAGCACAATGGCTCATGTCTGTAATCCCAGCACTTTGGGAGGCCGAGGCAGGCAGATGGCTTGAGCTGAGGAGTTTGAGACCAGCCTGACCAACATGGCGAAACCCTATCTCTACAAAAAATAGGAAAATTAGTTGGGCGTGGTGGCTTTACGCCTGTAGTCCCAGGTACTTGGCGGCTGAAGTGAGAAGATCACTTGAACCCAGGAGGTTGCAATGAGCTGAGATCATGCCACTGCACTCCATTCTGGGCGACAGAGCAAGACCCTGTCTCAAAAACAAAACAAAACATGGCCGGAGCGGTGGCTCACGCCTGTAATCCCAGCACTTTGGAAGGCGAGGCAGGCAGATCATGAGGTCAGGAGATCGAGACCATCCTGGCTAACACAGTGAAACCCCGTCTCTACTAAAAATACAAAAAATTAGCCAGGCGTGGTGGTGGGCGCCTGTAGTCCCAGCTACTCGGGAGGCTGAGGCAGGAGAATGGCGTGAACCCGGGAGGCGGAGCTTGCAGTGAGCCAAGATCGCACCACTGCACTCCAGCCTGGGCGACCGTGTGAGACTCCGTCTCAAACAAAATAAAACAAAAGTGATATACAAAGAAACTCTCTTCCATCTTTACCCGTATGTACTGTTTCTGCTAATTCCCACTCTTATCATTGGCTTCATTTTAGAAATGATTCATGCAGACACTAACAAACACAAATTATATATTTTCTTTTTCTTTCTTTGCTACAAAAAAATGCACACCCTGTGTATAGTTGTTCATCTTTTTCTTTTCACATGGCAATATCTTAGATACCTTTCCATATCAATGCAAAACAGTGTTCTTACTTTCATTCTTCATCACAGCTGCATAACATTCTAGTATATGAACACATCTTAATTTATTTAACTTTTTTTTTTTTTGAGACAGAGTCTCACTCTGTCGCCCAGGCTGGAGTGCAATGGTGCAATCTCAGCTCACTGCAACCTCTGCCTCCCGGGTTGAAGCGATTCTCGTGCCTCAGCCTCTGAAGTAGCTGGGACTACAGGCTCCTGCCACCGCACCTGGCTAATTTTTTGTATTTTTAGTAGAGACGAGGTTTTTCCATGTTGCCCAGGCTGGTCTCGAACTCCTGAGCTCAGGTGATTCCCCTGCCTCAGCCTCCCAAAGTGCTGGGATTACAGGCATGAGCTACCATGCCCAGCCAATTTATTTAACTTTTTAAAAAAGAGGCAGGGTCTTGCTATGTTGCCCAGGCTGGCCTTGAGCTCCTAGGCTCAAGGCATCCTCCCACCTTGGCCTCCCAGGTAGCTGGAACAATTGTGTGCTATCATGCCCAGCCGAATTTATTTACCTTTTGACAATTGTTACATTGTTTCTTGGTTTTTACTACTGCAAACAGTAGTAAAAAGCCTGCAGTAAATATCCTTGAGGCTGGGTGCGGTGGCTCACACCTGTAATCCCAGCACTTTGGGAGGCCGAGGTGGGTGGATCACGAGGTCAGGGTTCAAGACCAGCCTGACCAACATGGTGAAACCCCATCTCTACTTCTCTACTAAAAATACAAAAAAGTAGCCGGGCATGGTGGCACACGCCTGTAATCCCAGCTACTCAGGAGGCTGAGGCAGGAGAATCACTTGAACCCAGGATGGGGAGGTTGCAGTGAGCTGAGATTGCACCACTGCACTCCAGCCTGGGCAAGAGTGAGACCCCTCTCAAAAAAAAAAAAAAATCCTTGAACAGATAGATACCTTTTAACGTGTGCTGGTATGCATATCTGTAGAATAAAAAAGCAAAGTTGGATTGCTGAAGTCACTCATCCACTTATGTAAACGTGACAGCTGTCGCTAACTGCACCCTCTGTAGGACTCTTTCATGGACTTTTCCACCCGCACTGTAGGAAGATAGCTTCCCCACAGCGTTGTCCACAGAGGGTGCCAGGAAACCTATGGATTTTTGCCAGTTTGACAGATGAAAAATGTGTCTGAAGGAAATTTTCATCTGCTTTGTGGTAATAAATGAGGTTGAACATCTTTTCATTTGTCTAAGAACCATCTGTAGTTCCTTTTTTGTGAACTGTTTGTTCATCTCTTTTGCCTCTTTATTATTTAATTATGTTTTATGGGCCAGGCGCAGTGGCTCACGCCTGTAATCCCAGAACCACCTGAAGGCAGGCGGACTGCCTGAAGTCAGGAGTTCGAGACCAGCCTGGCCAACATGGCGAAACTCCATCTCTACTAAAAATAAAAAATTAGCCAGGCATGGTGGCGCATGCCTGTAATCATAGCTCCTCGGGAGGCTGAGGCAGGAGAATCGCTTGAACCCGGGAGGCGGAGGTTGCAGTGAGCCGAGATCACGCCATTGCACTCTAGCCTGGGCGATAGAGCGAGACTCTGTCTCAAAAAAAAAAAAATTATGTTTTATGGGAACACGCGGCTTACTAGATTTATACCAATGTAGGAAATTAAAGTTCTGGAATGTGGGTGTCGAAAGCCTCTAACTAACCATGACAGCCAGAAACACAGGTGCGGCTGGGGAGAGCAGAGTTTGTGGGAACATTCTGGAAGCTGGTGCATGAAGGGGAGGTCTGCGTAAGCCATGCTTTGCCGGAACTGCAGCCCTGCTCTCTGCACTGGACTGAGCCCACTGTTGGTTGGTGGGGTCTAAAATTAGGAAGAATCCCACCAAAAGGACGTTCCAAGAGTAAGGGCTTCAGTTTCGCTTTCACCCTTTCAAATCTCACGCGAGTTCAGCTCTTGGCCGACCCTAACGGCCAGACCATGCAGGCAATGGATTTCCTAGCCTTAGACTGGAATGCTGGTGCCAAGGTGAAAAGTTGCAATCTGGCAGACTCCACCCCTTGGTCACCTTGGCATGCATAGTCACCTCCTTTCCCCACCCTTAAGTTCCAAATGAAAACAGTGGCAGAATCATGCTTTCACCTAACATAATGCAACTAGCCCTCATAGAACCCAAACATATACCTTAACTTAAACCTGTAACTTAAATGCTGAGATATAGGGTTAACTACTGTCAGTATATCTTATGTTAGATAAGAAGGGAACCATGGTGGCTCACGCCTGTAATCCCAGCACTTTGGACCGAGGTGAATGGATCACCTGAGCTCAACAGTTTGAGACCAGCCTGGTCAACATGGTAAAACCCTGTCTCTACCTAAAAATAAAAAAAAATTAAAAAAAATAAAAATTAGCCGGGCGTGATGGTGCAAGCCTGTAATCCCAGCTAATCATGAGGCTGAGGCACGAGAATTGCTTAACCTGGGAGATGGAGGTTGCAGTGAGCTGAGATCGTGCCACTGCACTTCAGCCTGGGTGACAGAGCGAAACTCTGTCCCCCCACCCCCGCCCCCAAAAAAGGCGGGGGGAATGAGAAAGGGAAATATCATATATGCATTCATTTCAAGGCAAGGAAAACATACTCTGCTAACTATAGGCCTTAAATTGTTTTGTGTTGTGTGTTGTTCTTTTGATTGTTTGTTTCCACTAGCCGTGTGGCTCAAGCTGGTGTTTAGATAGTTTCTTCCACTACTCTTTCCACTCTCTTGGTCCTCAGCAAGAATCTCAGCCGGTGACTTCTGGCCTTGTGATGTGACCCAAACCTTCATTCCTGAAGGGTCTGGGCCGTTAACAGTCCTGCCAGAACTGGGTTGGGTAGTTTCCATTCACCTGTTTCTTTTCTTTCTTTCTCTTTTCTTTTTTTTTTTTTTTTTTTTTGAGACGGAGTCTCACTCTGTCACCCAGGCTGGAGTACAGTGGCCCGATCTCAGCTCACTGTAACCTCTGCCTCCTGGGGTTCAAGTGATTCTCTTGCCTCAGCCTCCCGAGTAGCTGGGATGATAGGAGGGCGACACCATGCCTGGCTAATTTTTGTATTTTTAGTAGAGACGGAGTTTCGCCATGTTGGCCAGGAAGGTCTCAAACTCCTGACCTCAGGTGATCCGCCTGCCTCGGCCTCCCAAAGTGCTGGGATTACAGGCATGAGCCACCGTGCCCGGCCACATTCACCTTTTTCTTTTCTAGTTTTTTTTTTTTTTCGACTTCTATTTCTTTTAAGTGGGCTAATAGAGGTGTGACCCTATGCACAAAAGTCAAACCTATAGCATAAGAATATTTTGTTATTTTATTTTTAAGAAAAGACATCGTAATATCAGAGACAGAGCAAGACTGTCTCAAAAAAACAAGGAAGAAAAAGAAATATTTTGTGTTTGCTAAGACTGGATTTTTGCTGGTAGAAC
The DNA here is from genome assembly GCF_000001405.40 of Homo sapiens. Classification (NCBI taxonomy): domain Eukaryota; kingdom Metazoa; phylum Chordata; class Mammalia; order Primates; family Hominidae; genus Homo; species Homo sapiens. Next base: position 32,548,533 of record NC_000019.10, on the reverse strand, counting down.
AATGCATGTAGGAACAGAATGCCGCTTCCCCCACAGCTCGCTACAGAAAATTAGGATACCAAGATTCCTGACCTTGAGACTGAGACTTCATGGAACTTTACGACTTTAAAGGAGAATTTCGTCCACCAAGTTAATCACAAACCACACGCAGAATTCTAGCTCCCAATGACATTGGTCTCTATATCTATTTTGGTGTCGGAAGTACACTCTTATTATTGATGGGGCTGAGATGCCTTATGGCTCATAAACTACTATCTGCCTACTGTCAGTTGACTTTCAAGCTTACATATACAAATTTTTTTCATGAGAAAATTTATCCTAAAAAGGTTTTTTTTTTGTTTTTTTTTTTATGGAGTCTCATTCTGTCACCCAGGCTGAAGTGCAATGGTGCGATCTTGGCCCATTGCAACCTCTGCCTCCCGGGTTCAAGCGATTCTCCTGCCTCAACCTCCCAAGTAGCTGGGACTACAGGTGCATGCCACCATGCCCAGCTAATTTGTGTATTTTTAGTAGAGATGGGGTTTCACCATGTTGGCCAGGCTGGTCTCAAACTCCTGACCGTAGGTGATCCACCCGTCTTGGCCTCCCAGAGTGCTGGGATTAAAGGCGTGAGCCACTGCAACTGGCCCTGAAAGAGTTTTGACTAATCACAGATCTCAAGAGCCACAGTCTGCTCCCCTGGCGTATGGGATGGCAGTGGAAGGGATGCTTGTGCTGAAGGCCCATCTGGGGCTGGGGACCACGGACTTCTAGTGGCTGTCCGCGTCTGGCAGGGAAGAGAGCAGAGCCAGGAGGTGGGGGAAGTCCTCCTAGGGCAGAGTAGGGGAGATGGAGGTGAATGGAGCACAAGTGGGAATGGGAGCTGGGGATCAGGAGGCAGTGCTTGGAGAGTGGACGCTGGAGTTAAGACTTCAGTGGTGGAATAACTTCAGCCTATGGGAATTCATGGAGAGAAAGGGTGAGGGAGAGAGACAGAAAGAGAGACCGAGACTGAAACAGAGACAGACACAAACATGGTCTCCATTAAGTGAGGGAAATGCAATGAGAATTGACAAGAATGATCACCAGGCAGAACTTAACTGAAGCAGGCTGGGTGCGGTGGCTCACATCTGTAATCCCAGCACTTTAGGAAGCTAAGGCAGGTGGATTAGCTGAGGTCAGGAGTTGGAGACCAGCCTGGCCAACATGGTGAAACTAAAAATACAAAAATTATCTGGGCACAGGGGTGCGCACCTGTGATCCCAGATACTTGGGAGGCTGAAGCAGGAGAATTGCTTGAACTCCAGAGGCCGAGGTTGCAGTGAGCTGAGATTGCGCCACTGCACTTTAGCCTGGCTGATGGAGCGAGACTCTGTCTCCAAAAAAACACAAAAACAAAACAAAAAGCAGAAACCACAAAGCTACTAATAGCCTACTGTTTACCAGAAGCCTTACTAATCACATAAATGGTTAATGCATATTTTGTGTGCGTATCATATATCATATTCTTACAATAATGTACACTAGAGAAAAGAACATGTTATTAAGAAAATCATAAGGAAAATACATTTACTATTCATGAAGTGGAAGTAGTTCATCACAAAGGTCTTCATCCTTGTCTTCATGTTGAGTAGGCCGAGTAGGAGGAGGAGGAAGAAGAGGGGTTGGTCTTGCTAGCTTGGGTAGCAGAGGCAGAAGAAAATCTTCCTGTAGGCTGGGCGCAGTGGTTCACAGCTGTAATCCCAGCACCCTGGGAGACTGGGGTGGGTGGATCATCTGAGGTCAGGTGATCCTGGTTCGAGACCAGCCTGGCCAACGTGGCTAAACCCCGTCTCGACTAAAAATACAAAAATTAGCCGAGTGTGGTGGCAGGCGCCTGTAATCCCAGCTACTCAGGAGGCTGAGGCAGGAGAGTCACTTGAACCTGGGAGGCGGAGGTGCAGTGAACCAAGGTCGTGCCATGGCACTCCAAAGAGAGAGACTCCGTCTCGAAAAATAAAATAAAATAAAATAATAAAATAAAATAAAATAAAGAAAATCTTCGTGTAAGTGGGCCCATGCAGTTCAAACCTATGTTGTTCAAGAGTCAGCTGTATTGTGAAATGATGACCACAGCTAAGTTAGTTAACCGATCTGTCACCTAACCTGGTTATCATTTGTGTGTGTGTGTCGTGAGAACATCTAGGATCTACTCTCTTAGCAAATTTCAGGGATGCAGTATGTTATTATGAACTGTCCTTGCCATGCTGTCTGGTTGGTCTCCAGAATGGATTCATCTTGTAACTGAAGGTTTGCGGCCCTTTGGCGTCTCCCCATATCTCCCACCCCAGCCCCTGCAAGCCACCATTTTACTCTCTGTTTCTATGAGTTTGACTTTTCTTGATTCCTCATGTAGGTGAGATCATATAGTATTTGTCTTCCTCTGATGGACCGTTTAAAATAAGATGCTGGGCCGGGCGTGATGGCTCACACCCATAATCCCAGCACTTTGGGAGGCTGCGGCGGGTGGATCACTTGAGGTCAGGAGTTTGAGACCAGCCTGGCCAACATGGTGAAACTCTCTACTAAAAATACAAAAAAAAAAAAAAATTATCCAGGGGTGGTGGCTTGTGCCTGTAATTCCAACTACTTGGGAGGCTGAGGCAGGCGAATCACTTGAACCCGGCAGGTAGAGGTTGCAGTGAGCCCAGATCACGCGACTGCACTCCAACCTGGGCAACAAGAGTAAAACTCCGTCTCAAAAAAATAAAATAAAATATGGTGCTGAATCTGTTGTGAGACAGCATCCCCACCCATAGGAGAGCGTCTGATCAAAGTCAGTTGCCTATCTACCCAGGAATCGGCATTTTTTTAAGGGACAGAGTCTCGCTCTGTCACCCAGGCTGGAGTGCAGTGGCACAATCACAGCTCATTGCATCCTTGAACTCCTAGGCTCAAGCAATCCTCTTGCCCCATTCTTCCAAGTAGCTGGAACTACAGGCAGGCACCACTATGCCTGACTATTTTGTTTTTAATTACATTTTTTTTGCGGGGGTAGAGACAGCGTCTCACTGTGTTGCTTAGGCTGGTCTCAAACTCCTGGCCTCAAGTGATTCTCCCACCCCAGCCTCCCAAAGTGTTAGGATTACAGATGTGAGCCACTGCACCTGGCCAGGAGTCAGTTCTTGATAGGAAGCTGATAGCTACATGTTTTCTTTCCAATAAGGCATCCCATTTAAGAACTTGGACTTAAAATCACTCGAGAACTTTATAAGATTTTAATGTCTAAGTACCCAAATTAGCATGTCTCTGTCCAAAGGATATGAAAAACTAATCTGAATATAATTATCATATAATGTGATACCAGGGGCAGAGACCTGGACCCAGCTGCCCATGGAGGTGAGTTATTAATGAGAAGGGGCGCGTGGACCATTAGCTGACTTCATCAGTCAGAGCTGGACTCCGAGCAGCTGATCAGTGCGGCTCTGCTGATGACCCCTTGAAGGTCCAAGCTGCCGCTAAAGGTTGACATCCTTACAGTGGGGCCATGCAGAGTGACTGTCTGCTTGCAGTCCTGAAAGGAAACCCACATTTAAAATTCAGATTTGAGAGGATCTCAGATGGAAAATGCTCGTGCAGTGAGTGGTGTGATCAGGAAAACAGGAGGCCAGGAGGCCTGGGAGCTGTGGATTGAATGCTGCCTGTGGTTGCTGTATCAGTCTTGCTTCTGGCACCACTACAGGGAGCCGACCTGTCATCTCCACTTGATTCTAGTGGGTGGGGCCACTTCTAATAGGGCATCAATAAGGCTTCAGGGTAATTAAGTGCCTAATTGAGTGTCTAATTTCAGCTAAAGCAATTTACACAGAATCTTGCCATGTCTGCAATGCCTTTTCCGATTACTTATAAGTCACATTGGCCGGGCGCGGTGGTTCACGCCTGTAATCTTATCAATTTGGGAGGCTGAGGCAGGCGGATCTCACAAGGCCAGGAGTTCGAGACCAGCCTGACCAACATGGTGAAACCCCGTCTCTACTAAAAAAACAAAAATTAACCAGGCGTGGGGGCACATGCCTGTAATCCCAGCTACTCAGGAGGCTAAGGCAGGAGAATCGCTTGAACCTGGGATGTAGAGGTTGCAGTGAGCCGAGATCGTGCCACTGCACTCCAGCCTGGGCGACAGAGTGAGACTTCATCTCAAAAAAAAAAAAAAAAGTCACATTTTCTTTCTTTTTTTTTTTTTTTTTTTTTGGTGTTTGAGTCAAGGTCTGGCTCTGTTGCCCAGGCTGGAGATCAGTGGCACAATCTCAGCTCACTACAACCTCCGCCTCCCAAGCTTAAGCAATCTTCCCACCTCAGTCTCCCAAGTAGCTGGGACTAAAGATGTACCACCATGCCCAACTAATTTTTGTATTTTTTATAGAGATGGGGTTTCATCGTGTTGCCCAGGTTGGTCTCAAACTTGCGAGCGATCTGCCTGCCTTGGCCTCCCAAAGTACTGAGATTATAGGAGTGAGCCACCGCACCTGGCCTCACTTTTTTTTTTTTTTTTTTTTGAGACAGAGTCTCACTCTGTCTCCCAGGTTAGAGTGCAGTGGCACAATCTGGGCTCACTGAAACCTCTGCCTCCTAGGTTCAAGCGATTCTCCTGCCTCAGCCTCCTGAGTAGCTGGGATTACAGGCACCCGCCACCACGCCCGGCTAGTTTTTGTATTTTTAGTAGAGACGGGGGTTCACCATGTTGGCCAGGCTAGTTTCCAACGCCTAACCTCAGGCGATTAGCTGACCTTAAGTGAGTCACCTGCCTCAGCCTTCCAAAGTGCTAGGATTACAGGCGTGAGCCACCGTGCCTGGCTGTTTCTTAAATTCCTTTGACTTATGATTGTGGCTGCCTTTTTGACATGTGGCTAGGCTGCTGTGGTCACACTGTCAAATCAACAAACAAATGCAGTAGAAAAATAATATGGAAATCCTAAAAGATAAACAATCAGGGATTAGAAATAAGTTTAGACAAGAGTCATGGAAACTCTTCAGGCTCTTTGAGCAAGAATGACTCTCAGAAGAGCACAGGAATATTTGGTATCTTCGCATTCATTCCCATTACAAAATCCTTGGTTTTTTTGTAGGAAACTGTATTAGTCTGTTCAGGCTGCTATAAAAATACCATAAACTGGGTACTATCAACAGAAATTTATTGGTTCTGGAGCCTGGGAAGTCCAAGATCAAGATGCTGGCAGATTCAGTATCTGGTGATGGTCAGCTTCCTCATGGGTGGCGCCTTCCTGCTGTGCCTTCATATTATGAAACAGGCTAGCTGGATCTCTATGATCTCTCTCTCTCTCTTTCTTTTTTTTTTTCCGAGGCAGAGTCTTGCTCTGTCACCCAGGCTGGAGTGCATTGGCTGATCTCTGCTCACTGCAACCTCTGCCTCCCAGGTTCAAGTGATTCTCCTGCCTCAGCCTCCTGAGTAGCTGGGACTACAGGCACGTGCCACCACACCTGGCTAATTTTTGTATTTTTTGGTAGAGACAGGGTTTCACTGTGTTGGCCAGGCTGGTCTGGAACTCCTGACCTCAAGCAATCCGCCCATCTCAGCCTCCCAAAGTGCTGGGATTACAGGCTGTGGTCTCTTTTATAAAGGCACTCATCCCAATCCTGAAGGCCTTATCAGTCAGAGCCAGTTTCCTAGCGGCCTCCACCCTCCAGATCAAATAAGCCCCACCTCCTCATACCATCACTTTGGGAGTTAGGATTTCAACATGCAAATTTGGAGGAGGACACACACTTTCAGATCACAGCAATTATCATGTCGATTTTTATTATGTCCTTTTGCAGCAGAACTCCCATCCATGGGAAAAAGTTACTGCCTTTCTTCAGCGCCTGTACTTCGGTTCCTGTCTATCCAGGCAAACATTTATTAAGTGCCTACTGTATGCGTCTTTCTGGCTGACTGTCTGATTCTCTCTCCCAAATCATGGCTCACGCCCTCCCCTCCTACTTCATTCTCTTTCTCCTCCCCACCCAAAGTGGTGTCTTGGCCTGGCACCACAAACCAGCCAGACAACTGAATTGGGTGCTACACCAGGCTGAGAGGGACTCAGGACTATTTCAGGAGGTCCTTGGAGCTTTGCAGAACACAATGAATTTATTCCTCACTGTTCTGGAGGCTAGGAAGTCCAGGATCCAGGTGCTGGCAGATTCAGTGTCTGGTGACAGTCACCATTTTGTGCACTGTTGGTTTCTCCCTGTCAAAAAACACGAAGGAGCCAGCAATACTCATACTCCAACCCTAGGGTTCAGAAATTTGTGTTCAAATCCCTTAGAAGGGGAGAATCTGCCCAAATTAGGGCTTTACTTAAAAACTGAACAGCGTGTATTTAATTTTTAAAAATCCAAGATGTCAAAATGTATACTGTTGCCATTTAGTGTATACATTCCTATTCTGTGTCTGTCTTTAATATAGGAAATTTCACACATAGACACAAGTCGAGAAAATAGTATGATGAACCCCACATTATCAGCTTACAGCCAGTTTGGTTCCATCCTTACCCTCCTCCCACTGGATGGCTTGGAAGTAATCCCAGACATCGTACCATCTCATCTGTAAATATTTCAGTACGTATTCTTAAAAAATAAGGACTAGTTAAAAAAAATTGGGCCAGGCATGGTAGCTCATGCCTATAATCCCAGCACTTTGGGAGGCCAAGAGGGGAGGATCACTTGATGCTAGGAGTTTGAGACCAGCCTGGGCAACATAGTGAGACCCTCATCTCTACCAAAAATTTAAAAATTAGCCGGGTATGGTGGAACATGCCTGTAGTCCCAGTCGCTCAGGAGGCTAAGGCAGGAGGATCACTTGAGCCTAGGAGTTTGAGGCTGCAGTGAGCTATGATCATGCCACCGCACTCTAGCCTGGGTGACAGAGCACGATCATGACTCTTTTGTGTGTGTGTGTGTGTGTGTGTGTGTGTCAGGGTCTCATTGTGTTGCCCAGGCTGGAGTGCAGTGGCACAATCTTGGTTCACCGCAACCTCCGCCTCCCAGGCTCAAGCAATTCTTGTGCCTCAGCCTCCCTAGTAGCTGGGATCACAGGCATGCACCACCACATCTGGCTAATTTTTGTATTTTTAGTAGAGACAGGATTTCAGCATGTTGGCCAGGATGGTCTCAAACTCCTGATCTCAGGCAACCTGCCCACATTGGCCTCCCAAAGTGCTGGGATTACAGGTGTGAACCACTGCGCCTGGCCAAGACCACGACTCTTAAAAAAAGAAAAAAACAAATTCAGAGAACCACTATCCCATCAATCTCCTGCTCTTTACAATGCCTTAGTGTGAAATCAGCAAGTGCTCAGATGACTCTAGTGGTTTTTCAGTTTGTCTGTTGCCAGCAGTTTCCAGGTAAGGGCCGTACATGGCCCACGATGGAGATGCTGTTTCGTCTCTCAGTCTGTTGTTACCCCTTTCCTTCGTGTTGATCAAGTCTTTTTAAAACTGGTAAATTCACCTACTGAGTATTATCAGACATGTTTAGATGTCATGCAGTGGTCTTCAGTGAAACATTAAAATTGTTTTATCAATGTATGCATATGGTTGAAACTTAAGTAATAGAGAATTGCTCATAAGAGAAATGGTCCCCTGTCTCTCTCTCTTTTCCTCTCTGAGTCACTTTATGCCATGTGCTAGTTTTTCTAGTGTTTATGTCACAACTGTAATTAATACAGCTGTGGCTCTGTTCCATAGACTGACTCCCCGCAATGAAAGAACACAGCAAAAGTTGCTCCCTGGGCATTCGAAGTTGACTGCCACACCCAAATGGCTCAAGCCAGTGGCCAGAGATAAGAACTTAGAGGCATCTCTCCCCTGCCCAGCAGACTGCCTCCCCACTTTCTCTCGTTGCTTCCTTTAAATACACCATTCAACCACTCAGACATAAAAAGGAATGAAAAATGTCTTTTGCAGCAACCTGGATCGAGCTGGAGGCTATTTAACCTAAATGAAGTAACTCAGGAATGGAAAACCAAATACCACATGTTCTCACTTAGAAGTGGGAGCTAAGCTATGAAGATGCAAAGGCATGAGAGTGATATAATGGATTTTGGGGACTCAGGGATGGGGAAGTTGGGAGGGGGTGAGGGATAAAGGACTACATATTGGGTACAGTGTACACTGTGTGGACTAAAATCTCAGGAATCACCTCTAAAGTACTTATTCATGTAACCAAAACCAAAAACCACCTGTACCCCAAAAACTTTTTTTTTTTGAGACGGAGTCTCGCTCTGTCGCTCTGGAGGCTGGAGTGCAGTGGCGTCATCTCAGCTCACTACAACCTCTACCCCCCTGCCACGCCCCACCCCGGGTTCAAGCGAGTATCCTGCTTCAGCTTCCCAAGTAGCTGGGATTACAGGCATGTGCCCACTATGCCTGGCTAATTTTTGTATTTTTAGTAGAGACAGGGTTGTATCATGTTGGCCAGGCTGGTCTTGAACTACTGACCTCAAGTGATCTGCCCACCTTGGCCTCCCAAAGTGCTGAGATTACAGGCGTGAGCCACAGCGCCTGGCCCAAAAACTCTTGAAATAAAAATAAATAAGTGGAGCATTCAGACATTTTCCCAAGAACTTAAAGTGACCCATGCTCCATTCCCTTATGTATACACCGTGAGCCGCATCTCTCTCTCTCCTCTCTCTGCCTGACTCTTCATTCCGGTCTGTGTGACCTGCCCTCCCACATATTGTGCCCTCCTTGCCTAGGGTCTGCTCCCTACCCTGGTGGTGGATGGAATTTGCACCTTCCAGCTGAAGAACCGGGGGCTTCCCCAGGCTGCGTTTCCCCGGGATGCTGGGAACATGAGGTTGGACTCCCAGTGCCAGAGCAATGGTCAGGCAGGCATAAGCTGGACAGAGCTCAGACAACAGCCACCAGGACGTCCACTGGTTGGGAGGCCTCAGGAAACAAGCTTCCCATGCAAAGGACCTTCTGGTCATTGTCCGCTGGGTAAATAGGCTTCCCATGCAAAAAACCTTCTGGTCACACTCTGCTGGGTAAACAAGCTTCCCATGCAAAGGAACTTCTGGTCAGTATCCGCTGGTAAACAAGCTTCCCATGCAAAGGAACTTCTGGTCAGTATCCGCTGGTAAACAAGCTTCCCATGCAAAGGAACTTCTGGTCAGTATCCGCTGGGTAAACAAGCTTCCCATGCAAAGAACATTCTGGTCACTGTCCGCTGGGTAAACAAGCTTCCCATGCAAAGGACCTTCTGGTTACTGTCCACTGGGTAAAAGAAGTATCCCATGAAAGGCACAGTCTAGGCTGGGCATGATGACTCGCCTGTAGTCCCAGCACTTTGGGAGGCTGAGGTGGGAGGATGGCTTGAGGCCAGGAGTTCGTGACCACCCTAGGCAACATAGCGAGACACCATCTCAACTTAATAAAAATAATAAAAAAATTTTTTAAAAAGAGACGCACACTCTAGACACCCACGCCCAGCTCCTCTGCATCTCCCTAGGGCAGGGTTGCTAGCCACTCTGGTGCTATAACCTCGATTTCACTGGGGGTTCTCAAAACACTGTCTAATGTGAAAAATGAAGATTGCGTGCTCTCACCCCATTCCCTTCTGATATGGTTTGGTTCTGTGTCCCCACAATCTCATCTTGAATCTTAATCCCCATAATCCCCACATGTCAAGGGAGGGACCTAGTAGGAAGTGACTGGATCATGGAGGTGGTTTCTCCCATGCTGCTCTCAAGAAAGCGAGTGAGTTCTCAAGAGATCTGATGGTTTTATAAGCATCTGCCATTTCCCCTGCTTGCACTTCTCTCTCCTGCTGCCATGTGAAGAAGGACCTTGCTTCCCCCTTCCCTTCCACCATGATTGTAAGTTTCCTGAGGCCTCCCCAGTCATGTTTAACTGTGAGTCAATTAAACCTCTTTCCTTTATAAATTACCCAGTCTCGGGTATTTCTTTATAGCACTGTGAAAACAGACTAATACACCCTCTTCCCTCTTCCTGTTTATATTTTGTTGGTGTTGGTGATGGTGGCTGACTTTGCAACATCAAATAACTCACTTCAACCTCTGTGTCTTGTTCCATTGATGTTCAGTAGCATCTCTAAACCTGTCCCCATGGGGAGGGAAGACATCAACCCCCTCTAACTTGCCTTCCCTCTCCTTCTACCTACATTTCCCAATTTCTGTTAGGTGGACTTTTTACTTTTTCATATGTTCAAGGTAAAAACATTTACATTTTCCCTCTTGTAATTGTTCTTTCCTGACCTGTCTAGAGGCTGATTCAAAAAGAATCCAATACAGCATTTATGTCATCTATAAAAAATGTTTTTGATCTTGCCAATACTGTTCACTGGAGTGTCTTATTATTTTGTTTTGTTTTGATTTTTTGAGACACGGTCTTGCTCTGGTGCCCAGGCTGGAGTGGAGTGATGCAATCATAGCTCACTGCAGTCTCAAACTCCTGGGCTTAAGCAATCCTCCTACCTCAGCCTCCCAGTGTGCTGGGATTGCAGGTGTGAACCACCACGCCTGGCCTGTTTTGCCATTTTTAGTGAAGGTCTCCCTGTGGAGACCATACTGGTGCTGCTGAGTTCAACCTCCTTGTTGGATTTTAATTGTCATCACAGAGAAAAAGATTGTTCTCTGCAGGTTAAACAACTGGTCTATGGTGAAGACATTGTCTTTGAAAGAGTTACCATGGCAACCTTTCTCTTCAAGGCAAGCTATTCAAGACATCAAAACATAGGATTTGGCTTTGTATTAAATTGGTCACCATGGAGAGTTCCTCACAGCACACATGCTGTATTGGCCCCCTTCACTCCCGGGGTATTTTTTTTCCTGAGAACCAGCGCCTCTGCTCATGACTGGGTGGCCACCTCCTTGCATCCCGGACTCAGTTCGGAAGCCTGGCCTCCTCCATGAAACAAAGTCTGTCTTCTCTAAATAAAGCAAGCTCTTTATTGGCTGGATGCGGCTCATTACCACATAGTTACAGTTTTCTCTCAGATTATAGGCTCCGAGGCCAGGCATGGTGGCTCACGCCTGTAATCCCAGCACTTTGGGAAGCTGAGGCAGACAGATCACCTAAGGTCAGGAGTTTGAGACCAGCCTGGCCAACATGGCAAAACCCTGTCTCTTCTAAAAATACAAAATTAGCCAGGTGTGGTGGTGGGCACCTGTAACCTCAGCTACTCGGGAGGCTGAGGCAGGAGAAGCACTTGAACCTGGGAGGCAGAGGTTGCAGTGAGCCAAGATCGAGCCACTGTACTCCAGCCTGGGTGACAGAGCGAGACTCTGCCTCAAAAAAAGAAAAAGAAAAAGAAAAGAAAAGAAAAGAAAAGAAAGAACATAGGCTCTGAGATTTGAGATTTGGAAGGAAAATTTTATGCAGAAGAATGGACGTTCATTTTTTCCACTATCCAACATCCCTCTTCTCTACCCTTGCTCTGGTAATAGTATTTTACTTTTGGCGAACTGCCTCATTGATTAGTCAATAAATGTTGCCAGGACAATTGCCTGTCCATTTGGCGAGAAATCTTGTCTCTGCCTTCCTATTATTAACAAAAGTCTGGCTGGGCTAAAAACCCAAAAGTAAAAGAATTGCTAAAGTAGCAGCGGAAAACGGGGGGCATATTTTCATCATCTGAGAGGTGGAAAGAAATCTAGAGGTAACGGAAGAAAAAAAGAGGGCACCTCAAATTTTATAACTTATATACACACCACGCCATCAATATAGCTAAACATATTTGTGACATATGACAAGGTGTTAATACTCAGCATGTGTAAAGGGCTTCTAAAAATAGATAAGACAAATCTAGGTTGAAAGGTGCTTAGGTTTATGAGTTAAAAAAATATAAAATAAACCAACAAAAATGTTACCGTCACCTACTGGACCAGTGTCTTAAGTCTGTCTTGCACTGCTGCAAAGAAATACTTGAGGCTGGGTAATTTATAAAGAAAAGGGGTTTATTTGGTTCGCAGTTTTGCAAGCTGTATAGGAAGCATGGCACTGGCATCTGCTTCTGGTAAGGCCTCAGGAAGCTTCCACTCACTGCAGAGGTGATGGGGGAGCAGGTGTGTCAACTGGACAGAAAGGGAGCAAGAGCGACAGGAGGAGATGCTGGGCTGTTTTTAACAATCAGATATATATTTTTTTCTTTGAGACTGAGTCTCACTCTGTTGCCCAGGCTGGAGTGCAGTGGCATGATCTTGGCTCACTGCAACCACTGCCTCCCGGGTTCAAGCGATTCTCATGCCTCAGCCTCCCAAGTAGTTGGGACTAGAGGCGTGCGCCACCACGCCCGGCTAATTTTTGTATTTTTATTTTTTTATTTATATTTTCAGATGGAGTCTCACTCTGTCGCCCAGGCTGGAGTATAGTGGCACAATCTCGGCTCACTGCAACCTCTGACTCCTGGGTTCCACTGATTCTCCTCCCTCAGCCTCCTGAGTAGCTGGGACTACAGGTGCATGCCACCCACATCTGGCTAATTTTTGTATTTTTAGTAGAGATGGGGTTTCCCCATGTTGGCCATCTGGTCTGGAACTCCTGACCTCAGGTGATCTGCCTGCCCTGGCCTCCCTCCTGTGCTGGGATTACAGGCGTGAGCCACCGTGCCCCACCAGTTTTTGTATTTTTAGTAGAGACAGAGTTTCACCATGTTGGTCAGGCTGGTCTCAAACTCCTGGCCTCAAGTGATCCAGGTTTCAGTCAGCAGAGATCACACCACTGCACTCCAGCCTGGGTGACAGAGTGAGACTCTATCACACACACACACACACACACACACACACAAAAGTTCTGTGTTTATAAAGGTGTGGGAGAGAAGCATTCCTGCTCTGTTCCTGCTCTGTTGGTACTTACAATAATTGTACTGTCTTTGGAGAGTGTCAATGTGGCAGTTCTGGTCAATTTTAAATGCCCATGACTTTCAGCCCCACAATTCCCTTCCTCATAATCCATCCTCCAGGCATATTTTTACTGGCTAAAGATGAATGTGTGCAAGTATGTGTGTGGCAGTGTATGGCTGTGTGCAAGTATGTGTGTGGCAGTGTATGGCTGTGTGCATGTGTGAAAGTGTGCATGACAGCATATAATGGTACATGGATGCTTGTGTGTGTGTGTGTGTGTGTGTGTGTGTGAGACTGCGAGTCTTACATTGTTGCTACATTGTTGCTAAATTTGATCATGGTCTCTGTCCTTCACTAGGAGCTCTGTGAAGACAGGAACATTGTGGTTCCATTCAACACTCTGTCCCCAGCACCAGGCATAGTGCCTGGCATGTGGCAAGTGCTCAAATATTTGAATGAATGAATGAATGAATATTAGATAGATGCAGTTTTTTAAACTGGGCTTATGTTATTAATATGCGATATAGATTTAGGTCAAAGTTTTTTTTTTTGACACAGGGTCTCTGTCACCCAGGCTGGAGTGCAGTGGTGTGATGGTGCAATCACAGCTCACTGTAGCCTCGACCTCAAGTGATCCTCCCACTTCAGCCTCCTGAGTAGTTGGGACTACAAGTGTGTGCCACCATGCCCAGCTAACTTTTGTACTTTTTGTAGAGATGGGGTTTCACCATGTAGCCTAGGTTGATGTCAAACTCCTGGGCTCAAGCAATCCTCCTGCCTTGACCTCCCCTGTAGGAGATTGGGGTGGTGGCAAAATTGTAGAAGATGCAAACCTTCTTGGAAGGCCAGGGGTTTGCAAAGCTTCGAAAGAAAATTTGGCTGAAGGCAGCTGAATTCTCTTAAGAACTTAGGTTAGATAGCAAGGGGATGTAAAGAAATTGATCTGGATAAGTTAGTTTACTTAGGCCTTGGAACCTGGCCTTTAATCATCCATGTGCAGGACTGCTCTCTCTGGGGAAGGCAACCATGTTAATTACCAACAAGTGTGTTGACTCAAAGCCTTTGTCATTAAATCTGTGCTGAATAAATGCTCACAGGGCCAGCTTGTGAGGGCCACAGCTGCTGACTCTTTATAGCACCCTCCTCGGTGTCTGTGGGTGGCCCGGTCCCCTAGCCTGCTCTTTCACTGGATATCTGTGTCTGAGTGCATTTGTTCATCCTTCGTTCAGCAGGGTCTGCGGGTTGGACCTGGCACTCTCCAAGAACTAGAATTACAGGAGTGAGTCACCACACCTGGCCTCAGGTCAGAATATTAACGGTACAGAAACTATAATTGACAATGAAGATGTTGATATCAATAACATAGATGTAGCAAATTACTGAGGTTGAAATGTATAAAGCAAACTAGAAGAAATTCAAGAATAAATTATCCTAAGGAAAATCATAATGAGATGGTTTAACACACCATTCTCCATCTTTGGTCAAATAGGAAAAACAAAAGAGTTAGAGGCATTGTAATAAGATTGACGTAGAGCCATGGAACGTTCTGGCCTGTGTATGATCATCTTATCCAAGAACCCATGAAATAGGCACAACAAGAAAATTTAGTTCCATGCAGCAGGATGGGCCACAAGGCACATTTTCTGACGACAATGTAACAAAACTAGAAATCAGCTACAAAAGGTCGATTTTAAACACTCAAACCCTGGAAGTTAAACAAGCCTTTTAGGTGCCCCTTCTGTCCAGAAAGAAACACAAATATAATAACAGTTCCAGCATCCTTAGAAGTTAGCAACTTGGAAAACAGGAAGCTCCAAAACTTATGAGAGACACAGCTGAACCTTTGCTCTGAGGATGGGAATGAAGTGTTTCCATTATTAGGCAAGAGAGGGTAAAAAGAAATGAACTTAGCATCCCTTAAAAGCTAGAAAACCAATACAATAAAGCTAAGAAAAAGAAAAATGGAGACAAAATCAGGAAACAATAAATTAGATAAAAGAACTAGAGTAGAATTTATTTTTATTTTTATTTTTTTGAGACAAGAGTCTCACTCCATTGCCCAGGCTGGAGTGTGGTGGCACAATCTTCGCTCACTGCAACCTCCATCTCCCAGCTTCAAGCAATTCTCATGCCTCAGCCTCCTAAGTAGCTGGGATTGCAGGCGTGCGCTACCACGCCCAGCTAATTTTTGTATTTTTAGTAGGGGTTTCACCATGCTGGCCAGGCTGGTCTCAAACTACTGACTTCAGGTGATCCACCTGCCTTGGCCTCCCAAAGTGCTGGGATTACAGGTGTGAGCCACTGTGCCCGGCCTAGAGTAGAATTTTTAATATAAGGAATGGCTCTTTTGAAAAAATGTAAAATGACTTAAATTTTGGCAATGTTAATCAAGAACAAAAAAGAGAAAACAGTGGTGAATGGCAAAGGGTGTGTGGCTCCGGAGGTAAGAGGGAGACTGACCCCATCACAACACCACAGCCCCCTTCCCAGCCTCCATCCTCTCCAGGGCTCAGCTCTCCACCAGGCACCAAGGGCAGGGAAATCTCGGGGTGGCCACCACAGTCCCTAGGAACTCCAGTGATGTTTTTGGTGATACAAATGCAGAAACTTCACATCCTTGTCCTTATCTTCCAGTGGTCAAGAAGCAGAGGCTGGAAGCATGTTGGAGTGACCTCAGTCTCTTCCTTGGAAAGGGATTTAAGGACTCTGGTCCATCTGGGCCATTCCTCTAAATCGAGAATATGCAAACTGGAGAGCTGTGGGTGGCCATTTCCCCTTAGGGTGTTGGGGAGAGGGCCAGGCTGTCCAGGGGAGAGTGCGGCAGAGGCAGGCATGGGATCAATGGAGAGAGAGAGAAACAGAGACAGGGACAGAGAGAGACAGACAGAGAGACACAAAGAGAGACAGAGACAGAAAGAGACAGAGACAGAGAGAAACAAAGAGGGAGACAGAGAGACAAAGACACAGAGATACAGAGACAGAGACAGACAGAGACCGAAACAGAGAGAGACAGAGAGAAAGAAACAGAGAGATAGAGACAAAGACAAAGGCGAAGAGAGACAGAGATGGAGGGACAGAGAAACAGAGAGACACAGAGAGACATACAGAGAGACAGAGAGACAGAAAAGAGAGAGAGAGAGAGACTTCGTGGCCCGGAGCAGCGGGAGGTGGTGGCTGCTTTAGGAGGCTGAGTCCTTCCAGTCTTTGGCTTCTCTGAAACCCTTTTTGGGCCTTATGTTAAGGTATAATTCACAAAAGATTAAATAAGATGACTCAGCAATAAAAAAAGGAAGTGCCAAAGATTGTCTTGGACTCATTAATTAATGTGGAGTTCAGGAAGATGCTAAAAGTGGTTTAGTGCATTTGAGGGACTGGGTATTTTAGACAACTTAGTAAAGGGATATTAGGGCAGGGTCACACAAACTGGCTAATCTCCTGCAGTCCACAAACCTGTAGCTGGGGTTATCTTTTCTACTGTTCAGTAGTTATTTGCATACCTACCAAAAAAATCTCGAAATTCACCTCTGCCCCTGCAGAGATGTAAAACAACTCAGGCAACGGAAAGTCAATCAAAGAGGCAAAACCAGGATTGCCCTGAAAGAACCCCCGGCAAATCTCTTTGGTCAGTTCTCAAGTTTTTGATAACTTTTCTGACAGTTAGAGTGAATTCCCCCTTTAACCCAATCTGAGATGGGTTTTGGAACTCAGGGCCTAGAGAGATTAAACCAAGTCTGGTGGGAAGGGAAGGCAGGAAGCAGTTAAGAGGAGGGAGACTGGCCAGGTGCGGTGGCTCACACCTGTAATCCCAACTGCTTTGGGAGGCTGAGGTGGGAGGATCGCTTGAGCTCAGGAGTTTGAGACCAGCCTGGGCAACATGGAGAGACCCCATCTCTACAAAAAAGAAATTAAAAAATTAACTGGGCATGGTGGCACATGCCTGTAGTCCTAGCTACTTGGGAGGCTGAGGCAGGAGGATCATTTGAGCCTCGGAGGTTGAGATTGCAGTGAACTAGGATCACACCACTGTGGTCCAGCCTGGGTGACAGAGCAAGACCCTGTCTCTAAAAAAAAAAAAGGTATTGGGGCATGGAAGTGGGAGTCCTCATTGGTTGGACTGGGGAGCCAGCCCCACAGTGCGCAACCTTCCACAGGACCTTTCCTCTCTGCGCTCCAAGAATGACATTCAAACAAATATCAATGGATATGACTTCAGAACAAGTTAACCAATCAAACTATCAATCAACTTGTGTATTTGGGAGTCTGCTACACAATTACAGCCAAGGTGGAAGTGTGCAGATGTGGAGGCCCTTTAAGACCACTTTGCAAGACTTCACTGGAGTAAGGAACACACTGAAATTCGTTCTGCATGTATCTCCATATGTAGGTTATTTCTACCTAGAAATCTTCTATAACCCTAAATGTTATTGTGACTGATGAAGATAACAGGAATAGTGCATTTGAACTAGTAGCAATAACTACTAGTGAAAAAATGAAAAGAAGACACATTTGTGCTTTCAGGGACCATTCCCCACAGTCACACCCACTATTGTGGTTTCCAGAACAGTAGAGACTCTCTTCTGGGAAACTGGGGATTTGGAGATGGTGTCAGTGGTGTCAGTTACCCAGGGCTGCTTAAGCCATCCCCAAACTTGGGGTGCTTAAAAACAACAAATATGTTTTCATTAATTTATTTATGTAATATTATTTCCATGGGTTGGCTGGGCTCAGCTGGGCGGGTTTTCTGTTGCTCTGGTCTGGGGTTACTCATGTTACTGTGGTCATCTGGCAGCTCAAGAATCCATGATGGCCTCCTCACGTGTCTGCTATCTGCTGGGCCTCTCCTGAAACTGGGTCTAGCCCAGTCTTGCTTCCTTGACAGCAGGAATATTGCAAGAGGGGAAAGAGGAAGCTATAGGCCTTCTCATAGCCCAGCTGAACATCTGTGGCATTTCATTGGCCAAAGCAAGTCACAAGCCCAGCCTAGATTCAGGTGATGGGGAAATAGACCCATCATCTTGATGGGAGGGGTCACAAAATTACACTGAAAAGACAGTGGACCCAGGGAGGCATGATTCACTGGCGGCCTTACTGGTCTCAGTCTGCCACAGAACCAAAAGGCACTTGCTACTTACAGGATTCAGGATAAAACAGACATTTGGCAGTTATCCCACCTGCTTAATTCAGACAGGACCACACATATGGGACGATTTTAATAAACATGTACTGTATTGAACTAGATGGAATGAATATAGACCCAAAGCAAGTGTTTTCTTTCGGTTTTGTAACCTTCATAACCTCGCTTTGGACAGAGCCAATGGAGCGAAAGGCTTGAAAACGGTAGTTAAAGATTTGAGTAAAACCCTCTTCAGAATTTTTCATTCTACTTAATTTTAACAAATAGTATATAGATCAGTTAGTGAATATTTCAGTCTTTCACATATGAACCAAAAATGTAATTATGGATTTGATTTTACCAACGTTTGCTGCCTGAAGTAGTCAGTGATCACGAATTGCATTAAATGAAAGGTGAACCCCATTATAGTATCTGGGAAAATGGAACTTAATAAGTTTTGTAATTATGGGGCAAATCTATGCAAATTGCGATTTTTATTAGGTAATTTTCCATCTTCATCTAGGCTCTAATAGTCTATTAGACTTGTGGCAGTTCAGTGCTTTTATTAAGGGAGTTCTTTAACTTCTTTCCTGTTTTGTTCTTTATAATGAAGAAATTGTATTTTGGGGTAAATTGGTCACAGGCCTGATTTATTTATCTTTTTCAATCTTACTACAAATGAGAAGCTGAATCCTTAGTTAATTATTCAGTGAAAACTCTATAGAGCCAATTTATGTTCATCTTAAATAAAGACTAGAAATTTAGGATAATTTTATACCAAAAAAACCCCCACAAAACTTACAACCGAGGTCTTTTTTTTTATGTACCATGTTGGAACGTTGGCCAAAAAGGAAGGTCTTCTTAATTTTAAGTAGTCTTACCAAGTCAGTTTGTCTTTTTTTTTTTTTTGAAATGAGGTCTTGCTCTGTGGCCCAGGCTGGAGTGAAGTGGTGCAATCATGACTCACTTTAACTTCAAACTCCTGAGTTCAGGAGATTCTCCCACCTCAGCCTCCCAAGTAGCTGAGACTACAGGCATGTGCCATCACACCCAGCTAGTTTTTAAAATTGTTAAATTTTATTTGAGACAGGGTATCACTCTGTGGCCCAGGCTGGAGGGCAGTGGCATAATCATAACTCACTGCATCCTTGGCCTCCTAGGCTCAAGCAATCCCCCATCTCAGCTTCCTGAGTAGCTGGGACTACGGGTGCATGCCACCACACCCAGCTAATTTTTTATTTTTTGTAGAAACAGGGTCTCACTATGTTGCCCAGGCTGGTCTCAAACTCCTGGCCTTAAGTGATCCTCCCATCTAATTATTGGCATTACAGGTGTGAGCCACCAGACCTGGCCCAGTTTGTCATCTTAAAAGTGTAGTTTTACCTATTTGGTGAATGCAAAGCTATAAATCATTTTATAAACCAGGAATTCAAAGTTGACACATAAAAGTAACCATCATGGTACTTTGCTCTGTTCTGCTTATGGTTGTGGTAATGTTTTATGATATATCAGATCTAGTAATTCTATGTTTAGCAAATTATCAGGTTTTATTGTCATATGTTTTGCTTTTTTTTTTTTTTTTTGAGGTAAAGTCTGGCTCTGTCGCCCAGGCTGGAGTGCAGTGGCGTGATCTCAGCTCATTGCAACCTTCGCCTCCCAGTTCAAGGGATTCTCCTGCCTCAGCCTGGTGCTCGCCACCACACCTGGCTAATTTTTTATATTTTTAGTAGATATGGGGTTTCACTATGTTGGCCAGGCTGGTCTCAAATTCCTGACCTCAAGTGATCCACCTGGCTCAGTCTCTGAAAGTGCTGGGATTACAGGCATGAGCCACTGCGCCCGCCCTGTTTTGGTTTTAAACATTTTGTTGTATGTTTTAAAATCATGATTTAATGAAGAGAAAATGGCCCTGTGTCATTAAGTATCAGGAGAGAGCCTTGTGAAAGGCTCTTCAGGGTGCATGGGTATTTCTATATGCAGTATTGGAAGTGGCTGAGGCAGGACAATGCTGAAATTGGCTCTATGCTGAGTAAGAGGATTCTAGTGTGAATTCGGTCCAGAAAACACAGAAGGCATGGTACTAGTAATAATCACCTTGAATAGCTTTGGATACAACAGAACTCACCTAAGTAAAAGGTTGTGCATGTGATATGGTTTGGCTGTGTCCCTACACAAATCTCATCTTGAATCATCGTTCCCATAATCCCCATATGTTGTGGGAGGTACCCGGCGGGAGGTAACCGAATCACAGGGGCAGTTACTCCCATGCTGCTGTTCTTGTGATCGTGAATTCTCATGAGATCTGATGGTTTTTTAAGGAGCTTTCCCCTACTTTGTTCTGCACTTCTCCTTGCTGCTGCCATGTGAAGAAGGACATGTTTGCTTCCCCTTCTGCCATGATTGTAAGTTTTCTGAGGCCTCCCCAGCCCTGCAGAGCTGTGAGTCAATTAAACCTCTTTCCTTTATAAATTACCCAGTCTCTGGTAAGTCTTTATTGGCAGCATGAGAACAGAGTAATACAGCATGCCTTTAGTTTAATTTTCAAAAGAAGGTTTTTGTGCCAGGTACAGTAGTTTCCTCTTATCTGCAAGGGAGATATTCCAAGACCCCCAATGGATGCTTGGAATTGTGGATATTATCAAACCCTACAGATAGTATGCTTTCCTATACATACATGCCTATGATAATGTTTAACTTATAAATTAGTTGCAGTAATATGTTAATAACAATAACTCATAATAAAATAGAACAATTATAACAATATGCCAGCATCACCCCTCTTGTACTTTAGGGCCATTATTTACTAAAATAAGGGCTACCTGAACACAAACACGGCAATACTGAGATAGTTGGTTTGAGAACCCAGACAGCTCCTAGGTGACTAACTGGCAGGTAGCGTAGGCTGTGTGATTACACTGAACTAATGGCTGTTTTGTGTCCAGGCAAGATGAAGCATGGCAATGTGAGATTTTATCATGCCACTCAGAAGAGTGCACATTTTAAAACTTATTTCTGGAATTTTCCATGTAATATTTTCAAACTGCAGTTGACTGTGGGTAACTGAAACCCCAGAGAGTGAAACTGTGGATAAGAGGAAACTGCTATACTGGTTCCGCCATAATACTTTGGGTTTTCAGTGGTCTGGAAAGCACAACTGTTGAAGTCTCATCAGCAGACTACATCACATCTACATCTTACCTTTCCAGATGGTGCAGACAACCTCTCACTGCTGGGAGGAGAGTGACCCAAGTAAATGGTGATCTGGGTTTCCTTGGGATTGATGATTCAGTTGTGTTGGACCAATGATCCAATAGAATGGTGAAATTCTACTGAGACTTAGAGTTCATCAGTTTCCACTTTGCTCCCTCCTGCAAGGTAAAACCCTTAGCAGCAATTCCTTCCTCCCGTGTCCCAGCTAAGGCCATTAGGGATATAATCTGTTTATTGAGACCAATGTACTGATACACGCATTGGCGTCTTTCTTCACTAATGCAGTATATTTGCTGACTCCTTGAAATATACTGCATCTGTCATCCCGCCCTTAATTTTGAAAGATAATCAGACTGGGAATAGTATTCCAGGTGAAGAATTTTCCATTAAAACCTTAAAGACTTTGCTCTGTAGTCCTCCTCCTCCCCTTCTTATTCTTATTCTTATTCTTCTTTTTGAGACAGGGTCTTGCTCTGTTGCCCAGGCTGGAGTACAGTGGCATGATCATAGCTTATTGCAGCCTCAACCTCCTGGGATCAAGCGATCCTCCTACCTCAGCCTCCCAAGTAGCTGGGACCACAGTCATGCACCACCATGCCTTGCTAATTTTTAAATTTTTTTGCAGAAACTGGGGTCTCACTATATTGCCTTGGCTGGTCTTGAACTCCTGGGCTCAAGCAATCCTCCTGCCCAAATCTCTGGGATTACAGGCATGAGCCACTGCACTCAGCCACTTGACCCGTTTTCTAACTGCTCCCCATGAGAACATTCAACTCTATTAACAAAAATCATCTTGTTTTACCCAATTCACCATTGCAAAGATATGGAACCAACCTAAGTGCCCATCAGCCAATGAGTGGATAAAGAAAATGTGGCATACATACATTATGGAATACTATTCAGCCATAAAAAGGAATAAAATAACGTCTTTTATAGCAACTTAGATGGAGCTGGAGGCCATTGTCCTACGTGTAGTAACTCAGGAACAGAAAACTGAATATCATATGTTCTCACTTATAAGTGTGAGCTAAGGCACGGCACGGTGGCTCACGCCTGTAATCCCAGCACTTTGGGGGGCCAAGGTAGGCAGGCGGATCACTTGAAGTCAGGAGTTCGAGACCAGCCTGGCCAACATGGTGAAGCCCCATCTCTGCTTAAAAAATACAAAAATTATTTGGGCGTGGTGGCACACACCTGTAATCCCA
This sequence comes from Homo sapiens, assembly GCF_000001405.40. Classification (NCBI taxonomy): domain Eukaryota; kingdom Metazoa; phylum Chordata; class Mammalia; order Primates; family Hominidae; genus Homo; species Homo sapiens. The sequence goes on along the minus strand of NC_000019.10, from coordinate 32,526,188 downwards.
GCTACTCAGGAGGCTGAGGAAAGAGAATTGCTTGAACCTGGGAGGCGGAGGTTTCAGTAAGCCGGGAATGCACCACTGCACTCCAGTCTGGGCGGCAGAGCAAGACTCCATCTCAAAAAAACAAAAAAAGGAAGAGCTAAGCTGTGGATATGAAACAGCATACAGAGGGGTAAAATAGACTTTGGAGGCTAAGAATGGGGAGGATAGGAGGGAGGTGGGAGACTAAAAACTACATATTGGGTACAATGTACACTACTTGTGTGATGAATGGACTAAAATCTCACAATTCACCACTATGCAATTCATCCATGTAACCAAAAACTACTTGTACTCCAAAAGCTTATTGAAATAAAAAATATTGACAAAGAAAGAAATCATCTTGCTTTAAACACACAAACTTTTTTTATTTTTCTGAAGATTTAATCTATCCATTACTGACTATTGGAGGAAATTCAACAGAAAAATCTCTTGAGTAAGGCCAAAGTTTTTTTTTTCAATTCACAGTTTTGTTTGTTTAGAGTTAAACTTGAGCTTTTGTGACTTTAGGATAAAAGAAATCTATGACTCTAAACTTGTCCAACGATATATTTGTCCACCATTATTCACATATTGTGTCTGTTTAAACAAATTGGATGTGACATCCATTTGATAGCCTAGTGCTTTGAATAACATGCTTTCGGTATGTAAACGGTCTGGAGCTTAAGGGTTTATTTCTGTTTAGTTTTCAGATTTGTCTTCAATGAATGTGCAGGCAGACAGAGTAAGGAATTATAGCTGACAGAAGGGGCTCCGAGGGGTGCTTCAATCTTTTTTTTTTTTTTTTTTGAGATGGAGTCTCACTCTTGTCACCCAGGCTGGAGTGCAAAGGTGCAATCTCAGTTCACCGCAACCTCCACATCCCAGGTTCAAGCGATTTTCCTGCCTCAGCCTCCCCAGTAACTGGGATTACAGGCACCCGCCACCATGCCTGGCTAATTTTTGTATTTTTTTGTAGAGATGGGGTTTCGTCATGTTGGCCAAGCTGGTCTCAAACTCCTGACCTCAGCTGATCCACCTGCCCCTGCCGCCCAAAGTGCTGAGATTACAGGCATGAGCCACTATGCCCAGCCTCAATCTCTTGTTTCTTGCCTCTCTGGACAACAGCCGTGTGCACATATGTATCAATGACATGAATTTGGTGTTGTAACAAAAAACTTATCACCAGATTCTAGGTCAAAGATATTTTCTTCCATGTCTTCTTCTAGAAGTTTTATAGTTTTACATTTAGGGCTATGATCCATTTAATTTTTGTGGGCCGGGAGAGGTGGCTCACGCCTGTAATCCCAGCACTTTGGGAAGCTGAGGCTGGAGAATCACTTGAACCCAGGAGTTTGAGACCAGCCAGGGCAACATAGTGACACCCTCTACAAATAATTTACAAATTAGCCAGGTATGTGACACATTGCTGTGGTCCCAGATACTTGGGAGCCTAAGGTGGAAGGATTGCTTCAGCCCTGGCAGCAGAGACTGCAGTGAGCCGTGATCAGGGTGATGCACTCTAGCCTGGGCAACAGAGTGAGACTCCATCTCAAAAACAATTAAATTAAAAAACGTTTTGTGAAAGGTATAAGATCTGTTTCTAGGGACATTTTTGTGCATGTGGATGTCCAGGAAAGACACAGTCTACCAAAACTCACACAAGGTGAAAGAGATAACCTAATTAGCCCTATATACATAAATGAAATTGAATCAACAATAACCTTCAAGTAAAAAAGGAAAGAAAGCACCACACATAGATGGTCTAAAATCTCACTGATGACTTCTATCAAACATTTAAGGAAAAAGTAATACCAGTTCCTCGCAATCTCTTCCAGAAAATAGAAGTGGAGGAAACACTTCATCATTCGTTCTTTGGGGCCAGCATTAATCTAATATCAACACCAAAGGCACAATTCAAGTGATCCGCCTACCTCAGCCTCCCAAAATGCTGGGATTACAGGCGATCAAAAACATTTTTATAAGGCCGGGCATGGTGGCTCACATCTGTAATCCCAGCACTTTGGGAGGCTGAGGTATGTGGATCACTCGAGGCCAGGAGTTCAAGACCAGCCTGGCCAACATGGTGAAACCCTGTCTCTACTAAAAATACAAAAATTAGGTGGGTGTGGTGGCGGGTGCCTGTAATCCCAGCTACTTGAGAGGCTGAGGCAGAATCACTTGAATCTGGGAGGCGGAGATCTTGCCATTGCACTCCAGCCTGGGCGACAGAGTGAGACTCCATCTCAAAAAACAAACAAACAAACAAACAAACAAACCATTTTTTATCAATAACTAAAAAAAAAAAAAAAAGAATATATGCCTGAACAAGAATTGACTCATATAATTGAAGAAACCTTTAGTTATGAATTCTATAATCCCTCAAAGAAATTAAAGAGGACATCTTTACGAAACAAGAGTTCAAACAAGAGACCCAAGTGGTCAAAGACAAGAGCATTAAACAACAGAAAGAGGGGAAAAGTAGATATTGGAGAATTCGTTGAGGGAAAAATCTTTGTAAAATGAAAACCGCCTAGGCTGGGCGCAGTGGCTCACACCTGTAATCCCAGCACTTTGGGAGGCCAAGGTGGGCGGATCACGAGGTCAGGAGATCGAGACCATCCTGGCTAACACGGTGAAACCTCGTCTCTACTAAAAATACAAAAAATTAGCCGGACGTGGTGGCAGGCGCCTGTAGTCCCAGCTACTAGGGAGGCTGAGGCAGGAGAATGGCATGAACCCGGGAGGCGGAGCTTGCAGTGAGCTGAGATTTCGCCACTGCACTCCAGCCTGGGTGACAGTCTCGAAAAAAGAAAACAAAACAAAAAAAACCCGCCTGAGAAGCCCGTTGGAATCAAATCTGTACTGCTGCCATGGAGATGAGGTCTGGGGGAAACGCATCAAGTACTAGGGGCAGAGGTTGGGGGGGCAGCCGTGATCCGGTGCTGGAGATGGAAACCGACAGTAATGATACCACACGCAGTGGGTTTTCCTGAGAAAAACAAAACAAGCGTAACAAAACCAAATTTATAGATAAAATAGAAGGACGACTGGAAATTATACACTAAAAGGATTCTCTTACTATAACAAAACAAATCAAATCAGAATAAAGCAATCAGGACCAAGACAAATTCTGTAAGCATCAGGGCAGGATAAGATCCACTTACTATGGGAAATTTCAGGTTGTCTGTTTCTTTGCTTGAAAACTAAAGGTGATGGCTGGGCATGGTGGCTCATGCCTGTTATCCTAGCACTTTGGGAGGCTGAGGTGCGTAGATTACTTGAGCCCAGGAGTTTGAGACTAGCCTGGACAACATAGTGAGATGCCCGTCTCCAGAAAAAAAAAAAAAATTAGCCAGGTGTAGTGGCATGCACCTGTAGTCCCAGCTACTTACGAGGCTGAGGTGGGAGGATCGCTTGGGCCTGGTAGGTGAAGGATGCAGTGAGCTATGATTCAGCCACTGCACTCCAGTCTGGGTGACAGAACGAGACCCTGTCTCAAAATAAATAAATAAATAAAAATAAATAATTAAAACTAAACTAAAGATGTTAAAGATAGTGAAATGATTATTTGCAGATTGTTGTAGGGAAAAACCTTAGAGTCAGGAACTCATGGGTGTGTCTTAAAAATGCACGCTTTAGTTAATGGAATACATATCTAAAGAAGAATAAAAACAAAGAACTTATGAATATAAGGAATGGGGTTTGTGGTGATCCTTGGGTCTAAATAGACAAAATTATTAGGTCTAAGTGGTGGGAAATTACAACCATAAAATCATAAATGACTCATGAAGCGGTCTTCAAAACACAGCCTGTGTTGGATTCAGAAAGTCCATTTCCCTTTCCACTCCCATGAGTGTGTACTTGTTCACAGGTGGTTTCCTTGGCTGGCAGTAGAGCAAAGCTGCAGTCCTTTCTACCTGGAGCTTTTCTGACACAGCCACCTGGGAGCATCCCACATTTGAGTGGGACCCCAACTCTGAGAGGTGTGCCTGTCCCACAGGCTCCTCCTGGGTGCACACAGCAACCCACTGGGGAGTTTGCAAGTGCACATTGAGAGGTGGGTGCTGGCAACTCCAGGAACCAGTCTGTTCCCTTCAAGATTCAGATGTACTTCTCATGAGAAGCATTTTTTCCACTTTTAAGTTGCAAGTTTAATTTGGAATTTTACTTGTAAATGAATCTCTAAAGACGAAGCCATTCTGCAGAGGTAGTGTGGTATAATGGTTAGCAGCAGACTCTGGAGCTCGGCTACTTCAGGCAGAAGCCCAGCTGTAGCGTGGACTAGCTGGGGGCCTTGCACAAATAAGTTGTTGGAGTTTTCTCATCTGAATATGGGGTTTACAACAGTACCTTTCCCATAGTGCTGTAGAGTGAGGGTTAAATCAATTAATATATGTACCGTGCTTACGGGCATTCTTGACAGATACGTGACACTATGTAAAAGTTCACTGCAATAAATACGACAGAGAAGGGAAAATAGAGTCAGTGTCTGAGTGCCTTCCATCCTTCTCCTCTCTGAAGGTGTGCTGATGGCGGTGAGCCGACAACTGTTCTATTTTTGTATATTGGGAGTGGGGCAATAGCTTGGGAGGTGGGACAGATAACTTGGCTTTTAGCTTAGTTTTGTATTTTCAAACAAGTCTACAGTGTGCAGAATGCACAGTAGGATGCAGGAGTGGCTGTGGATAGACAGGAGGCTGTTACAGACTCTAGATGAAAGGTGATGATAGCTTGAGTAAGGTAGTGGTAAAGAGGGAGAAGTGGACAGGTACCTGAGATGCTGAGGAATTAAAATAACTTGTGGATGCTTTGGATACTGGAAACAAGTGAAAAGATAGCACGAACACAGTTATGAGATTCCTGTGGCCTGAACAACGGGATAAAGGTGCCATTCATGGAGCTGGGTTGAACGGTGGCCTCCCAAGAGATATGTCCACCCAGAATCTGTGAGTATTATTTTAAAAAAGGGGTCTTTGCAGATGTAATTTTAGAATGGACAGATACTCTCTCTGGATGGAGAGTGCCTTCTTGGACCTGCAGTAGAGATGCTCATGCCCCACCCAGCACTTTGGGACTTCAAGTCTGATGCCCTCATTGGGTGGAACTTTTGGATTATTTCTCTTGGGGAGGGTGGTGAGTATATTTTGCTTGCTGGAAAGAAGGGTAGTCCAAATATTTAGTGACCAGAGGGCAGACTGTGGTCATCTTTAGTGCTGTTTGCAAATATTTCCAGTGCTCTCTCTGTCTGAGAAGATCATAGAATGCATTTTCTGGGCCTCTTATGGTTAAGTGGGGCCATATTCTAGCCAGTGAGCTGACAGACAAAGAGACACATCTCACTTCCTGGCCAGGGCATTTAATTACTGGTGCAAGCCCTTCAAGAGCCATTTCCCTCTCCGCCATAGTGACCAGGCATGTCCCAACAGTGGCTGCTTCATCAGCTGGTCTAGGAGGGAAGACAGCATGATGGAAAGTCCCAGCCAACCTGCTGGATAAGTAGCAAGAGTGGAAATAACCCTTTATTGTTTTAAGCTGCCAAGGTTTTAGGGCTGTTCATTATGGCAACAGAATCAAGCCTATCCTAAGAACAGAAATTATGGAGGGAATATTTTACTCGTGAAAATCACTTTGCACTCCATCTCCCTGTTTTGTGGCCAAAACACTTGCTAAAGGGGAGTGCAACTGGCGCAGTGCTGAATACATTATAGGTGCCCAGAGGGTGGTTTATGATTGACTGGTGAACACCTTATTTTTTTATGCTACAGATTTGCTTTCATCAGACCTATAAGGTCTCCACTTAGCTATTTTTAGAACATAAATTGGAGAGGACTGCTTTGTAGTGACAGTAATATAAAAGTAGGTAACTTGGAGTCCGTTCATTTTGAAACCAATTGGACAGCTCACATTCAGGTACCACAGCAGAAGAGTTATAAGAAAAGATGAGGATGGAGAAAGAAGGCTTGACAAGTTTAAATGCTGCTGGCAGAAATACTCTGAGGGGATCCCAGCCGTCTCAAAATTCACTGCATGATGAGTGTTGAAGGGAGACAGATGCTTTTTAGCATCAATTCCCAGTGGCTTTGTTTTCTATAGAGTAGAGAAGGGACCTAGGAAGGTCATTATATTAAATTGTTGCAGGTCAAGTTCAAAGTCATCCATTCTTGTAGGTATTCTTCTTATTTTACCAAGTATGTCCCTGCCTGGTATGTATTACCATCCCAAAAGCTTCACAGTTTGCAGCTTATCCTCATTTCATTTTGATTTTAATATAGACTGTGTTACACTTGTCTGTTTCCTAAGAACAATGAACACGTGGAGATAAGGCAGAGTGGGGCAGCATGATCAGATTTGCATTTTGAAACAAGTCTACAGTGCGCAGAATGCACAGTAGGATGCAGGAGTGGCTGTGGATAGACAGGAGGCTGTTACAGACTCTAGGTGATAGGTGATGATAGCTTGAGCAAGGTAGTGGTAAAGAGGGAGAAGTGGACAGATACCTGAGATGCTGAGGAATTAAAATAACTTGCGGATGCTTTGGATACTGGAAACAAGTGAAAAGATAGCACAAACACAGTTATGAGGTTCCTGTGGCCTGAACAACGGGATAAAGGTGCCATTCATGGAGCTGGGTTGAACGGTGGCCTCCCAAGAGACATGTCCACCCAGAACCTGTGAGTGTGGCCTTATTTTTAAAAAGGGGTCTTTGCAGATGTAATTAAGGATTTTGAGGTGAGATCATCCTGGGTTATTCTGAGTCCTTCTAAGAGAAACGCAGAGGGAGATTTGAAACACAAGAGGAGAAGAGAAAGCCACATGAAGATGGAGAAACAGATTGAAGTTATGTGGCTGCCAGACAAGAACCAGTGGAGCCACCAGAAGTTGGAAGAACAAAGGAAGGATCCTCCCTTCAGTCTGGCCTTTGGAAGGAGGCCAACTCTTGAAACTTGGTTTCAGACTTCCTGTCTCTAGAACTGTGAGAGAATATATTTCTGTTGTTTTAAGCCACTGAGTTTGTGGTTATTTGTTACAGTAAGCCCTAGGAAACAAATACACTAGAGAACACAAGAAAAAAAAAACAGGTTTGGGGTGAAAATAATGAGTTCAGTTTTGAACATATTGAGTTTGAAGTACCTTGGAGACATCAAGAAGAAATGTCAAATGGGTCAATATGTACACAATTCTGGGCTACAGAAGTCAGTTGGTGAGTCATATGCATTGAGATGGTAGTTGAAACAAGGACTTGGGTAAGGTCACCAAAAAAGAGAAAATCAGAGTGAGAAGGGAAATCTTAGGACCAAGCCCCGAGGAGCTCCAACGTCAAAGGGATGAATAGGAGAAGGTAATCCCACACAAGCACTAGAGAAGGGGCAGCTACAGAAACAGGAATTGAAACAGGAGAGCATTGTCTTAGAAAGTAAGGGAAGAGGGGGTTTCAGAAAGGATGGAGCAGTCACCAGCATTCAAAATTAAGAGAACACAGGGACTAAAAAATGTTCATTGAGTTTCATGAAGTCACCGGCAACACCAGCAACAGTTAGTCAAGTAATTCTGCCAAAAGCTATCTTGGAGTGTACTGACAAGTGACAACAGACAGCTTTTTTTTTCTTTTGAGGAGGGAGGGTATTTGGAAAAATAAATAAAGGAGATAAATAAAATGATACATATTGCAAAGAGAAGGGAAGTGGAGGTTTGGTTTTGTTTTGTTTGTGTTTTTGCTGGTTTGCTTCTGTGGGAAGAGTCTTGAGTCCACTGAAAGGCTGTTGGGAATGATGCAGTTGAGTTGAGAGGTTGACTGTGCAACAAAGGGGTAATAATCAATTTACCCCTCTCAGACTGGCTCTCAATAATCTGAGAAAAAGGATCGAAATGGGAACCAAAGCACAGGTGGAAGTATCGCATCTCCACTGCTACAGCAGAAAAGGATGACAGGGTGGTGCAGATGAATGGGTAGAAGATGAGAAAGTTCTAATGCCATGGCCTCTATTTTCTCTGTAAAATTGGAAGTGGTGTGCACTAGGCAGACTCTAAGATCTCACAAGACGCCCTGTCTCCTGGTGTTCATTCCCTGTGGAATCCTCTCCTTTAAGAGTGGTCTGGCCTTAGTGACTGGCTTCTAACAAATACAACATGGTGGAGTGATGAGATGCCACTTCTGCTATTAGAGAATCTAAGGACAGTGGCCTCTGGCTTGGACTTTCTTGTGTGCATGTGCACCTGGAGGAAAGCCAGCTTTCATGTCATGTGCAATCCTAAATAAAGGCTCACAAGGCAAGAAACTAAGGGAAGCCTCTAACTGACCACTTACAAGGAACTGAACACTACCAACAACCATGTGAGTAAGCTTGGAAGAGGATCCTACCCCCGTTGAGCCTTCAGATGAGATCACAGACCTCACTGACAGCTTCACTGAAACCTGATGAGAGATCTTGAGCCAAAGGCATCCAGCTAATTTATGCCTGGATTCCTGAGCAACAGAAACTGTGAGATAATAAATGCTTTTAATGTTTTAAACCACTAAGTTTTGGAGTACTTTGTTATACAGAAATAGATTACTGATATATGGATTTATCTACTGGGAGTGTAGGAAAAGGAGGGGCTGGATGAAGAGGAGAGAAGATTTGGAATAATTGTCATGGAAAATGAGAAAATAAGTTGACAACACAATAGAATTTCTGAGCTGTTGAGGGCCTATCTGAGCTTAGCAATCATGGCTTTATAATAGAACTAATTTGTCTTATGTAAGATATAATGGAATTTTTTAAATAAAAATTTTATTATGTTTTGATTGACCATGGGAAATATAGCCTTCCTTTAGTCCTTCCATTACATCTTCTGGAAAATGTATTCACTTGGGATATTTGCTGAGGGCCTATTTATACCAGGTACTCTTTATTCATTAAAATATTTATTAATACAAAGAAATGATAAATGCTTGAGGTGATGGATACTCTACTTACTCTGATGTGATTATTATACACTGCATGCCTGTATCAAAGTATCTCATGTACCCCCATAAATATATCCACCTACTATGTACACATAAAAATAAAAAATAAAAAAATTAATAAAATAAAAATAGACAAAAAATAAAATATTTATTAAGTGTCTAATTGATGCCACGTCTTTTAGGCACTGGAGACATGAGGTTTATGTTTTAGGGACATGAAAAACAAATAATTAAACAATATGATAATGCATACTGTAAAGAAAATCAAAGCAAAATAAGGGAGACCAAGAAGAGGGTGCTCTTTTCCATAGGGAGGCCAAGGAAGTCTAGTCTAATCACAGTGGGTTCTGGAAGCAGAAGAGAGAGAGTGAATGAGATACAGTCCTTGCCCTTTGGAAACTTACATTCTAGTGAAGAAACTAGAACAAGCAAAAATATAATCATAGGTGCTGATTGATAGTATAAAAGAGAATTGGGGGACTAGGACAGGTCACTCCTAGAAGACAATATTTGAGCAGAGAGTTGAGTGGAGGGAGGGAAGGAGTCGTGTGGAAAGGAGAGGAAAGAGGCTGGGCGCGGTGGCTCACTCCAGTAATCCCAGCATTTTGGGAGGCCGAGGTGGGTGGATCACGTGAGGTCAGGAGTTCGAGAAAATCCTGGCCAACATGGCAAAACCCTGTCTCTACTAAAAATGCAAAAATTAGCCAGGCATGGTGGTGGGTGCCTGTAATCTCAGCTCCTCGGGAGGCTGAGGCAGGAGAATCGCTTGAACCCAGGAGGCGGAGGTTGCAGTGAACCAAGATTGCACCACTGCACTCCAGCCTGGGTGACAGAGCAAGACTCCGTCTCAAAAAACCAAACCAAAACAAAAAACAAAAGAAAAGAAAAAGAAAGGGGAGGGAAGGGAATCCTGGGCTGGGGGACCACATGTGCCAGTGCTTTCAGCTGGGACCACGCCTGGAATGTTCAAGTAGCTGCTAATGCTCTGTGAAGTTATTTCCTTTATTGCTGATGGCACAATGTGTTTCAAAATAGGCAGAGAGTAGACAAAGAGAAGCTGAGGTATCTATTCACATAGGGGTCAGCCACATCAGGGGTAAACATTTTATACCAGAGGGTAAAAAGAATAATTACACAAGCCAAACTCACTTTTAAGTGTCAAAATTGTATTAATAATATCAATAAATATTAATAGGCGCTTACTCTGTACCCAACACTGTTCTAAGAGCTTTGAATTATTAATTAATTTCATCATTTTTCAAAAATCCTATGGGATAAGACTGTTGATTTAATCTATTTACAGGTCAGGAAACTGAGACGGAAAAAGTGCCCAAGGTCACGCTGCTGGCGAGTGGGTGCCAGGGCAGAACCCTTCGCCACTCTAGTACCTTCCTCCAGATCTCTTGGAAGGATATTAGAAAATAATGGGTCTCACAGCTTAGGTTTAATGGAGTAGATTATACATGTGAAGGGAAAATTAATTACAAATATCTTACAGCAAAAAGTACCAGAGTAGATTTTTGGTAGTCACATAGAAAGCAGCTTAGATTTACAGATGGCTCAATATTTTGCGTTAGAATTCTTAAAATATTACACACTGAGTTTGCGTATTAACCTAAAATGGCATAGAAATATTAATAAGCTAATGATTTATGTTGAACTACGTCCTTTAAAATATTGTCATTTTGAAAAAGCCCAAACATTCTCATGGATAGTAGTAATTCTTTCCTTTTTATAGTGTTTCTGTTAGATGTCAGACTCAAATACTCTGCATTGCAATTTCTTTGTTGGTTTTGAGGTCATTCTGTTACTGACTGATTTTTCATTCAATTAACTTGAAAAAAAGTAGACTTCATTTTTTACAGCAGTTTTAGGTTCACACACAGCAAAATTAAGAAGAAGGCACAGAGGCCCGGAGCGGTGGCTCATGCCTGTAATCCCAGCACTTTGGGAGGCCGAGGCCGCCTGAGGTCAGGAGTTTGAAACCAGCATGGCCAACATGGCGAAACCCAGTCTCTACTACAAATGCAAAAATTAGCCGGGCATGGTAGCAGAATCCTGTAATCCCAACGACTCTGGAAGCTGAGGCAGGAGAATTGCTTGAACCTGGGAGGCGGAGGTTGCAGTAGGCCGAGATCGTGCCATTGCACTCCAGCCTGGGCAACAAGAGCAAAACTCCGTCTCAAAAAAAAAAAAAAAAGAAAAGAAAGAAAAAAGAGGAAGCCACTGAGATTTCCCACATACCCTGTGCTACCTTCACACTTGCCTGGCCTCCCCTATTATTCACATCCCCCACTGGAGTGGTAAAATTAATACAGTTGATTAACCTACACATCATAATCAACCAGAATTTATAGTTTGCATTAGGGTTCACTCTCAGCGTTATATGTTCTACAGGTTTAGACAAGTGTATCCTAACGTGGATCCATCATTACAGTATGCTGTAGAGGAGTTTCACTGCCCTAAAAATCCTCTGTTCTCTGCCTATTCATCCCTCCCTCCCTCCCCATTAACCTGTGGCAACTCCTAATCTTTTTACTATCTCCATAGTTCCGCCTTTTCCAGAATGTTATAGAGTTGAAAACATACAGTACGTAGCCCTTTCAGATTGGTTTCTTCCACTTAGTGATATGCATTTAAGATTCTTTCATGCCTTTTCATGGCCCAATAGCACATTTCTTTCTAGGGCTGAATAGTATTTCATTGTCTGGATGTACCACTGTTTATTTGCCCATTGACCTACTAAAGGACATCTTGGTTGCTTCCAAGGTTTAACACTTATGAATAAAGCAGCTGCAAACATCTGCGTACAGGTCTTAGTGTGGACATAAGTTTTCAACTAGTTTGTGTAAATCCCAAGACACTTGATTGCTGGGTGATGTGGTAAGAGTATAGTTTATAAGAAACTGCCAAATTGTCTTCCAAAGCGGCTGTACCATTTTGCATTGCCACCAGCCATGAATGAGAGTTTCTGTTATTCCACATCCTTGGCAGACGTAATGTTATTGGTGTTTTGAATTTTTGCCTAATAGGTATGTAGTGATATCTCTTTGTTGTTTTAATTTGCAATTTCTGCAATTGATGTTTTAATTTGCAATTAATGACATACAATTAAGTATTTCTGAAGTTTATGATCACCCACTTGAGTCCAAGGATAAAAGAGTGTCTGACAATAGTTCTTTATTAGGAACTTCTCATTTATTTGTAAATTCTATGACTTCCTAGATTCAATGGGGCAGGGGTGTGGTTTAAGGAGATGGGGACAAACAAATTTCAGTGGAGACGAACATATGTACTATGGTTCTCTCCTTGATATTAACATACCAATGCATCCAGGGATGGCTCAACTTGCCTCTATGACAGAAAGCATTCTGGCTACCTTATCAGTTCAACAACAGATATAATTCACCAATCTGATCTAGTTACCAATATCCTTCATTTACGTATTCTTCAGTTTGGTCTCAGGAAGTTATCATTCATGATAAAAAATGTCCATTAAACTAGGAACAGAAGAAAACTTCCTCAACCTGAAACCAGACATTTATGAAAAACCCACAGCTAACATCCTACTTAATAGTGAAAGACTGAATGTTTACCCTCCCAAGATCAGGAAAAAGAGAAAGATGTCTGCTTTTGCCACTCTTCTTTTTTTTTTTTTAGATGGAGTCTCGCTCTCTCACCCAGGTTGTAGTGCAGTGGCGCAATCTCAGCTAACTGCAAGCTCTGCCTCCTGGGTTCACGCCATTCTCCGGCCTCAGCCTCCCAAGTAGCTGGGACTACAGGTGCCCGCCACCATGCCCGGCTAGTTTTTTGTATTTTTAGTAGAGACAGGGTTTCACCGTGTTAGCCAGGATGGTCTCGATCTCCTGCCCTCGTGATCCACCCACCTCGGCCTCCCTGCTTTTGCCACTTCTATTTAACACCATACCGGAGGTTCTGGCCAGAGAAATTAGAGAAGAAAAAGAATTACAAGACATCCACATTGGAAAGGAAGAAGTAAAACTATCTCTATTTACAAATGACATAATCTTCTATGTATAAAACACTAAGGAATCCACTAAAAAGCTATCAGAATGAATACAAGAGTTCTTTAAGGTCGCAGGAGACAAGTTCAATATAAAAAATCATTTGCAAGTCTATATATTAACAATGAACACTCTGAAAATAAAATCAAGAAAAAATTCTTAAAAAGTCAGGAAACAACAGATGCTGGAGAGGTTGTGGAAAAATAGGAATGCTTTTACACTGTTGGTGGGAGTGTAAATTAGTTCAACCATTGTGGAAGACAGTGTGGTGATTCCTCAAGGATCTAGAACTAGAAATACCATTTGATCCAGCAATCCCATTACTGGGCATATACCCAAAGGATTATAAATCATTCTATGATAAAGACACATGTACACGTATGTTTATTGTGGCACTATTCACAATAGTAAAGACTTGGAACCAACCCGAATGTCCATCAATGATAGACTAGATTAAGAAAATATGGCACATATGCACCATGGAATACTATGCAGCCACAAAAAAAGGATGAGTTCATGTCCTTTGCATGGACATGGATGAATCAGGAAACCATCATTCTCAGCAAACTAACACAAGATCAGAAAACCAAACACCGCATGTTCTCACTCATAAGTGGAGTTGAACAATGAGAACACATGGACACAGGGAGGGGAATATCACACACTGGGGCCTGTCGGGGGAGTGGAGAGCTAGGGGAGGGATAACATTAGGAGAAATACCTAATGTAGGTGATGGGTTGATGGGTGCAGCAAACCACCATGGCACATGTATACCTATGTAACAAAACTGCATGTTCTGAACATGTAACTCAGAACCTAAAGTATAATTTAAAAAAAAAGAAAGAAAAAATGCATTTACAATAGTATTAAAAGGGATAAAACACATAGGTTTTAAATTATTCGTTTAAGCAGTTGTCTTTTAAGTCAGGAGAAAAATGAGCAGCAAAGAATACATTTATACTGTGTATATATCCATGTAATTTTATTTTCCAGTGGTCTTTATTTCTTCAGGTGGGTTTAAGTTTAGTGTCCATTCAATTCAGCCTGAAGGACTCTCTTTACTATTTCTTGTAGGGCAGATCTGCTAGCAATGAATTCTCTCAGTTTTTGCCTGGAAAAGTCTTAAATTTATTTTTCATGTTTTGAAGGGTAGTTTTGCTGGATATAGAATTCTTGTTTGACTTGGCCAGGCTTGGTGGCTCATGCCTATAATTCCAGCACTTTGGGAGGCCAAGGCAGAAGGATCACTTGAGTTCAGGAGTTTAAGATGAGCCTGGGTAACATAACAAGACCCTGTCTCAGAAAAAAAAAAAAATTAGCCAGGCATGATGGTGTGCTGGTAGTCTCAGCTACTTGGGAAGCTGAGGCAGGAGGAGGATCCCATGAGTCCAGGAGTTCAAGACTATAGTGAGCTATGATCATGCTACTGTACTCCAGCCTTGGCAGCAAAGTGAAACCCTGTCTCAAAAAAAAAAAAAAAAAAAAAAGAAAAAGAATTCTTGGTTCCAGCACTTTGAGTATGTTACCCCACTGACCTTGGCTACCATTGTTTCTCAGGAGAAGTTAGTGGTAAATCCTGCTGTGGTTCCCTTATTCATGTCAAATTGTTTTTTTCTTGTTGTTTCTAAGATTTTCTCTGTATCTTCAGCAGGTTTACTACAATGCATCTCTGTGTGTATCTCTTTGTGTTGATCCTACTTGTTATTTGTTAAGCTCTTGACTATGCAGATGAATGCTTTTCATCAAATTTGGGATGATTTCAGCCATTATTTCCTAGAATTTCTTTCTCCTCTCTCTTTCTCTCTCTCTCTGTCTCCTCCTGATTCTACAGTATGCACGTTTGTGTGCTTGATCACATCCCACAGGTCTCTAAGGCTCTATTCATTTTTCTTCTTTTCTCTCTGTTCTGCTGGTTGTATCACTTCTATTGATCTACTGTCACGTTTGTTATTTTTTCTTCTGCTAGTCCAAATCTACTGTTTAAGCCCATTTAATTTTTTATTTCAGTTTTTGTACTTTTCAGCTCCAGATGGAAATATTTGGTTTTTTAAAATAATTTTTATCTCTCCACTGATATTTTTTATATAATGACATATTTTCATCATACTTCAATCAGCATGATTTCCTTTACTTCTTTGAATGTATTTAACATGGCTGTCTTGGAAACTTTGTTTGTTAAATCTGACGTCTGAGCTATCTCACAGATGGTTTTTGTTGTTTATGTTGTTTTTTTCCTGCCTATGAGTTACATTTTCCTGTTTCTTTTCATGTATTGTAATTTTTTAAAAAACAGGACATTTTTAGGAATAGTTAGATAATATAGACCCTGACTCCCTCCCCCTGGGCTGATTTGTTTAGTGATCAGATGGACTATTTTAGTGGAGTTGTTGCCCCTTGAAATGTGCAACCTTGGGCCTGTACACAGTCACTCTCTCATGACAGTGGTTCCAGAGGGGCTTTCTTAGTCTCTTTCCCTGATCACACCCGTCTTTAAGCTCCAATCATTGCTAGCTGACTGCGCAAATGTTTTCAACAATGCTCTGAGACAGAAATTGCTTCATAGTCTCATCCTGTTACACTGGGGTCCTTTTGTAAAAGTAGTTTATGTAGTTTATGAGTCTAGTGTTTAAGGTTAGTTTTTTTTATCCCAGGAAGCACCCCCCTTTTTTTTTTGCTCTGTTGCCCAGGCTGGAGTGCAGTGGTGTGATCTCGGCTCTCTGCAACCTCTGCCTCCCGGGTTCAAGCAATTCTCCTGCCTCAGCCTCCTGAGTAGCTGTGACTATAGGTACATGCTTCCATGGCTGGCTAATTTCTTTTGTATTTTAGTAGAGATGGGGTTTCACCATGTTGCCCAGGCTAGTCTCCAACTCCTGAGCTCAGGCAATCTGCTCACCTTGGCCTCTCAAAGTGCTGGGATTACAGGCGTGAGCAGGAAGGCTCCTTTTAATGTCCTCTTTCTTTGGTTCTCTCTGGTAAACTAGTTGACCTATAGTTTAGCTTGTGGTTCACATGAAGCTACCAATATCCTTAATTGCTTACCACCAAAACCTCCATGGTTTGTGACTTAGGCATGGACTTCCCTATAGTTTGTTTAAAATAAAGTCAGTTCCTTTGGGGAGGGCTTCAGAGATCTCTGTTCTCATGGTTTGCCTCTTACCCTGGCAAAATATCAGCCTGGGGGCAGAGACAGTAGCCCACTTCTGAGTGATCCCTCTGCTTTAGGAGCAGGATAGGGGATGAGATTGGTAGCCTCTGGTCTTCCCAGCTTCCTTCCCCTGACATTGAAACTGTGAACTAGCTGGAGTGAGGGTGATCAGGGCCTAGTATTCGCAGTGTTTCATGCCATAAGTAGAGCCTCCACTCTATTGTGGGGATCTGGGTGGAAGAATGGAGCCCCAAACCTCTTGACCACACTTGCCTGGAATTTAGCCTCTGCAACATGTAGCTGGTTTTGGGGGGCAATAAATGCTGTGGACTGCCACTCCTTGAAAGGTTCTGTAGCCATCGACTGTTAGCTGGAGGAGAAGGAGCCCTGCGCTCTTGGCTGCTCACGCCTGGAGTCGAGTTTCCATCATGCTAAGCTGGGAGGGTTGAGGGTAGGAAGAAGTTGTGGTTCAAATGCCACAGACTTTTACTGTTTTTACAATGTTTTCATTGATTTTCTTGAACAAATATTTCTTCATTTGCCACAGGCTCTTAGAACAATTTCCAGAAACTTTAAATGGTTGATTTTTAAAAATAATTTTCCCAGTTGCGCTCATTTCTTTGGGGAGCAGGCACACAGAGAGGAAACTCTTGTACACTGTTGGTGGGATTGAACATTGGTACAGTCATTATGAACAACAGGCCGGGTGCGGTGGCTCACACCTGTAATCCCAGCACTTTGGGAGGCCAGGGCGAGTGGATTACCTGAGGTTGGGAGTTCGAGATCAGCCTGGCCAACATGGTGAAACTCCGTCTCTACGAAAAAAGCAAAAATTAGCTGGGTGTGGTGGTGGGTACCTGTAATCCCAGCTACTTGGGAGGCTGAGACAGGAGAATCACTTGAACTTTGGAGGCAGAAGTTGCAGTGAGCTGAGATCATGCCACACTGCATTCCAGCCTAGGCAATAGAGCGAGATTCCATAAAAAACAAAACAAAACAAAACAAAAAAAATGCGTTATGAACAATAGTATGGAGGTTCTTCAAAAAATTAAAAGTAGTACCACCGTGTGATACAGCAATTCTACTACTATCCTCACTTCTGTATTTATTGCAGCCCTATTCACAATAGCCAAGAGGTAGAATAAACCTAATTGTCCATTGACCAGTGAATGGATAATGAAGATGTGGTATGTAGACAACATTTCTATGTGTTCCATGCGTACACAATGGCATATATTATTCAGCCTTTAAAAAGTAGGATATCTTGTTATTTGTGACAACATGAATGAACTTGGAGGACATTATGCTAGGTTAAATAAGACAGGCACAGAAATACAAACACTGCATGATTTCCCTTACATGAGAAATCTAAGAAAGTCAAACTTATAGAAGCATAGAGTAGAATGGTGGTTGCCGGGGGCTAAGAGAGATGTTGCTCAAGAAGCAATAAGTTTCAGTTACATAAGATGAACAAGTTTTGGTGACCTAATGTATGGCAACGGTGACTGAAGTTAATAATGCTATATTATATGCTTGAAACTTGTTAAGAGAGTAGACTTTAAATGTTCTCACCACACACACACAATGGCATCTATGTGTGAAGTGATAGATATGATGATTAGCTTGATTGTAGCAATTATTTCACAATGTATACATATGTCAAGACATCATGTTGCATGTATCACCTTAAATATATACAATTTTTATTTGCCAATTATACCTCAACAAAGCCAGGAAAAAAAACCTTAGAAACAACAAAAGTAAAAATATAAACATTAAATGAATAGGAAAAGAAGACACTAATTCTCAAAATGTGGCCAATAAGCCAGCAGCATAATATCATCTGGAACTTATTAAAAACTTTTTTTTTTTTTTGAGACGAAGTCTCACTCTGACGCCCAGGCTGGAGTGCAGTGGCGTGATCTTGGCTCATGGCAACCTATGCCTCCTGAGTTCAAGTGATTCTCCTGCCTCAGCCTCCCAAGTAGCTGGGATTACAGACAAGCACAACCGCGCCTGGCTAATTTTTGTATTTTTTTTGTAGAGATAGGGTTTCACCATGTTGGCCAGGCTGGTCTCGAATTCCTGACTTCAGGTGATCCACCCACTTCGGCCTCCCAAAGTGCTGGGATTACAGGCGTGAGCCACTGTACGCGTCCAAAAACTTTTATGCCCTACCCCAGACTAACAAAATCAAATTCTGGAACTGGGCAAACTCCAGTTGATTCTGATACATGCTAAGTAATCATTGCTTTAAGATGTATAAAGCTATTTAAATGTTATATTTTTTCTTAAGCCAGTTTGGCAATTTGTATTTTTCAAGAAATAATGTCCATTGGCCGGGCGTGGTGGCTCATGCCTATAATCCCAGCACTTTGCGAGGCCGAGGCGGGTGGATCACAATGTCAGGAGATTGAGACCATCCTGGCTAACGTGGTGAAACCCCGTCTCTACTAAAAAAAATACAAAAAATTAGCCGCATGTGGTGGCAGGTGCCTGTAGTCCCAGCTAATCAGGAGGCTGAGGCAGGAGAATGGCGTGAACCTGGGAGGTGGAGCTTGCAGTGAGCCGAGATTGTGCCACTGCACTCCAGCCTGGGCGACAGAGCGAGACTCTGTCTCAAAATAAATAAATAAATAAATAAAAAAGTCTATTTAATCTAAGTTGTGAAATTTATTGCCATAAGGCTGTTCATAATATTCTCTTTTTATTTTAGTGTTTATAGGATCAGTAGTGATGTCCCTGATACTGATAACTTGTGTCTTCTCTTTTTATTAATCAGTCTAGTTAGAATGTTGCCTGTAATTTGAGAACGACATCATGTAATTGAAAATCTTTTGCCCCCTCATCTTATTTGTACCAGTAGAGGATGATATCCTCGGGTAAAAAAGAAAAAAAAAGGAAAAGAATTTTATCAGTATTACTGATTTTTTCATAACTCTGGTTTAAATTTTATTAATTTTTCTCTATTATTTTCCTGTCTTCTATTTTATTGATTTCTTCTCGGATCTTTGTCACGTCCTTTTGTTACTTTGCTCTTTTTATTGAGTTTTTTAGGGTGTACGCTTAGGTCATTGATTTCTAACTTTTCTTCTTTTCTAAATAAGCACTTAAAGCTATGCATTTTCCTCTGTATACTGCTTTAGCTTCATCTCACCTATTTTGATATGTTGTGTGCTCTTTTTTATTCAGCTCAAAATATTTTTTAATTTCTCTTTTGCTTTCTTTTTTTGGTCCATGGATTATTCAAAAGTCTGTTGGTTAATTTCCAAATATTTGAAGGGCTTTCCAGATATCTGTCTGTTATTGACTTCCAATGCAATTCCACTGTTGTTAGAGGACATACTTTGCATGACTTCAATCCCTGTAAATTTACTGAAACATTTTATAGCCTCTTCTGTGGTGTATGCTGTTGAATGTTGAATGTATGAACCTAAAAAAATGTGAATTCTGATCTTGTTGGGTAGAATAGTCCTAAATATTGTACTTGTTTAATCAATTAATGAGAAGGGTATTGTGATCTTTACCTGTATTTGTGGGTTAATCTATCCTTTCAATTATGTTAAATTAGAATCAAAGTATCAAAGCTTTAATATAAATGAAACAAAAATTTGTCAGGGTCAACTAAATGTAGGATTGTTGTTCTGATAAACTGACTCATTTATTATCGTGAAATATCCCTCTTTATCCCTGGTAATAATTATTATTGCTAAATCCACTCTGCTGACATTCATATAGCCACTGCAGATTTTTGTGATTAGTGTTAGTGGGAGAGATTATGTTAGTGTTAGATGGGGAATGGATTAGTGTCTGTTTTCATCTATTTTCCCCCAATTTTTAAATTTTGGTAAAATACACATAACATTTACCATTTTAACCATTTTTAAGTGTACAGTTCAGTGTAAATACACTCATAATGTTGTACAACCATCACCAACATCCATCTCCATAACACTTTTCATCTTGCGGAACTGAAACTATATACCAATTAAACAATCACTCCTGTTTCCCTCCACCCTCAACCCCTGCCATCCCCTGGCAACCACCACTCTACTTCCCATCTCTATGATTTTCACTATTCTATGTACTTCATATAAGTTGAATCATACAGTATTTGTCTTTCTGTGACTGGTTTATTTCACTTAGCATAATGTCCTTAAGGTTCATCCATGTTGCAGTATACTGCGGAATTTCCTTCCTTGTTGAGGCTGAGTAATATTCCATTGTATCAATATATCACATTTTGCTTTTCCATTCATTTGTTGATGGATACTATTGCTTCCACATTGTAGCTGCTATAAACAATGCTGCTGTAAACATGGGTGTATAAATATCTCTTTGCAATCTTGCTTTCTATTTGGGGGGGTATTACCCAGAAGTACCCATTCATTGCTGAAATTCATTGCTTAATTTTTTGAGGAACTGTCATACTGCTGTCTGTACTGGCTGCACCATTTTACATTCCCACCAACATTGCAAAAGAGTTCCAGTTTCTCCACAACCTCACCAACACTTGTTATTTTCTGTGTGTGTGTGTGGTTTTTTGTTTTGTTTTGTTTTGAAAGTAGCCATCCTAATGGGTGTGAGGTGGTATCTCACTGTAGTTTTGATTTGCATTTCCCTAAAGATTAGTGATGTTGAGTATCTTTTTACATGCTTGTAGGTCATTTGTAGATCTTCTTTGGAGAAATGTCTATTCAAGTCCTTTGCTCATTTTTGAATTTTTTTTCTTCATTTTAGTTCTCTATATATTCTGGATATTAATCCCTTATCAGATGTATGATTTGAAAATATTTCCTTCCATTCTGTGGGGTTGCTTTTTTACTACTGATAGTGTCTTTCAATGTACAAAATGTTAAATTTTCATGCAGTCCAATTTGTTTTTTTCTTTTGTTGCCTGTACTGTTAGTGTCATCACTTATTTTATTTATTTATTTATTTATTTAAGATGGAGTCTTGCTCTGTTGTCCAGGCTGGAGTGCAATGGTGTGATCTTGGCTCACTGCAACCTCTGCCTCCCAGGTTCAAATGATTCTCCTGCCTCAGCCTCCTGAGTAGCTGGGACTACACGCATGCACTACCATGCCCAGCTAATTTTGAATTTTTAGTAGACATGGGATTTCATCATGTTGGTCAGGCTGGTCTTAAACTCCTACCTCAGGTCATACACCCCCCTTGGCCTCCCAAAGTGCTGGGATTACAGGCGTGAGCCACTGTGCCCGGCACCTACTTATTTTAAACCTGCCCATGCCTTTTTATTCAAAGTGTGCTTCTTTAAAGTTTTGCTTTGTATCCAATGTGATGATATCTGCCTTTTAATCGTAGTTTTGATCATTGCATTTAATATAATTATTGATAAGTTTAATTCTAGATGTTCTATGTTGCTCTTTCTTTTCCATTTATCCCATATGTTGTTTCTTTTTTCTTTCTTTTTAATTGTGCAGCTGTACTTTGTTTAATATATATTTCATGCACAAATGCCGAGAGAAAAAGAGAAAGGCAGGGAGAGGGACAGAGAGAGGCTGTGAGTTTATAATAAAGATCCATCTTTAATACAAAGTACCTAGAAATGATGCTCTATCACTTCAGGTAATTATGAGACACTTACAACAAGTGGAGACATGGTGGAGAAATAGTATGTAAACGGAATATTTTCTGACAAAGTGGAAAGAATGCAACTAAAAATTGGAGCAGAATGGAGAAGGAGAAAAGTAGACTATGACCGATGATTGTTGAGTAGATAACAGATGAGCTTTCTTGTTTATGCTGAATGAAGAACATCAAAGGTATAAATAAGGTAATCAGTGAAACAAAATATGAGGCTTCCAAAATATAAAAAATAATTGTAGAATGTGAGATACTTATACATCATATAGAGAAACAGGGTAAATATAATACACGCTGTAATTAGAACAATGTGAGAGCATTGAGATCAATCATATCAATAATTGTTAATGGGCATAACATCTGTACAACAGTGTATTTATGGACCCACATGGAATGCTAATATATAATAATTTAACTATACTATATTATGTTATAGTATAGTTATATACTATATAACTATACTATACTATATAGTATAGTTATATACTATATATGTTATACTATACTATATAGTATAGTTATATACTATATATGTTATAGTATAGTATGTAAGATATATTATAATAATTTAACTATACTATATTATGTTACATATATAATATATATATTATGGTATAACATACTATACTATATACTATACTATATACTATACTATACTATATAGTATAGTTATATACTATATATGTTATAGTCTATACTATATATGTTATAGTATAGTCTATACTGTATATGTTATAGTATAGTGTATACTATATATGTTATAGTATGTAAGATATAATAATTTAACTCTACTATATTATGTTACATATATAATATATATATTATGGTATAACATACTATACTATATACTATACTATACTATATATTATAGTTATATACTATAGTATGTTATTGCATAGTATGTAAGATATAATAATTTAATTATACTATATTGTTACATATATAATATATATATTATGGTATAACATATTATGATTATAATTATAGTATAATTACATGATTATATATAACTGTATGTTACATATTAAATAAATCATGTTATATATTATTTATATAATCATGTTACATATGATTTATATGTTATATATGATTATATATTCATATGTCATATATGATATAATCATATATGTTACATATGATTATATATAACTATATAAGTTATATAATATATAATTATATTATCAAAAAGTAAAAAGTGCAAAAGAATATATTCATTTTGTGTAAAGAAAAATGGAAAATAATATAATAAAAAAATAATAAAACATGCATATCAGCGGATTTTTGCAAAAAGAAACAAAGAATGGGTAAATCAGAAATGAATAAAAAGGATTATATATGGCTGGTCATGGTGGCTCATGCCTGTAATCCCAGCACTTTGGGAGGCTGAGACGGGTGGATCACTTGAGGCCAGGAGTTCAAGATCAGCCTGGCTAACATAGTGAAACCCAGTCTCTACTAAAAATACAAAAATTAGCCATTTGTGATGGCAGGCGCCTGTAGTCCCAGCTTATTCAGGAGGCTCGGGGCAGGAGAATCGCTTGGACCCAGGGGACGGAGCTTGCAGTGAGCCAAGATTGCACCACTGCACTGCAGCCTGGGAGACAGAGCGAAAAAAAAAAAAGAAGGGATTCTGTACAAGAGGAGCAGGATGAGATAGCAGGAATGAGGAAGGAGCAACATTCTTTGAGTCTTTTTTATTGTTTTCACTCTTACATGATGTTAATGTCCTAAATAGTAAAAATAAATAAATAAAATTAGATCAGTATACATGGGGAAAAACTCTAAATGCCAACTGAAACCAATAAACTCAACTCTATTTCACAAGAGTAACAACCACGATTAAAAGGAAGGACAAATAATTAGTTCAAATAACAATTGAAGCTGGGCTTGGTGGCTCACGCCTATAATCCCAGCACTTTGGGAGGCTGAGATGGGTGGATCACTTGAGGCCAGGAGTTCGAGACCAGCCTGGCTAACATAGTGAAACCCAGTCTCTACTAAAAATAGAAAAATTAGCCAGGCGTGGTGGTGCATGCCTGTAATCCCAGCTACTTGGGAGACTGAAGCAGGAGAATCGCTTGAACCCGGGAGGAAGAGGTTGCAGTGAGCTGAGATTGCACCAATGCACTCCAGACTGGGTGACAACAGCAAAACTCCATCTCAAAAACAAAAAAAGTATCATTGAATAAGGGAACATGAATATTATGGGCCTCCAGGTGTGATACCTGAGGACACAGTATCATTTATGTAGCAGTCCAGTCGGGAATGTAGCAGATTCTATACAATAACTGGTCTGTATTCTTCAAATATACAAATTTCAGGAAAGACAAAGAAAGGTTGAGGAACTGTTCCAGATTAAGGGAGACTTAAAAGACTTGTATTTTTAGTAGAGAGAGATTTCACCATGTTGGCCAGGCTGGTCTCGAACTGCTGACCTCAACTGGTCCGCCCGCCTTGGCCTCCCAAAGTGCTGGAATTACAGGGGTGAGTGGTGATGCGTGCCTGCTATCCCAGTTACTCGGGAGGCTGAGGCAGGAGAATTGCTTGAACTCAGGAAGAGGTTGCAGTTAGCCAAGATCGTGCCACTGCACTCCAGCCTGGGCGACAGAAGACTCTGTCTCAAAAAAAAAAAAAAAAAAAAAGATTTGACAACTAAATGCAATTCCAAAATGGATTCTCTACTGGAAAAATAATTGCTATAATAAACATTTTGTGGGCAATTAACTACATTAGAATATATATTATAAATTAGATATATATCATTAGATTACATCATTAGATCTATAGATTATTACATGTTGATGTTAAAGTTCCTAAATTTGGTAAAATAATTGTGGTTATATAAAGGAATACCCTTATTCTTAGGAAATAATCACTGAAAAATTAAGGGCATAGTGGTATGATATATGCAGCATATACCTAAATAATTCAGAAGAAATAATAATAAATGTTTTCCTGTAACTATCAATCTGCTGAGAGAATGATAAAGCCAATATGGTCATATGTTAAAAATCAGTGAATCTGGGTTCTTTTTATAATTCTTATAACTTTTCTATAAATTCGACACCATTTCAACATAAAATCAGAAAAAAATATTAAAGAGTATGTAAGCTTACAGAGGGGTGAACTGAATATAAAACAGGTCAAATAGAAAACTAACAGTGAGACAGTGTATGTAGACTCCAATGTATCTGTCAGTGATTAAATTAAATTCTAAACAGACTAAAAACTTTTTTGTGTTGTTAGAGACAGGGTCTCCATCTGTCACTCAGGATAGAGTGCAGTGGTGGGATCATAGCTCATTGTAGTCTCGAACTCCTGGGTTCAAGTGATCCTCCCACCCCAGCCTCCCTAGTAGCTGGGACCATGGGCATGTGCCACCATGCCCGGCTAATTTTTAATTTTTATTTTTTTGTAGAGATGAGTCTCACTACATTGCTTGGTGGGGGGTCTCAAACTCCTGGCCTCAAGTGATCCTTTGGCCTCGGCCTCCCAAAGTGCTGGGATTATAGGCATGAGCCACTGTGCCTGGCCTAAAGACTTTTATTAAAAAGAAAAAATGGGCCAGGCACAGTGGCTCACGTCTGTAATCCCAGCACTTTGGGAGGCCGATGTGGGTGGATCGCCTGAGGTCAGAAGTTTGAGACCAGCCTGGCCAACATAGTGAAACTCTGTCTCTGCTAAAAATACAAAAATTTGCCAGGCATGGTGATGCATGCCTGTAATCTCAGCTACTTGGAAGGCTGAGGCAGGAGAATCACTTGAACCTGGGAGGCAGAGGTTGTAGTGAGCCAAGATCGCGCCACTGCACTCCAGCCTGGGCAACAGAGTAAGACTGTCTCCAAAAAAAAAAAAAAGAGTAAAAATGGAGGCAAAAAAAACCCCCTAACTATATAAAAGCATATCATAAATACAGGAATACAGAAAGGTTCAAAGAAGAAGGTCACAAATATATATATATACCAACTGGTAGACTACATTGGTATTGAACAAAATTAGCTCAGAAGCACTGCTTAGAAATTAAGTGGGCATTTCATAGATGTTTAAAGAGAACAGTCCCCCTGCAAATGTTAGCAATTCTAAATACTGATGTACCCAACTGCACAGTTTCAAAATATATAAAGCAAATTAACAGGACTAAACTGAGGGTGGGCGTAATGGCTCATGCCTGTAGTCCCAGAACTTTGGGAGACCAAGGTGGGCAGACCACCTGAGGTCAGGAGTTCGAGATCAGCCTGGTCAACATGGCAAAACCCCATCTCTACTAAAAATACAAAAAGATTAGCCTGGCATGGTGGTGTGTGCCTGTAATCCCAGCTACTCGGGAGGCTGAGGCAAGTGAATCGCTTGAACCCAGGAGGCAGAGGTTGCAGTGAGCCAAGTTCACACTACTGCACTCCAGCCTGGGTGACAGAGTGGAATTCCGTCTTGAAATAAAATAAAATAAACTGAGAAAGAGACAAATCCACAATCACAGTGGGAGAGTCAAACGCCTCTCAACCTCTAACAGAAGAAAGAAACACAGAAATAATTCTATACATATTGAAGATCTGAACAGCAAAATTATATTTGGTCTACCAATAAATATCAGAGCACTGCACCTGACACTGACATGGTAGACATTGTTTTTAAGTGGACACGTTCTATCTTTGTATTCTGTCACTATTCCCCCTGCCTTTTTTTTGGCTGTTGACTTGAATGCCTGGATATTTTTAGTGGAGTTTTCATATTCATATATTCTTTTGGGGATGTATAGGTAGGTCAGTTTCTTTGAAAAGTAGTAGGCAGGGAAGTTATCTCGCCAGGCATCACAGTCCACGCTCTCATTCTGTTTCTCTCCTTGGAAGGAAGACACTAATTATAGTTCACTGAGTATCACTGTCATCTGACCCTGACCTCACCTGCAGAATCCAGGGCCACAAACCCTTGATACACACTCACTCCAAGAATCCACTGGGGATTTAAAGGTGGGGAAAAAAAAGTTTCTGCCTTCAAGAATTTCAAAGCACTGTGAGAAGGGCAGAAGCATATGTAATTAACCAGAATTCAGGGTGAGAAGTACCATTTTAACTGTTTGGAATTGGTGTTATGAAAGAGCATTACAAAAAAGGTGTCTGCCTCAAGAAAAGCAGACTCATGAGAATTCTTTAGGGTCTTCATTGGGGACGACTTAGTTATAAGGAAGGTGTTCTTGCCTTAGCCCAGGTCAGAGAAGTCATTCGTCTGAAAGGTAACCAGGAGCTTCATGAAACCCAGGAACAATGAATGAGGGTGAGCCTTGGGAGGGACTTACACGTGGGCCCTGGGAGTCCACACCCCAGGTTTCCTCTGCCTGCCTCCTTGGGGGCACCTGGCCTCTCATGGCTACTGTTCGTGTTTGCTTCATGGCAGGCTGCAGGCTGGCTGTCTTCTTAGTGTGCACATAGCTGCTCTAGCCTCATGTCTTCACGATTCAAGTTGCCACTGGAGACCAATTAGAATCTCTGAATCACATTTCCAAATACACAGAGAAGAATGATGGTTCACCCTGGGTAAGACAAACATGGGCAGCTGGCTGTGGGCAGGGGTCATGAATGTGGTCTCAGCTAGCTCTCTAATAAGAGGATGTGGGCAAGGAAGGTGTTACTGAGCAGAAGGGCTGGCTGCTCTATGCGCTAGAAGCCAATATGATGACACCATTATTTCTGACTAAAGAAAAGCTTTCTGTTATGGGTCGACCAACAGGGAGACAGGTGTTCAGCTCAAATCTGACTCTGTGCTGGCTTTTAGGCCGTACTTTTATTAGAAAAGGTTTAGTGGCTGGGTTCTGGGATTAGCAGGAGATTGGTGGAACGAAGGGGGAGGTCTGGAAAGTCCTTGCACAGGACTTTAACTGCAGTTATCTCTCCATGCCCCCTCACGGGTCTCATGTACAAGTCTGCGGTGAGTTAGTAAGAAATGTACAGTGGAAACGTAGGCTGTGATGTCCACAAGCTCCTTCAGTGCAGATTGCAATTGGCAATATTGGTCCAACTGATTTCTGCCAGTTTTGTTATCTTACAAGTGGAGGGAGTTTCAGCGTTTCAGCAAATTGTTTTTCTTCTTATCTGCCATCTTGCAAGCTCAAGAATTTCAGTCAGTCATTGGTTTTAGTTAACTCTTTGGGGCATGGTTTCAAAGGTAACATACCTGACACAAATGAGCTGACTGTAGGGTCTTTAGGCACCTCTCTACATGGCTAATTACTGTAGTTGAGGCACTGGCAAAAAAAAAAAAAAGTTACTTATTATTTTCATTGCTTGTATGGGAAAAATGTTTGTCAAAATAAATCTGACGGTGGTTAAAGGTTACATGGGAGACATTCTTGTCAATTCTAGCCACATTATCAGTGTTTGCAATGGTTCCCTGAAGGATGGGAATACTGGTAAGTGTGGGTGAAGGATTACCTAGGTGCTGAGGCAAGAGACTGAAGGCACAAACTGTTTCAGTATAATAAATAAAATAGTTAGAATAAGAATAGTTATAATACAAATTAGCTATAGAGATGATCATGGACATTATCAATCAGTAGTATAGACATTATTAATCATTAGCTTTTAATATTACTCTTTGTTGTATTACTAATATAACCAAGGAATAACCGGTGGGTATAGCGTCAGGTGCTGAAGGGACATTGTGAGAAGTGACCTGGAAGGCAAGAGGTGAGCCCTCTGTCATGCCCGCATAAGGGCCGCTTGAGGGCTCCTTGGTCAAGCGGTAACGCCAGTGCCTGGGAAGGCACCTGTTACTTTGCAGAACGTGAAAGGGAGTCTCCTTTCCTTAGAGTCAGGGAACACTCTGCTCCACAAGCTTCTTGTGGGAGGCTAGATATTATCCAGGCCCTCCCACAGTCATCCGGCTGCATAAACTCCTCTCTGTGGTGCTGTGCTTCAGTGGTCACGCTGCTTGTCCACTTTCATGTTCCTCCCATACTCCTGGTTCCTCTTTGAAGTTCTTAGTAGACAGGAGTAGAAGAAACAGTGAAAGTCTTACAGACTTTGATCTTTCTTACAAGTAAATAGAAGAAAACGCTGACGTACGCTGCCTTCCCTCTCTGCTTTGGCTACCTAAAAGGGAAGGGCCCCGTCCCATGATCAGGTGAGTTGCTTGACCTTATCAATCACTTGGACGACTCACCCTCCTTACACTGCCCCCTTGTCTTCTATGCAATAAATATCAGCGCGCCCAGCCATTCAGGGCCACTACCGGTCTCCGCGTCTTGGTGGTAGTGGTCCCCTGGACCCAGCTGTTTTCTCTTTAACTCTTTGTCTTGTGTCTTTACTTTTCTACAATCTCTCGTCTCCGCACACGGGGAGAACACCCGCTAAGCCCCGTAGGGCTGGACCCTACAGGTAAGACCACACAAAGTGCCAAGGGCAGTGCCAGATTTGCCGCAGGAACCTGAAGATGTCTTTTTCCTTGTACTGGACATGTATTCCCAGCATCTCCCTTCCCAGTAGTACTCTGGCTTTCCTAGCCAGGTGATTTACGTGTGATTGTTTCCACATTCCAACTCCAGAGATAGAAACTGACTGGTCCAAGTCATCTACTGAACCCATGCCCCTGGTCACAGTGGTTGGCTCTACGATGGGCACATGAACCAAGCCAGGTCAAAAAGGCTCCAGTACTGGCCCTTTGAGCTATCTTGGAGGTACACTTTCCCCGCTCTGAACTTGGACCAGGAAACATACAGACCTTGAGAGCAGTGGGCGGCTATTCTAGAACCAGGAGCGGGTCTGCAAGAATGGGGTGGAATATGTTTACACTCCTCACGGCACAGCAGTGCAGTGGGCAGAGAGGCCTGAGACCTGGAACACCACTGAAAAAGCACCTTAAACTTCACATGGCCAATTCACAATTCTTTTTTCCTGCTCCTCCCCCAGTATGTCAGGTCAGAATAGGTGAAGCTGTGGGGCAATAACAAACAACCCCCAAATCTCAGTGACTTAAAACAACACAGGTTTATTTCTTACAGTACAACTTGAATGCAAGTTGGCGAGAAATCTCTGCTCCTCACCATCCTTATTCCAGGACCCAGATGGACACAGCAGCAGCCACCACTGGGGAGAGAGTTCTGGAGGATTTTGCAAGGGAAGTTGAATGTTGTGACCCAGAAATGACATATCTCATTGTCAAGAACAAGTCATAAGGCCCCACGTAGGCGAAAAGGGGCCGAGAAGAGGGGAGAACCAGAGTATTTGTTGAACACCAATACCACATACTCTTCTCCATCTCAAGAAAAGGCATCCTTTTATGTTCATAATGTTAGGTTCATTAAAAAAAAGAGAAATCAAGAAAAGGCACCATTATACACCAAGTTATGCAAGCCAAGAAAAAAATTTGTTGTTCCTCATAGTCTTTCTCTTATTCCTAATGTCTAATCTGCCAGCAAGTCTTTTTTTTAAATTTATTTTTAATTTTTGTGGGTATGTAGTAGGTATATATATTCATGGGTTACATGAGATCTTTTGATTCCGCCATGCAATGCATAATTATATCAGAGTAAATGGCGTTATCTGGCACCTCAAGAATTTATCCTTTTGATATGGTATAGCTGTGTCCCCACCCAAATCTCACCTTGAACTGTAATAATCCCCATGTGTCAAGGGTGGGGCCAGGTGGAGATAATTGAATCCTGGGGGTGGTTTCTCCCATACCGTTCTTGTGGTAGTAAGTCTCACGAGATCTGATGGTTTCATAAATGGGAATTCCCCTGCACGAGCTCTCTTCTCTGCCGCCATGGAAAACATGCCTTTGCTCTTCTTTAATGTTCCGCTGTGATTGTGAAGCCTCCCCAGCCACGTGGAACTATGAGTCCACTGAACCTTTTTCTTTATAAATTTCCCAGTCTCAGGTATGTCTTTATTAGCAGCGTGAGAACAGAATAATACACCTTTGTCTTACAAACATTCCAATTATACTTTTAGTATGTACAATTAAATGCACAATTAAAATGTACAATTCAATTATTTTTGACTACAGTTGCACTGTTGTGCTAGCAAACACTAGGTGTTACTCATGATTTTGGTACTCATTAACCATCCACTTCCCCTCCACTCCCCAACTACTCTTCCCAGCCTTGGGTAACCATCCTTCTACTATCTCCATGAGTTCACTTATTTTAATTTTTAGCTCTCACAAGTAAGTGAGAACATGTGATGTCTGTCTTTCTGTGCCTGGCTTAGTTCACTTAACATAATGATCTCCGGTTCCACTTACGTTGTTACAATACCAGCAAGTCCTGTCAGCCCTACCTCCTTTCTCTACCCCTACCTACTATTCTGTTCCCAAACACCATAACGTTGCACTTGGACTACCGAAATTTCCTGATCTCTGGTCTCCCTGCTTCTGATCGCATACCTCACCCACACATCTGATTTCCACCCAGCATCTGTGGTTGGCTGATTAATGCCACCCTGCTCTGAAATGTCCACTTCCTAATTTCTAGGAAATGTCCACTTCCTAATCTCTAGGACCTGTGAATATGTCATGCTCCTTGGCCAAAGGGCCTTTGCAAATGTGATGACAATTATGAACCTTGAGATGAGGGAGATTATCTTCTATTATCTGGTGGTTCCAATCTAACACACACCAGTCCTTAAAAGTGGAGACTCTTTCCCAGCTGAAGTCAAGAAGATGCGGCAGAGAAGAGACAGAAGGAATGTGGCAGTGTGAAGCTTGACACCCTGCTGGTGGTCTTGAGATGTAGAGGGCTATGGAGCAAGAACCTCTTGAGGAGCTAAGGGTGGTCCCTAGCTGAGAGCCAGCCAAGAAATGAGAACCCTGGTTCTTCAACTGAATGAGCCTGGAAACAGACTCATCCCTGGAGCTTCCAGAAGGAAGCCTAGGTTTCATCTTCCTGGATTCTGTGCAGAGGACACAGTCACTTCCTGCTCTACCTGGACTTCTGATTACAAAACTGGAGACCACGTTTGTGATGTTTTAAGCTGCATGTTTTTGGTCACTTGATATGGCAGCAATAGAAAAATACAGTATTCACAGACATGCTGTTTGAAACACAAATGAGATAATGTCACTACCCTGCTCAAAATCCTCCATTTTTGAATCACATCTGGGAACAAATTCAACTTCTTCATGGTGGCATGTGTGGTCTGCCTTCTGCATCCTTCTCCTACTCTCTCCTCTCCTGTGTGCTGCATCTGACAGGCGCACCAAGCTCCTTTCTGCCCAGGACTTTGTGATACTGGCTCAGCGGCCTGGAGCCTTCTTCCCTCCAATCTTAGTATAGCGTGATTCTTCTGGGTGTAGTCATTGAAATTTTAGCCTAAACATCTCCTCCAAGAAGGCTTTCTGAGCACCCAAACCCAAGGAGCCACCCACTCATACTCTATCATAGCACTTTCATTTCTCTTAAAACATTTGGATGTTTTCTGTTATTTTTTTATCTGTTGTCTGTATCCTCTACTAAAATGTAAGCTCAATGAGAATACGGAATGTCTTAGACACTAATGTATTCCCAAGGCCTTTTAGGTCTCAACAAATATTAATTGAATAAATCTAATTACTAGGATATCAGATTAAGCCTTACCTAAAGGCCTAAAAAAGTTAAATGTGCTAAAACATTCCCTTTATGTAAGACAACTTGGGTTAGGTTTTCCGAAACTTGTGTAAATCAAACATAAAATTCTAAGGCCCCCCAACCACCTGAATGGACCCCTCTTTCGGCCAAAGGCATTCTGAAGTTAACCTGAAAAGCTAGTTCAGGCCATGATGGGAAGGGGGAACTAGACATGCTTCATTACACCCTCCGTACTTTGGGAATTATGGATAGAACAGACTCTTTAAGTCTGATAAGAAACATTTACAATCTACTTTCTCTGAAGCCTGCTACCTAGAGGCTTCATCTGCATGATAAAACCTTGGACTCCACAGTCCCTTACTGTAACTCAGACACTCCTTTCTATTGACAGTAACTCTTTCTGTCAATCAGAAAAATCTCTAAATCTACCTATGACCTGGGAGCCCCCCACTTTGAGTTGTCCCACCTTTCTGGACTCAACCAGTGTACATCTTACATGTACTGACTGATGTCTCGTGTCTCCATAAAGTGTATAAAGCTAAGCTGCACCCCGACCACCTTGGGTACATGTCATCAGGACCTTCTGAGGCTGTGTGTCATGGTGTGTCCTTAACATTGGCAAAATAAACTTTCTAAATGAAGACTTATCTCAGATACTTTTGGTTTACACTTGCAATTTGAAATTTCCTAAATGATACACCCTTGGCTTTCCCTTAGAGGTCATCATATCCATTTCAATTCAGTGCAATAATAGGATATTTTGAATTCATGTTTATATCATAAACCTATCCTCACGCCCTTTTCTCACCTCTTCCTCTGGCATACAGTAGGTACTCAGGAAGTTCTCACTGAAGAAACCATTGAGTTACATGATGGCCTAGGAAAGGTTGTGTTCATAATTTTCATAATCTACCAGGCTCTTACAGATATTCAAAGATTCTGAAACATTTTCTATTAAACAAAAAGGCTGCCCACAAAGACAGCACAGTAACAGTACAGCAGGTCCCCTAACAATGGTCTTGTCTATTTGTGCTAAACTATTAATTATCAGTAACCCCCAAAGCACCTTCCTACAGAGTGAATCTAGTGTGATATCAGGTGTTGTAAAAAATAAAAAATAATAATTAACAGCAGTGAGTGCCAAATGAGCAAAACTTATGTAAATAATCTTAATAGAAATGAGAGATAATTGTTCACAGGTGTCATTTCCTGAGAGAAAACATATACCTTTTCTTGCAAGAGAAAATGCTAATAGTTTCATTAAATTTATGAGCCTTAATTAGCTCACTGCAGTTCTAATTACCGGGCTAGTCCTGAAATCATGTTCCTTCACTCCTTTCCCTTTCTTAAGCAGATTCACGCACAATCAGCCCCTTCTACTTCTTTATGAATATGTGCACCTTGGCAGGGCTTTGGCATTTATCTTCAACAATGATAATGTCTCCTCTAAGAACATCCAATCAATCAGTCTCTCTTGGTCTTTGTCCATGGCTCTATTTTTCTGTCTCTCTTCCTCACCCGCACAGAGACACAAACACAAATCCATTTCCTTGTGTTGCAAATACACACCTCAGGAATTACTAAGAAACTAATTTATCTATAAAACTGTTCTCTTAATCTCCTCCTCAGTCCTTGAAGTTTTCTTTTTTTTTTTCTTTTTGCTTTTAAAGATATTTTCTACAGCAAGAATAGTTAACATAAAATTACTAAGGGCTCTTTAGTATCTGTCAGACTCACCTGTAACTTTGCTCTTCATGCTTTTCTCTTTCACATTCTAATTTTGAAGACGACTGTGATAATAATCCTGCAGCTTTCATCTAATGTACTTACCATGTGCTAGATATTGGGCCTAGTGCTTGAAATGTTATCTCATTTAATCCACCCCACAAACCAATAGGTATATTATGATTACACCTCCATTTACAAAAGAAGACATGAAGCTAAGAATATGAGTAGCATGCCCAAAGTCATACAGGCCCATTCTATTTCCTCTCCTTGTGGGACTCCAGTACCACTTATAGAATGGCATAAAATATACCAAAATATACTCCATGCTCTCCTTTTTCTTTTTAAATAAAAACAGGGCTGGGTGCGGTGGCTCACGCCTGTAATCCCAGCACTTTGGGAGGCCAAGGCGGGCAGATCATGAAGTCAAGAGATCGAGACCATCCTGGCCAATATGGTGAAACCCTGTCTCTACTAAAAATGCAAAAATTAGCTGGGCATGGTGGGCAGCTGTAGTCTCAGCTACTCGGGAGGCTGAGGCAGGAGAATCACTTGAACCCAGGAGGCGGAGGTTGCAGTGAGCCAAGATCTTGCCACTGCACTCCAGCCTGGCAACAGAGCGAGACTCCATCTCAAAACAACATAACACGACACAAAACAAAACAAAAAAAACGGGTCTCACTATGTTGCCCAGGCTGGTCTCAAACTCCTGAGGCCCAACCGATCCTGCCTTGGCCTCTCAAAGTGCTGGGATTATAGGTGTGAGTCACCACACACAGCCTTTCCTTTGTTTTTCAACTTCTCCCCAGCCCACAATATTTTAGTCTGGATATTTTCTTCTAACCTATTGTCCAGTTGATCAACTCTCTTCAGCTGTGTCTAACCCAACAGTGAACACTTAATTCATTGCATTTTTCAGTTCTAGCATTTCCATTTTGCTTTTATAAAGTTTTCAGTTATTCACCTAAATTCTCCTTCTTGTCATTTAAAGTCTTAAATATGATAAACATAGTTATTTTAAAGTCTATGCTTCAGGCTGCAATATTTGATTTGCCTGTGGCACTGTTTCTACTTCAATTCTGTTTCAGTCATGTTTTTTGTTTTTGTTTTTTTGAGACAGGCTCTCACTCTTGTCACCAGGCTGGAGTATAGTGACATGATCATGGCTCACTGCAGCCTTGATATCCCAGGCTCAGGTGATTCTCACACCTCAGCCTCCTGAGTAGCTGGGATTACAGGCGCATGCCACCACACGTAAGTTTTTGTATTTTTTTTTTTTTTGAGACGGAGTCTCGCTCTGTCGCCCAGGCTGGAGTGCAGTGGCGGGATCTCGGCTCACTGCAAGCTCCGCCTCCCGGGTTCACGCCATTCTCCTGCCTCAGCCTCCCAAGTAGCTGGGACTACAGGCGCCCGCCACTACGCCCGGCTAATTTTTTGTATTTTTAGTAGAGACGGGGTTTCACTGTTTTAGCCGGGATGGTCTCGATCTCCTGACCTCGTGATCCGCCCGCCTTGGCCTCCCAAAGTGCTGGGATTACAGGCGTGAGCCACCGCGCCCGGCCAGTTTTTGTATTTTTTGTAGACACAGAGTTTCGCCTTGTTGTCCAGGCTGCTGTCAAATTCCTGGGCTCAAGTGATCCTCCCTTCTCGACCTCCCAAAGTGCTGGGATGACAGGTGTGAGCCACCACACTTGGTCTCAGTTTTAAAAAATTATTCCTGATTATTTTATTGAGTGCTACATTGTGTATATAAAAAGTGTAAAGACAATTTGAAGCCATGAATAAGGCTATCATCCTTCATAGCAGATTTACATTTGTTTCTGGCAGGCAATTGGGATAACAGCCTCTACTCCCAGGATAAGGTATAGTCTCTCCAGAGTCTCAGCTGAATGCCTGGGAGATTGACCGTGGTCTCTCAGCCCCAGCTGGACCCAAATTCCAGTGTCTCCTCGGGATTGTGTAACCTCTGAAATTTCTGTTCAGCTCTGCCACTGACCAGATGTTCTCTGCTAAGCCTCTGCAGGCTAGGAACTGACCAAGGACCCAATGGGAAATTCTTAGGTTTTCTTTATTCCAACTCCCTCCTCTCTGGTGCTCTGCCCCTCCAACCCCTGCCAAACCCCAGCCACCTCAGCAGCTATCAACTCCAATCTGCTTCCTCCAGAAAGCCTGACATACTCTGCTTGGGCTCCATTTTCCTGTGCCACAGTTTGGAAAATCCTCTAAGGGAGAAAGCCTGGGTAACCCTGGGATTCACCTTGTGTTTCTCCTTTCTGTCAAAGTTTACAAAAGCCCTATGTTAACCATTGCCACTCAGTTATCGCCAGGCCCTATTCTTTTATTTTTACATTTTTTTTAAGAGACAAGGTCTTGCTCTGTTGCCCAGGCTGGAGTGCAGTGATGCAATCATAGCTCACTGCTGCCTCAAACGCCTAGGCTCAAGGGATCCTCCCACCTCAGCCTCCTGAGTAACTGGGACTACAGGTGTGTGCCATCACTCATGGCTAATTTGAAAAAAATATATTTTGTAGAGATGGGGTCTTGTTATGTTGCCCAGGCTAATCTTGAACTCCTGACCTCAAGTGATCATTCTGCCTTGGCCTCCCAAAGCACTGGGATTACAGGCGTGAGATACCATGCCTGGCCCAGACCCTGTTCTTTTAAACTGTCTGTGGTAGGAAGAATTCTAAGATGGCCCCCAAGATTCCCACTGCCTGAACAACATGCCCTGCAGAGCCCTTCCCCTTAAGTGTGGATGAGCCTATGAATATAAATGCCACTCCTATTTAGGTAATTAGGCGAGGCTATATAGCAAAAGCGAAAGGATTCTGCAGATGTAATTCAGGTCACAAACAAGCTGATTTTGAGCTAACAAAAATGGAGATTATATTGGGTGGGTCTGACTTAATCCAGGTGAAAAACTTTTTGTTTTTTTTTTTTTTGAGACGGAGTCTCGCTCTGTTGCCCAGGTTGGAGTGCAGTGGTGCGATCTCAGCTCACTACAAGCTCCACCTCCCGGGTTCATGCCATTGTCCTGCCTCAGCTTCCTGAGTAGCTGGGACTACAGGCACCCACCACCATGCCTGGCTAATTTTTTGTATTTTTAGTAGAGATGGGGTTTCGCCATGTTAGCCAGGATGGTCTCAATCTCCTGACCTTGTGATCCATCCGCCTCGGCCTCCCAAAGTGCTGGATTACAGGCGTGAGCCATCACGCCCGGCCGAAAAACTCTTAAAACAGTAACTGGAGAAATGCTTTCTGATGGCCTTGAAGAGGCTAACGGCCATGCTGTGAATCGCCTAGAGAGGGGTGGCCTCTAGGAGCTAATGGCTTCAGTCTCACAGGCATAAGGAATTTAATTTTGCCACAAGCTTGCGTGAACTTGGAAGAGGTCCTGTAACTCCAGATGAGAAAGCAGCCCGGCTGATACCTTGATTGCAGCCTTGTGAGACAGGAGAGGACCCAGCTAACCTGTGCTTCAGCTCCTGATCCACAAAACCTTGAGATAATAGATGTGTGTTGTTTCAAGCTGCAAAGTTTGTGGTGATTTGTTATGTAGTAATAGAAAACTGATACACTCTCTGTGTTATTTTGTTGTTAAAGTTGGACTAGCTTTCCTAAAACTTGGGGTTCTCCCTATTCTATGGCTGAGACTAGGTGAACTTGGGAGTCATCCCCTTTAAGAGTGAGAAAGAATCTGGCTGTGCACCCTTCTTGTCCAAATGTCCTTTGCAACCTTTGAACCCCATGCCAGAACTTTCATGGGTTTTGTCTATTCAAGTTTTCAACTTCTTTTTCAGGCCACATTGACATTTTCTATTTTGTTAGAAAGTCACCCATTTCCTATAGGTTATTTTTGTTACAGAATTGCATATGTTATCCTCATATAATTATTATTATCCCTGATTCTGGAATTATATATTTTACATTTCTACTGTTGTATATTTTTGCTATTTTGTCTTAATCAGGTTGGCCCAGTGTTTAACTGCTTTATTTTAAAATAACTGAATTTTGAATTTATTTATCCTTTCTACTATTTGTTGCATTGATTGATTTCAGCTATCTCCTAAATTTTATCTTCCTAGTTTTGTTCCTAGTTTCAGTCTGTTTCGTTGGGTCTAATTTCTCTCTTTTCACTATATAAAAATTCCAAACTAGCTTAAGCCATATCTTTTCATTGTTAATTTGTTTCATCTAGATGCCCCACAAAATTTTGACACAAATCCTAGACATATACTTGTCTGTAAATATTTCAGTATATATTTTAAAATATAAGGACTTTAAAAAGAAACTTAAGAACCTTAAAGAAACTTAAGAAACTTAAGAAAATGTCCATATCACATATAAGAATTATTGAGATGGGACTGTTCCCTTCAAGGGAACCCCTTCATGGGTGAAAACTGGAGTGGCTGTTTCACTCAGCCTGCTGCTGGCTGCTCCTCATGAGAGGGAGTATGCGAGCAAGTGAGTGCAGGAACCGGAGAGAAGGAAGGCTGGAACAGGACAGTTGCTCCTCTTTGGCAGGAGGCAGGCTCTGCTGGGCCCCACAGCAGCATCCAAGCCCCTGCCCTCCTGGCACCTGGGTCCTTGTCTGGCATCCAGGAACAATCAGGTCACATGAATGGACTGAAGGGTAGTATATGTGGAGGATTTTATTGGGTGATATAAGTGGCTCTCAGTAGGATGGGAGTTGGAAAGGGGATGGTGTGGGAAGGTGATCTTTCCCTGAAGCCACATCTGAAGTTAGCTGGGTCTATCTGTAGTCTCTGCTGCTCAGTTGCTTGTATTCCCGCCAGTTGGCAGCTTGTATCCCTGCTGTTCAGCTGCTTGTGTTGCTCTGCCACCTGAAGTCTTTTTATGGGCACAGGATAGGGGCATGGCAGCCCCAAAAGGCAACATTTGGGCAGAAAAACAGGGTCAGCTGTTTTCACTTAGGGCCAGGGTTCCAGGCTTAAGGGTGGGGTTTAGCCGGGAGCCCAGCCATTCTCTATCATTATGCTAGTTCTTTAATATCACCAGTGTTCATTCAGACAGTTCTGCTAGCACAGAGGGCAAGGACACAGGTAAGTTCAAGCTGCCATCCTCCCAGAATCCCTCAGCTAATAAAGGCCTGGCTTTCAGCCTGACTATAACTCACGGAAGAAATATATTTTATATTGTACCCCCCAAAAATGAATACCTATAACTGGAATAGATAATCCACAAAACAGCACTTATATTTAACATTAGGCTGTCCTCCTCCTTCCCTCCCTCCCTCCTTTCCTTTTAAATGTTGGTTGTAACCCATGAAATTGACTTCACATTATACTATAGTTCTATTATCTGCATTTTGAAAAACAATCTTATAAAGCAAACTTCTAAATAATAACGAAAAGGTTTATGAAAT
Organism: Homo sapiens; assembly: GCF_000001405.40. Lineage (NCBI taxonomy): Eukaryota > Metazoa > Chordata > Mammalia > Primates > Hominidae > Homo > Homo sapiens. The sequence goes on along the minus strand of NC_000019.10, from coordinate 32,486,777 downwards.
GAGTTTCAGACACCTTATCTGAAAGGAGGGGCAGAGAAAAAAAACATTTCATCTGTCAAGTGCCTGGTGTCCATGTCAGCCCATTCCATGTCAGTTCATTCATATCCCACATCTCCTGCTTATCTATATTATTATTCTTATTTTGCTAGGGACCACCTGTCAGTACAGAATATTTGAGACCTCACTGCCAGTTTTTTTCCATTTTGTCTGACCATTTTTGCTTGAAATTTCAACTTCTGCTTTGAACATAACAGTCCAAACATTTGTTATCTATACACTCCAACCAAGCAGGTGCACTACCACCCATCTTCCTGAATTACTAAAGACTCAGAATTTAATCAAGTAGAAACTGTTCTTGAGGTCAAACTAGCATTTATCTCTTCAAGGATAAATTCTGCTGATAGTAGTCTTCTCCTTATAAATCTAAACTATAACCTTGGAATTCAAGTGAAACAAATAAGCAGCTGTCAAACCAAATTCCATTCTAAAAAATAAACACCCTCAACAATAACAATCACAATTAAGCTAACAATTACAATTGAGCTAACAAAAATGGAGATTATATTGGGTGGGTCTGACTTAATCTAGGTGAAAAACTCTTTTTTTTTTTAAAAGACAGAGTCTCGCTCTGTCGGCCAGGCTGGAGTGCAGTGGTGGGATCTCGGCTCACTGCAAGCTCCACTTCCCGGGTTCACACCATTCTTCTGCCTTAGCCTCCTGAGTAGCTGGGACTACAAGCGCTCGCCACCATGCCCGGCTAATTTTTTGTATTTTTAGTAGACACACTAACCTTTAGTGATTTACTCTATTTAGCAAATATTTAATGCACTTCAACAAGCAGGTTCCTTGGGCTTTGACCTTCAAAGAAATGCAAGACACTCATCTTATGTAATTTAAAAGAGCTTTACTTGGTATACAATCTCCATACAATTCAGTAAAACAAATTATAAAAGCTCTTTGCAAGATTTTACCCAAAGGGTGTTAAAACAGAAAATCAATTGCCACAAGAAAGTAAGACACCCTCTCATCTCAAAAGCTTTTTTCCATGAACAAACATTCTCTTAGGCCAAAAGGTTGCCATGTTTAAAGTATCTGGGAGCATATTAACCAAGATATAGGATCTGAGAATACTTAATTGATTTTGAGATTTGAATTAAATTTTAAAAATCAAATATTTTGTATGTTAATTCAGGTAGGTTTTGGCCAAAGATGAACTCAAATTTTTACATCTTAGACAAAATCAATATGGAATCAGAATAGACATTTTTACTTTTAGTTAACTGTGAAATAAAGATGCAGATCAGATGTATTTACATATGCCTTTGCCACCTGGCAGCACCCAACCAAAACCACACACCCACAGAAACACACACACACACACACACTCCTGTCACGCTGATCTCACAAGGGTCGGGAAAATCATCATTAACAGGATGATAAATGGCCTGGGTAACATCTAACTATGCTCCTGGCTAATATATTCGAAATGAATCCCTATTTTTCAAATGCCTGTAATGAAAGTGATTAGAACCTTCCAACTAAATTAGAATCTCTAATAACTATTGTGATCAGTATCAGTAGTTGGTCATTTAATAAAGTAAGTAGGTTAAAGTAGGGAATCATAACCTAAACTGTGTAATATACATTCGTTTGCCGATCTTCTGATATAAAGACACGGATTTTCCTTTGCCTAAGGGTCCAATGACTACAGTTCTACTTCTCACATAAATCACACCAATAACATGATTTGGGTCCCTTCTTCTCAGTTTAGAGGTTTTAAAGGTGGGATGAGTACTTAAATAAATCTATGAAGCAATCTAAGCTCAGAAATTTTCTTGATTTGTATATTTTCCCCAATATCTTATAATATTCCCAGCCACACCTAATTTAAAAGCAACTTTTATTGGCAACTCAGCCTTTATCACTTTTTACCAAAGTATTCAACTTAATTTTTACAGAAAATTCTTTCTTTTCACACCCGTATTTTCTGTGTGTATGTGAATACTTAACTGAGTTGTGTACTTATAAGAGGAAGCAGAACTTGCATGGAGGAGTTTGGGACGGGTGCACAACTCCAGGGAGGGAGCCGGAGCGCTGAGAACACCAGAGAACAGCCTCCAGCTGTGCTGTGGCAGGTGGCTTACGAGAGAGATGGAGACTCCGGGGCCTGGGAGTCACACAGGCAGAGTCCGTTAAGAGCACTTCTATTGTACTTAGAGGGTCTTCTGACTGCTAACTCAGAAGCAAAATCAAGTGGGTTTTCTGTCAATAGAAAACAGAGCCATTCTTTGAGGTTATCACCACCCAGGTCTGAGTGGCGGGGAGCTGCTGCCGCGGGTCTCTTGCTTCGGCCTGGTAGAGAGGCTGTAAGCCAGAGCTAGAAGTCAGATGCTCTTCTTTGCTTTCCTTCTGTGTACTCCAATGAGAAGGTCACATTGGAGAATACTGATGAGTGCTAAAAATATTTATTAATAACATGATTCGTTGAGAGATTTGGTCATCAGGAAATAGCTACTGTACATGGTCACAGTGTCTTGGAAAGAGTGTTAAGTATGGATTCTGTCTTGCAAGATTTTTTTGGCACTTTATATTTTTCACTGAAGACTGAGCACTAAAGGTGCTGGCAACAATGACACCTAAACTATGAAAAAAAAAATCACTGTTTGCCATCATTGCGGTGATAAGCATAAAAATTTAAGTACGTGTTTCTTGTATATTAAGACTCCAAATGCCCAAATGCTTAGATGAATACATACAGGAATATTTAAAATAAATTTAAATATAGCCATAACAGAGGATTTTGAAAACAAAATCACAGAGTCTAACATATTGTACCTTACGTGTGCTTGGTTTCAATTAGAGTAAGGCACTCGCTGAAGGATGTACTGACCCATGCTGTCAGCTACAACAGGCATGCATCATTATTGGCTTAATTAAAGTTTTAGTACTGATTAAAACGTTTTATTATTGTATTATCCTAAACGGCAGTGGTCTCCAATCTTATTAAGGGATACAGAAAAGATATAATTCAGGAGTTTCAGTTGCATAATTTAATAACCCAGCTACTGTCAATTTTTTATTTAAACAAGTTTTGATAAAAGCTGAGTCTGCTTGTGTCCAACATGACAGTGTAAAAGACTTTTTGAATGCTGCTTTATAAGTAGCAACTGAATATAAAATCATTTGAAAATGTGATGCAGCCATCTTGATGCCTATGGTAATTTACTTCAATACAACTGCAAGGAGAAATGCTTAAATCATTTCCACCTGGCAAGAACAGGGGAGAAAGTTAATTCCATTAGCCATCTTGATTTAATTAAATGCATACTATGTTCTTACTGGCAACTTTTACATGTCCTCATCATTAGAAATTAATTATATAAGCGATTATCAAAAAAATTTTGAGCAGGTACATATACTCTTCTTTGTTGTTTACAAATAAGCATGACTTAGAGGCACTTGGTTACCTTTTAATAAGGAAAAGAATTACACTACCAGGGCCTTCCCAGTAAGATTGGAGACCACAAGTCAAACTTGGTATGAAAATGCTGTCTGAAAATGCTGTCTGCTAAAAATACTGTATTAGTGAACTAGTTAAGATAGAACATTTAAAAAATATTCAGACTTTGCAAGATTCTAGGCTGTAAAAAATACAAAGGCTAAAAACACAAAAAGTTTACAAAATTTTGCAAACCCAATAAATTGAAATGAGTAAGAAATAAAGCAAAACTATTACTGCAGGAGAGGTTAAAGAGTATCAGTAAGTTTTAAAATAATAACACTAAAATGTAATAAATTCTACTTGGCTACATATATTTCTGCCCCTTTAAGGACTTACGATATGGAACTTGTAACACTTTTCTGTGCCCAGCATTAAAACACATGTGTGCACATGCACACACACAGACACACACAATACATGACACATACTGCTGAAGTACTCCACATTACATTTCAGACAGAGTGTAACAAAATGTTTGATACAAAGCCTTAACATGATTTTTTTTGTTAATGTTGACAGCATGACAACTGGAAAATATTATAACATTTTAAGGTAAAACAGGACACTAAAGTGCTTTTTAAAAAGCTACCAATTGGTCTTCACCAGTGAAATCATATTAAATAAGTCGATCATCATCTCTAGTTGATTCAATCATAGCTGTCTTAAGTCACCTGAAAATTAAACGTATTTCAAATCCTGAGCAGGTGCTCATCTTCCAACATGTTATGTGCCTATCCAGGTATCCATGGAACACACATCATTCTCTCCAACAACATAATTCTAGGTCACTCTTAGAAAGTTGTTAACATTTAGGCTAAAGAACATTAATGAGAAAGATAGACACACAACGAAAAAGACTTCTGCTTGTAGAAGATGCTTTCAAAGATGGCAACACTTGTGTAAACATCTGTAGAACTTACTCATATCACAGCTTGAAGGTTTGGGCTACCTACTTACATAGGAAACGTCATCTATTGAGTTTCATCATGATGCAGTTTCTCCGTATCAAAAATAGACACTGGGCAGAAATCTGCGCTACTTGTTTCTGGACAGCTTGTAAACGTGGAAGGTTTTGTTCTGGAACACTCTGGTGAAGTAGGCCACGTAGGGAGGCAGGTTTCTTTTGATCTCTTCACAGAAGCGAGGGTGGTCTGCAGGTTTCAAATCAGGATCATTCTCTCCTGGGCCATCCATCATCTAAAACCAAAACAAACCCAAATACAATTTGGGGGGAAAATTCTATTTACAAAAGACAGTAGGAGCAGGAATGGGTATTGGGTTTAAGAATGGTATGTGAGTGAAATTAAATTATATTATTTCAATGTCCATGGGCACCTGGAGATCATCAGGGCCATCCTTTTCCCCCTTCAGAAGTGCAGACCAAGGCTGAGAAGGAGAGTGCAGCGTCACACGATGATCCCATTAACGGGAAAGCCAGAACTAGAACTCAGGTCTGCTTGCTCTCAGGAACATACTATACTGTCTCTCTCATAGAAATGAAATACAGAGAACTACAGTGATCAGAGAAAGCTCTCTAACTCATCAGAAAAAGTCACATTTAGGCCAGGCGTGGTGGCTCATGCCTGAAATCCCAGCACTTTGGGAGGCTGAGGCAGGAGGATCGCTTGGATCAGGAGTCTGAGACTCATCTGGGCAACATAGCCAGACTCCATCTTTACAAAAAATAAACAAAATTAGCTGGGTATGGTGATGTATGCCTGTGGTCCCAGCTACTTGGGAGGCTGAAGTGGGAGGATCACTTGAGCCTGGAAGGTTGAGGCTGCAGTAAGCCAAGATCACGCCACTGCATTCCAGTCTGAGTGACAGAGTGAGACCCTGTCTCTAAAAATAAATAAATAAATAAATAAATAACTGAAAAAGTCACGCTCAAATCAAAATTTAAATGGATGTCTCTGGTCTGTACCACCTCTGAACTCAAGACAGTTATGAACTATGATTCTCCTCGGGCAAAAATCTGAATCTCAAATTCTGTACAGTCAAGATTTTTTTTTTTCAAATTTAGGCTAGGTTTGTCACTTTGTCCAACTTGTTTACAAATATCTATTGGCTTTCATACCATTAATTACAGCACACATCACACCTCTAAAGGGTGAAAATCTGTTTGCTCTACTGAGACCTGGCATAGCTCCAAGAACACTTTCCTCAGAAGGGAGAAGGGAGAAGCGGCTTGCTGCTTTTCTGCTCTGGAGTGCAACTTAGCCTCTGAAAGCCGGCCTGTGGAAACACACCAGTGGACACAGGACACTCAGTAGGAGAGGGCAGGAGGGGTAGGGGGAATCCACCACCTAGACCGGAGGGCAGGAGGGCCCCACCATCCCTGCCATGCAGCAGCTAGCCAATACGAAGCGTTGGAGCAGTGGGTTTAAAGGCTGAGGTTTTGTTTATAGCAGCAAAATCCTTCACAGATACATTTTATGCAGAGCCCCATCATACAAATGAGCTGAAGGCAGAGCTGCTCTGTTTGGTGTGACACTGGGGACCCAGGGCTCCCCTCTCACCTCTCCCTTGCCCAGCCCCGGTGGCAGTCACTAAAGTGCCAAGAGAGGGCTTCTGTAGGAAGCAAGAGAAAAAGCAAATACTTGATTCGTAGCGTAATTCAACTAGACATTAAGGATAAAAAGATTCACATTCTTAGGATTCAAATCAGAGTCCCGCCCCTCCAGGAGACCCCCACACAGGGAGAGGCAGCATGCTCACGTGGCCGTTGGCAATGTCCAGCAGGTCCCGGAGTCGGCAGCCCCGGCGGTGCCTCCGCTCGTAGCAGATGCTGTCTTCCAGGATTACGTAGTCAGTGCCGAAGGACCTTAGGAGGGCATGCACTTCCTCTGGTGCCCTCTTGGCATATATCTGATAAACCTTCAAAAAGACATAAAAATGCAATGTGGCAAATGCTACTTGACTGCCAGGGAGTTAACTATGTGATGTAACCTTCCACAGGGCTGAGTCTAAGACCTAACACCCAAGGTGCTCTCTCCAGCCCAGGCCACGCTGCACTCGCTCATTTGCAGGCCTGGAGTGTGTGCGTGGAAGTTCCCAGAACGCTGTGAGTGCTCGGCCTTGGGAAGAGAGTGAGCCAGGAAGAACACATCTGGATTCAGAATGTATTACTTCAAGTCAGGACTATATTCATCAGTAGGCACCAATTCTAAGACTGCTTTCCCAAGGTAAATGACAGGGCTGAGTAAATAAGACACAGTCTCTACCTTTAAAAAGGGGACCCCCAGACTAAAATGGCCCATTAAGGGTGATGGGACAGTCTGAGGGACACACGTCCCAATAAGGCAGAGCCCCAGCTTCTGAAACTGGTAGGTGGGGAGAAGGATCCCTGTAGGGTCTCTGCTCCTAGGCTGGGGCAGCATTGGCTGCTTTACCTGCTACTCCGCATCTCAGCTAATTGAGAGACCCCACTGCTCCTCTCCCTCTCGTCCATCCTAGGGGTGAGAGCCACTTGCAGCACACCGTGGGCAACGCCACAGGAGGCCCCCTTCACGTTCATACCAGTGCCACACACCCTCAGTGGATGGATGCAAACTGAGCGTCCCAGATTCTGGGGCTGGAATGGAAACAGGCTGTGTGAGGTGTTGAATGTGGGGGTTCATGAAGAGAGGCACTGCCTCCTTTGTTGCACCCTGATTTCGAGTGCTAGATTTCTGATTTGGGCTTGAGGGTCTAACTTGATGTGTCCACATGGATGGGTGAAATGGTAGGGAGGTAGGATGCTGTTACTGTGACAACTGTGTTGTCCTACAGTCCAGCACAAGGTCTCAGGCTGAAGGCATTCCAAGGGTTCCAGGGTCCTGATGAAGAGCCGTAGGGCCTTGAGGATGTCAGTGTGTGGGGCCTAACCCTAGTACTGAGACAGGAAAGGAGATGCCCAGGACGTTCTGTGCACTCGACCTGTCTTTTCTGCAGTCTCCAGTCCAAGCAGTAGAGGCCACCCCTGATGAACCTGGTGCCTGGAAAGCCAGGGAGCCCCTTTCCTGCATCCTCCTAGTTAATTTGGAACTATCTGGAACACTTCAGCCCATCAAAAAATTCCTATTTTAGCAGGAGTCTGAATTCAAATGATTCTTATACAAGACAGGAGATTAGTAAAAATCATCTGCTTTTAGGCTAGTCAAATCTCACCTCAAAACAAGACTTTTTCAACAACTTTTCAACCGCCAACATGAAAAAAGTGACATTAGGAAACATTTATGAGTTTGAAACCTGACTGGTGAGGATGAAGGAACACAGGCACCTTCCTGCACTGCTGACTTGAATGTAAACAGATACAACCTGTAGAGAGAGGACTTGATAACATCTCTCGATCTACACTACAGATGTCAACAACCCTGACCCAGCACTTCCCCATCCAAGAATCTGCTGTACAGACAGACACCGTGCCTGGAAAGAGTGATGTGCAGACAAGTTTATCTGCAGCATTGTTCATATAATCACAAAAGACAGGGAAACAGCAGAAATGGCTAAATAAAATATGCCACATCCATGTAAAATATTAAGCAGCTTTAAAAATAGGAAGGAAGCTGTTAATATACTGAATATAGAATGTTTTCCAAAACACATTAAATGCCGAAGAAGCAGAATGTAGAATGCCACTTCTTCTGTAAAAATGGAGAAAGGGGCACCACCCTCCCCGCATATTTGTATATGCGTGAAATACCTGTGGAAGGAGACACAAGAAACTGCTAACATTATCTGCCTCCTAGGAGGGGAACTAAGAACTGCAATAATGGGAGAGGCACTTTTCACCATATTTCCTTTTGTATGTTCTGAATTTTGAACTATGAGACTGTATTATTATCTATTAAAAAACAAAAACCCCAGACTTCAGAAAGGTCCATAAGAAACGTGACCAGTATGCCTCAACGCCTTTTCCTTCCCCTCCCTAATCCAAAAGCTTTGCTCCCAAATGCGCTCTTCTGCACATCTCAAGGCGTGTGTCTTCTCGGTTCTTCCCTGGGGAGGACCTGTGGCCTAACCTCACGTCCTTAGTGGATATGGGCAGGCAGAGGTCCCGACCTGGGGAGGACCTGTGGTCTAATGGCACGTCCTTAGTGGATATGGGCAGGCAGAGGTCCTGGACCAGGAGATGCGAGCCCTGTGCACTTACGTTCTGATTTCCCCTCTGATATGGTTTGGCTGTGTCCCCACCCAAATCACATCTTGAAGTCCCACATGATGTGGTAGGGACCTGGTGGGAGGTAACTGAATCATGGGGGCAAGTCTTTCCCGTGCTGTTCTCGTGGTAGTGAATACATCTCATGAGATCTGATGGTTTTATAAGGGGGAGTTTCCCTGCACAAGCTCTCTTTTTGCTTGCTGCCACCCATGTATGACATGACTTGCTCTTCCTTGCCTTCTGCCATGATTGTGAGGCCTCCCCAGCCATGTGGAACTGTAAGTCAATTAAACCTCTCTTTCTTCTGTAAATTGCCCAGTGTCAGGTATGCCTTTATCAGTAGCGTGAAAACAGACTAATTCATCCTCCTAACCTAATGCTGGAGGGTGCAGCATTCAGCCCCATCTTTACCACACATAGGGACACGCAGCCCATAGCTGGCCCACAAGAAGCGAGGGGAGGCACTGGGGAGCCTCACCGCTCTGGTCCGCTCTCTCAGGCTGCTGTCTTCATAGTGCGGGTGGTTGGTTAGGGTCCTTCCCGTGCACAGCTTGACTCCGGCCAGCAACTGCATGCTTCCCGCAAACACAGCCTTTCTTGGAGTGTTAGAGCTGAAAGATTTTAGAGTCTGAATTAACCCCACTGTTAAGAGATCCTTAAAGACAACAAAGAAGACAATATCAAACTTTTTCAGAAGAATCCAGCTATGTTACCAAGTGTTACGAGTCAGGGAAAAAAAACGGGAGTTTGCTTCGGTTTTGATTTGTACTCAAACTATTGAGTGCAAAAGTAATTGCGGTTTTTGCCATTACTTTCAATGGCAAAAACCTCAGTTACTTTTGCACCAGCCCCATGTTTTTTACAACAATGTTTTGTATGATTTTGACTGTTCACCAGAATAACGGTGGGGAAACTTCTTACTGTTTTGCTAGGTTTACTTTTATAAGGAATTGTCTTAGAAGGCAGGCAGTGTAGCTCTTGAGTCCAGGCTTCTAGGCCAAGACCCACAATCCTCTCCTGCTATTGTTCCAGAGGGGCAGAGTCTAACAAAAATAACCTAAAAGACTGCCACTGCTTTGCGTATTGAACTTAACAAAAGAGCTACCTAGAGCAACATGTAACAAATCATCAAGCCAGAAACTGCAGGTGATCATGAGTCAGTTCCAAGGGTTTTTGCTTAAAAAAGCAATAAGGAAAAAAATCACAGATACCACCATAAATAAAAACAGAATTAACAACAACAACAACAACAAAACATGGAAACAAGATTCTGAAATAGCCAATATCTTATTACTTAATATGGGGGATACACAAATACTTCTGATGTGAAAACGCAATTATTTTACATATACCTTTGGTCCTGATTATGAGAAACTATATGCAGTTTAAGGAACACGGGGCACCCTAATACTAAGGCACAAACTCACTTTCCAGTTCCCACCACGCTACGATTTTCTGTCTTCCAGGGGTGTGAGGGGCAGGGACTAGGGACCAAGAAAAGACTCCCAGAATATAGGAAAAGCATTTTTCCTTTTTCCTCCCTGGAAAAAAGGAATCTTAGTAGCTGATTTAATTCCTTTCCTCTTTTTTTTTTTTTTTTTTTTGGAAACCTGAGAGTCACTTGTAAGCGGTCAAGGAGTTAATTTCTCAGGAGGCCCTAAGAGCTCTCTTCTGGGGATTCTCCTGAGTGCAGAATTTCCCACAGAGGCCCACTGAGGACACTGCGGGCTGCGTTTATCCTTCTTGCATTGAGAGGAGTCTGTGCCTGCTGGACTGAACTAAAATGAGGAAGATGGTTATGAGGAGTTTATTTAAAATCATTAAAATTCAACATCCTCTGCAGAAAAAGCCATGGCAGGCTGTTCTCCATGGTTTTGGAGCAGGGCACGCAACTAGCTCTGGTGCTGCGGTTTCTAAGAGAAGCCTCATCACATTCATACATCCCACCAGGATGTTTTATTTATTCCAACTCAGCGCTAAGACTCCAGCGTGAATGCCATCCAACAGAGGCCTTGGATGTCTACAAGCAAGACATCCCACAATTCAAGTTGTGACATTTACAAATAGTTTACTTTTGAAAAATTCAAGATTTTCTTTCTAACAATGACACTCTCATTCACTTGCATTCCAATAAGCGTTCTTAAGTGAGGAAAAAAAGTGGCTGGAATGACAATGAGCATACATAATGACACATAATATGCATCCCCTCTCCCATGCCAGAGTCTAGAATGCAGATTCCAGCAGGAAAAAAGTTTCACATGAGCTTGGCTGCACTTGAGAGCTTGTCATTCTGACAGACCCAGGAACAAGAACAAATAGATGTTAGCTCTGTTCCCCGTATCAACAATTTACAGGGACTCTCTCACATTCTGTCCCACATGGTCAGAGGAATAAGAGGGTTTCAATGAAAACGTGAAGGTGCACAGAATTCCTTAGTGAAAGGTTTTACTGAAATTCAGTTTAATTCAACTGACACTTACTAAACACTTACTCTGGGCCTTGTGTACTGTGCTACCCTTACCTAGAGTGTAATTGCTAAAGGAAACAAGTATGAACAAATATTAGTTTTTTAAAGTGCCACCATTTTTCCAAGCCAGGCTTCTTTCCTTTGAATACTCTCAACTGGCATGAGCCATTCCACAGCAATCAACGATACGATAACTTGACACACCCATGCCAAAAAGTGGCTGTCTTTGGTCCTCTGAACTAGACAGATTTAGGATGCAGAGAGAACATGATGAGTCTGGTTTCCACGCCTGGCAGAGCAGGAGGTGGAGGCGAGAGCTATCAGAGGCGAATGATCCTGGTTTGTAGTCTCACTGCCTGAACAGTGCCAAGCTGGCCTTCTACACAAAAGACGAACCCGGCAGCTGAGCTTCCAACATCCATTCCAATCACAAGACTATCTCACCATCACCGTTTTGAATGTATAATAGGAATCTCTGTGCAGCTTCAGCACCAAGAAGATGCACAAAGCTATAGTAGCATGCAGTTTATAATTACAGCAGAGATGACAGGCCTTGTTATCCAGCCACAGCTAATGATTAAGGTTTCAGCCTGCCTCCTGGACTATAATCATAGCCCTTGGATGAATTACAGAGTTCACAAAGGCTTAAATGCCCAAAGTCCTAAACTGCCCTCTAGGGAGTTATAACGTTCTTTATTCAAAAAATATTGCTGAGGGTCTATTACGTGCTGGGCTGGCAAACATGGTATGACAACCTGTCTTCAAGAAGCTTACTTAGACCAGGTGTGGTGGCTCATGTCTGTAATCCCAGCACTTTGGACGGCCAGGTGGGGAGATCACTTGAGGTCAGGAGCCTGAGACCAGCCTGGCCAATATGGTGAAACCTGTCTCTACTAAAAATACAAAACTTAGCCAGGCGTGGTGGTGGGTGCCTGTAATGCCAGCTACTCAGGAGGCTGAGGAGGGAGAATCACTTGAACCCGGGAGGCATAAGTTGCAGTGAGCCAAGATCGTGCCACTGCACTCCAGCCTGGGCAACAGAGCAAAACTCCAACTCAAAAAAAAAGAAAAAAGCTTACTTAACAGCTCCCATTACAGACAAACACTTCAAAATAACCCAGTGCTGTAGTGAGCCTAGTGTATCACGTATTTACTAATGCTTACTGCAAGCCTTCAGCTAAGCTGGAAATGAAACAGCAGTCACTGAAGATGCTCTCTCCTCAGCAGGCTCTAAGAGCTCTTGAGTGGCTCCCATCCCCGGCCCCTAGCAGGTGCAGCCCCAAGGCAGCAGCAGGGCCATCACCAGCAGAGCGAGTGACACATGGCTGCTCAGGGGAATGAAAGAAAAAATGGAATGAAGCTCATTAAGTTGTGACTGTCTTAATGTCTGGCCTTATTAGCAAAAAGTCAGAAAGTTTAAAAGAAGTGTAATCTATTTAATGTGTTAGTGCCACAATCATCTGGATTGTTAACATACTCTTTCACTGAGGACTTGGCTTTATTTTAAAGCAGTAAAATACATATATCCTCATGCCTATAAGATGAATTAAAAATAATACTTCTGGCTGGGTGCAGTGGCTCACGCCTGTAATCTCAACACTTTGGGAGGCTGAGGTGGGTAGATTGCTTGAGGTCAGGAGTTCGAGACCAGCCTGGCCAACATGGTGAAACTCCATCTCTACCAAAAATACACAAATTAGCCAGGTGTGGTGGCGCCTGCCTGTAGTCCCACTACCTGGGAGGCTGAGGCAGGAGAATCGCTTGAACCCACGAGGTGAAGGTTGCAGTGAGCCGAGATCACGCCACTGCACTACAGCCTGGGCGACAGAGATTCCATCTCAAAAAATAAATAAAATAAAACCAAAAATAACACTTATTTGAAAATGACTGACTTCTGAGGACAGTAGGGATGATGCTTCTTCCCTCCATGCCATGTGGCTTTGTCTCATACGCCAGCTCCGTGGTAAACCTGGGAAATATCACTGCTACTTCCAATACTTCACTCTACCCGTAAGGCAAATGCCAAAGGAAAAGCTACAAGCAAAGTGGAACAAAATGAGAAACAAACAATCACACATTTCTAAACTTAAAAAGATACTTATATTCACTGTCCTTTCTATTTTGTGGTAAATTTAGCAGGCAAAGGGAGAAGGGATCCGTTGTCCTTAGCTGAAAACATGCACAGTGATGGACATAATGCTGGGTGCTCTTCCTTCACAGACACTCTTGCCTGATACAGTCTGTGGTCTGTATCTAAAATAGCTAATGTGCTTTTAACCACTGAATGACATTTCTCTATTATAGAAAAACAAAGCAATTTTTACAAATGTTTGAACAAATGATGTATAAAATGAAAGGATAATTTGTTTTTATAGCTCTCTGCCAAGCTCCATAGCAGGCTGCCCAACCTGCACACAATTTGTTCTGTAAGAAATGTCACTAAATAATGACAAGGACTCACAGGTCAAATGGATTTACATTATATAATTTAAATGTCATTCCAGGAAGACCTGATGGCATTTTGAACAAATAATCTCATTTATTTTTGAAGCTCTAAGCTTCAACAAGTTAATTGCTGTTGAACTAATGGGGAAACTGAGCATTATAATATAATGTGTGAACATTTGCTTTATCTACACTTCAAAAATTTATAGAATTATGCAAATACTACAAAATGATTCATTAAATAGAAAAGAGGCTTATAGGCATTTAAGGTCTGAACTTAGCCTACATCATATTTAAAATATACACGAACTTTCTGCTTTGGTTAAATGTGAAAGAAAGTTGGTCCATTTTTTCAGACCCATTGAGAAAATACTGCACACACGGGTTTCATTACTGGAAAGAGACTATTTCCAGTGAAAATCTCCTAAAGTGAAGTAGCTAAAATGTCATCCCTCAAAATATGCAAATATATAGATATGCCTATCTTATTTGCAAAATGTCAGAAGAAAATTTTCAGGAACGAAAAATGAAACATTCAAGGACACAAAGGAACAAGGTAGAAACCACAGATTGTGGTTGCATTCAGCCTTGCTGAGGTAAACGTGCTTTCTAATTGCACAGAAAACCTTTAAAACTACCGCCTGACTTTTGCTGAAAGAGACACCAGAAGGCAAAAAAAAAAAAAAAAATCCAAGTTTTTAATCTTTGTATCCAGGAAACCTTATCAGCAGAGAAGGGTAAATATGAATATATGCATTTAATTCTGCTTGAAAACAAGGCATGCAATGCATCGGTGTAGCGTGGAGAGCAGCAGGCAGGTGAATGCACAAAGGCTGGGGTGTGGAAGGCTGGACATGCCTCCCAGCTCTTAGGGAAGGCGGCTGGGGCTACCGCAGCCTGGGGCCCTGACTTTAACAACATGTCAAATGTCACACCATCCTTGTAAAAAAGAGCAACTTAATCCCTAAACACTGTTGGTTTCATACTGAAGCTTCAATCTCTACTCCTTTTAGGAGCTAAAGATAGGAAAGCATAAAACATTTTCTATTACTAAAAATTAGAATTCTAAAAAAAACTTTCCCACTGAACTTGCTAAGCCACTGAAGATCTTAAAATGGAGTCGAGGGTGAGAATTCGGGAGAAAAGAATGAGGGCAATTGTGCTGAGGCGAGGCCCAGCGGTTACTCCAGTGAAAGGCAGCTGCAGTGGAGCGCCACCTGCATCCACACACTTCACACGGTGCCCATACACAGCTGGGGCTCGATGAACATCTGCTGAACTATATTAATAAGTGCACAACTTCAGATGTGAAATAACTTTATAAATTAGTTAAGGCTTTAAGAGTCTTCACAGGAATCCAATCCCTTGGGTATGACCCTTCTCATGTTAAGTGTCACCCTCAGGTAAGGCCCTTTATTTTCCCTTGAGGATATCTCTTCAGCCTATAAAAAAGAAAAGAACCAACTCCCACTGAGGCAACCACATCTTTCAATTTACCCTTAAAGCAGAGAAGCCCTCTGAGAATACTTGGAAAGCCTGAATCTCCAAGCGGAAGCCCTGTGTCCAGGAGCACAACGTAATGCCTCATGTGGGGTGTGGCTTACTCCAGCAGCAAGGACACGGGGCGGGACACTTCCAGGTGTGTGAGTGATGAAGAGGATGGATAAGCTTCTTTTCAACACGTCACGTAAGGGGTGCCCTGTGCCAAAATGGAGGGTCACTTGAGGTGTCCCCAGGGTTTCCACAGGCCACTATTTCTCTAGTTGTGATTCATCCCAAGGACAGCCATCCCTCCCCTAATGGAGGCTGTGCCCCTGTCCGATAGATGCCGTGATGATTGCATGGGCAGAAGACAGACATTTGAGTGTGTCTGCTTTGACTGTCTGGGAACAGGGCAGACAGGAAGACAGGCTGGGGAGGACAGAGGCAGCCCTCAGGGACAGTGCTGGTTCTCTGCCAGGCGTCTTGGGACTCTTTCAGACACAGCCCATGCGTCTGAAAGAGTCCTTAGGCCGCAGCCTTTTCTCCAGCACAACTCATACTTGCTAATAACATGGATACCGTGTGACTAATCAAAGCAGTGAGGTGAAACTTGAAGGTCATATTTTACGTTTCAAAAACAGAAGAAATCAGGGCAGATTAAAAGAATATTAAGGCAGTCACTTGAGTTTGGAATCCACACCTACAGGCCAGTGTGGATTTGAGTGTTGATTTAAACAAACATATTTGATGTCTACATAGACCCTATTTTGGCATACATTCATCACCACTTATGCTTATTTTGCAAACATACCAAGCAGCTAGTTTTACAAAAATATTATTTAGATTTGAAGAATTTTAGGGGAAAAAGCTGAGACTAGATCACAATAGAACAAATTTTTTGGAACAAGGCAAATCCTTCAGTTGCTGAGAATTACAAAAAAAAAAAAAAAAAAAAAAGCCAAAGGAATATGTCTACTACAAAAGCACTACAGGGAGACGAGCTGTTAGCAAAAGGAGGGTCTGAGGAGTGAACATCACCTCCCAAACGAGGGAAATAGGACACTTGTATTCTCTTCTTTACACCTGGAATCATCTCTCATCCAGTTTTTCAGAGCCAGAAATGTTATTTTAATTTTCTGTGGGGAAAAGCATAAAAATAAAGGCACTACAAATAAATATATCTAGTCTGAGACTGCCGAAGATAACCTGGGGCTCTGCTAGAATACATTTTTAATGACTTTATAATTAATTCCTGAAAGACTGGGGTGTTTATGGTGCTAATCTAAGGAGATCCGGAAGACCCACCACCTTCAGCATGCTACCAGAAAGCAGGGGTCCTCAGCATTGATTTCAACAGCATAGTCCTGAAAACAGAAAATATCAGCCTCAACTTCAGATGTACGTCATAAATTTCCAGCTGACTATAGTTAATGCAAAAGTAATTAGCTTTCCTTTACACGAATAACTCTCTTTCCTTGTACATAATAAATACTGAAGGAATTATTTACTCTGTAATCGTCTGGCATGATTTAAAATTAAATAAAGACAAAGCAACGCTTAGTGCTCTCAGCACCAGAAATATGTGAAAAATTATACTCACTGCATCTAGTCAAACCCAGTCCGACATTAGGACCAAAGCCATGTGTATGTTTTAGACAAATCTCTATGAGATCCATGCGTTGCCCTAGGGAGGCCTCAGCTGTCAAGCACTGACCATCTCTGCAGACACGCAGGGCTGACCTGTACTGGTGAGTAAGCATTAGCCATGGGACGCAGACAATCCAGCCAATGCTTTCAGAAGGCACCACATGTGATGCACAGCCTCTATTTACATGTGAATAATTACACTGCTGCTTTCTGGTTAAAAGTAGGGAAATACAGTGTTCCAGGGCATAGGAATGGTGCTCTGGGTAGAAAAGTTTATTTTTGCTGGTGGGAGGCAGGTTTTGTTAATAAAGCTTTGAAATACACAAATTTCATTCTGATGCTGAATGCTGAGGCAAAACAACAAAGTGCCGGCAGAAATAAGAGCCAATAGGACACTAAAGCATTATGATATTCAAGACGGAAAGTTCCAGGTTTTGTATCTAAAATTTTCTCTGGTCCTAGGCTTTGGCAATATGATGAGTTAACATGAAATCCGCACTGAGCTGTCATGAGCCTCTACTTAACTGGAGTTTACAGTATAATTTAAAAAACAAGGAAAGAATATTTTTTCTTTTTTCTTTCTTTTTTTTTTTTTTTAGAGAGAGTCTTGCTCTGTCGCCCAGGATGAAGTGTAGTAGCGCGATCTTGACTCACTGCAACCTCTACCTCCCGAGTTCAAGTGATTTTCCTGCCTCAGCCTCCTGAGTAGCTAGGAGGCACCTGCCACCATGCCTGGCTAATTTTTGTATTTTTAGTAGAGACAGACGGGGTTTCATCATGTTGGCCAGGCTAGTCTTGAACTCCTGACCTCGGGTGATCAGCCCACCTCAGCCTCCCAAAGTGCTGGGATTACAGGCGTGAGCCATTGAGCCCGGCCAGAAAGAATACTTTCAAGTGTCACCATTAGTGGAAAATCAGAATGGTATTAAAATGAAAATAATAAACATAAAATTGGCAGAGACATCAAATTTTAAGTTTCAACAGATATTATAAACTTTTATTGCCATTTCTGTCAGTGGTTTGAAATTTATTTATTGAATCGGTTTTCCTCTCCAAATGGGTATTTTCCTTTCTTCATGAGATATAGCTGGAGAGAATATTTCTTAAATAGAAAGACATTATTTTCAAATATGGAGTTTTAAAGAAAAATCTAGTAAGGACGAATGTTTCTTCGTAATTAGATTCAGAAACAAACAAAAAACCCCCAAAACGAAATGTGGTCTATAGTGACTCTTAAAAGGCACTTAAAATTTTAAAAGTTAAAAAAAATCCTCTTACTTAATCCAGTTCATCAGCTCCACTGTATCTGGATCATAGAATTCTCTCAACTCGGAGAGTTCATCCATCATTCCTGGCCAGAACTGAAATTAAAAACAAAACAAAACAAAAACAAAATCCACCCCTACACCCACAACTATCACTAAGATTAAATGAAAAAAAGATAAACTGCATATAATGTGTGAACTAAATAAACATAGCTACTGGAATATACAACTATTTCACCTCTGCAGCAACCCTCCTAATACAAGGGAACTAGCGCCTGGGAAGTTTCTGAAATTATCTTCAGCTGAAACTAATTAGGATGTGAGGTATCGCCAACTTTAAAAAATGAGCTTTTTATTTTGCTCCAATAGAAATGCTATTGTATGTGATGATAATACCTGGCAAAACATTATTTTGACATGACAAGAATGCCAACCATGAGAAAGTTCACAATCCGTTAGGAATATGTAATTAACTAATACCATGCAATTTACCCCTAAAAGTAGAATGTATCCTGTAGAAGACAGAGCCATTTTACTGCTGCAAAAATGCTTTAGAATACGGCCTTGTTTTATCCTCACAATAACCCATGACATGGATGACGCAACAGGCAGCATCACCCACTGGGATTTATTTTTCATTTAGAAGTGTGGAAACTGAGGCTCAGAGAGGTATCTGACTTGACCAAGTCACAAGCGGCAGAGCTACAACCTGGACCCTGGCTCCAAATCCAGCCCCCTTTTCATTTCAAAATAGCATGATTGTATTTTTGTACTAGAAATCTGGTCAAATGGTTTGACATATATTAATATAATTGCTGGTACAATGAAAGAGAATAATATTTAAATGTAGGGCTCTCCAGGAATATCTGGTACATCTGGCTGTATTTATACCACTTGGTGCCTCCTGGTCAACTTGAGTACTTAAGGTTTTCTAAATAAAATGTAAAAATTACTCTCTGAATTACCCACTTATCTAATATCTTAAGTCCATTTAATTCAACAATTAACTAAATCTTAATTGTTTTTATCAAATGACAGTTGACTAAAAAGACTTGATCATATCTATATACATTCTAAGGTCAAAGGTAGAATTCACTTCACATATTAGCATAGAAGACCAATGACAATGTATGTATGCTCCACTGACGTAGAAAATATAATACTTTTATTTAAGAACCACTAGTAGAATCAAAGCAGCACCTGATTGATCTCTGGCTGTGTTTGAGACCTATCACTGTTTTTTTGGTCATCTCATCTTTGGCCATTTTTACTGCTCATTCAAATCTTGTCTCCTGGGTGGGTGAATCAGGAAAATTGCTAGTGATGGGAAATCAGGTGTCAGGACTTCTGGTTCTAGTTTTTGGAAGAGATGTAGTAAAAATTACTGATTAAATGATGCCTTTGTAATATTTCAATGATCTATGTTTCCTTACTAATTTGATAACCAATAGAATACCAACTTTTTAATGAAATGCTCTAATTCTTACAGTATAAACATATTTGAAATCTGTGAACTCAATGAATATTAGATATTTTTCTAGTTTGAAAGTTACTGTTATTAATTCTGAAAATGTTAAAAGCTAGTGAGAATTTTGCGGCAAACTCCTTTAACAATATGAAAGTGCTGAATTAACTAACTGCCGTTTTTACCAATCAGCAGTAGAGATTTCAGCAATCCAATTAAGTTAATCAAGACCAACGTCCTAATTTTACTAAAGTCTTGACTTCGGAGTGCAGGCTAGTACATGCTTTTTTCCCTTTTAATATGCTTATACTAAAGAGAAATACAGCAAAATTGGTAGTATGAACAAGAAATTTTGAAACTCTAACTACAATTGCAATGTAAAACTGAAATCAGGCTTTGAAATATATGAATTCACATTACTTACAGGTAAGTCTGTAAGAGCTGGAATAGTTGGAAAACAGATTCAGTTTCAGGGTAACCCCTCATACCCATACCATCTTAATTTTCTCTGTGATTTTATGTAAGTTTTGTGGAGATGAAATATCTGAACTATTTTATACAGTGAAAGCTGAATGCATTAGGATTTCTCCTAAACTCCTGTATCAAGAGAGACTAGGCCAACAGTCTTTTGGAGGATTCCTCAGGATACTAACTCCCTTATTCAGGGAAAACCTGCAACAGGATTTCCTGGAGATGATGGCTTCTTTAGCTGTCCCAGTTCTTTTATAGCAGTGGTTTTCAAGATGAGTAAGGGGAGACATTGTGCCCCTAGCCCCAGCCCCAGGGCATTTGGCAATGTCTGGTGACATTTTTGGTTGTAGCCAGGGGAGACGTGCTTCAATGAGCGGGCAGAGGCTGAAGCTGCCGCAGAGCAGCCTACAGCACACAGGACCGCCCCCGCCCCCAGCGGCAAAGAATTCTCTGGCCCAAGTGTCAATGTGCCACTGCTGAGAAACCCTGTGACCGCTACAGCAGGGGGTTCTTAAAACTG
The DNA here is from genome assembly GCF_000001405.40 of Homo sapiens. Classification (NCBI taxonomy): domain Eukaryota; kingdom Metazoa; phylum Chordata; class Mammalia; order Primates; family Hominidae; genus Homo; species Homo sapiens. The sequence continues at coordinate 32,466,370 of NC_000019.10, read as the reverse complement.
GGGGGCTGGTTAAATGCCTATTTCTGTACTGGACTCCCAGGCTTCTGATTCGGTAGGTCTGGAGTGGGACCCAAACACATGCATGTTTACAGGATCCCAAGAGACGCTGATGCTGTTTATCTGAGGACCACGCTTCAAGAATCAATGCTCCCTAGGACAGTTTACTTCTTATACAATGTCCTTCCTCAATTTTATTACGAACAAAACACCTCAGTCCTCAAATAGCTTAAAAAAATCAGTAAAATTTCAATAGATAGCTGAGACATAAAAGAACTGAACCTACATGCACACGGGCAGTATGAAAGATGGTTATTGTTCGGTACATCTTCAGTGGTGAGAAAAACATTCATGAGCTTTATCTTTTCTGTGAGGAGGGTGCTTTAATCCACTGAATCATTGTGTAAAGGTAAACTGACAGGACTCCTCAGTAACATATACTGTTTAATCCTTAACTGTTCGTGTCTAGATGTTTTTAGTAAGTTTCAGTTATTCGCATTAGAGCAATAAAATTCCCAGAGGTGGGGAGGCATAAATCTATTTGTGTGTTTTTTAATATCTAGGAGTTAGCACAGAGTTTTGCTAATGGTAAATGTTTTGATAGACAGGCTCATAACAGAACACATTTTTTTGAAATATTTACAATATAGTATTTAGCAATATTTTCTTTAGCCTGAAACCTTTGGTTCACAAAATCCTACATGAAAATATAAGCAAATAAACCCCAAAGCTGAGCTGCTCTAGCTGATCCTCTCTGCGGGAGGTCCCATCACCCCTGCTTTTAGCCACCCTCCCAAATCAGGGGTTCTACACAGTAGAGTTTGAAATCCGTCGTTTTAACTTAAAGTAAAATTTAAAGGAAAAAAAATATAAACTTAATATGTTAGGTTCTTTAAAAAGAGAGGGCAGAAGCTCAATTGGATAAAACAGTCTGTGCTATCTGCCCTAGTGATGATTCAAGACTGCCAATGTCAAAGATGTGACAAAAAGCCACAGTCAACCTGACCAATGATCATTGTCTCTGATAAGAAATTCTCTGAATTAAAGGGCAGTTCATGCTGTTTCAGAAACTAGTCAAATGAGAATATGAAAAATCCAGATACTTCCTATTGATACTGAAGAACAGATTTTAAAAAGCCTAGCCTTAGGCTGTGTTTATTTATGTGTCTAATTCTCTTATGAAGATAAGCATCTAATAAAATATGGAGCTTAAAGTAAGATACATTTAAAAATCTCTTAGTCTATATAAATCAGGTAATGGGAAAATAATTTTCCTACTTTCATTTCAAAATAGGTCTGAAAACACCTTATTTTCAGAATTTGCATCAGCTGAATATTAAGAGTCTAAATCAAAATTAATTAGAATTATTAAATGCTATAGTAGTTTTCGCTATCATGTTTTTACTTGTTAAAACTATTTGGGAAAAAGATCCATTTTCCCATCAATGTCACCTTCAGTAAGAAGCTAAGGAGGTATTTATAACCTTCACAAACCACTCTATTTGCCAAATAATACACAAAATATATTGAATCAAAGCAATTATTCTGCTAAATACATGAATGACAAGAATGAGGAAAATCAGTCTTACCTTATAGCATAGATACAGCAGTATTAATATCGGTACTGAATATCGCATTATACATATCTATATAAGAAAGACATTATTTAGATTATAAGTATTTTGAACCTTTTCTTTTTTGAGAGACAGGGTCTTGCTATGTTTGCCTAGGCTGGCCTGGAATTCTTGGGCTCAAGTGATTTTCCTGTCTCAGCCTCCTGAGCAGCTAGGATTATAGGAGTGAGCCACTGTGCCCGGCTTTTTTAAACACTTCTGCCTTACAGTTTTGCTTTGTAAATATATGCCTTAAAAAATTACCAGAAATATAATTTAATGGAGCACAAGTCTCCAATATGCAGAATAACTGAGTCGATACTAGGATTCTAATCATTTGTAAGATATCTGCAGCTTCTACTATATTGCCACCTAGTGAATTTATGGAGTAGAACAATTCAAAACTGCATTTATAGGCTACTGAAAAATTGTCATACATATATAAATAATTATCTTTATGAAAATACATTATAATAACAACAGTTATAATTCCGGACAAGGGGATTATTGGTAATTTTAATTCCCCTTTTGTGCTTTTTTTTGTATTTCCAAATTCTGTATAATGAACATATCTAACTTATAGTCTGAGAAAAAAGTAATTTTTTAAAATAAAATTATTTTAAAATAATTCCCTATAAAATCTTAATATATCAATTATGTATTTTCAGCTTCAATTTCAGTATCCATTTTATCTCACAGCTACTGAAAAACAAAAAAAGAAGTGGTATGAAAGAAATACTGCAAGTCATAAAAGGAGATGGAAAAAGGGATGACACTGACCCTCTTTGGGTTATAAAGATGGACTGACTTCAGAAGTAACTCCCATATTTCAGGGCTACATAGGCCGAATGATGCGAACACACACATGTGTGACGTCCAGAGGTACTTCATTCTGCAAGAACAGACACAGGCGCAAGTCAGAAGTACTAGTTGTATATAAACCTGGATTCTGAGACACCTATAAAGGCAGCTTTACAGTCTATGACGGCAAAATCTTACTTAAAACTATGCAGATGCCATTTGCCGAAGGGTTCGTTGTTTAACTCCACTGCCTTTTCAAGACTATGCTTTGAGTAAAACATAGAGGCGTGTTTGTAATTAATTGTAAAAACTGATGTTGAGTATTTTATACTGAGAGAAGATAGGATATAAGGATGATTTTATGGGAACCATGATCATTAATGAAGATGATTGTCACTTTCCAAATTATATTGCTAAGTAACATCAAGAGTGATCAAATAAAAAGTAAACAAACAGGTAAGACAAAAATACCTCATTGTACTCAATGCCAAGAATCCAAACAGAATGGTATGTATTAAGTTGTAGGCAGTTTCTGGTTTCAGGTCAACTGTGCCTTTTTCCATTTTACCCACGGATTGTTGATTTGTAGAATCACTGAGTAAAACAGCAACATACAAAATTTAAGCTGGAAACATAATTTTAGTTAGATCTTTGTAAAAGAAGAAGATACAAGAAATGTATGCCTTTATGTATTCAGAAATTGATTATTTCCATAAGATGAAATGAATTCGCATTGATCAATTTTGAATTTATGAGGCTAAAGTGTAACAATATAAATGCATTAATAATGAGAAAAACTGAAATTTCACAGCAGCTTTGAAGTAAAAATTTAAAGTGCTTCAATTCTTTAAATTAAAAGAGAATGCAAAAAAAAAAACTCAAATTTTTTGGAATTGCTGAAATTGAAAGAGATTTTTAAAAGATGTTTTACCAGTTATTATGAGTATTTTTCAAATTTTTACAAATAAGCAAAAGCAAAACACACATCCATTAACTTGGAATTCAGTTCCTTTATGACCCCTCAAAAATCACATTTTTAACCTACCAATACCTCCTGATATCCAAAAGATGACTTTTACCAAATACGGCTACATTAAAATTATTACACCCAATAAAAGTAACAATAATTCCTTAACATCATCTAATACCTAGTTCATGTTCTATTTTCCCTGTTTGCATCAATTGCTTTTTTCAGGTTTCTCTGAATCAGGATCTAAGAACTGCATGTTGCATTTCACTAATATATATCTTTAAATATCTTTTGATCTATAAAAGTATCTCCTTTTTTTAAAAAACAGGCCATTTGTTTGTGGAAGAATAGAGAACATATGTCCTGAAGCTGTTCCCGTCTCCCAGGTGTGGCTCACAGTGGTGGTTATACGTTTCATGCTTCTTGTAAACTTGTAATTAGATCTAGAGGTTTATCAGACACAAGTTCATTTTTTTGGCAAGAACACTTCACGGGGTTATGATGCACAGTAGTCCCCTCTTATCGGTGGATTCACTTTCAGTGGTTTGTTATTGAGGAAACTGCTGTCCGAAAATATTAAATTGAAAATTCCAGAAATAAACCATTCATAGTTTTGAATTACATGCTATTCTGTGTTGCATGATGAAATCTCTCCATCCCTGTCTGTCCCACCTGAGACTCAGATCATCATCCCTTGGTCCTGTGTTTCCACGCTGTATAGTCTACCCACCTACCCGAGACAGACAAGCAGATACATTCAGCTACTAAACTACTAATAAAGTAAGATACATTTAAATGTCCCTGTATTGTTTGTGTTCAAACAGCCCTTATCTTACATAACTAAGGCCCCAAAGTGCAAGAGAAGTGATGCTGGCATGTTGCTATAATTGTTGTATTTTATTATTATTGTTATTCTCTTACCATGATTAATTTATAAATTAAACTTTATCACAGGGATATATGTATAGGAAAAAAACATAGTATAGAAAGGGTGTGAAACCATCCGAGGTTTCAGGCATCCACTGAGGGACTTGAAACATATTTCCACAGAAAACAGGACGGCTCTATTCCACATCACATTACACCGGGAAGCACACACTGCCTGGCTGTCTCCACTTCAGTGATGTTAAGACTGATCAGTGACTTTAGATGTTGCACAATTTGTTGTCGAGGGGAAAAGAAAACAACAGTAAAGGCTACTAGTTAAAGATGAAACTTTCATGAAGGTCTACTGATCCCTTCATACATACCCAATAGAACTGGGCACATACGATGCTTCTCTATGTAACTAGAGACTTTTTTTATTTCCCAGAAATCCTTTTTTTCCTACCATAAATACATACGAAAATTAAAAGGATACTCTAAGGCAGTTCTCACCATTGGTAATTCACAATTGGAATCTTTACTTAAAAGTAAATATTACAACCCAAACACTGGTTTCCATATTGGTACAAAAAGGATACTCCAAATAAGAATATCCATCAACAGGGCAAGGTGTGAAAAGTAAATAAAAATAAAACAGACAAGGGGAGTATCTGCTCTTATCCTCTCTAGATACCTAAGAGAAGTCTGCAGTACCTCCCCCATAGCCCAGCCAAGCTGGAAGGCTCTGATTAATTCCATGAACACAGAACACCATGCCCCTTTCAGATGTACCCCTCACACTAATGCAGATGTCTACATAAAAGTCATAGTATCTGGCAGGGTGCAGTGGCTCATGCCTGTCATCCCAACACTTTGGGAGGCTGAGGCAGGGAACACCATGCCCCTTTCAGATGTACCCCTCACACTAATGCAGATGTCTACATAAAAGTCATAGTATCTGGCAGGGTGCAGTGGCTCATGCCTGTCATCCCAACATTTTGGGAGGCTGAGGCAGGCAGATCACTTGAGGTCAGGAGTTCAACACCAGCCTGGCCAACATGGTGAAACCCTGTTTCTACTAAAAATACAAAAATTAGCTAGGGGTGGTTGTGCATGCCTGTAATCCCAGCTACTTAGGAGGCTGAGGCAGGAGAATTGCCTGAACCCGGAAGGCAGAGGTTGCAGTGAGCCGAGATTGCACCACTGCACTCCAGCCCAGGCAAGAGCGAGATGCATTTCAAAACAAAACAAAACAAAACAAAACAAAACAAAACAAAACAAGTCATAGTATCATCCTTCCTAGTACTAAAAAGGTAGAAATACTTTAAATACTTGGCACTGACAAAAGGCCCTTATTTAAAAGTTAATTCACATTTAGACAGTCACGTGCCACATAACATTTTGGCCAACAACAGATCGCACATACCACAGTGGATTCGTAAGATTATAATGGAGCTGAAAAATTCCTATTGCCTAGTGACATCATAGCCATTATAAGGTCATAGCACAATCACTTTGTTTTTTAAATAGATTTACTGTAGCCTAAGTGCACAGTGTTTATAAAGTCTACAATAGTGTATGGTAACATCCTAGGCCTTCACATTCACTCACAGGCTCACACAGAAAAACTTCCAGTCCTGCAAGCTCCATTTATGAAAACTGCCCTATATAGGTATACAATGTTTAATCTTTTATTACAGTATTTTTTAAAAATAGAGATAGGGTCTCACTCTGTTACCCAGGGTAGAGTGCAATGGTGCAATTATAGTTCACTGAAACCTCAAACGCCTGGGCTCAAGTGATCCTCCCGCCTTAGCCTCCCGACTTGTTAGCACTACAGGTTTGCACCATCGTGCCTGGCTAATTTTTCTTTTTCTTTTTTTTTTCCGTAGAGATGCGGTCTTGCTATGTTGCCCAGGCTGGTCTAGAACTCCTAGCCTTAAGCAATCCTTCTCAACCTCCCAAAGCACTGGGATTACAGGCCCACCATACCTGGCCTTTATATTTTTACTGTACCTATTCTATGTTTAGATATATTTAGTTACACAAATACTTACCATTGTGTTACAACTGCCTACAGTATTAAACATAGTAACTTGCTGTCCAGGTTTGCAGCCTAGATGCAGTAGGTTATACCACATAACCTAGGTGTGTAGTAGGCCATACTATCTATGTTTGTGTAAGTATACTGTATGATATTCGCACAATGATAAAATCGCCTAATATGCATTTCTCAGAACATATCCCCCTTGTTAAGTGACATGACTGGACTATGATTCTTTAATTACTTTCATGTAGTGCTTTTCCTCTAATAAAGTCCTAATATCCCTATCTGGCAGATGAAGATGCTCTAAAATCTTTTATCTATGATCATATACCCAATCAGCCTCCAGAGATGGCTCATAGATTCACACAGAGCATGGCAGACATTTTCAGGAAGATACTGCAGGCCCACTGAACTTCCTGCTTTGTATGCAGTCCAGAGTCCTGTTGACACTTGCTATGTCTGGAATGATATTAAATCACACTGTCCAGAATAATTTCCATCTATTTTCACAGGGCTAAATTTTATCTTGGGTTAGGTATGAAAAAGAACACTTCTCAAGGATAGTAAAATAGTTTATGTTCAATGAAATATTTTCATGGTTCAATGTTGTTTCATTCTTAATGATCATAAAACCTCTCAACTGCTCTGGACTCATTTTAATGACAGCTCTCTCGTGGCTGTGAATCACAGTTCACCAGCACATTAATTGGCAAGGTAACTACAGAAAAAGGGCTTCCTCGTGAGCTTCATTAAGTTTTCACAAATGACAGCAGCTTCAACTTCTTACACTTAATTTTCTTTCAGTTTAACACGAAGAGTCAATGCAAACCCCCCCAGCAGCTTGATGGGTAGATATTCTTACAAGTTTTTAAAAAGCCTTCATACTCCTGATTTTTTTCTTTCAGTAGATTGGTAGATATACTTAGTTTTTTAAAATTGGCAGTTATTACTCAAAACTTTTAGTAGATACTAATAATTATGGTCCACTCCAACATTATGAGCCCTGAAGCAAGATGCAAGAAAACAAATGAGCAATAATTAATTAACTCTTACATTTCAAGAGCAATACAAAAAAGCAGCTAGAGGAGGAAGGGAGAAAAACACAGGATGCTAATAATGGAAACACAACAGAGGCTTATGAGTCAACAGTGATAATGAAACCAGTTCACGATGGCTTGTACCTGCCGAAGTCTAGGCACCAGACACTATTTTAAGTGCTTTATGTTGTTTTTACTTATTTCTCAAATATCCTGTAGAGTAAGTACTCTTAGTCTTCCCATTCTAAAGATAAGGAAATGGACATATCAAAAGGTTATGTAACTGGCTCAAGAGTCACTTTGTTCCCAAGTGTGCAGGCCAAGACTTAAGCCCAGACCGCATGCAATCTGATCATTACTCTGTTGTCTCCTAACTACTGGGAGTGTAGTCCACTCTAAACGAGGTATGTTCCCCCTTTAAGATGAATACTATTACTTGTGTCTGATATTCTGACTTTCAACTTTGCAATTTTTCTGCAACATGGAACAAGTTCATTAAAGGAGAGCATTAGATTTCTGAAATATACCATACCTGAGATTATGAAAGGCAACAACGAATGCTACAATCACTGTGATGGACAGAACGAATATGTAAGCATAAAAAAGCAGAGTATCTGAAAGCCTTCCAAATGTATTAAAAGGCAGGAGGCCAAAAGCTTCTTCACACAGATAGAGATTTGCATCAAAATCCCTAGGGAACAAATGGAAAGCAAAGTATTAAATTCAATATAAGACAAAGAAATGACATTGCATCTTTCCTCAGAGGGAGTCTGCAATTAATAGTTGAAGGCACAATGACAACTTAAGTTTTAAAGTCCCTGCTGATTCAATAGAAAATAGCAAACATAGACTTTCAATTCAGTTATACCTTGTTGCTCCAAGCCCAAATTTTGCCTTCAGAAATTTAAATATGTGTTCATCTGACTTCAGGTTAAGAATTTTCTATCGGGGAAAGAGAAAACAAAAATTGCTATTAGTCCTTTAGGCACGGTTTCCTGATAACTTCCCATTGAATTTACATATTCAGTGTCCAATTTCACAGGAGCGTGTGGGTGTACAAAATCAGTAAATGTTCACAGTAGTTCTCAGAACTGAGGAATTCCAAAGCAGGGACTTCCAAACTCCTTCCAAACCCCACTCCCCTTTTTAGCATAATCCTTTATTCAAAAAACATCTTATACATAAGTTAAATATGCAAAATAGGTAAAAGATGAGATTTTTTGGTTTCAGGGAGAGGGAGAAGGCTGAGGCATAGTGTGCATAAGTTTTCAGACCAGAAAACTGACAAGACGATGATCTGAAACCTCAAATAGATACACCGCCCACAAAGCCTGTCTGGCTTTGGGGCTTTTGGTCTGTGGATACAATTGATCCAAGACTTATTCACTCAAAGACAATTCAAGACAGTTGTAACCCTGAAGGGGTGGACAGACAAATATGAGTGTTCATCATTAGTGATTACAATTTTAACTCATATAATTCTATTTTAAATTTGTGGCTTAAAAATCCATATATAATAACATAAATGGTGAAAAAATTTATTAGAAGAAAAATGAAGACAGGGAGAAAAGATGAAGCTAAAATTGAGTTCAGTACACACAATATATTCATTAGAGATGAGCCACAAATCTGGTCTTTTGCATTCCAGCAGCAAATGCAAACAGGGAGGTCAACATATTTATGTTACTCACGGGTTTATAAGAGTAAAACAAAACAGTTGCTCGGAAGAGATCTTAACAGTCCTAGAACTGAGACTCAAAATAATTTTTTCCCATGGGTAAAGCAAAAACAGCAAGGACTTTCAAGGAAAATTTTCTCTACTTCCTCTTGTTGTAGGTCACTGGCAAAACATCAAATGCAATTCAACAGATGTTATTCTTCGGGGAGTCAAAAAATGGTGGTCCAGGGATGCAGCTCTTTACTGGTTTAATCCAAGAACAGGTCACTGAATGTGTAGAGTGGGCCAATGCAAGAACTGTGTATCTTTGGCCACTCTTCCAGAAATGTTGGCTGCTCCACTCAAGTTTTGAAAAAAATTTTTTTAGTAGAGTTTAGATTTTGCTACATTTCCCAGGATGGTTTTGAACTCCTAGCCTCAGGCGATCCTCCCACCTCAGCCTCCCAAAATGCTGCGATTACAGGCATAAGCCACCACACCTGGCTTTGAATAGGCTTTTTAATTTTTAATTTTTGTGGGCATATAGGTGTATATATTTATGGAGTATATGAGATATTTTGACACAGGCATATAGTGTGTAATAATTCCATCAGGATAAATGGGGTATTCATCAACTCAAAAAAAGCTTTTGGCTGAGTGCAGCAGCTCGTGTCTGTAATCCTAGCACTGTGGGAGGCTGAAGTGGGAGCATACCTTGAGCCCAGGTGTTTGAGACCAGCCTGGGCAACATGACAAGATCCCATCTCTACAAAAATTGTGAAAATTAGCCAGGGGCGGTGGCACACACCTGTAGTCCCAGCTACTCAGGCTGAAGTGGAAGGATTGCTTGAGCCCAGGAGGTCAAGACTGCCGTGAGCCAAGATCGTGCCACTGTACTCCAGCCTGGGTGGCACAGTGAGATCCTGTCTCAAAAAAAAAAAGCAAAAAAAATTTAGAAATTTAAAAATAAATTATTGATAAGTACTTGACTGTATGGAGTTTAAGAACATACTGACAGCTGGGCATGGTGGTTCACGCCTACAATCCTTTGGGAGGCCAAGGCAGGTGGACTGCTTGAGCCTAGGAGTTTAAGACCAGCCTGGGCAACACAGCAAAACCTTGTCTCTACAAAAAATACAAAAATTAGCCGGTGTGGTGGTATACACACATAGTCCTAGCTACTCAGGAGGCTGAGGTGGGAGGATCACCTAAATCCAGGAGATCGAGGCTGCAGTGAGCCATGACCACACCAGTGCATTCCAGTCTGGGTGAGAGACCCTGTCCAAAAAAAAAAAAAAAAAAAAAGAACATAGTGACATAGTGACTGGCTGAGTGAAGAGTCTTTTTTTTCTTTGATAGTCAACAGACGTGAACAAGGACCACAGTTCTCTTGTGGAGAAGGAGCCTGTTTTGCAGATGCCTCCTATCCTGAGACCAACCTTCTAGGACAGGCAAAAGTATCTGAAGATACCAATGTAGTTTTGCTCTAGCATAAAAACAAATGGGATATCAAGGTCCAAGAATTATACCTTTAATAAAGCCTACCCTGAAAAAAAATTAAAACGCCAATAAAAACATTTAAAAAGCATGTTAAACTAAGCAGAGCCCCTGGGGCATTGTAAAAATCTTAGCAAAGCACCTACTGGACATAAAACCAATGGATGCCTACGTTACCAAATGAGTTGTTCTGTTAGGCCTGTTGCATATAAGTCAGTTAAATGTTGGGAAAAATGAGCTCAACTCTTCTTTCCAGCAGAAAGTAGATAGTAAGGCCACTTTACTTATTAACTGAACTCAATTAAAAATCATGTCTTTTTTTTTTAAGTACCACAGTACAGAAAGCTACGTGTATATTACGGTACTAAAAATAAAAATTTTAAATTTAGAGAAATTATTTGTTTAATGCTTTTTAAGTTAAGCTTTTAAAAGTTTCATAACAAAAGGTGAGTAAGTTCAAGGTGGGACATAAGAGTACATAGAAATTAATGACTAAAATCAACAAAATAATCCTTGCTACTAAGACAAAGTTAAAACTGAGCCTGTTTGAAGTAAAACTGGTAACTCTTGAGTCACGTTAATACACTTTATAAAGCAAGAATTTATTTAAAATTAAAAGTTTCAAAGAAGCCAGGTGTGGTGGTGCACACTTGTAGTCCCGGCAACTTGGGAGGCTAAGGTGGGAGGGCCATCTGAGACCAGGTGTTCAAGGCCAGCCTAGGAAACGGCAAGACCCTGTCTCTAAAACAATTAGTTTATTAAAAAAGAAAAAGAAAGTTTCAAAAATTATCTCCAATGCCATAAGTTAATTAAAAATACATTAAACATGTCATTTTTATTAACTTACCTTAATTATGTTGTTGAGAAAAAGTGTCAAACATAAAACCATAAATAAATGTAACAAAAGTTTCCCAAGCCTATTAAGGAAGCTTCCAGTTTTCAGATTTTTCTAGAAATTAAAAGAGTTATGTTTTAATTCTTAAGTTTTAATATAACTTCATAAACACTGAAGATGAGCTTACTTAAGGATTTAAAAACACTGGCTCATATAACATAAAGGGAAAATATATGTGGAAAATACAACCTACTCATTTTCATGAGGTTACACTGTCTTAATATTTGTGATTTTCTAGTAGTAAATGAATCACTTAATAATGAGCTTCATACGATGAGGAAATGTGTCCTAGTCTTTTTTTTCCTAATTATTTTTTCAGACCTTAGAAACAGGAGGATTGGGGTCTGCCATTTGGAAGGTACTCAGGATACGCTGACTGAACAAACTGTTACATCTTTTTCTTTTTTTCTTTTTCTTTTGAGACGGAGTCTCACTCTGCTGCCCAGGCTGGAGGGCAGCAGAGCAATCTCCGCTCACTGCAAGCTCCGCCTCCTGGGTTCATGCCATTCTCCTGCCTCAGCCTCCCGAGTAGCTGGGACTACAGGCGCCTGCCACAACACCCGGCTAAGTTTTTGTATTTTTAGTAGAGACAGGGTTTCACCATGTTAGCCAGCATGGTCTCAATTTCCTGACCTCGTGATCTGCCAGCCTTGGCCTCCCAAAGCGCTGGGATTACAGGTGTGAGCCACCACGCCTGGCCCTGTTACATCTTTTATCCATTAATTCCTACACCACGGGCATAGTTACAAGTCAATTACATAAAAGACTTATGGGTGTAAAAAGAAGTACATTGTGCCTTTTGACATATAATAGTTTTCTTATAATCTTGATAATTTTATACATTGTTAAATATAATAATATCTTAACAGTTCAAATACGAGTAATATTTATAATTAAGGTTAAAAGGATGACTGTGAACTGTTGTTTTTGATAGTCAACTAAAAACCTTTGTCCATAACAATTCTCACTCAAAAGACTAATAAGAAAAATGATTTCTTCTTCTAAAAGTGGAAAACAAAATGGCTTCTTGACACGGAAGTTTCTAGCATATGTGAAACAGGATGTTGTAATTTTAAGCAAAAACAAATGACTCATATCTTATGTAAATATAAGAAATTTAATTATATAAATAAAGCTAAAAGAGCAAGTCATTGTTTTCAAACATGATTTGACAATACCCTAGGAAATGTCCCATTATTTCTAAAGTTATTTATTTGGATTCTCAAAATTCTCAAAACAGTTAATTTTAATTCACCTAAAAATAACTAGTATGGTATGGAAGGATGGGGAAAAGAGTAGCATTACTACATCAAATAACAGGGTATCCACCAACGTGAAGGACTGTAATGAACACGCTCCCAACACAAGCAGGAGACTCTTCTCGCTCCTGAGTTCACACACATAAAAATTAATAACTTTTCTCTTTTACTTCAATTTTAAATCAGTGGCATTCAACCAAGCATCTTTGGCTGATCCCCACATTGAAGGTAAGGTTCCAATTCTCTAAGAAATAACTGTCAAAATAAAAGGATGACCCAGAAAGCTTGAAACAGAAATGCTACCACATGCACAAGAAAAAGCACACAATGCCACGTGCTCTTTTTAGTGCAAATCAGGTTGTAAATTTCCCTTTGTATGCTGTGTGAAAATAAGGTTCAATAAACCACGCAATTAAAAAAAAGTTTACTTTGATAAAGGACAAAAAAAAAGTCCTACCTGAAGTTTTCTTGCAATGAATACTGAAAGGTTAAAACTGATAAGCAGTGATCCAAGAATCATGGAATTAAAAAACTGAAGAATGCAGACCAGGAGTAAACTTGTTATCTGTATTCCATACAGCCATGTCGCCTGCAAGAACCAAAGATTAGATGAGTACAGACATTTTACCAAGAGATCATCACATGTCGACATGTTGGTCATGAGGTGGATACACCTCAGCTTACAAATAATGCAGAAAACACATGTAGATTCAAGAAACACAATCTAGGCCAGGCGCGGTGGCTCACATCTGTAATCTCAGCACTCTGGGAGGCCGAGGCGGGTGGGATCACCTGAGGTCAGGAGTTCAAGACCAGCCTGGCCAACATGGTGAAACCCCATCTCTATTAAAAATACAAAAAAAAAAAAAAAAATTAGCTAGGCGTGGTGGCTCGTGCCTGTGATCCCAGCTATTTCGGAGGCTGAGACAGGAGAATCGCTTGAGCCTGGGAGGCAGAGGCTGCAGTGAGCCGAGAATGCGCCACTACACTCCAGCCTGGGCGACAGAGTGAGACTCCAAAAAAAGAAACACAATCTAAAAAAGGAAACTAAATCATACACATACCAACTGTTTATTTACCTTTTAATAACAGAAATCTTCTAACATTAATTAAAGGGGAAGTAAAGAGGGATGATATGAAGTAGAGGAAGTAAACAACAGCAGAATGTATTTATTCCTGGGAATTGGCAAGGGCCATTTATAATCTTCAGTTTTCTTTTCAATGATTTCAGTTACTGTTTATGACCACCAATAAGTACTTTACTGTGTTATTTCCTAGTTTTCCATACTCTATACTTTAGGACTGTATCATTCCTTGCTTTGTCTGTGTGAGTGTGTGCCCAGATCCCCTGATTAGACTGCAAACCCCTCCTGCTGCATGACCTTGTCCTCTTTGACCTCACAGCTTCATAGCAGGCAGCACAGTACACTGGGCAATGACATCAGCTCCGGCACCAACAGCACCTGTACTGCAGTTCCGATTCTGGTGCAAACCAGCTATGTGACCTAAATGGTTCATCGTGAACAAGAGATGATGATACCTTCCTCACAGAGTTGATGTAGGGTCTCACAGAAGAACCAGACATGGTAATGGATGAAAATGCCTGGTGGCCAAGCACGGTGGCTAATGCCTGTAATCCCAACATCTTGGGAAGCTGAGACAGAAGGATTGCTTGAGCCCAGTTCAAGACCAGCCTGGGCAACATAGCGAGACCGTGTCTCTATAAAAATAAAACACTAGCCAGGTGTAGTGGTGCAAGTAGTCCCAGCTACTCAGGAGGCTGAGGTGGGAGGATCACTTGAGTCCAGGAGGTTGAGGCTGCAGTAAGCTATGATCGCTCCACTCCATTCCAGCCTGGGCAACAGAGCAAGACCTGGTCTCTAAAAAAAGTGGGGAGGCGTGGGTGGGGAGGAAATGCCTGGCACATAATGAGCACTAAGGATTAACTCTTGATGTAATGAAACTTATTGATAGGTTGATACCAAAAGAAGCAAAACACAACTAACTTGAATACACGAAACACGCCACAAAGAAAAAAAAGGCAGTCCCTAATAAAGAGTGGACACTTATTCTGTTAGTTTTCTTCTTCTCTTTCAAATTAGACAATGCCATACTCATTCTGACAAGTGAAAAATACGTTTTATTTAGCAGCAAATCCGATTATCCCCATGGTTTTGTTCTCTTAACCTCAAGGGAAACAAACCTATTGATAGAAGCATTGAAAAGTGAGGCTTGCAGCAGTTCAGTGCTTTTGCTTAGTGTCAATGGGAACTCAGGGAAATGGATGCTGATGATCTTTAGGATCATAAAGATAATGTATCTTACTCTAGGAGAGTTAGACACTTCAGAAAAACACAAAAAAGAAATAGCAATCAATAGGTGGGCTCTTGAGTCAAAACCCAGCACCATTACCTAAAGAAATAATATTGATTTCACAGCAGTATATAGTATTTCATATACAGGATTTTACATCCTTCACATCCTACCATATCACTTTCTCACATCAGTGACTATTCTGTGAAAACTTAAATTTTAAATGGTTATGTAACATTCCACCATATGCCATAATTTGTTTGCCACTGGACCATTTAGGTGTTTCTGGCTTTTTATTAACATTGTGAACATCTCTTTAAAAATTTTTTTCAGGTCTGATTCTCAGAATTCCTAACCGAATTGTCTGATTAGTTACATATTTTGTTCACTGCTGTATCCCCAGCACCTTAAAGAATACACACTAGAAGAGCGGCACTTAATAAACATTGGAGGAACTGATGAATAAAAACATTTCCTTAGGGATAGATCCCTGAGTACAACTACTGGTTAGAGAAGGAAGAGTTTTTCCTTCTTAGCAGTTTTATTAGTTGATATAATTCATATACCATCAAATTCACCCATTTAAAGTGTGCTTCATGATTTTTGGTATATTCATAGAGTTGTGCAACTCTCACCTCAGTCTAATTTTATGACATTCTCATCACTTCGAAAGAAACCCATATCCACTAGCCATCACTCTCCATCATCCCCTACCCCCAGCTCCGGCAACCACTGATGTACTGTTCTCTACAGATTTGCATATTCTGGACATTTCACAGAAATGGAATAAAGTGCAGTCTTTTTAGCTATCTTCTCTTACTTAGCATGGTGTTCTCAAGTTTCATCCATGTTGCACCATGTATCAACATTCTTTTTTATTGCTGAACACTATTTATTGCACAGCCGGACTACACTGTTTATGGAAGGGATATGGGCATTCGGGTGGTTTCCACTTTGTAGCTATGAATCACACTGCTATGAATATTCATATACAAACATTTTTGCATGGATATGTTTTCATTTCTCTTGGGTATGTATCTAGGAGTGGGATTGCTAAATCATATGGTAACTCTATATTAAAATCAAGAAATGCTGAGGAAATGCTGTTTTTCAAAGTGACTACACCATCTTATAATCCCATCATCATCAATGTATGAGAGTTCTGATTTCTTCACATCCGCGACATTTGTCTCTGTTTTTTAATTTTAGCCATCCAAGTGGGTGTAAAGTGGTATCTGCTTGTGGTTTTGATTTGCATTTCTCTGATAGCTAATGACGCTGAGCATCTTTTCCTGTGTTTATTGGACATTTATGTATCTTACCTGGAGAAATATCTACCCAAATCCTTTGCTATTTTATCATTGAAAGAGTTATAAGAGTTCTTCATATATTCTGGGAGTTCCTGATCAGATATATGATTGCAAATATTCTCTCTCGTTCTATGGGTTGTCTTTTTACTTTCCTAATAGCACACTTTTGAGTACAACAGTTTTAATTTTGATGAAGTCCAATTAATCTGTTTTTGTAAAAGTCACTTGTGCTTTTGGTATTGTATCTAAGGTTTGTGCTACTCCAAGGTCAGGAAGAGTTATTACTATGTTTTCTTCTAAAAGTTTTGGTTTTAGCTCTTACACTTAGGTCTGTGATTCACTTTGAGTTAGTGTGTACAGTGAGAGGAAGGGGCTCAACTTCATTCTTTTGCATGTCGGTATCAGTTATTCCTGCACCATTTGTTGAAAACACCATTAATTCTCCATTTAGTTATCTTCACACCCTTGTTGAAAATTAATTGACCATTTCTTGTGCAGGTTTATTTCTCTCTCTCAATTCTATTCCATGGGTTTATGTCAATTCTTCTGCTAGTATCACACTGTCCTGATTACTATAGCTTTGCAGTAAGTTTTGTAATTGGAAAGTGTGAGTCTTCCAACTTTACTCTTCTTTTTCAAGATTGTTGTAGCTATTCTGAGTCCCCTGAGTTTCCATATGAATTTCAGGATTAGCTTGTCAATTTCTGCAAAAACTCCTCCTGGGATTCTGAGAGGGAATGTGTTGAATCTGTAGATCAATTTGGGGGGCACTGCCATCTTAACAACAGTAAGTATTCCAATCCAAGAACGTGAATTATCTTTCCAATCTAGGCGTTTAAAACTTTCAACAATGCTTTGTGGTGTTTTGTAAAGCGTAAATTGTCACTTTGTGTTACATTTGTACCTATGCATTTGACCCTTTTTGATGCTCTTCTTTCTAGGAAGTGTTTGTATCCTTTGTTCCCTTTTCTCATTGGTTTATAAATGGTTTTCTCATGGATTTGCAGGAACTCTTAAGGATACTAACTCATTTACAAATGCTTTTTTTCCAAAAACATCTTTCTGGTTGCCTTTATTTGTGGGTGTTTTTTGATGTTTACAGTTCTTTTTATATCAAGTGAGAGTATTTCTAGAAAAAGGGGCAGTTTGTGTAACAACAAGATTGTATAGTTTTATATACATTCAAAAGAAAAATTGCTGATGAACAGCCAAAAATGTAAAATTGAGCAGTACTGTGTATTAGGAAGTCCTGGATTATCAGCGGTGTACTGGATATTCTTTCCCAGTTCTATTAGTACAGTACAGTATAGAAACAAGGCAGCAAGAATATAGTTGACCCCTAAACAACACAAGTCCAATTATACATAGATTTTCTTCTGCCTCTGCTACTCCCGAGACAGTAAGACTAACCCCTCCTGTACCTCGTCCTTGGCCTACTCAATGTGAAGATGAGGATGAAGACCTTTGTGATGATCCACTTCCACTTAATAAACAGTAAGTATATTTTCTCTTCCTTTGGATTTAATTAACATTTCCCTTTCTCTAGCTTACTTTATAATAAGAATATAGTATATAATGCATCACATACAAAATATCTGTTAATCAACTATGTTATTGGTAAGGCTTCTGGTCAACAGTAGGCTACTAGCGATTGAGTTTTTGGGGAGTCAAAAATTGTGTGCAGATTTTCAACTGCTGGGGGGAGACATCGGCACCAGTAGCCCCTGTGTTGTTTAAGGGTCAACTGTATATCCTTTCTGTGTAGAATAACTACAGCTGTCTTCAATGGATCGTGTCCATGCTCCTCATCACCATTCATAATAACCACAGTTAATATCTGTTTAACATTAATAAAATAGCAAGCATTGTTCCATACGACCCACATATGACTCATTCAAACTTAGGCAGCCTAGTTGTAGAGTCTGTGTTCTTAACCACTATGCAATATTGGCTACCACGTAAATAGTACCACAGAGGCTCAAAACTTTGTTTTACACATTTTATTTGTGTAAATTTAAGGGATATAAGTACGGTTTCGTTACACGTACATAACATATACTGATGAAGTCTGGGCTTTTCGTGTATCTATCACTCAATGTGAATTATATCCATTAAGCACTCAACACCCACCCACCTCCCACTCTTCCTGAGATCAGAACTTTCAAAGTCTGTTAAGATTGAAAAGTTTTTAATGTTCCAAGGTAATTATGGAGAAGGTTCGCAATTTTACTAATCTTTCAAAGAGCCAGCTCTATCTATCTATCTATCTATCTATCTATCTATCTATCTATCTAATCTATCTATCTATGAATGAGATGGAGTATCTTATCTAATCTATCTATCTATCTATCTATCTATCTATCTATCTATCTATCTATCTATCTATCTATGAATGAGACGGAGTTTCGCTCTCATTGCCCAGGCTGGGGTGCAATGGTGCAGTCTCAGCTCACTGCAACCTTCGCCTACTGGATTCAAGTGATTCTCCTGCTCAGCCTCCCAAGTAGCTGGGATTACAGGTACCCACCACCACGGTCAGCTAATTTTTCTATTTTTAGTAGAGACAGGGTTTCACCATGTTGCCCAGACTGGTCTCAAACTCCTGACCTCAGGTGATCCACCTGCCTCAGCCTCCCAAAGTGCTGGGATTATAGGCAGAGCCACCGTGCCCGACCAAGCTAGCTCTTTTTAATTAATTCTATTATTCATGTTTTCAATAGCATTGATTTCTGCTCTTTATTATTTTCTTCTCCTGGCTTGAATTTATTTTGCTCCCTTTTTTAAGGTGAGAGCTTGGATGACCGATTTCAGACTTTCTGTCTTTTCTAATATAAGCTTTTTAGTGCTACACATTTTCTTCTTAATACTGCTTTGGATGTGTCCCACAAATTTAAACATGCTTCACTTTCATTTTCATTGAGTTCAATGCTCTCCGAGGTTCCTCTTAGACTCTTTTTTAGTGTATATCTTTATATATTTTTAAAGTGGTTATTCTGGCTATTACTACTATAGATGTAATAGTGAGCTTAATTCCCAAGTATTGAAACATTTCCTGTTATCTTTCTGTATTGATTTCAAATTTGAATCCATTGCAGTCAGAGATTATATTCTCTATAATCCTAATTCTTTTATGTTTGTCGTTGTTTTATGGCTCGGGAGATAGTCTGTTGGTAAGTATTCTGTGAATGCTTGAAAAGAATGAGTATTCTGCTGTTACTGGGTGGAGTTTCTATAAATGATCATTAGATTCTGTCGGTTGAAGGTGTTGTTGGGTTCTATATCTCTGATGATTTTCTGTCTGGTGTTCTATCAATTGTCCAGAGAGATGTGCTGAAGTCTCAAACTGCGATTGTGAATTTTTCTATTTCTCCTTTCAGTTCTGTCAGTTTTTGCCCCACACACGTTGCAGTACTGTTGTTTGGTGCAGGTACACTTAGGATTGCTATTTCTTCTTGGTACATTGAACGTTTTATCATTATATAATGTTCTGTTCTGTCCCTAGTAATTTTCTTTGCTCTGATATCTACTTTCTCTGATATTAACATAGCTACTCCTTTCTTTTGATTGATACTTGCATGTTGTATCTTTTTCCATCCTCTTACTTTCAATTTATCTATATTGTTGTGTTTGAAGTGTGTTTTAGACAACAGCTGGGTCATGCTTTTTAAATCCACCCTGCCATCTCTTTAATTAGTATATTTAGATCATTTACCTTTAATGTAATTATTGCTATTTTAGTCTTAAATCTGCTCTTTTATTCTTTTTTGTTTGCTTGCTTCTAATTCCTGCTTCCTTCTTCCTGCCTTCCTGTAGGTTACCTGAACATTTTTACAATTTCATTTTTATTTATCTGTACTGTTTTTTCATGTACTGCTTCGTATAGTTTTTTAAAGTGGTTATTCTGGCTATTACATTATGCATTAATAACTTATTACGGACTAGTGGTATAGACATTTTAACTGTTTGAGTGAGGCATAGAACCCTAACCTCCATTTAAGTCTCATTACCCTTCCCATTTATATTGTTAAAGTATTTCTTTTACATATAGAGAACCACATAAGACAGTGTTATAATTTTTGCTTCAGCTATCAAATATAATTTTTTTTTTTTGAGACGAAGTTTCACTCGTCTCCCAGGCTGGAGTGCAATGGCACAATCTCGGCTCACTGCAACCTCCGCCTCCTAGGTTCAAAGCAATTCTCCAGCCTCAGCCTCCTGAGTAGCTGGGATTACAGGCACCCATCATCACACCTGGCTAATTTTTGTATTTGTAGTAGAGATGGGGTTTCGCCATGTTGGCCAGGCTGGTCTCGAACTCCTAACCTCAGGTGATCCACCCACCTCGTCCTCCCAAAGTGCTGGGATTACAGGTGTGAGCCACGACGCCCAGCCTCAAACGTAATTTAGAAACTCAAGAGAATAAGAAAAGTCTGTTATATTTATTCACATTTTTACTTTTTTCATTGCCTTGTCTTCCTTTCTGATGCTCTTAAATTCCTTATCATTTCCTTTCTGTTTCAACAACTTCCTTTAGCTATTCTCTTACGGTAGGACTGCTGGCAATATTAGTTTCCTTAATTGAGAATGTTTTGATTTCCCTTTCATTCCTGAAGGACATTTTAACTAGGTATAGGAGTGTAGGTTGATGGTTTTTTTTTTTTTTTTTTTTTGAGATGAAGTCTCGCTCTGTCCCCCAGACTGGAGTGCAGTGGCGCGATCTAGACTCACTGCAAGCTCCGCCTCCCAGGTTCACGCCATTTTCCTGCCTCAGCCTACCAAGTAGCTGGGACTACAAGCGCCTGCCACCATGCCTGGCTAATTTTTTGTATTTTTAGTAGAGACAGGGTTTCACCATGTTAGCCAGGATGGTCTCTATCTCCTGACCCCATGATCCGTCTGCCTCGGCCTCCCAAAGTAATGGGATTACAGGCGTGAGCCACTGCACCCAGCCTTGACAGTTCTTTTTTTCTGCATCTGAAAATACTAGGCCACTTCCTTTTGGCCTCCATTGTTTTTTGTTTTTTTTTTTTTTTTTGAGACTGGGTCTTGCTCTGTTGCCCAGGTTAGAATGCAGTGGTGCAATTACAGTTCACTGAAGCCTCAATTTCTCCCACTTCAGCCTCCCAAGTATCTGAGACCTCAGGCACGTTGCTACCATGCCTGGCTAATCATTTTATTATTATTATTATTTATAGAGATGGGGTTGCATCATGTTGCCCAGGCTGGTCTCAAACTCCTGGGCTCAAGCAATCCACCAGCCTCAGCCTCCAAAAGTGCTGGGATTACAGGCGTGAGTCACTGTGCCCAGCCCCTCCTTGATTTTGATGAGGAATTCACTGTCATTTAAATTGGTTTTCCCCTATAGGTACAGTATTTTTCTGACTACTTTCAATTTTTTAAAATTTATCTTTAGTCTCCAAAAGTTTGATTATAATGTGTCTTAGTGTGGCTCTATTTGGATTTATCCTGTTTGATATTAGTTCAGCTTGCTGATTCTGAAGGTTTATAGCTTTTGCCAAATTTGAGGAAATTTCAACTATTTTTTCCGAAAGTATTTCTTTGCATACTTTTTTCAGCTTCAGTAAACTCTTTTCTTGTCTTCTTCTGGGATTCTGATTACCTGAATGTTAGACTTTTCATTATAGTCTCACAGGTCCTTGAGGCTCTGTTCATTTTTGTTTCATTCTATTTTTTCTTGTTGTTCAGATTAGGTAATTTCTAAATTGTTCTATCTTCAAGTTCACTGATTCTTTCCTCTGACTACTTCATTTTGCTGTTGAGTCCATCCACTGAGTTTTAAACTTCGATTACTGGAATTTTTCTGTTCTAAAATTTCCACTTGCTTCTTCTTTGTATCTTCTACTTCTTTGCTTAGAGTTTGTATTTTCATTTGTTTCAAGTGTGTTCGTAATTGCTCAATGAAGCTTTTTTTTTATGATGGCTGCCTTAAATTCCTTGTAAGATAATTCCAATTTCTGTGTATCTCAGTGTTAGCATCTATTGATTGTCTCTTTTCACTCAAGAGAGATTTTCCTAATTCTTAATATAAGAATTTTTTTTTCTTTTTTTTTTTTTTGAGACAGAGTCTTGCTCCGTTGCCCAGGCTGGAATGCAGTGGCCCCATCTTGGCTCGCTCAAGCTATTCTCCTGCCTCAGCCTCCTGAATAGCTGTGATTACAGGCACATGCCACCACAGCCAGTTAATTTTTGTATTTTTAGTAGTGACGGGGTTTCACCATGTTGCCCGGGCTGATCTCAAACTGACTTCAAATATCTGCCTGCCTTGGCCTCCCAAAGGGCTGAGATTACAGGCATGAGCCACTGCGCTCGGCCTAAGAAGTGATTTTTAACTGTATCCTATTACATTATGGGACCCTGGATCTTATTTAAATCTGCCATGTTAGCAGGCCTCCTGTGACACCATGTGTCTTGGTCCATTTAGGCTGTTATCTAACAAAATACCGTAATCTGGGTAGCTTATAAACAACAAAAAAGTTACTTCTCATAGTTCCGGAGGCTGGCAAGTCCAAGATCAAGGAACTGGCAGATTCAGTGGCTGGTGAGGGCTTATTTCCTGGTTCACTGATGGCACTTTCTTGCTGTGTCCTCCTCACATGGTGAAAGGGGTGAAACAGCTCCCTTGTGCCTGTTTTATAATGGCACTAATCACCTTCTAAAAGGCCCTACCTACCTCCTAATACAATCACCTTGGGGATTTGGGTTTCAACATATAAATTTGGTGGGGGACCACAAAAACATTCAAACTATGCCAACGCTATGCTAATGGGGAAAGAAGGGTGCTGCCTCAGTACTTTCAGACGGAAATGGAAGTCCAAGGTGCCCACTTGCCCTCCACTGACATCTGGGGGTCAGCAGAAGGTGTACTTCCTTATTGCTGGGTGAAGGCGAAAGTTCAGGCTCTCTACAGGTCCCTGCTGACACATGCTGGCTGGGAGAAACAGAGGTGCGTCACCACTGCTCCCTACATGGCCTGCACCGACAGCATGGGGTAGGGCAGTAGAGAAAGGCTTATTACATCTGGGTGGTGGTTAGAGTCTCAACCTCCCTGTTGACCTTCTCTGACACCATCCTGATAGAGAGGGGACAGGATGTCTCATTACCACTGAGTGAGAGTTGAAGTCCAAGTTTCCCAAGTGGCCTTCACAGATGTCTCTGGGAGATGGTGAAAGTTCTGGTTCCCCACTAGACTTCTCTGACATAGCTCTGGCAGGAAGCAAGGCATGCCTAGTGACAGCTAGGTGAGGGTAGGAATCTAGGCTTCCCACTGAACTTTACTGATGGAGGTGGGAGTGGAGCTGTGGTTTTGCTTCTGTAGCATTTCGCTAGAATAAGGCAGTTAATGTTTGAAAGTTTTCTGTCTTGTTAGGCTTCCTCTCTTCTGGTCCTTTTGCTAGAGGGAGGAGGCTTTTTGTTTGAGTCCATTGTTATTCCCAGGTTTCTGACTTCTCCAGCACCCAGTCAAGGATATATGGGGCAAAAAGAAAACCCAAGAAACTCGCTGTCAAATTTTCCCTCTGGTCGCAAGGTCCCTAGGCAGTCTGCTTCTCTCTACCTCTCAAATTCCTCTTATGTTTGTTATATACATATACTGTCTAAGGTTTTTCAATGTACTTTGGGGAGGAACGGGGAGAAATGTCTCTACTCCCTCTTGTCTGGAACCATGTAGGGTACTTAACATGATCTCTTAAGCATTTATCATGAATGCGTCTGTTTCCACAATAGATTAAGAAAACTTTATTAACCTCCATATTTTAGCCTTTAATTAAGCAAAAGTATACACTTTATAATATGCTTGCTGTTCTGTTTTACTCTGTTCACATTTCTGACTGGAAACTTGAGGTTTTGCTGGTAAGAGTTTCATCATTCATGAAAAGATGACAAAATGTACTGTAGAAGGTACTGCTTCTTGTCACCACACTGAGCTCTGAATTTGTATTACCTTTTTCTATACCAATTATTCTGACTCTTTCCCATTTGACATGGTTAGAGAGAAGTGATTCTAATTTATGAAGAAACTAAGTTAAATCACTTGCCTAAGCTGAAAGAGCCAGTTATTTTCAGACCTGACAGCAGCAATTTAGTTTTATAACTCAGGATCCTTTCATTGTAATAATGTTCCTCCTTAAAGTCTGATACTTAAAACTACTTCTAATACCAACACAGTTTCAAATGTAAAAGTTGAACAAAGTTTAGAACTAAATAAAAAATCAATTAGCTATATTATTTTAAAATGTTGTGTATGTGAGCCAAAACAGTACCTTTGCTTTCTAATTTTAAAAGAGATACATGTTCAGATGGGCACAGTGGCTCACACCTATAATCCCAGCACTTTGGGAGGCCAAGGCAGGTGGATCCCTTGAGGTCAGGAGTTCAAGACCAGCCTGGGCAATATGGCAAAACCCTGTCTCTACTAAAAATACAAATATTAGCCGGGTGTGGTGGCATGCACCTGTATTCCCAGCTACTTGGGAGGCTGAGGCAGGAGAATTGCTTAAACTCAGGAGGTGGAGGTTGTAGTGAGCCAAGATCGCGCCACTGCACTCCAGCCTGGGAGACAGAGTGAGACTCCATCTCAAAGAAAAAAAAAAAAAAAAAGAGACACATGTTCATTATCAGAAAAAATCAAAAGATCTAAAGAACAAAAAGAATATGCAGAACATCAATCGTGTAGCTGACTGTTGATACTTTACTGTGTATTTTTCCAGAACCTTTACTCATTTTCTCTATGTTTCGCTTTTTCAAAAAAATATGGGGGAACTAATGGTTATATAATATTTGATTGCATAGATATGCCATCATTTATTTAAGTATACCCTATTGCTATTGGCTCAAGTCATTTCCAGTTTTTTATTTCTTTTTATCTTTTCCGCCCAGCTTTTTCTTATTACAATACAACTAAAATGAACATGGCAGATTATTTACTTAGGACAAACTTATAGGGGTAGAAATGTTGGTGAAAAGGCAAATACATTTTTAGGCTTTTGATACCTACTGTGAAACTACACTAAAGAAAGATTATAGGAGTGTATAGGTTACCAGCAGTGTAGGAGTGGTCACTGGCACACCTGCAGAAACACTAAACATTTCATATACATATATAAACTTAGTCCTATCTACTTGCTCTTGCTGCATTCCACCTTCCTATTCTGCCCCCACCCCTGACATCCCACCCAAATTCTACCCTCACTTGTGATCTAGGTGGTCCAGTTCTAGCTTCTTACTTCTGTAAACACTTCTCTGCCTAAAAATAACTTTTCTTCTTTTAGATATATCAGTATTGCTAATTAGCAGCTATCATTTGTCTGCTTGTTCTTGTTGTCTGTGATCTTTGTTTCCCAAGCTAAAAGGCAAACTGTGGCTATGACAATGAATTACACATATTGGCATTTTCTGTAGTGCCCATTCTATTACAGTGTCTCAGTAGACAGGCAATGTGTATTTCTTGGTAGACTTTTATGTTTCTTAATTCAGACTCAGTCAGTTATGGAAGCTTACTGGATCTCCTTTGATATGGAATAAATGAGCACAAATCCTTGGGCTATGCTGCTGCCTTAGATATGGAGAAAGTATTTTATTATACTTGGGAAATATTTAAGTTACTACTACTTTAGAATACTAACTATAAGCCATTTTAAAACTGTACGCAATACATAAAATCATATTTTTGCACATGAAAAAATGTGATTAAATGACAGCAGCAGACATTAGGAGACAGATACTGGTTTCTTTATTTCACATGTGACTTTCAGCCAGTCAACAGGGATTCACATCCCATATTAGTTAAATGTGACTATGAAAATTTTATAAAGTACTACAAAAAAGCTGTTATATACCTATTGATTTCTTTTTTAAAAGTGGCAGTACACAGTAAGACATTTTAAAAGAGCTATCTTATATTTTAAAATTTAAGTCATCTCTATAAATAACAATTGACCTAGGCATTTATGCCCCAAAATAAAATCCATTCCATTTTTTAACTTAAAATAAGCGAATAAAAGTTAAGATGGTCAAACTAGGCTTCATAAATTACTCAGCTTCAATTGGCCACAGCAAATTTACAGCAGATCTAAGAAACAGCTTCAATTTTATCCATAAGTACTTGCATATTTTCATCTCATTCTATGATATAAAAACACTAAATGGCCAAAATCTCAAGTGAGAAAAGAAAGCAAAGCTCACCTTCACTGCTGGCAGCATGTCCAGGGAGTCCAGTGTGAACAGCACTAATGCTTGCATCAGCATCATAAATTGATTAAATTGCCATGTCAGACTAAAGAGAAAAGTTGATATGAAAATGGCAAGAAGTGTCAGCCTCTGTAAAAAGAAAACCTTTGTATAATTTACATGTCTCTAGTAATAAAAAACCTTGCAGACAAGTTTTCTCAAGAGCAGCCAGTATCTCTATAAACCAAACAGAAAAACCATAAACTGTTGCTCTGAAAACCCTTGCATTTGTTATTTAAGCTCTAACTATCATAAAGTGACACTTTGCATATAAATATTCACATACGGTGTGTGTATTCCACACTATTATGGAGGCGATAATGCACCAAATCACATCTCAAGAGCAAGGGCTTAAAAATTCTGACAGTTTGCAGAAATTGTGTGTGGGTTTGCTGCAACTATTTAAGGGTAGATTATGTAGAGTACATTTTTAACATCAAAAATGAAAACATTTTCTTTGCAAAGTAGAAAAAAGCTCACGAAAAGAAAACTTAATTTAACTCAAGTTTAAAAATTGGTCATGGAATAAGAACTATTCACATGCATTGGGATACTAAGCACATCACATTTTTTGAAGCTTCATATATAAAATTGGGGGATTAAAATATATGAAATTTTATAAACACTTACTTCAGAAAGAGGCTGTAAGTTTGGTCTCAGGAAATATGTAATTGCTGCTATCTGAATTGCAAAGAATGGCAGCGCCCAGTTCTCCCTCAGTGGGATGGTAAACTCAACTCTTGTGGTATCTATTCTGCACAAAAGAAAACACAAATGGCCAAAGTGATAGTTTTTACAATAATTTCCTCGAAGACTTCCTCAACGAAAGATATATTACATTAAGGACAAGTATACTTAAGATTCTGGCCACTGGTTCTCAATAATTGTCCTTATCATCATCATCATCATCATCATCATCATCCCTGTAACATAAAATTGGCATAGAGAACATTTAAGTGCTCTGTCCATGGGTATGCCCTTAGCACCTAGGGTTCAAGCCCAGGTTAGCCTTACTCCTAAACTCACAAATGTATCATGCCAAACCCTTACTTTCATTTCTCCCTCACTTTATTAGTGTCAAGAGGCAATACACATTTTCCCTCTCTCTGTATTTCTTTGGTGTTTTTTATACTTGAGTCTTAAATATGTCATTGACAGTATTTTTTAAAAAAACTTCCTGCCTCTCTAGAATGTGAATCCCAACAGGGCAAGTATGGGTAAAATTTTTCATCTTTGTACACCATCCCCACACATACTAGGCATTCAATAAATGATACACTTATGTAACACATAATATACGTGTGTGTATCTACATCTCAAACAAGGTACCTATATCTACATATATCTCTCTATAAAAGATAGAGATATATATGAAACAATGTATCAAACAATGTATCTATATCTACATATATCTCTATATAAAAGAAATATATATAGATGTCTGTAATATCTGTATCTATATACAAAATGTAACCTTTAAAGCCTCAATTTTATCATTTCTAAAATGGGGATAATAATAATATCTACTCTATAGGGTTCTTCTAAGAACCCATATAACACATATTGTAAAGTGCTTGGCATACAGTAAACCCCCAACAGGACTGTCATAACACGTAATTTGCTTAGACTTACAAAATAAAACCTGTATTAGAACTCATGTTCAAGTTTTAAGACTCCTATTGAATACTGGTATTGCCATTATAGGACAGGCAATAATTTAATGATCTTGAATACATTTTTTTAAAATGTGATTTCATAAGGCTCTACTGCTTATAATAGTAGATATTAAATAAGGCAAAAACGCCCTTGCATTTTATCTTTAAGCTCTACTAACTGAGAGCCATACACAACCCTATTAAGGTTGATAGTGAAGATATAATTAAAACTTTTTAGGCAAGGCACAGTAGCTCATGCCTGTAATCTTGATACTTTGGGAGGCCAAGGTGGGAGGACTGCTTGAAGCCAGGAGTTCAAGACCAGCCTGGGCAACATAGGGAGATCCTGTCTCTACAAAAAACAAAAACAACCCCTAAATAAATAAAAATTTTAAAAGTCTTCATTGGCTTTAAAAAACAGCAAGAAAAAAACCCAAAAAACTTTTTAATGACTGATACGTTAATTACCTTGATCTGATCACTATACATTCTATATGTATTGAAATATCACTATGTAGCCCATGAATATGTATAATTATTATTTGCCAATTTAAAAAAACCCTTTAAGAGATGAGATATGCGGCTGGAGAAATCTTGATCACCCAGCAAACAGATAATAGGTTTGGGATTATTATGAATGATTTTCTTGATATGCAATTCAATGCTCTCTGTTCCTCAGCTGGAATTACATGTAAGTAGCACTTTCTCCCTAACTAAATAAGAAAAATTGAGTAAACCACCAGGCAAACCAAAGAGAAACTGCTCCCAACCAAACAAATGTGGCAGAAGAAATTTCTCTGAGCTGGAAATGAAGTGACTTCATTTTTACTTACATTTTGGAAAAAAAAGAAGCATACTGACTCCAACTCACCTATTTGTGACATACCAGAAAGCTGCCAACAGTCCTGACAGCCATGTACCACTGAGTAGCCAGCTGGTTATGTAGAGAGCTGTGACATAGATCGCCTGGAGCCCAAATAAGGTGTAAATATAAAAATAAACTGGCTCTAAATATTTCTGTAAAAGGGAACAATAAAACATGTTTGTCAGGTGAGCCCTAACCCTCCTCAGTGCCATTTAAAACATGACAGTAGGAATACAATATGCAGGAGCTTGCCTCTAATTCCAAGCAGCAAGCCCACACCCCTTTCATCTATTAGAGAAGCGTTCGGGTAGCCTTTCTTCCCACCACCGAGAAGAGACAGGGGAAGGAAGTCCGTGACAGGTCTGGCTTCACTCTTTACTCTAGAAAGTTTTATACCTAACTTTGTCTGATGATACGTCATTCACATGAGAAGTGGTCATTGTGATTTGCTGACTTTACAAATTTTTTCTCTCAAAGATCCATCAGGAGTGAATGTGTAATCACTCCTGATTACAGAGAGCAAATGAAAATATTTATTAGCTTCTAGACCGCATACATACATAAGCCAGGAAGCATCTGTGTACAAAAACCTTATATCCTATGTAAATAAAAAGCAGTATCTTATAAAGTTCATAATATACATGGAAAAAAAATATAGTATTGCTGATTTTCTACTAAACCAGTTGAAGATCAGAAAGAACGATGTGATAACTTTCAGTTCAAAATGGCAGACTTTGACTTTCATCTGATATTAATAATTCAATATCACAAAACATACCTGTATGGGTAGAACTCTATATAAAATACTGAGAAAAACCTCTTGGTAAATATTCATTCGCTGAAGGAGGTTAATTGTCTTCATAGATTCAGTTTTATTATCATATATTAGGCCATGAAAACCTATAGATATGTGAAAAGTCAGGAAGAAAATAATTACACTCATAATTATTCATTCATTCAAAACTATGCACAGATTGTTTAGTAAGTGCTAGAGACTGTGGTAGGCATTGGGGATATAAGAGTAAGCAAAAAAAACATACTCCTGCCCTCAAAGAGCTTACCACATATTCGATGGACATCATTTAAACATTTACACAAACATAGGTAAATTAAAACTTTTGTAACTGGAATGAAACCACCACCACCACCACCACAAGGTCCTTCTCTAGAAATGTGGGCAAGAGGATTTCACATTTCTCCACCCTGCCCTCCTGCCATGCAACCTGCAGTATCTCCTTTGGGAGAGTATACATGGCCTTCCTTCTCCACTCCCCAGAACGGCTTTGGCCATGTGCTCTAACCAGTGGCATGTAAGTGGATGTAAGCCATAGCTGAGCAGAGGCTTTAGAAGACAAGGCATGTTTCTACCAGCTCTTGCTCTTGCCCTCTGCCATGACACTGGCACATTCCAAATAGGGCTTGAATGCGCAGATGTTGGGGGCAGACCAGAGCTGCAGCTCCCTCACAGCAGACATGTCATGAGAAGGATGAAGGAGAACTTGACCTGCTGTTACAGAGATCCACAGCCACAGAGGTCCTCTGTCACTGTAACCAGGCTAATTAATCCAAGGCATGAATGGATAGTTCACAGAAGAAAACATGCACACAGTCCTTCCACACAGGAGAAGATCCTCAACCTTGCTCCTATTAAAACAGTGCAAATTAAAACTACCCTGAGGGATGCTAGTTCTCACCTACTGCCTTGGCAAAAAAAGTTTTACAATACACTCTGTGAGATTATAAAAAAGTAGACTCCTATATACTACAGTTGGGAATACAAAATGGTGTCATCTCTATGGAGAGGAATTTTGCAGTATCCAGCAAAATCACATATGAATTTACCCTTTGACCTAGAAAGCCCATGTCTAGGAATCAATCCCACACAAAGGCTGGCAAAAATACAAAATGACATTGGCACAAGGTCACTCATGCAGCACCATTTGTACCAGCAAAAGATTGATCCAAAACAACCCAGATGTTCCTCAATAGGAGGTGCTGTGGACTGAAATGTGTCCCCCACAAATTTGTATGCTGAAGCCCGAAGCCCTAATATGACTGTTCTTGGAGACAGGGCCTACAGGAGGTAATAAAGGGTAAGTGAGGTCACATGGGTGGGGTCTTAATCTGATAGGACTGGTGTTCTTATAAGAGGAACAGACAAGAGCTTGCCCTTGTGCTCTCTCTGCATTTGCACAGAGGGAAAGGCTATGTGAGGACACAGCAACAAAAGGGCATCTACAAAGCCAGGAAGAGAGGCCTCAATAGAAACCAATCCTAACAGCAGGTGGATCTTGGACTTCTAGCCTCCAAAAGGGAGAGAAAAATCTCTGTTGTTTAAGCCACGCAGTCTGTGGTATTACATTATGGCAAGCCTAAAGTCTAACACAGGAGTGTTATGGATGGATAACTCTCCAACCTAAGAGTTGGACAGTTATGGGCCCTCATGATGGGATTAGTGGCCTTACAAGAAGAGACACCAGAGAACTCGCTCTTCTCTTTCTGCCATGTAAGGACACAGCAAGAAGGTGGCTGTCTGCAAGCCAGGAAGAGAGCCCTCCCTAGAACCTGACCATGTGGCTCCCTAACCTCAGACTTCCAGCCTCCTGAATTGTGAGAAAATAAATTTCTGCCATTTAAGAGTCTGTCGTGTTTTAATTAATTAGTTAATTTTTTTACTTTTCTATTTTGAGACGGAGTCTCGCTCTGTCGCCCAGGCTGGAGTGCAGTAGCGTGATCTCGGCTCACCGCAACCTCCACCTCCCAGGTTTAAGCGATTCTCCTGCCTCAGCCTCCGGAGTAGCTGGAATTACAGGCATGCGCCACTACGCCCGGCTAATTTTTTTGTATTTTTAGTAGAGATGGGGTTTCTCCATGTTGGTCAAGCTGGTCTCGAACTCCCGACCTCAGGTGATCCATCCGCCTCGGCCTCCCAAAGTGCTGGGACTACAGGAGTGAGCCACTGCGCCCAGGCTCAGAGGATCATTTTAAACTTCAACAAACAGCAAAACAATGCAAAGGACATGGCATAAAACAGACTTTCTGAAAAGGACACTGCAGTGTGAGAGCCGAGACAAGGAGGCAGAGTGTCGCCTCATTCAGTCTCTGTGGGAAACACGCATGCCAGAGGCTAAAGTATTCTGTTGCTCTGGACGTGTCCATGAATGACTGTGAAAGTACTATTAATGCTGATTTTAGGGTTATAAGTACATTTTAGGAAGTAAAAGATTTTGCAACTATGGAATCTGTGAATAACAAGGTTTGATTGTATGGGGAAAAAATGAATACTAAGCCTGCTTTTCTTGTATAAACTGTACTGCAAGGTAGCCAAACAATTAACGAGAAGGTTTTCTATATAACATAGTTCCAACTAATAAATAAGGAGGAATGACAGAATTAGAAGGTCACTAATTTGCATCCCCTCTGAAATAAGAACTACAGACGATAATCATCAATGGCTGCTAAAACCACTAAGCGAAGGGCTGGTGATTAATTACCCTTATTATGGATGAATCTGGCTATCATCACAGGGACCAACTCATTAATTTTTATGGCACAAAACCAAAGATAACCAAAATGTCATGTCTCCTAGGTGATAAAACTACAAGTAAAAAACATCACTTATGGGCTGGGCGCGGTGGCTCATGCCTATAATTCCAACACACTGGGAGGCTGAGGCAGGAGGATCACTTGAGCTCAGGAGTTTGAGACCAGCCTGGGCAACACAGTGAGACTTCGTCTCCACAGAGAAACAAAACAAAACAAAAAATGAACGTGGTAGTGCACACCCATAGTCCCAGCTACTTGAGAGGCTGAGGCAGGAGGACTGCTTGAGGCTGGGAGATTGAGACTACAGCGAGCTATGATCATATCACTGCACTCCAGCCTGGACGACAGAGTGAGACCCTGTCTCAAAAACAACAGCAAAAAAATAATTTATGAATAACTGCCACCAAAAATGTCAAAGCTGACTCCAAATAAAGCCTATAAAAGAGCAGTTTTCTGTCACATGCACTCATGCTAAGCCGATCAAGTATGTACTAGGTAGAAGAGATCCATGTTGGGGCTTTCATTAGATGGAGTAAAGGCAGAGTGTGGGGTCTAACCCACTTAGGGGAAGTAAAAATGCAGGAAAATGGCAACTGTGAAATAAAGGAATGAATGGAGCACTGGGGACAAGAGGCACAACTGTAATTTTCATTTGTGTTACCAAAATGCCTCCTGTTCTCAGACAATACTCCTTTCACCTGCAAAGACCTCCTCCAAAATGATCATGAGAAAATTCAGCAACAAAACCATGAAATTGCAAAGATATTACTTTTGGGATGGAACAGAGCTGGAAGGCAAAGAGAGGAGGGTTATATAAAGTATTACATAACTTCTTCCAGAGCAAAAAACATTTTCATGAAATGATTAGACATTAGCACGGAAAAATACACATGTTCTAGAGAGCATTTAAGTGGTTTTTAGTGCACAGTACTTCTCACTAAAATATTGAAAAAAATGCAGGAGACCCCAAATGAAACTATCAGTTGTAATTACCTTGCACGAGGGTTGGAGCCTGCAGCATCTGCTTGTAGTAGGAGTAATACAGGCCACACTCTGTTCTGAATGAGATTTCTCGCTCCACTTCCTAAAACAGAGTTAGATCCTATGGGTTTATGTGACCTAGTTTTGTTTAAATACATATTGTTACTGTAGAAAGGATACATAACTGCAACTTGAAAGAGAAAAAACTCTGAAAATATAGTCTCAAAAAATCTTGGCAAACAAGAATGGAAGGCTGATCACTGTTAAAGCTGAGTGAGGGATACATGGGAGTCTGTCCTACTATTCTCTACTTTAGTGAATGTTTAATCTTAAAAAAAATTTTAAAGAATACATCACCATTCCTATGTAATAGCAGTGAGACACAAAACAGGGATGGCACAAAAAAAAATGAAAAGAAATATAATTGCATTAGACACCTACCTAAAAGCTACCAATATTACATAAGATCAATCATTTTCATTTTATTCTAAGAATAAAAGGTATTTGTAGTCAAATAAGGCAGACACATGAATTTTACTCTGACAAGCGTAACCCTGGTGGGAAGAGGTTTATGCAGGTAAATGGATACATGAAATATTTAAACTGCTTTTAGATAAGTATTCAACCCTAGAAGAACTGAAAACTTAAATAGCTATTAGCCAATTTAGTTACAAGATACTTTTATTAAATTTAAATTATTACTATAAAACAGAAGCAATGGGCAACAATGACACGGAAGACTTTCTGGAATAATCCAATTAATACTGTTAGATGATACACTTTATTTATAGGTTGAGCAGCCCTAACCTGAAAAGCTGAAATCCAAATGAAATACTTTAAAATTGGATACCTTCTGAGAGCCAACACGATGACACAAGTTACCCTGAAAGTGTTATTTTTTTCACCGTATTGATGGTATGTCATATTTTTTATTGTTAAGTACTTATGTACGAATAAGTATAACAAAATGATTACTTATAAAGGCACCATGTAAATTCAGAGTCAGGAACAATGGTGATGCCAAATAACCATAGACTGTCCACTGGGATGGTTGAGATAGTGACACCTTTGTTTTCTGATGGTTCAGTGTCTACAAACTTTGTTTTATGAACTATATTGTATAAAATCACCTTCAGGCTATGTGCATAAGGTATACATAAAACATAAATGAATTTCATCTTTACACCTGAATCCTATCCCCAAGATTTCTCATTATATATATGCAAATAATCCAAAATCTGAAATCCAAGACACTTCTGGCCCCAAGTATTTCAGATGAGGGATACTTAACCTGTACCTGTAAAAGTATAAATAAATAAAAAGTTATAATCTATGTTATTAGAGATTCTTTTACACCAGTGTTAAAAACAAAACAAAACAAACCATGTCCTAAAATCTGTAACACACTGTCTAAAATATAATTCGATCTGTTTTTTTTTTTTGAGACGGAGTTTCACTCGTTGCCCAGGCTGGAGTGCAATGGTGCGATCTCGGCTCACTGCAACCTCCAACTTCCAGGTTCAAGCGATTGTCCTGCCTCAGCCTCCCTAGTAGCTGGGATTACAGGCATGTGCACCATGCCCGGCTAATTTGGTATTTTTAGTAGAGATGGGGTTTCTCCATGTTGGTAAGGCTGGTCTTGAACTCCCGACCTCAGGTGATCCATCTGCCTCGGCCTCCCAAAGTGCTGGGATTACAGGCGTGAGCCACTGCACCCGGCCATGCTTTTTCATATTATAGCAGATTCACATTCCACAAACCCAATGGGGGAAAGTGATAAATACTGAACATCTCATTTTCTAGCTGATGAACTTCTTTTAGCTCATTTTGCTTCCCCCTAACTCCAACTAATTTTCAAATGGTAATAAACATCTCATTAAAAGAACCACTCAGGCTGGGTGCGGTGGCTCATGCCTATAGCCATGCACTTTGGGAGGCTGAAGTGGGTGGATTGCTTGAGCTCAGGAGTTCAAGACCAGCCTGGGCAACATGGCAAAACCCTGTCTCTACAAAAAAAAAAAAAAAAAGTAGCCAGGCATAGTGGCATGCACCTGAACTCCCAGCAACTGGGGAGGTTGAGGAAGGGGGATCGATTGAGACTCAGCCTACTGGGAGGCTGAGGCTGCTGTGAGCCATGATCAAGCCACTCCAGCCTGGATGATAGAGCGAGACCCTGCCTCAAAAAATAAATAAATAAATAAATAAGAAAGAACCATTCATGCTATTATCTTCAGACTTAGAAATTATTTATTTAATATATTTCTGCTACCCTCTAAATCTTTTTATCATTGTTTGTTAATTCCTTTTAGAAAAATGGGAGGTAGGGTAGCAAATCTTATATATTGAACTTCCTTTCACAGAAAACCAATTTATCCTGGGGAAATCAAGCATTTAAAAAAAGGCCCATCAGGTTCTGAAATTTATTTATTTTTTTTTGGAGACAGGGTCTCACTCTGTCACCCAGGCTGAGTACGGTGGCATGATCACGGCTCATCGTAGCCTTTGCGTGTCAGGGTCAAGTGATCCTCTCGGCTTCCAAGTAGCTGGGATTACAGGCACATGCCACTATGTCCACCTAATTTCTGTATTTTTTGTAGAGGTAGGGTTTTGCCATGTTGCCCAGGCTGGTCTTGAACTCCTGAGCTTAAGTGATCCTCCTGCCGTGGCCTCCCAAAGTGCTGGGATTACAGACAGAAGCCACAGTGCCTGGGCCTAAAATTTAATTTCAATAACACACTTGCGTTATAAAAAGGCTACTACATAATGATACAGCTTTTTAAACTTTCATTGCTAGTGATTTGTGTTGTATCTTTCATAGCAGTAAAGGCAACTCTTCTGGGTAGTTACTTTAATCCACTCATTTTTTATCTTTGAGAAAACGTGCTCTATTGCTTTTGAGAACTTAAAACCAACCTGGTATCACTCGTTTCTAGAATGTCCAAACTCCTACTCATTCAAATAACCACAGAGGCTATGAATTGATGTTAACTGAGCAAATACTAGCTTTTGTCCATGCAAATTAAGAACAACAACAACAACATTAATTACATTATTTTTCTTTTCTCTAGCTTCCTTAAAGTGTTCAAAGGCACTTGAGGAGTGTGAAAATCCTGTCACACCTACATCCCAAATCAAACTGGAGAGCCAATAAAGAATGAAAGAGTGAATTATATGGTTCTAAGAATAAAAGACCAGGGAATAAGAAAAAACACTGCTCAAAGTACTAAAGGTAGAAAGCTTTTGTGTCCCATCTCTCCCTTTATTATAGCCAGAATGCACAAAGAACAGAGGGGGACCTAATTAGTAAAAATGCATTCAAACATGATTAATTGGTAATCTAGCACCAGCTGTACAGAACCAAATGCTATACTTTATTAGACAGACACTTGCAAGTTTTACATCTGCTTCATGCTAAGAGAACATCTGCTTCACTCATTCAAACACTTTTCCAGTTTTACAGCAATTTATACTTCGCTTGGTAGATCACACCCGTGAAAATATACACCAATAGTAGTTATCCTCTAAAGAATGCAAAACGAACAAATACTTCATATTCAATTTGCACAGGTTCCATGGGGAATGCAATGTTGACAGAACGAAAACATCTTCGAAGATAATGACAGAAAGAAGTGGAAAGACAAAAGACTTGTATTTATAAAGAACTGTACAGCTGGCCGGGTGTGGTGGCTCACGCCTGTAATCCCAGCACTTTGGGAGGCTGAGGCGGGTGGATCCTGAGGTCAGGAGTTCACGACCAGCCTGGCCAAGATGGTGAAACCCCGTCTCTACTAAAAATACAAAAAATTAGCCAAGCGCGGTGGCAGGCGCCTGTAATCCCAGCTACTCAGGAGGCTGAGGCAGGAGAATCACTTGAACTCGGAGGGCAGAGGTTGCAGTGAGCTGAGATCGCACCACTGCACTCCAGCCTGGGAGACAGAGTGAGACTCCGTCTCAAAACAAACAAACAACAACAACAAGAAAAAAAACAAAAAAAAAACTGTACAGCTAAAACCATTGAAGTAACAGTGTATATAGCAATTTAATAGATGTACACACACACAAAAAATGACTGCTCACAATAAATGATCACATTCCCCACAGGCACTCAGACAAGTTGCTGGCAATGCCCAAAAGGCTAGAGTCCTTTGAGACAAATGACACCAAATTTGGAAAGGAAACATCAAATTAGCTTTTTAAAAATCTCACGTAAATAGATCCCCCACATAATGTCTGGTCACTCTGGCCTGCCTTTAGCAAGAACCCTCTAAGCCTGGTTGAGCCAGGATCCCCCGCATCCCAGTGGTTCCTCTTACTCATTTCCCAGCCACTGACCCCAATCCGCTCCTTGGCTGCCTATTCCTACTCACCCATGATGTACTAGAAGTTGAGTACAATCTCTCTCCACCACTGCAAGACCTCATTGCAGTGGTCCCTACATCTATCGCAATGGTCCTGAAGTCTTTCTCCTCTTGCTTTTTTTTAAAAAAAACAAAACAACTCATGTTTAAAAAAACAAGAACAACTCACGTAAAAAAGTTCTGTTTACAGGCCAGGCGCGGTGGCTCACACCTGTAACCCCAACACTTTGGGAAGCCGAGGTGGGCAGATCACCTGAGGTCAGGAGTTTGAGACGAGCCTGGCCAACATGGCGAAACCCCGTCTTTACTAAAAATACAAAAATTAGCTGGGCATTGTGGTGCATGTCTGTAATTCCAGCTACTTGGGAGGCTGAGGCATGAGAATTGCTTGAATCCGGGAGGTGGAAGTTGCAGTCAGCTGAGATCCCGGCACTGCACTCCAGCCTGGGTGATGGAGTGAAACTCTGTCTCAAAAAAAAAAAAAAAAAAAAAGATTTGTTTACAAAAATTGTCCCCCAAAATAATTAGACTGCTAGTAGTGGGGAAGCCACCGAAAAATTAACTTTATAAATGTAATCTGTTTCAGAATTAGGTTAACAAATCATCTCACCAAGAAATAGTAGCCCATAAGACAGCTGTTCTTAAAGTTCTGTACTGGGAATCATGCCCTCAGCAAACATATTTATGGCACATACATGGTTTATTGTCTGGTTAAATTCATGTCCATCTGTTAGAGGGGAATGATTCTTGCCCCAGAGTTGATTAAAGCCGTGGCATGTGAGAAGTGCCAAGCAGGGCTTGTGAGGAGGGCAGTCTGCTACTGAAGTGACAGTTCTTCCACTGGGCCCACACTCAGGCAATCAGCAGTCTTAGCACTACCGTACTACTATTGTGTGGATTACCCCTATCTATTCTAAAGTCTCCTTGCTTTGCAGGAGTATTCAATGGGAAGACATGCAAATTCGGCAATATCAAGTAAATAAGAATAACAGTGGAAAATGTTAGCACAAGGAAAAAAGACTAAAAAGAAAGAGTGATGTTGGTGCTTATAGCCAAAGGAGAACTGCCTTCCTTATCATTGCATATTTATTTGCTGGGGAAACAAAAAGGTGCAAGAATTTAGTATTTGACCGAAAGATGTTTATGTTCCAACAAGAAAGAAGAATGCGGGGGTGCGGTGGCTCACGCTTATAACCCCAGCACTTTAGAAGGCCGAGGTAGGTGGATTACTTAAGCCCAGGACTTTAAGACCAGCCTAGGCAACATGGCAAGACCCAGGCTGTACTAAAAATATAAAAAATTAGCTGGGCATGGTGGTATGCCCCTGTAGTTCCAGCTACTTGAGGGGTTGCAGTGGGAGAATCACCTGAGCTCAGGAAGTCGAGGCTACAGTGAGCCGAGATCGCACCTCTGCACTCCAGACTGGGAGACAGAGCAAGATCCTGCCTCAAAAACAAACAAACAAACAACGAAACACCAAAGAAAGAACACATTGTAAACAAAGGGAAACGACTTCAGGCACGCCTCATCTCACTGTGCCTCACTTTCCCGCCCTTTGCAGATAATGCATTTTTACAAATTGAAACTTAGTGGCAACTATGCATCAAACAACTATCAACACCATTTCTGCAACAGCTATTGCTCACTTTTTGTCTCTGTCACATTTTAGTAATTCTTCCAATATTTCACATTTTTCTTTATTATTATACCTGTCACGGGATCTGGGATCAGTGATCTTTGATGTTATTAATACTACTGTAACTGTTTTGGGGCACAATAAACCACACCCATGTAAGACGGTGAACTGAAATGTGTGTGTTCTGACAGCTCTGTCATTCTTCTGTCTCATTTCCTCTCCCCAGGCCTCTCTGCTCCCTGAGACACAATAATATCGGAATTAATAACTTTACAATAGCCTCTAAGCGTCGAAAGGAAGTGTGGCACATCTCTCACTTTAAATGGAAAGCTAGAGATGATAAGTTAGTGAGGAAAGCATGTCGAAAGTTGAGAGAGACCAAAAACTAGGCCTCCTGTGCCAAAGAGCCAAGTTGTTAACACAAAGGAAAAGTTACGGAAGGAAATTAAAAGTGCTACTCCAGTGAACGCACCAATGATAAGAATGAAAAACAGCCTCATTGCTGATACGGGGAAAGTCTAATGCTCTGATGGAAAATCAAATCATCTAAAACATTCTCTTAAGCCAACGCCTAATCCAGAGCAAGGCCCTCTCTTCAATTCTGTGAAGGCTAGAGAGGTGAGGAAGCTGCAGAAGAAAAGCTGGAAGCTAGCAGAGGTTGGTTCATGAGGTTGAGGGGAAGTAGCCATCTCCCTAACATACAAGTGCAAGGTGAAGCTGAAAGTGCTGATGGAAAAGCTGCAGCAAGTCATCCAGAAGATCCAGCTAAGATCCCTGATGAAGGTGCCTACATTAAACAACAGATACTCAATGTAGATGAAACAGCCTTCTATTGGAAGAAGATGCCATCTCGGACTTTTACAGCTCAGGAGAAGTCAATGCCTGACTTCAAAGCTTCAGAGCATAGGCTGACTCTCGTTAGGGGCTAATACAGCTGGTGGCTTTAAGTTGAAGCCAATGTTCACTTACCATTCTGAAAATCCTAGGGTCCTTATTAAGAATGATGTGAAATCTACTCTGCTTGTGCACTAAAGATGGACAACAAAACCTGGATGACAGCCCATGTGTTGACAGCACGATTTACTATTTTAGGCCCACTGTTGAGATCTACTACACAGAAAAAAAAAATTCTTTTCAAAATACTACTGCTCATTGATAATGCATCTGGTTATCTGTGTTATTTTCATGCCTGCTAACACAAAATCTATTCTACAGCCCATGGATCAAGGAATAATTTTGACTTTTGAGTCTTAATTTTTTTCTTTTTTTTTTTTGAGACAGAGTCTCGCTCTGTTACCCACGATGGAGCACAGTGGCGCCATCTCAGCTCACTGCAACCTCTGCCTCCCGGGTTCAAGTGATCCTTCTGTCTCAGCCTCCCTAGTAGCTGGGACTACAGATGTGTGCCATCACGCCTGGCTAATTTTTGTATTTTTAATAGATACAGGGTTTTACTATTTTGGCCCGGCTGGTCTTGAACTCCTGACCTCAAGTGATCTGCCTGCCTTGGCCTCCAAACTGCTGAGATTACAGGCATGAGCCACAGCACCTGGTCTGATGGTGTACTTTGGAGTACAAAAATGTCTAATTTTGATGAACACCAATTTATTTATTTATTTTTAATCATGTGTTTTTAGTGTGGTCTCTATGAAGTTTTGGCCTACTCCACAGTTATAAAAGATTCATTTGCATATTTTCTTCTAAATGTTTTATAGTTTTAGACATTTAGGCCTATGATCCATCTTGAGTTAATTTTTGTGTATGGTGTGAGGCAGTGGTCTAATTTCATTCTTTTGCATGTGAATATCCATTTGTTTATAGACCATTTATTGAAGACTATTCTTTCTCCACGTAACTGTCCTTCCTGGTGCCCTGCTGAAAATCACTTGACCATCTAAGGATTTATGTCTGTATTCCCAATTTTATTCCATTGATTTATATGTCTATCCTTATGCCAGCATCAGAGTCTTGATTACTGTGGCTGTATAGTAAGTTTTGAAGTCAGAAAGTTTGAGTCTTACAACTTTGTTCTTCTTTTTCAAAACTGTTTTAGCTATTCTGAGTCCCTTGAGTTTCCATATACATTTTAGGACTAGCTTGTCAATTTCTGTGAAAAGTCCACCTGGGATTCTGAGAGGGATCATGTTGACTCTGTAGGTCAACTTGAAGATCTACAGAGACCTTTTTTTGTTTTTGAGACAGGTTCTTGCTCTGTTGCCCAGGCTGGAGCACAACGGCATGATCTTGGCTCACTGAAGACTTGGCTTCCTGAGCTCAGGTGATCATCCCATTGCACCCTCTCAAGCAGCTGGGTGTAAGCTGTGTGCCACCAAGCCTGGCTAATTTTTTTTTTTGTATTTTTAGTAGAGACAAGTTTTCACCATGTTGCCCAGGCTTGTGTGTCTTATCAGTTTTAAATCAAACTTTCTGACTTCCAGTTATAAAAGAGAAAGAAATCAGGATACTCCCATCCATTTTTTTTTATTTATTTCTTTTTTTTTTTTAGAGACAGGGTCTCACTCTGTTGCCCAGACCGGAGTGCAGTGGTGTGATCACAGCTCACTGCAGCCTTGACCTCCCCAGCTCAGGTGACCCTCCTGCCTCAGCTTCCCAAGTAACTGGGGCTGCAGGTGCACACTACCACACCCAGCTAATTTTTTAAAAATTTTTTGTAGAGATGGGATCTCACTATGTTGCCCAGGCTGGTCTTGAACTTCTGGGCTCAAGCAATCCTCCCACCTTTTGCCCTCCAGAGTGCTGAGACGACAGCTGTGAGCCACTGTGCCAGCTGGCCTCCCCAACCTTTTTTTTTTCGAGATGGTCTCATTCTGTCACCCAGGCTGGAGGCCAATGGCACAATCTTAGCTAATGATAACTTCTGTGTCCTGAGCTCAAGTGATCCTCCTACCTCAGTCTCCCGAGTAGGTGGGACTATAGGCACATGCCACCATGCCTGGCAAATTGTTTTTGTTTTTAGAGATGGGGTTTCACCATGTTGCCCAGGCTTGTCTTGAACTACTGAGCTCAAGCGATCCTGCCGCCTTGGCCTCCCAAAATGCTGGGATGACAGGCATGAGCCACTGTGCCCAGTCAGCCTCCACCATCTTTTACCCTCTCTTCCCCTTCTTCTTTTATCTTGTGTTATACGTATTACACTGTTATGTTATTATTATGCATTATAACATTATTACTTATGTTGGCATTCTTGTGTATTAGACTGGTGCAAAAGTAATTGTGGTTTTTGCCATTTAAAAGTAATGGCGGCCAGGCATGGTGGCTCACACCTGTAATCCTAACTTTGGGAGGCAGAAGTGGATGGACTGCCTGAGCTCAGGAGTTCGAGACCAGCCTGGCATGTCTCGAACAGCCTGACATGGCAAAACCCTGTCTCTACTAAAAATACCAAAAAAAAAAAAAAAAAATTAGCTGGGCATGGTGGTGCATGCCTATAATCCCAAGTACTGGGGAGGCTGAGGCACAACTGCTTGAACCCAGAAGGCGGAGGTTGCAGTGAGCCAAGATCACGCCACTTCATTCCAGCCTAGGCGACAGAGCGAGCTCTGTTTCATAAATAAATAAATAAAATTAATGACAAGACCTACATTACTTTTGTACCTAATATAACATTATTTATATCATACACATTTTGTTCTATCACTAATTTTTAGTTTTAGTCCTATAGTTAAATAAATTTGAGCCCCACTGAGCATCTTTCTGTCATTGTTTTTCCATGTATCTCATGGATGGATGAAGTTTTTCCTCTTCCAATTTCTTCAGGTATTCTTAAAAGTACATATTTCTAGGAACAAAAAAGTTTGTATGCCATCTTTATATGCAATGGAATGACTGGGTTAAAATGTGTAAATCACTTTCTTTTACTTGAGCATTTTCTAGGCATCATTCATGGTCTTTGACCATTAGACATTACTGTGGAGAAACTGAATGCTAGGTTGACTTTTGTTTCTCCTTATTGGTAACTTGATCTTTTCGTCTAGAATGTCCAAAGGTTTCTTTACATATTTAAGTTCAGCAACTTCAGAGAACTCTATCCTGCTAATGATTTTTCTAGGCCAATTTATCCTGGAAACTGCTCTGCCCCTTCAATTAGTAGATTCAAATTTCCTTTTACTTTTGGAAAGTTTCCTTGAATTACATCTTTAAACGTGTGTGTGTGTGTGTGTGTGTGTGTGTGTGTTTTTCCTGATTTATTGTTCTCGTTCTCTTTTTTTGGGACACAAATGATGCATGCTTGCTGCTCTTTGTCCTCAATTGTCACTTGCTTTCTCATACTGTCACTTTATTCAATCTCCTTTCATTTTGTTGACCTCTCTCAGTCCTGTCCAACATTGCTCTTTCTGTACATTCTACGGATTCCAGTCTCCTGTATGTTGCATCTGAGACGGTCATAATTTCTATAATGATTCTACTTTGTAATTCTATTTCTTGTCTAAAGTCTGCCAGTTCATATTTCACTTCCTTTTGTTCTCTTCCTGTTTCCCCTTGAAGAAGGCACATACCTTCTTATGTTTCTGCTTTGTATTCATCTTCCACAGTGGCAAAGGATTATCTTTTAATGTGACACGTGTGGTTACAACCTCCACATCTCCACTGTAAAATTATTCTGGTGACTGTTCTTCACCAATGATGTCTGCTTGTTGTTCTCTTCCCTTTTTTGTTGCAGTATCACCGGACAATCTTGTCCCAGTTCCTTCCTTATCAGTTATGTCAGAATGTGGCAAGTTCTTACTACACAAGCTACTTGCAGGAAGTTCATGTGGGGGTGAGGCCAGGCACACAGCTCAGGTCAGCAAGAATTTTCATTGTATAGGGTGGTTTACAAGGGTGAGTTCTTCAGTCTTTTCCTCATTTTAGTCAACAGAACTTGATAGCTTTGGGGATCTTCGAAATGCAGGTTGCCTCCCTTCATTCCTGTCCTCTTAAATTCCATCTCTTAACAAATATGGCTTGTCTCTGTGATCGCTCCTTCTGGCCTGCCTAGCATGCTGTTCTTCATAGCAGAGTGGATCCAAGATAGCGGCTGCCACTACTGCCTGCACACCCATCCCATGGTCCTACTCAGGGTGCTGTTGGTTTTACCCCTTAGGAGATGCCACTAACTTTGGAGGACGACACTTTACTCACTTTATCTGACCCCTGCAGCTTACAGACTCCTCTCTCTTTTTTTTTTTTTTTTTTTGAGATGAAGTCTCGCTTTGTCACCCAGGCTGGAGTGCAGTGGTGCAATCTCGACTCACTGCAACCTCCTCCTCCCAGGTTCAAGCGATTCTCCTGCTTCAGCT
Source organism: Homo sapiens (assembly GCF_000001405.40). Classification (NCBI taxonomy): domain Eukaryota; kingdom Metazoa; phylum Chordata; class Mammalia; order Primates; family Hominidae; genus Homo; species Homo sapiens. The sequence continues at coordinate 32,421,524 of NC_000019.10, read as the reverse complement.
GGGATTACAGGAGTAGACCACCACACCTGGCTAATTTTTGTATTTTTAGTAGAGACAGGGTTTTGCCATGTTGGCCAGGCTGGTCTTGAACTCCTGGACTCAAGTGATGTGCCCACCTCGGCCTCCCAAAGTGCTGGGATTACAGGCGTGAGCCACCTTGCCTGGCCGCAGACTCTTCTCTCAGCATCTTTCTGAGTGCCACTGGATTTGGCAGCCCCCTTCATCAAAGCTGGAACTTGATTATCTATTTTTCACATTCCTTAATTGCTCTGAGGGAATTCCAAGAAAGAAGGAACTGATACCACTACATTGCCACTTTAAAGTGAGAATAAGTAAGCACTGTTAGGATTTAACTGTACTATTATAAACAATCTAACTATCCAAAGTTGGGAGCATGGAAATAGTGGAATAATCAAGAGAATAAAAACTTCAAAAATATGAAATTATAAAACCATAACTACTTACATAATTATAAAAGTTTTGTGAAAATGTATATATGGAAAAAGCATAGTATGTAACAGCAGATAAGGTAGATTATAAAAACTAACTATAATGGGGTCATAAATAAGTAAAATATTTAGGCACTTAGGATGAAGAATGGAAGGGAAAAATGAAAACTGCTTTTTGTTAAGGGTAATGAATATTAAGTAATGTTTTTCATTTAAAATTTTTCATCATTGTTACAACATAGTTTCAATAATTAAAAAACAATACACACTCAAAAACTAAAAATGAAGACTATACAGATGTCTACTATACAATTTATTAAACACATGGCAGGCCGCGGTGGCTCATGCTTGTAATCCCAGCACTTTGGGAGGCAGAGATGGGCGGAACACCTGAGGTCAGGAGTTTGAGAACAGCCTGACCAACATGGCAAAACCTCGTCTCTACTAAAAATACAAAAGTTAGCTGGGCACGGTGGTGCGCACCTATAATCCCAGCTACTCTACTCAGGAGGCTGAGGCAGGAGAATCGCTTGAACTCGGGAGGCAAAGGTTGCAGTGAGCCAAGACTACACTACTGTACCCCAGCCTGGGCGACAGTGAGACTCCATCTCAACAACAACAACAAAAAAAAACAAAACTACTAAACAAAAATCACTTAAAATGCATCCACTGGCTCCTGTACCTGCCATGACTAACCATATCGTATCCTTGAAGGCAAGCTCCGGAAGTCATGTCCTTTGGTTCTAGTTCCCATCCAGATTCTTCACAGCAGCCAGTGCCTCCCCTTTTCCTCTGCCTACCCCATACCCCTCAGCCCCAGCAGTTGACTCTATTGCAGAAGACTGGAAGCTACTTAGCACTGATGACGTGCCAGGCACCATAAGGGCAGAACACCAAGTAAGAAAACAGGCTTTTACTAGCTGGGTGTGGTGGTTCATGCCTGTAATCCCAGCACTTTGGGAGGCTGAGGCGGGCGGATCATGAGGTCAAGAGATCGAGACCATCCTGGCCAAGATGGTGAAACCCCGTCTCCACTAAAAATACAAAAATTAGCCGGGCGTGGTGGTGCCTGCCTGTAATCCCAGTTACTCGGGAGGCTGAGGCAGGAGAACCGTGTGAATCTGGGATGCGGAGGTTGCAGTGAGCCAAAATTGTGCCTCTGCACTCCAGCCTGGGTGACACAGCAAGGCTCCGTCTCAAAAAAAAAAAAAAAAAAAAAATGGGGGAGTGCCTTTTACTTTTTGTTTACAATAAAGGGCAGTAAAAAAGTAGGTTGCATTGAAAGGACAATTTAGAGTTAGTGTTTGGGCTCTGAAGATAGGCAGCTTAAACAGAATATGTAGGTCAGGCATTGTGGCTCATGTCTATAATCCCAGAACTTTGGGAGGCCCAGGTGGGAGGCTTGCTTGAGGCCAAGAGTTCAAGAACAGCCTGTACAACAAAGTGAGACTCTGTCTCTACAAAAAATGAAAAAATTAGCTGGCACCACTTGGGAGGCTGAGGTTGGTGGACTGCTTGAGCCCAGGAGTTCAAGGTTGCAGTGACCTTGATTGCACCACTGCACTCCAGCCTGAGTGAAAGAGTGAGAACCTGTCTCAAAAAATAGGTACAAATAGGCCGGGCACGGTGGCTCATGCCTGTAATCCCTGCACTTTGGGAGGCCGAGGCGGGTGGATCACGAGGTCAGGAGACCCAGACCATCCTGGCTAACACTGTGAAACTCCGTCTCTACTAAAAAATACAAAAAATTAGCCAGGCGTGGCAGCGGGCACCTGTAGTCCCAGCTACTCAGGAGGCTGAGGCAGGAGAATGGCGCGAACCCGGGAGGTGGAGCTTGCAGGGAGCCGAGATCGCGCCACTGCACTCCAGCCTGGGCGACACAGCGAGACTCTGTCTCAAAAAAAAAAAAAAAGGTACAAATAAATACAATATGTATTAAAATGCCCCCAAATAGTTCCAAGCATGTAACAGACATTCAATAAAGGGTATTTTAAAAAATCTTGAATACTTTCAATTTCCTAGCAAGGGAAATATAATACAATGAAGACAATAGAAAAATAACTTAAAATTTTAAAAATATGCTGAGAAAGGATACTAGATATATCTTTTATACTACTATATGAAACCAGTATCTTTTCCTTCAACTTTCCAGTTGCTATTTCAGGGTTCCCACTTTTCATATACAAACAATACAACAAACATTTAAAAAATCATTTTGAATGCATAAATTCAGTGTATGACTTGTCTATTACATAACCAATACTTTTACTCTCTGAATAATTACAACTACTTCAAAGTATTCAAAAATAAAATCAAAGTATTTTCATTAAACACTAACCTACCAATTTTGATGAGAAAAAGTTATAACCCCAAAACAGGAAAGGAAAGCAGATTTACTCTTCTCAAATAATTCCCCAATATAGAAATGGTATAAATTACAGGAGATTTATAAAGGAATATACACTCCAAAAATGAGCTTTTCTTTGGCCAAATAAGGTCTTTGTTCAGTGATATTTATAATTTCTAATTGTTTATTTACAGAAAATATGTACATATTTAAAAATTAAATCAGATTAATTAAAAAAAAATTTAGTTCCCGAGTGTACTACCCCATTTCAAGTGTTCAATAGCCACATGTGGCCACTGTACTAGACAGTGCATACACTGAACATTTCCTTCATTATAGTCCTATTGGACAATGCTGATCTAGCGAATCTAAGCAAAACACAAAACCAAATGCCTAGGCAGAGGTATTAACAGGTTTGAGAAATGGTTCTAACATTGGAGGATTCTTCTTGTGATATAGGAGACAACCCAAAATGTGTGCTATGGACTACTGCTTGAACAAAGAGGAAAAAAATGGATACGACTCTGAGCTCAATTGTAAGTTTCAGAGGACAAGGGTGGTGGGTGGGGAAAAGCGCCTGTTTTATAGCTTCCCAGATGGTATCTGAGGCACAGACACAAACTGGCCCAGGTTCTCTTTCCTTTCTCATTTTACACGCTCCTGAAACAATCTCACCCACACATCTACAAGATGGTAAGATGAAAATGCCCATTTCCAACACAGACGGAACTCCTGCCTTCAGCCCCGTAAGTCTAGCTTCCTTTATTCTGTATTTCTAGGTGGACTGCTTTAAAAGTGCCTCACAACATAGTCAAACCTGAGCTCATTGTTCCCTGCCTTTCCTCCTGTGCAAGAAAGAATTTGGCTGACCTCTGTCCCTGGTTACGGGGAGGTAACCTTGTATTAGTCCATTCCTCATGCTTCTAATAAAGACATACCCAAGACTGGGTAATTTATAAAGGAAAGAGGTTTAATGGAGTCACAGTTCCACAAGGGTGGAGAGGTCTCACAATCATGGCAGAAAGTGAATGAGGAGCAAAGTTAAGTCTTACATGGCGGCAGGCAGACAGTGTGTGACGGGGAACTCCCCTCTATAAAACCATCAGATCTGGCCAGGCGTGGTAGCTCACACCTGTAATTCCAGCACTTTGGGAGGCCAAGGTGGGCAGATCACAAGGTCAGGAGTTCAAGATCAGCCTGACCAACATGGTGAAATCCCATCTCTACTAAAAATACAAAAATTAGCCAGGCGTGGTGGCACGCACCTGTTAAGCTCAGCTACTCAGGTGGCTGAGGCAGGAGAATTGCTTGAACTCAGGAGGCGGAGGCTGCAGTGAGCTGAGATCGTGCCACTGCACTCCAGTCTGGACGACAGAGCGAGACTCCGTCTCAGAAAAAAATTAAAATAAATAAAGCCATCAGATCTCGTGACACTATCATGAGAACAGCACAGGAAAGGCCCGCCCCCATGATTCAATTACCTCCCACTGGGTCCCTCCCACAACATGTGGGAATTATGGGAACTACAATTAAAGATGAGATTTGGGTGGGGACACAGCCAAACCATATCAAAACTCTACCCTCTAAGAATAAAGAATCTGGCTGCTCTTTGTCCCCAGTTCCTGGGAGATAGCCTCTAAATCCTTGGAACTTCTAAGTGATGAGAGTGTCTTTGTTATTCATGGTAGGTTCTTCAGACCTCATCTGAAAGCCTGGGCTAGCAGGTGACAGGGTGAGCTCCTAATTTGTGCTAAGGAGATGACTCAGGATTGGGGCTGGCCAAGCCAGAACACTCAACCATGTGGCCTGAGAGTCAGGGCTTTGAGCCATGTGCTAGCAGCCCAACTTCTAAGGAGCAGAAAAGGGCTGGAGATTGAGTCCAGCCTTGTGGGCAATAATCCAATCAATCATGCCTACATAACGAAACCTCAATAAAAACTAGACACCAGTACTCAGAAGAGCTTCTTTGGTTGGCTCCACATAGTGTAACACAGTGATGTGCCAGGAGGGTAACAGGCCTGACTCCATGGGGAAAAGATAATGAAAGCTTCCAATGGGACCCTCGAAGACTTGGCTGCATGTGTCACTCCCTTTGGCTCGTTCTGATTTGTAATCTTTTGCTATAATAAATCTGTAGTCATAATATAGCACTTCCCTGAATTCTGTCAGTTGTTCTAGTGAATTATTGAACCTGAGTGGGTGGTGGGAACCTCAGAATTTGTAGCCAGCTGGTCAGAAGTGAGGGTTGCCTGGGGGGGCCCCAAACGTGCCACTGGTGTGTGAAACGAAGGCATTTTTGTAGAGAGCTGTGCCCTCATCCTGTGGGGTTTGGCCTAACGGTGGATAGCTGGTGTCAGAACTTACTGATCCTCCAGCTCTGCTCCTCCCGGTGCTCGTTGTCACAGAAAATGGCATGTCCATCCATCCACCCCGCTGCTAAGGAGAGCAAGCAGCTTGGACTGACAGCCTCTCAACTGTTCTCTCTCAACAGACTTCCACACAATGAATCAAGACATCCTTCCAAGTCCACTTCCTAAAAAGCTCTGACTCTGTTCACGACTCTGCAACTCTTATGCAGCCTCAAAGCCCTAAGTGATCTGTTCTTCTCCTCTCTTCTACCTTCTCCTCATCACTCATAAAACTCTGGCCACATGCACCTTCTCTCTGATCCTGGATTTGCCAAGTTCATTCCTACCTTAGAGACTTTTGGCTTGCTGTTTCCTCTGCCTAGAATGTTCTCGCAGATCTTAGCTTGGCTGGTTCCTTCTATAATATCATGTAGGTTTTGGTTTACATGTCCTCAAAGTGGTCGGCTTTACTTCCCAATTCCAAGTAGCCTTCTAGTGACTATCTCATCATCCCGTGTGACTTTCACCGTAGGATTCATTTTCATTTTCTTTCTGATTTTTCCCCTTTTCATCATAATTAAGTTCTATGTCGTATTCAATGCTTTATTCCCAGGGCCTAGAAAAGTGTCTGGCATACAGAAGATACTCACTGAATATTTGAATGCAATATTTAAATATTACTGAATCCACTGAATTGGATTATCTTAGCAGTTTCCTGACTTTAGTTTTGCTCTCCCCAAATCCATTTTCCACATCACAGCCTAAGGCAACTTTCTGAAACGCCAATACGATGACATCGCTGCCTCTACTAAAAATAGGGTTCACTACTATAATACATTCAGAGAGAGTTCTATCTTTGAGACAGAGAAGACAGACCCTTTATTATCTGGCCTCTGTTTACCATTCCCAGTACATCCCCTCTCCCCTTGTACTCTCTAGCCAGGCTGAACTACTGCCAACGCTTCACACACCAGGCTCTCTTGCGTCTTGAATTTCCTGCACTTGTCCCTCTTCTAGGACACTCATCTTTCCTCCCCAACTTGCCTGGTTAACTCTTACTCATCCTTCAGGTCTACTTAACCATCATTTCCTCTAGAAAAGCCTCCCTGATCTTCCAAAATGAGGTTAGGCTTCCACTCCTATGTGCTCCCACAGTGCTCTCTATCTCACCCCATCCTAGCACCGAGTTGGGATGTCCTGTAATTGTCTGGATACTGACCTGTATCCTTCTCAAGAGTGTAAGTTCCTTGGGGGCATGGCCTTATCTTACTCAGTGATACTGCTACCACTAAGCACAGTGCCTGCTGGCATACTGTAGGTGCTTAATATATATTTACTCAATTCACTTACTATACTGGAAAATCTGCTGGTAAATTCAGAAATCTTTGTTATTCCTTCCATGTTCTCTGCAGTGTTGAACTCAATGTTACCCACAGAACAGGTGCTCAGTAAATACTAGGTAAAACTAGAACTTCCTTAACCCAGTGAAAGTAAAGAGAGAAAAACCAAGGGTGTTCAAGTTTCTTGATGATGGGGTGTATTTATTTAAGGAAAGTAGGAAGGCTGGTTACAAGTTTTAAATTAAAGAGCTACACTTAATAGTTTATAATTAAGTTATATGATCTCTTTCAACATGTCTCCTTGCTATACGGTTGTTAGCATTCAATTTGGGCTATCTGCTCACACAGAGATATTTCAGCCTTTTTTCAAAATACTTATGTTAATATATACGCACTACATGGTTTAATTCTAGGGAATCGCTTTACAAGCTTTCTTTTTTTTTTTTTGAGATGAAATCTCACTTTGTCACCCAGGCTGGAGTGCAGTGGCATGATCTCAGCTCACTGCAACCTCTGCCTCCTGAGTTCAAGCAATTCTCCTGCCTCAGCCTCCTGAGTAGCTGGAAATACAGGCATGTGCCACCATGCCTGGCTAATTTCTTTTGTTTGTTTGTTTTTTTTTTTTGGAGACAGAGTCTGTCACCCAGGCTGGAGTGCAGTGGTGCGATCACGGCTCACTGCAAGCTCCGCCTCCCAGGTTCACGCCATTCTCTTGCCTCAGCCTCCCGAGTAGCTGGGACTACAGGTGCCCGCCACCATGCCCGGGTAATTTTTTTGTATTTTTAGTACAGACGGGATTTCACCGTGTTAGCCAGGATGGTCTCAATTTCCTAACCTCGTGATCCGCCCGCCACGGCCTCCCAAAGTGCGGGCATTAAAGGTGTGAGCCACTGCGCCCGGCCCTCTTCTTTTGTATCTTTAGTAGAGACGGGGTTTCACCATGTTGGCCAGGCTGGTCTCAAACTCCTGACCTCAAGTGATCCACCACGCCCTGCCAGCACTCCATTTTAAAGAGATAGGTGGGCATAGCGGCTCACACCTATAATCCCAATATTTTGGGAGGCCAACGCAGGAGGATTGCTTGAGTCCAGGAGTTTGAGAACAGCCTGGGCAACATAGTAGGCCCATCTCTACAAAAAATTAAATAATTAGCTGGGAACAGTGACGTGCACCTGTGGTCCCAGCTACTCGGGAGGCTAAGGTGAGAGTAATGCTTCAATTCAGCCCAGAGTTTGGGGGCTGCAGCGAGCTGTAATTGTGCCATTGCACTCCAGCCTGGGGACAGAGAAAGACCCTGCCCGCCCCCGCTCCTCCCAAAAAAAGATATATAAACGAGTAAAATTCTTCTGACAAGAAGAACTACCTACTGTCACTGAAAGATAAGTATTATTCTTCTTTGAGGGGAACATCACACTCTGGGGACTGTTGTGGGGTGGGGGGAGGGGGAGGGATAGCATAGGGAGATATACCTAATGCTAGATGACGAGTTAGTGGGTGCAGCGCACCAGCATGGCACATGTATACATATGTAACTAACCTGCACATTGTGCACATGTACCCTAAAACTTAAAGTATAATAATAATTAAAAAAAAAAAGAATTATTCTTCTTTGGTACTATGATAATTTGTATAAAGATATATATACTGTACCCATAAAGTAACACAGCAAGTTTTAAAAATAAACACACTAGAGGTCATTCTTATAAATTAGATTTGTCATCAAAGTAATATCCTTTCGAGGCTCATTTCAGTAAGAGAATCAAAGCTCAAAATGTTTTGGAAAACTTTCTTTGGAAAATGTCTTCAGATCCTTCATCAGTCACTTCTTTCGAACATTCTTATAGATACACATCTTTGGCTTTGAAGGTGTTTGTTTATTTTTACAAGCAACTAGTCATTAGACACCACAGTTTAGGTTAAAGATCATGACATATTAGATTAAAATGTAAGGTATATTTGGATGCAAATTTCCACATGTAAGTTATATACGAGTTCTGAAAACAATGCCAAGAGGAGTTCTAGAAATGTTGAAAAAGAGAGAGAGAAAGAAAACAAGGAAACGTGTTTAAAGAGTCACAGACCACCCCCTCAACTTTTTTCTTTTTTTTTTTGATAAAGAGTATTGCTCTGTTGCCCAGGCTGGAGTGCAGTGGTGGGATCTCAGCTCACTGCAACCTCTTCCTCCCGAGTTCAAGTGATTCTTGTGCCTCAGCCTCCTGAGTAGCTGAGATTACAGGTGTGTGTCACCATGCCCGGCTAATTTTTGTATTTTTAGTAGAGATAGGGTTCCACCATGTTGGCCAGGCTGGTCTTGAACTCCTGACTTCAAGTGATCTGCCCGCCTCGACCTCCCAAAGTGCTGGGATTACAGGCGTGACGCCCGGCTAACCCTCCTGAAAATCTGATTAAAATTACAGTTCCTTTCCCTGGAAACATATGGCTTCCCCATCGCCCTATGCCCTGCAAAACCACTTGCACAGAGTATTAGATAGTCATGAACATGCTGAGGACCCTCTGTGGAGCCACATTTAGACCCCATGATTTAAAGCAGTGGCTTTTTTATTTCCTTTTCTGTTTTTTTTTTTTCCTGTTGTAGCCAACAAGAAAAAAAAGAAAAGGAAGTACCTTGTATACTGTGACCCAGTTTGTGCATATATATATATATATAAAATTAAAAGTTTCACAAAACAATCCTCAACCCTACTAGATGTGATAGTATTCTTTCTTTTTGATTTCATTAAGAAAAATGTTACTCATGACCTACTGCACTAATTTCACAATCTATAACTTGAAAAATACTAATTTAGAATAACTGCTAAATAAATGGAATAAGTTAATGAAAAAGAAAAAACTCACTTGATTATAAAAATTCTGGGCTGGGTGCTATGGCTCATTCTCATATTTTGGAAGACCAGGGCAGTAGGATCGCTTGAGCCCAGGAGTTCGAGACCAGCATGGGCAACAAAGTGAGACCCTGTCTCTACAAAAAAATCAAATTTAGCTTGGTGAGGTGGTGCATGCCTGGGGTCCCAGTGACACAGGAAGCTTAGGCAGGATACTCACTTGAGCCCAGGAGGTTGAGGCTGCAGTGACCCATGTTTGCACCACTGCATTCTAGCCTGGGTGACAGAGCAATACCCTATCTCAAAAAATTAAAATGAAAAATAAAGATTCTGGCTGGACGCAGTGGCTCACGCCTGTAATCCCAGCACTTTGGGAGGCTGAGACAGGCAGATCACAAGGTCAGGAGTTCGAGATCAGCCTGGTCAATATGCTGAAACCCCGTCTCTAGTAAAAATACAAAAATTAGCTGGGTGTGGTGGCACGCACCTATAGTCCCAGCTACTTGGGAGGCTAAGCCAGAAGAATCACCTGAACCTGCGAGGCAGAGGTTGTAGTGAGCCAAGATTGCGCCACCGCACTCCAGCCTGGGTGACAGAGTGAGACTCCATCTCAAAAATAAATAAATAATAAAGAAAAATTTAAAAAAAGATTCTAATATGTTATTTTAAAATAATAAACACAAAAGTTATTTCACTCTATAGTCCAACCTTTCTAGAGATTGGATTCTTTATGGCAAAACTGTGTTGCCTTGGTCATTCATCCACATGGCTTACTACTGGAGATCCCACTGAGTGAATGATACAATGGTCAAAGAAACTCCATACCTTAATATTAGAAAACCATAAATCATTTTCATGTAACGTGGCAAGGTAGACAGATGTAAGAAGTCCAATGCAAAGGGCAATGGTTCCACCAATTGTCAATGACAAAATCTTCCATAATCTTCTACTGGTACAACCTTTTGGAAAAATGGAACAGATAAATAACTAAGTCAGTAAAAAAATCAGAATGTAATAGTTCTACTTCAGATTATCAAGTAAGCTAAGTCTAGCTGCCTGTCACTGGGAAAGCTTTTCCTGTCTCCAGCGGAGGGTCCTTTCTGATTCCACAGACCTGTTTTCATTCTATTACAACTGTTACCCCGTATCTAACTGTCCATGTGTCCATTCTGCCAACTACAACGTGAGCTTCTTGAAGACAAATACATTATCTTATTCATGTTTAATACTGAGGGCCTCTGTCCGGCACAGTTTAACAACCGTAATTTAACTATGAAGTCTGTTAAATGGATGACTAAATGTGTTACGTGTCTAGGACGTAATCGATCTTTTAGATAATCTAGGTACAATTGGTGGCTTATTCTTTAAAAGCTATTTTAAAAACTTGATTACCTAAAAAATAATTATTGTTTTTTGAGACAGGATCTTGTTCTGTTGCCCAAGATGGAATGCAGTAGTGCAATCTCGGTTCACTGCAACCTCTGCCTCCTAGGTTCAAGCAATTCTCCCACCTCAGCCTCCTGAGTAGCTGGGACTACAGGCACATGCCACCATGCCTGGCTAATTTTTGTATTTTTAGTAGATACAGGGTTTCACCATGTTGGCCAGGCTGGTCTTGAACTCCTGACCTCAAGTGATTCACCCACCCAAGCTGGGATCCTAAAGTGCTGGGATTACGGGCATGAGCCACTGCACCTGGCCGATTACCTAAAACTTTTTTTTTAAACCCACAGGTTTTGCAGGAATGCTCTGGGGGGAAAAACCCACAGAATAAATAATCCAACATAACTCAAGTTAAAGGACATATAAACTAGGCAAAATATGGATAGCACATATAAGAAAGCTTAAATACCCTTAACATAAGATGAATACTTTCAGGACAATTTATTTTATTTCAGGACAATTTATTGTCCTGTCAAGATGAATACTGCAGTAGGAAAAAGATTAAGGACATGAACAGGCAATGTACAATAGAAAAAAGTGGCCAATAATAATAACAGACTGAAGATGTTTAAATTCATTAATGTTAAAGAAATGCAAATCAAAACTGTGAGTTATACTTAAATCTTGGCCAATTTGACAGCTTTCAAAATGCTAATACTGTTTTGGTAAGGGTATAAAAAATAGACATCTTCAAACATTGCTGCTAGAAGAATAAATTGGTGCCTCTCTGGAATGCAACATGGCAGCAGTGAGTAAAAGCCACCAAAATGAGCATCCCATTTGGCCAGTAATTCCCAATCTAGGCATGTACCCTGCTGTGGTTTGACTATTCGGCCCCTCCAAATCTCATGATGAAATGTGATTCCCAATGTTGGAGGTGGGGCCTAATGGGAGGTGGTGTGGTGATGGAACCAGAGCCCTTATAAACAGGTTGGTGAGATTCTAGCAGTACTGAGTTTTCATTCTGTTAGTCCTAGGGGAGCTGGTTGGTTAAAAAAGAGCCTGACATCCTGTGTTCCCTGGAAATTGCTTCTACTCTGGTCATGTGATCTCTACACACTGGCTCCCCTAAGTCTTCTGCCACGACTGGAAGCTTCCTGAGGTCTCACTAGAGGCAGATGCTGGTGCCATGCTTCTCATACAGTCTGCAGAACCCTGAGGCAAAGAAACCTCTTTTCTTTATAAATCACCTAGCCTCAAGTATTCCTTTATAGCAACAGAAATGGACTAAGACATGCCCCAAGGAAATAAAGTTTTAAACAAACATATGGCCACAAGGAAATTGATCACAGTTCTGTCTGTATTAGCAAATGGTAAGAAAACCTTTCACTTCTACAGTGGCAGCTATAAAAATACTTTACATAGATGATATTTCAAAAATACGTTAACTGGCTTATGACATGTTCATAACATAATAAGAGAAAAATAGCAAGCTACAAAACAGCACGTGGATCCCAATTTTGCAAAACTGTATACGAATGCTTATGGGTATACATGTGCAGAATATGACATTAAGACAGCAAGACAGTGCCACTGGTGTTAGTTTCAGGATGGGAGTATATTTCTTTTTCTTTGCATTGTTTAAGGTGTTCAGAAAGTACTATTATCCAAAACGTGTTAATCACTCGCTAATGGCTGAGCCAGGTGTCATGACCTCCCATTACAGATTACTTTTGTTAAACTGTTTCCCTGAATTGCTTTACTAGCCTGGCTGGTAAGAATTAACATGGCTGTAAATAATGTAAATTCTGTCAGATATCCAAAATGGTTAATGGGTATGAAGATTTTCATGTTAACTTTTAAAATCCTGACCATGCTTTAGTTACAAAAGCTACTCAGGAAGCAAGAAGTTGGTAATTAATGCTATCTGATGCATCACTTAGCAAGTCTTTACCATTATACAAACAACTGACCAAGTTCTGATTACTTTTCCCACCAATAAAAGAAAAAAAAAAAAAAGCAAAAGAAAACTTCAGGAATTTGACTAATTATAAAGAATTTTTAAAAAATGTTGATCCACCTTTCACTACCTTAATGGAAACTCACCCAAGGTAAGGTTGCCTGGTGTAAATAGTATACACGACCAGAAAAATTAGAGAGAGACTAAAATCTGGGGTGTGGGTGGGGGGACCATTACTCTAGAGAGTCAAAGGATGAGATTGGAAGAACCGTAAGTTAATGAACAGACAGCTGACAAACACTTCTAATCAAAGCTCTTTCATCTTTTGTCAAATCATAACTGTAAAATCAATCTAATCAAATTGCAATTAGAATATCAGGGTACTACAACAAGTTTCAATTGTTAGGTCCCACCAAATTTTTATCCTATTGGAGAGTGACATTTTAATATGCAGAAATAAAAGCAACCCAAATTGCTGCTTTAGTTTAAATCACCTACCAGATGGCAATTTATTTTCCAACTTCACATTTTCTTCTTGGGCTGGAAAGTCTTCAGAAACTTCTGTGGCTCTTATTTCTCTTCTTTGCCGGATGGACATCATGATGTCAGACTTACATGCATTGTTCTCCAAATCACTCCTAGATAGCAATAAACAGGCCATCAACGTCAGTGCCTTCTCCCCAACACACCCCGTGCTCATCCATGCTGAAATGCCTTTACTTATGCCATTTTCCCTCTATTAGCATGCCCTCCCTTTTTTTTTCTTCCCCCCAAGACAGGGTCTCACTGTCACTCAGGCTGGAGTGCAGCGGCACCATCACGGCTCACTGTAGCCTCTACTTCCACAGGCTCAGGTGATCCACCTCAGCCTCCCGAGTATCTGGACTACAGGCATGTGCTACTACACCTGGCTAATTATTTTTTGTAAAGATGGGGTCTCCCTATCTTGCCCAGGCTGGTACTGAACTCCTGGCCTCATGCGATCCTCCCCGCCTTGGACTCCCAAAGTGCTAGGATTACATGAATGAGCCATTGTGCCCAGCCTGCCCTCGATCTTGCCATCTAAATCGTTGCTGGCCTTCAAAGCTACACTCAAAACACAATTCAAATATTTATTCAACTCAATCATATTTATTCATGAAGCATGTGCTCTACAGCAGGCCCTGCCAGGAGTCAGGAATACAGGTAAGCAACACAAACGAGCCACTGCTTTTCTTCCAGAACATCTTGGGACATTCCAGTTCCGGCTGATCTTCTCCCTCCCTGAGCCATAGCAGTTACCACGCAATGCGTCACGTAACTACACAGTTGTATATTATTTTCTACTTCCATAGGCGGTAGTAGGTCTTCAGTACCTCCCACAGAAGTGGCCACGTGGGAGATACTCCATAGTAAATGTGTTGACAACCGGATTTTGAAGAATTAAAATATTGTTTTGTCTCAGGTACCTGAATTTTAACACCAGTGTTCTATAAAACAATTCACACTGGCAGCTTCAGGAATACGCCTCAGTGGTGATGACTGCGGGGGTGTGCCAATCAGGGCAGCTGCTATCCCAGGGAGCGTCGGTGGGAGTAATGGGTGGGGGGGAGCAGGAGCCTGGTTTGGCAGCAGCAAGTGGGAGGCGGGGGAGTGGTGGCAGTGAGTAAGCGGGTTCCAGTCCTCCAGAACATCTTGCTTCACTCCTCTGAATAATGAACAGCCTCTTACTAATTATTTCTTAAATGTGACTAGTAGCCTGACATGATTGTTTCCACAGTTTATTAATTCCTAAGGGTAACTTGCTCTACAGAACAAACCAACTAACATTATACAATTCATGTATTCATTCATACCAAAAAAAAAAAAAAAAGCAGGAAGCCAGATTTAAGTACTGTGCTTTCAAGCACTGGAAATGGAGAATCTGGAACAGAGAGGGAGAAGAGGAGTGTTTAACAAAGTCCTACAGCCACAGATGGGCTTATCCCCCATGTGACCTCATCCTAGAGTCCTCCCTAAGTGTGAGAGGACTTTTTTAAACAATTCATATATTCTAATATGTTAAGGCAGAAAACCAACACATATTTAAGTACCAATTATGTGTCAGGCACTGCAACAGTCCCATGAACTAAGAAAAAAAGTTCCTCCATCAGATCAAAAGGAATGCCATTGTAAACAACTGAAAAGGGACCAGAAGCGATTCTTTATTAATAAGGACGACTAGCGCTAGCCGGGCGAGGCGGCTCATGTAATCCCAGCGCTTTGGGAGGTTGAGGCAGGAGGATGACTTCAGACCATGAGTTTGAGACCAGCCTGGGGAACAGAGCGAGACCCTATCTATACAATAAAATAGCCAGGCTCGGTGGTGCATGCCTGTGGTCCCAGCTACTCCAGAGGCTGAGGTGGGAGAATCGCTTGAGCCCAAGAGTTCGAGGTTGCAGTGAGCCGTGATAACGCCACTGCACTCCAGCCTGGGCGAGACAGCGAGACCCCTGTCTCTAAAAAATAAAAATAAAAAAGCCTAGCGCTCTAGTGAGCATCCCCTGGACGAGGCAGGCACCGGGTCCGCTTACCTACGCGCCACGCCCCTGCACACCTGGCGTCCCCATCAGGTAGGTCTCCAAGGACAGGGGCAGCCGGGAAGTTCAGGCACGCGCCCCAGCTCTCCCAAGACCGCGAGCGGCCGCCGGGGTCGCAGCCCAGGCCCTGCCTCGCCGCACGGCCGACGAGCAGAAGCCGCTCCGCAAACTTGGTCCTTCCGGAGCCCAGCCCGGCCCGCGTCCCGGCAGACACTCCCGCGCTCCGCCCCTCCCGACGCCCCGACGCCGCGGCCGCGCCCCCCGACTGCGCCACGCGGCGGGGAGGGGCGGCCCCAGGGGCTCGGGGCTGTAGCCGAGGGTTCCGCCGGCGCCCGCCCGCCCTCTCGGTAGACCCTCGCCCGCGCGTCCCGGCGCGCCGCCACAGACCTGCGGCCTCAGCCGTCCTCACGCGCGGCTCCGGGAGGGGAAGGAGGCCGACGGGGCTAGGCGGGAACGGGGCCGCGCCACGGGCCGCAGCGCGCCGCGGGTACAAGGAGGGCAGAACCGCCGCGGAGCTTTGTGGAAATGAGGGGCTGGGGGGCGTCAACAGCCCCGGGGAGGGGGCGCGCCGGAGAGGCCGGGCGGCTGCCCCCGCGCCCATAGGCCCCGGGAGCTGTTCGTCAACACTAGGCCCCGCCTCCTCCCGCGGTTCCCCGCCTCGTCTCGTGCTGCGCTGGCCGGAAGGAAGCGGCACACTTCCGCTTGCCTGGTCCGCATTGAGTCCGGTCTGTTCCGGAGACTCTGAGCGCGGCCGCGGAGCTGCAGTGGCGGGGAGTGGGGTGCGGATCTTGTGTTTGCGCACGCAGTCGCCGGCCACCTCAGGCCGGAGCTAGAGATACGGCTCGGGATAGGAGGGCCCGGCGGCTCTGAGGCAGGTTCGCCTCGAGCCGCACGGCCCGGAGCAGCGGCTCCGCGGTGGTCCCCGGGGCTTGAGAGGGGTGCGGGCCTGGGAGCCCCTGAGGGCCTGATTTACGGAACTCCCCCTCCTTCCTCCTTTCTGCCGTTCCCTGCTCTGTGGCGGATGCGCAGGGATCAGTAGGGACGGCAGCAGTAGGGCCACTCGGGCCTGCCCCGCT
Organism: Homo sapiens; assembly: GCF_000001405.40. NCBI lineage: Eukaryota > Metazoa > Chordata > Mammalia > Primates > Hominidae > Homo > Homo sapiens. The sequence continues at coordinate 32,405,220 of NC_000019.10, read as the reverse complement.
TCCCGCATTGCCCGGTTTGGCGCGCCGCCTCCGGGCCTTGGCAAAGCCCCAGCGCCCGATTGTCACTGACCAGTGCTTGGAAGTCCTTTACCGACTGCCCGTCAGCGTCCCGCGGAGAGGATTTTGCGTCTCCAAAGACGCCCCTCTTCCGAAAACAGGCTCCTCTGTGTTCTCAGTCGGGTATATTTTTCTGTCTCCAAACTAGATTGGCAGCCGTTTTTTGAGAGCAGGTACTGACTGTGCTTTATTTCTAGATACTTTTCTTAGTCACACCACGGAAAACACTAGGTGGAACCTTTTTTAAAATTATTTTTTACAGGTGAGGCTCTCAGTCTGTCGCCCAGGCTGGAGTGCAGTGGTGCTATCACGGCTCACTGCAACCTCGGCCTCCTGGGCGCAAGCGATCCTCCCGCCTCAGCCTCCGGAGTAGCTGGGACCACAGGCTCGCACTACTATGCCCAGCTAATTTTTAAATTTTTCGTAGAGATGGGGGTCTTGCTTTGTCGTCCAGGCTGGAGTGCAGTGGTGTGATCGTAGCTCACTGCAACCTTAGTCCCCTGTGCCCAAGTGACCCTGCTTCCTCAGCCTCCTGAGTAGCTGAGATTCATTTTAATTTTTATAGTGATGGGGTCTCGTTGTGTTGACCAGTCTGGTCTAAAACTCCTGAGTTCAAGCAGGCCTCCTGCCTCAGCTTCTCAAAATGTTGGGATTACAGGCTTTAGCCACTGCAGCGGGCCCATCAAACGTTGTATTTGTCAGTACATAATTTACATGTTAATTGATTTTTGTTAAAGGGATGGCCATCTGGGACCTCCACCCGTGAAAAGGCGGCTCATTGGTCTGACTCCAACACTAAATTACGCCATCCAGGAAGCCTTTCCTAGTCACCTCTGTTGGAGATCGTCCTCCTTTGTGTGTCGGTTGTTAGTAAAGAGCACACGTTCTGTGGAAAGATGTTGAGGTATCTGCTGGATGGCTTTGATAGAAACAAATGTCAGCTGTTTTTTCAGATGGCATTTGTCTTGTTTCAGCCTGGTTGTTGGTAGCTTTTCTGTCGCCTGGCTTGAGGGCAAGGACTGTATGTTTATTTTTCACGTTAAGATGCCTTTATGTGCATGTGTCTGTTTCATGAATACATAGGTGAATTGAGTTCCCCTTAAATAGGATTTCCCTCTTATTTTATAGGTTTTTTTTTTTCTCTCAAGTTGTTTCACTCTGGGGGAAATGTGACCATTGTGAAATATCATCGCTTAGTTAAAAAGAAAGTAGAATTCAGCAGTAGCTGCTTTTTTTAATACTATGAAAAGACATTCCTAAGCAAGATGAAGCTTTGAGACTTTTCCTAAGTAGGACCTACTGCTGAGAGTAAGTCTTGGGGAGAATAAGCCAATTAAGAATGAGTCTTTGGTTCTGATAAAGTAACCATGGAGGTGATGGATAATGAGTGTAGGTCCTTGCTCACACTTCTGGCCATATGAGCCCGGAGCCAGGGAGGTACTATAAAAGGAATGGGCTCCTGTAATGGACTGTGACTGCAGTGGTGGTATATAGCAAGACTTCCGGTTTGCAGTAGGTTTAGAAGCCTAAATAGTCTCCCTGGTTGTCTCTGCCAGGGCCACAAATAGTTGTGCTGTGCATCTCAAAAGTGTGGTCTGGGGATCTGCAGCGTCACTGTCACCATCACTTGGGAGGTTGTTAAGAAATGCATGTTATCAGGCCCTACCCCACGCCTACTCAATTTAGAATCTGTAGGGCTAGGGGACCACTAATCTTTAAGAAGTTGATATGGTTAGGCTTTATGTCCACACCCAAATCTCATCTTGAATTGTAATTCCCATAATCCCCACCTTTCAAGGGAGAGACCAGGTGGAGGTAATTGAATTATGGAGGCAGCTTCCCCCATGCTGTTCTCATGATAGTGAGTTCTCACAAGATGTGATGGTTTTATAAGGGGATCTTGCCTCTTCGCTCAGCACTTCTTCCTGCCTCCTTGTGAGGAAAGTGCCTTGCTTCCCCCTTTGCCTTCTGCCATGTTTGTAAGTTTTCTGAGGCTTCCCCAGCCATGCTGAACTGTGAGTCAATTAAACTTCTTTCCTTTATAAATTACCCAGTCTTGGGCATTCTTTGTAGCAGTATCCTTTATAGCAGTATGTATAGCTGTATGGACTAGTACAGAAGTTTTCCAGATAATTCTGTGCTCGGAAAAGTTTGGGAACCACAGCAGAACCTTGTTACTCAACATGTGGTCTGTGGGCTGTGCAGCATGGGCATCACCTGGGGTCTTCTGAGAAAAGCCAGGTCTCAGGTCCTACCCAAGACCTGTGTAGCCAAAATCTGCATTTTAATATGACCCCCAGGTCATTTATGTGTACATCACACTTTGAGAAGCACTGCACCAGAAATCTTTTAACACTGTTCATTACATCCATCCCATGGAAGTATCTTGTCTTGGGATCCCGAGGGTGTGAGTTCTTCCGTCTTACTGGCTTTTTCCTGTCTGATACATGATGTCCATTTTAAAAATTTTATTTATTTTAACTTTTTGAGGTAGAGTCTAACTTTGTCACCCAGGCTGGTGTGCAGTGGGGTGATTTCGGCTCACTGCAACCTCCGTCTCCCGGATTGAAACGATTCTCCTGTCTCAGCCTCCTGAGTAGCTGGCATCACGTGCTGGCCACCACGCCCGGTTAATTTTTGTATGTTTAGTAGAGACAGAGCTTCACCATGTTGGCCAGGCTGGTCTCAAACTTCTGATCTCAAGTCATCCACCTGCCTTGGCCTCCCAAAGTGCTGGGATTACAGGTGTCCTCCACTGCGCCCAGCCCAGTGTTCATTTTTCAATTGTTTGACTTAGTATAAACACTCTCCATCATTCCTGCCTTCTGTGACAACAGACTGTGCGTGTTTCCTCTGTCTACCTTTCAGGCATTCCTTTTAAGTTTCATGCAGCTACTCCTCCTCCCTCCTCCCTTCTCTTTCTCTTCTTTCTTCTTTTCTTCTTTCTTCCTCTTCCTTCTTCTTCCTCTTCCTCCTGTTCTTCCTCCTCCTCCTCTCTTCTTTCTTCTTCTCCTCCCTTCTCCCTTTTTGGAAAGAGGACTTACTGTGTCATCCAGCCTAGAGTGCAGTGGCTGAATCATGGCTCAGTGCAGCCTTGCTCTCAAAGGCTCAAGCAATCCTCCCATCTCATCTTCCAGAATAGCTAGGTTACAGGCATGCACCACCATGCCTGACTAATTTTTTAAAAATTTTTTTGTAAAGATTGGGGGTGGCAGGGGGTCTCTCTGTTGCCCAGGCTGGTCTCAAACTCCTGGGCTGCAGCGATCCTCTTGCCTCAGCCTTCCAAATTGTTGGGATTACAGGCATGAGCCACCATGCCTGGCCTCCTCTTCCTCTTAAAAATCAATGATTCTGTGGCCCGTGGATCTGATTTCCACTGATACTCTGATAACTCCTGTTTTTATGTCCAGGTGTATCTCCTGGTCTCCAGGTGCCATATGTCCACTGCCTATTGGACATTTCCATGTGTGTAAACACCTCAAACTCAACATGTTAAACCTTTTTCTAATCCCCACACTTGCGGTTCCTTCTGTGTGCTCCATTTACCTTATTGCTCAAATCAAGAGCCTAGAAGCCATCCTTGATTCCTCTCTATTGTGTAATCCACACATCCAATCATCCATTGAGTCCTGTTGGCATTTATCTCGTAAATACCTCAGATCTTGTTCACTTTGCTCATCTCTGTTGCCACCACCGTAGTCCATTTACCTGTATGTAATAACCATAGTGATCTTACTAAAATATAAATCCCTTGGAGGCGTTTTGGCTTTATTATAAAAATTAAGCTCCATGACACAGCTTGTAAGGACTGCCACGAATCAGGCTCTGTTTCCCTCTTCAACCTCTCCTTCACTTTCTATTCACATAAACCTCTGTCAGAGGTTTGTCACGTGGCTTATAAAAAGTCTTAAACCCTCTTTAATTGACTAGGTACTCTTCAGCCTTTAGACCTCAGCTTACACGATCTGTGCTGCCTCATGTTTATCCTCATACAGTATCCGGTTCCACAGAATCATGGTTTTTCTTTGTGAACAACAGAATACCGTGGAAGTGACAGTGTGGGACTTCTGAGGCTAAGTCATAAAAGACATCCCAGTTTCAGCCTTAGCCTCTCTTGGATTGCTCACTTAGCGGGGATGCCAGCCACCATGTAGTGAGGACACTCAAACTGCCTGTAGAGAAGGCCACGTAGGCAACAGCCTGCACCACCTTGGCAGCCATGGGAGTGAGCCATCTTGGAAGTATTAGGTTGGTGGGACATTAAAAGTAATGGCAAAAACCAAGATTACTTTTGCACCAACCTAATAGATCGGCCAGCTACAGGTCAGCCTTCAGATGGCGGCATAAGAGATCTTGGGCCAGAAGTGCCCATCTATGCCACTCCCAAGTATTTGACACACAGAGACTATGAGGATAATAAATGTACATTGTTTTTTTAAGCCACTAAGTTTTGGGGGTAATTTTGTACAATGATAGATAACCAATACAATATCCACCGTATGTATGTGTTACGATTTATTTATTCCCATCTAGTTGGACATCTAGGTTGTTTCTAGTTTTATGCTATTTCAGGGAATGCTGTAAGAACATACTTATATTTATGTAACTCTTTAGGATGTATTTCTGGAAACAGGGTTGTTGGAATTCATATTCTTTTTTTTTTTTTTGAGACAGAGTCTCACTCTGTCGCCCAAGCTAGAGTGCAGTGGCGCAATCTTGTCTCACTGCAACCTCTGCCTCCCAGGTTCAAGCGATTCTCCTGCCTCAGCCTCCTGAGAAGCTTGGATTACAGGCACCCGCCATCATGCCGGGCTAATTTTTGTCTTTTTAGTAGAGATGGGATTTCACCATGTTGGCTAGGCTGGTCTTGAACTCCTGACCTCAAGTGATCCACCCGCCTCGGCCTCCCAAAGTGCTGGGATTACAGTTGTGAGCCACCATGCCCAGCCCTAGAACTCATATTCTAAATTGTGATAAACATTGGTAAACTACATTCCAAAAAGGTTAAAGATTCTATTGTTTTTCTCTTCCACCAGTGGGTATTATGACACTTATTTCTCCATGCCATTGCCAACAATTAGTTTTTAAATCTTTGCCAATCTTAGGTGACAAATAATACATGATTAGTGTGCATTCTTTATTAATGAGGTGAAGACAATATATCAGGAGTTTATTGGCTATTTGCATTTCTTTTGTATAATTTGTCTTTTTGTGTTCTTTCACCATCTATTTAATCTTGCTGTGACGGGATTATTTATAGATTATGAGTTTTTTTTGTTTTTGTTTTCGAGACAGGGTCTTGCTCTGTTGCCCAGACTGGAGTGCAGTGGCGCCATCTCAGCTGACTGCAGATTCAACCTTCTGAGCTCACGAAATCCTCCCATCTCAACCTCCTGAGTAGCTGGGACCACAGGTGTGTGCCTGGCTAATTTAAAACAATTTTTTGTAGAGATGGGGTTTTGCCATGTTGCCCAGGCTAGTCTTGAACCCCTGAGCTCAAGGAATCTGCCCACCTCGGCCTCCCAAAGTGCTGGGATTACAGGTGTGAGCCACTGCGCCTGGCCGATTATGGGTATTTATTAATCTGTTGTCATATATGCTGCAGATAGTTTCTCATTATTGTGTATCTGGTATGATGTCTTTTGCTATGCAGGGATTTTCCATTTTTATATTGTCAAATTTCTTTTATACCTTCTGGGTTTTTCCATCATGCTTAGAAAAACCTTCCCCATCTCAAGATTGTAAATGTTTTTTAATTCTTTCTGCTAGTATTTAAAAATATTATAACTTTTTAATATGGTGTGGGAGAGACTTGACAATTTTTTTTTAAATTAGATAGTTGATTATTTCACCATCATCCTTACTCTACTGATTTAAATTACCTGTACCACATACTGAATTCCCATATGTATATGGCTTATTTATAAGCTCACTCTTTTTTTTTTTTTTTTTTTCTGGAGACAGGGTCTTGCCCTGTGGCCCAGGCTGGAGTGCAGTGGCATGATCTCGGCTCACTGCAACTTCCACTTCCTGAGCTCAAGCAGTTCTCCCACCTCCGCCTCCCAAGTAGCTGGGACTATAGGTGGGACTATAGCCACCACGCCTGGCTAATTTTTGTATTATAAGATGACACTTATGTTTAAATGATTTTAAAAAGTAATTAGTCTTGAAACAGTTCTACATGTTTTTAATTATTTTATAGAATGTTTTCATATTGAGAGGGCAATTGACCCTTCATTACACTTCTTTTAACCACATATTTTGGCAATTTCTGCATATTTATTTGCTCAGATAAACTTTATAATCATTTACTAAGTTCTAAAACAGAATCCATGGAAATTTTTACTAGAATTATATAAAGTGTTTAGAAATGTTTGGGAGAAATGAGATATTTACAATGCTGAGTATTCCCTTACAGAAACATGTATGGGGCAGTTTGGTATACTACATATATTTTTTTCCAACAGTACTTTCATCCAATTTAGTTGACTTTTCAAGTATCTTGGTAAAAGTCAATGCAATGGTCGCCAAACTTCTTTTATTTATTTATTTATTTATTTATTTATTTATTTATTTATTTATTGAGACAGGATTTCACTCTGTTTCCCAAACTGGAGTGCAGTGGCGCGATCTTGGCTCTCTGCAGCCTTGACCTCCTGGGTTCTAGCGATTCTCATGCCTCAGCCTCCTGAGTAGCTGGGACTACAGGCGTGTACCACCACACCTGACTAATTTTTGTACTTCCAGTAGAGATGGGGCTTCACCATGTTGGCCAGGCTGGTCTTGAGCTCCTAGCTTCAAGTGATCTGCCTGCCTTGGTCTCCCCAAAGTGCTGGGATTACAGACGTGAGCCAGTGCGCCCAGCCTCCAAACTTTTATCAGAAAAAAATTTTGTCTTCTCTTTCTGTATACATATAAACATTTTTTTTTTTAAATGAGGCAAGGTCTCACCATGTTGCCTAGGCTAGTCTTGAACTTTTGAGCTCAAGTGATCCTCCAGCCTTGGCCTACCAAAATGTTGGGATTACAGGCATGAGGCACCACACCCAGCCCATATAAACATATTTTTAAGCAAAGTGACTACACGTGGAAATCCTAGTGTTTTCTGCATACATTCCATTGGATTGTTTTACACACACTGTGTATGACTCATGTCAGAGACCACAGAGGTGGGGCCTGTCTATGGCAGTCCTCTGAGATTGGCTTGGCATGCGTGGGTCTTAGGGAACCCAGGCCAAGTGTCAGGGATGAGCTTCCTCTATGCTCGCATCATTCCAGAGTCCCACAGTCACTGACATCACATTGGATTCCTCTTTCCCTCCTTTAAAATGTTTGTCAATAGATGGCTTCTCCTCTGTGAGTCTTCATGTGGCAGGCCAGGTCTCACTAATGCAGGCCTCCATGACAACCGTTTCAGTACTGACTGAGTGGCGAAGTTAAATATTAAAAGCTGATAGAGCCAGTGCCCTATACAAATGCTGGAATGTAACAAAAGCCCACCAAGAGTTCTGCCCTGGCCTTTCCTGGGCCTTGAAGCATGACAAGATAATGAGGAATTTTCCACAGGACCCGTTTGGGATTATACAGGTTTTATTGGGGGTCTGAAGAAACTCCCCAGGCCTCCACAGGCAAGTTTATTGGGGTCTGAAGGAACTCCCCAAACCATGATTTAGCAGGAAACAAGATAAGGGTAATCACCCCAGCACCTGGACCCATTTAGATTAAATAAATTTACTGAGGCTCCAGGGGAAGGTCTTCAGGACTCAGATCTTAGTTAGAGATCAGAAAAAGTCGACCACTTATGTCTGTAGATGAATGCACACTTACACACAGACATATAGCTTAGAAGGTATATAAGCTCTGGAACACTGTGATTTTGAGTTGGTCTGGGGATAATTTCTAGGCCTTCTCCCTGTATCCAGTTACAGAAATAAACTCCCTCCTTTCCCAGTTCATCTGCGTCTCATTATTGGGCTGTGAGAATAAGCAGCCTGACCCTCGATTTGGTCCGGGAACATTCAGAAAAAGCATTATGAAATATTGTTTGTGTTTTTTCTCTTCCTTTGTTCAACTTTATATTAACTAGATTTGTAGTGCTTTAAAATAGTGAAATTTTTAGACAGATTAGCGTAGGTGCACAAATCCAAGGATTCTATAAAATGTAAAGTTCACAAAGTATTTACATATGGAATTTTTGTTTCATTTTCTTTTAAATTATTATTGTTACTATTTTTGAGACAGAGTTTCTCTCTTGTCATCCATTGCACTCTTGTCATCAGACCGAGTGCAATGATGCGATCTCAGCTCACTGCAACCTCCATCTCCTGAGTTCAAGTGATTCTCCTGCCTCAGCCTCCCAAGTAGCTGGGATTACAGGCATGCACCACCACGCCTCACTAACTTTTCTGTGTTTTTATTAGAGACAGGGTTTCACCATGTTGGTCAGTCTAGTCTCAAACTCCTGACCACAGGTGATCCACGTACTTTGGCCTCCCAAATTGTTGATATTACAGGTGTGAGCCCCTGCACCCGGTTAATTTTTAGTAGAGGTGGGGTTTCAGTATGTCGCCCAGGTTGGTCTCAAACTTCTGGCCTCAAGCAATCCTCCTGCCTTGGCATCCCCCAGCGCTGGTATCACAGGGGTGAGTCACTGTGTCTGGCCTCATTTTCTTCTTTAACACCTGCTTCTCTGCTTACCTCTACTTGTCTGTACTTTCTTCATTTCCATGGTTACCACCTACACTTTTTTCCATTTCCATGGTTAGAATAACTGTTGTGTATTTTTGAATGAGGACACGAATAGGTAAGGTATTCAGTTAAAGCAGATGATGATGTTTTATTGCATAAGCTTTTGCCACATGTGCTGATTCTCTAGATGTTAGTCCGAGAATCAGTGTCCTTGGCTGGTCCTTCTGGTTTGTTTCCTTGGACTGCTGTAATGTCATTTCCTGCAAAACAGGCATGTACACATGTGTCCACAAATCTCAGCAGCAGATTTTTCCCACTAATAGATGCCAAGGCATATTGTCAGGCCTGGGACTTTTTTTTTTTTTTTTTTTTCCCTGTTGTAAGCAGGACTTTCAGCCAGAAAAGGATGTGTTTCTAACACTCTCGAATTCAGACATTTTATCATGCCTTAAATTATGGCTAATCTAGTGCAGGGCTGGATTTTCACTAACACTTATCAAGTGCTCCCCACAAACCTTCCTGAGTCAACTGGTGGACAGAGATGAGCTAACCCAAAGGACTCCTTATGCATAAAGTCCACAGGTTTGATTGCAACTGTCCAGGTCCAAAAGCTCTGAGATGGAAACTATCCCAACAGCTAGATGGAGTCTAGCTGTACTGAGTTGATTTTGTTGTACTTTAGTGATTCTCCACGTGATAGAGGTAACAAATCCAGCCTCCTCTCACAGGTTTCTCATCACAATCTCTTGACCCTTTTGGATGTTCAGTCAAGATACCAGGAAATGAGGTTTGAAATAAATAGCTTTTCCTGTAACTATCTTCATTAAACCAGTTCATTTAAATACAAGGGTGAATTCCCTATGGCAATATGACCCCCCAGTGGGAAAAAACTGGTCCCTGGGGGTTGAAAAAAATTACTATTTTTATGTATAAAGCATAGATGTACAGACTTGGCGCTGTGTCTCATGCCTGTAATCCAGCATTTTGGGAGGCCGAGGTGGGCAGATCACCTGTGGTCAGGAGTTAGAGACCACCCTGGTCAACATGGCAAAACCCCGTCTCTACTAAAAATGCAAAAATTATCCAGGTGTGGTGGCACGTGCCTGTAGATGCAGCTACTCAGGAGGCTGAGGCAAGAGAGTTGCTTAAACCTGGAGGCGGAGGTTGTGGTGAGCCAATGTCACGCCACTGCACTCCAGCCTGGGTGACAGAGCAAGACTCCGTCCCAAAATAAAGAAAAAAGGAAAAAGCATAGATACACTTACAGTACCTAGAAAGATAAACAATACAGTACTTCTGTGTCATGGGTGGGGAAATTAATTGGGAAAAATGCCTTGAAGGGCTTAGGAGGATGGTAATGAAATAAAGGTGGAAACACCGATGTAGACTAGGGTTTGGTGGTTGGATCCTTGCAGAATCCTGGTGGTTTACTTTTCCCTTTAATGTATTTCTCTATATGTAAATGGTGGGGCAGACTGGAAATAAGAGCTGAGGGTTCAGTACTGACCCAAAAGACAGTGGCTGAAATGATGTTTATTTCTGTCATGTAAGCAGTCTGGTTCCACAATGTCAGGGACCCAGGGTCCTTCCAACAAAAATGTCACAGTTGTTTTTTAAAAAATTTTTCTTTTGTGGCAAAAAAACATAAAATTTACCTTCTTAACCTTTTTTTTTTTTTTTTTTGAGACAAGGTCTTGCTCTGTTGCCCAGGCTGTGATCTCGGCTCACTGAAGCCTCCATCTCCTGGGTTCAAGCGATTCTTGTGCCTCAGCCTCCCAAGTGTCTGAGATTACAGGCGCCCGCCACCACATCTGGCTAATTTTTGTATTTTTAGTAGTGATGGGGTTTCACCATGTTGGCCAGGCTGGTCTCAAACTCCTGACCTCAAGTGATCTGCCCGCCTTGGCCTCCCAAAGTGATGGGATTGCCACTGCGCCTGCCTGATCTTAACTATTTATAAATGTCCAGTTCAGTGGTATTACATTCATAATGTTGTGCAACCATCACCAGCATATACCTCCAAAACTCTTCATCTTCTAAGACTGAAACTCTGTGCCCATTAGACCACCATACTGTTTCCACAGTGATTGTACCATTTTACATTCTCACCAATGGTGCACAAGGGTACCAGTGTCTCCACATCTTTACCAACACTTTATTATTTTCTGCTTTTTTATGTTTTGATAGTAGTCACCCTAATGGGTATGAGGTGGTATCTCATTGCAGTTTTGATTTCCATTTCCTTAATGATTAGTGATGTTGAGCATCTTTCCATGTACTTGTTGGCCATCTGTAGATCTTCTTTAGAGAAATGTCTAGTCAAGTCCTTTGCCCGTTTTTGAATTGGGTTTTGTTGTTGAGTTTTAGGAGTTCTGTCCTGTGCTTGTTCTCATAGTCAGTGATCATAACATTTACATAACAGGTGGCAGAACAGAGAAAGAAGGGGAGGTGGAACTCCCCTTAATTTTGAGGGCACACCCAGAAGTTTCTTTCATTTCTTTTGGGGGTAACTTCAGCTGATGTATTCTATTGTTTTATAAAACAAAACAATTTTATATTTGCATTACAATATGTTTAGAGAAAAGATAGCCATCAAATACAGTGAATGTTTCAAGGACAACTGGTATATTTTCTCAGCCAACTTTGAACTCTGTGATCCTAGATTCATTTAATCTCTTTTTTAGAAAAATATTTTTTATTTTTATTTTTAGAGATAGTATCTCACTCTGTTGCCCAGGCTGGAGTGCAGTGGTGCAATTACAGCTCATTGTAGCCTTGACCTTCTGGGCTCAAGCAATCTTCCCACCTCAGCCTCCTGAGTAGTTGGGGGTGTTACCTGGAAGGGCAGAGTCCTCAGCTCTTAGTCTTCCTTGGGAGAAGGAATTTGGCCACGAGGCAGTTTAGCCAAAAAAGAGAGAATTGATTGAAGGAAAATAGAGAGCAGAGAGTTTATTTAGAGAGACAGAATACTCTGAAAGATGAGGCAGAGCCAGCTGTGGAGACAGAATGAGCCAGCAGCCACCCCGAGAATTCTGCGGTGGGTTTTAATGATGTCAGATTTTTTTCTGGAAGTTCCCACCTCTGTCTTAAGTCCCTGCCTTTTTTCTTTGTCTAGTTTCCCTGCTTCTGCCTTAAGTCCCTGCCTTTATCCCTGCCGCATTCCCTCCCAGGCTCACGGGACCCTCTCTTACTACTAGTTGGTGGGTATGTGTGGCCGGTGTTGGGTATGAACTCTACCAAATGGCTGCATTGCTCATTGCCGCCACCCCAGGAGGTTGTATAGAGGTCAGATCTATATTTATTGCACCTGGTATCTCTTAGGAATTTCTGCTTTGCCCTCTTTCCCTCCTTATCAGCACACAGCTAGTGACATTCTGAGAGGTTAACTGAAGAGTGGGTGATTACTAGGAGTCTTAAGGGGTGCTCCTTTCTGCATAGGTATTTACCCTCCTCCTTGCTCACACTGGACTCATTGCCCACCCCCTCCACCATTAGAGATGTTAATAATTAGCAAATTTTGGGTGGTCCTTGGGCATGAGGCTTCCCAGACCTTCCTTTTCTCAGGGGCTCCCCCTCCTGCTCATGTCTAGCTGTTTGCCTACTGTAACAGGACTACAGGCGTGTGTCACCACACCCGGCTAATGTTTGTATTTTTCTGTAGAGATGGGGTTTCACCATGTTGCCCAGGCTGGTCTTGAACTCCTGGCCTCAAGTGATTCTCCCTCCTTGGCCTCCCAAAGTACTGCGATTACAGGCATGAGACACTGTGCCTGGCGTGATATCTTCAGAAGTTTCATGTATCACTACTCATATCCCATGAACCATAACTTGGTCACATGGCTTCATGTAGCTACAAGGAAGCCTGGGAAATACAGCCTACCTGGGCAGCTTTGTGCCCAGCTAAAAATTCTGTGATCATAGAAGAATGGATGTTGAGGAACAACTGGCAGTACCTGCCATTACTCATGTGAAAAGTACATTCTTTTGAAGGTTAAGGTTGATGTGTATGGCGTCAGGCACACCATTAGTCCCTCCCTTCCTTCCTTCCTTCCTCCCTCCCTCTCTCCCTCCCCCTTTCCCTTCCTTCCTTTCCTTCCTCCCTCCCCTTCCTCCCCTTCCTCCTTCCTTCCCTTTCTTCCTTTTCTTTCTTCTCACTCTTCTTTTCCTTTCTTCCTCCCTCCCTCCCTTTCCCTCTCTTTTTTCTTTTTCTTTTCTTTCTTCTTTCTTTTTCCTTCTTTCTTTCCCTTCCCCTCCCCTCCCCTGCCCTCCCCTCCCCTCGTCTGCCTGCCTGCCTGCCTTCCTTTCTTCCTTCCTTCCTTCCTCTCCCTCCCCCTTCTTTCCTCCCTGCCTCCCTTCCTCCCTCCTTCCTTTCCTTTTTTTTTTTCTCTTTCTCTTTCTTTTCTTTCATGTTGCTCTATCAACCAGGGTGGTGTGTAGTGGTGCAATCACAGTTCACTACAGGCTCAAACGATCCTCCCACCTCAGCCTCCCGAGTAACTGGGACTACACCAGGCTAATTTTTTAATTTTTATTTTTGTAGAGATGGGGTTTCACCATGTTGCCCAGGCTGGTATGGAACGCCAGGCCTCAAGCGATCCTCCTGCCTTTGCCTCCCAAAATGCTGGGATTACAGTGAGCCACTGTACTTGGCCTGATGTCTTCTTGAATTTCAAAAACTCTTACGGTATTTAATACAATGTATAGGTGCAGCTGACTTGTCTGTTTACAGTAGATAGGTGTTACTGTTTTAGGGTTTTAATTAGCGATCATGCCCTTTGTATCTCATGTCCATATGTATTCTTGTTAGTTTTGTAAGGTATAACCTAGTTAGGAATATGGCTATGAAGCTCTTGTTCCACTTTATCTTTTTTGTTGAGACAGAATCTCACGCACTCTGTTGCCCAGGTTGGAGTGCAGCGGTGCAATCTCGGCTGACTGCAACCTCTGCCTCCTGAGTTTAAGCAATTCTCCTGCCTCAGCCTCCCGAGTAGCTGGGATTACAGGTGCCCACCACCATGCCTGGCTAATTTTTGTATTTTTAGTAGGGATGGGGTTTCACCATGTTAGCCAGACTGGTCTGAAACTCCTGACCTAAAATGATCCACCCGCCTTGGCCTCCCAAAGTGCTGGGATTACAGGTGTGAGCCACTGCGCCATGCCTTGTTCCACTTTATCTTTCAAGAGTAAGTTTCATCGTGGATTATGGTTAAAGACAAGTGCTGATTTGGTTTTCCTACCTGATCACGAGGCCACTCGATAGAACTAGTAAGCTATGCCTTGGGCCTGCAGGATGGCACCTGACTTGAAGATAGCACCTGACTTGAAGATGGCACCTGACTAGCATTTGGACTGGTTTGCAGGTATACTTTTATTTTTATTTACTTTTTATTTTTTGAGATGGAGTGTCACTCTTGTTGCCCAGGCTGGAGTGTAGTGGCGCAAGCTTGGCTCACTGCAACCTCCGCCTCCCGGGTTCAAATGATTCTCCTGCCTCAGCCTTCCAAGTAGCTGGGATTAGAGGTGCATGCTACCACGCCCGGCAATTCCTCAAAGATCTAGAACCAGAAATACCATTTGATGCAGTAGTACCCATTACTGGGTATATACCCAACGGAATATAAATCATTCTATCACAAAGATACATGCATGTGTATGTTCATTGCAGAACTATTCACAATAGCAAAGACATGAAATCCAAATGCCCATCAGTGATAGACTGAAAAAATGTGGTACATATACACCATGGAATACGATACAGACATAAAGAGGAACAAGATTATGTCCTTTGCAGGGACATGGATGAAGCTGGAAGCCATTATCCTCAGCAAACTAGCGCAGGAACAGAAAACCATACACCACATGTTCTCACTTATAAGTGGGAGCTGATCAGTGAGGACACATAGACACAGGGAGGGGAACATCACACACTGGGGCCTGTGGTGGGGTGGGGTGGGAGGAGGGAGAGCATCAGGATAAATAGCTAATGCATGCAGGGCTTAATACCTAGGTGATGGGTTGATAGGTGCAGCAAACCACCATGGCACATGTTTACCTATGTAACAAGTCTGCACATGCTGCACATGTACCCTGGAACTTTAAAAAACAACTGTTAGTACACTGAAGTTTTTGTCTGCATTTGCAGGCTGAGCACAGGGTTGCTCCAGGTGGGCCCAAATGCTGAAGAGCCTCATGTTAGAGTTTTTCACCTCTGCGATGGAACTGTGGTGGACTCCAGTATCATCATTCCAGGGAGGCATAGCCGCACCAACTGTGTTCCCAGGTTTCACATGGAGAAGGGTTTTAGAAAGTGCAGATAGCCTTGAAACCATTGGTTTCCTACCACTGTTTATTTCAGCATAACTTTTTTTGTGTGGAATGCTAGCTCTGGAAGAGCAGAAATAAATACAGCTTAAGCTTTGAACCATATCCTGCTGTACTTTTTCTCATAAGCTGGAAATAGAATTTTCTAACACCGTTTGTGGTTGGAAATACTGAATTTAAATGGGACTGCAGATATAAACAAAAAGAACAAGATGTGGATTGATGTGCCTATTTCAGTAAAACACAGCCACATTATTTCTGAAATATGGATACTAAAGATGACAAGTAGAAAAAAAATTGGAGATGTGCACAGTTGTGACAATAAGCCTTTAAACGTCACTAGTAGGTGCTAATAAAAGTCCTGAAAAATGAATGTTTTATTTTGTTGAGGGTCTATTCAGGTCCAGCTTTCCATTGTGTATACATTTAAGATAACATACTTTCTCATTTTAAAACCATACTTGATTATTACTGATGAATCCATGGTAGTAACATGGGTAATTATAAATATTCTTTTTTGTTTTTCCTTTTAACAAAGTACAAAGCTGAGAAATCAGAAAGGTGAACTAGTTGGGTCTGAGCTCATGGCTAAGGATTCATGATTTTCTGATTTGTGCAAAAAAAATTTTTTTTTTGAGATGGAATTTCACTCTGTTGCCCAGGCTGGAATGCAGTAGTGTGATCTTGGCTCACTGCAACCACTGCTTCCCAGGTTCAAGCAATCCTCCAGGCTCAGCCTCCCAAGTAGCTGGGACTACAGGCGTGTGCCACCACAACCGGCTAATTTTTGTATTTTTAGTAGAGATGTGATTTCACCATGTTGGCCAGGCTGGTCTTGAACTCTTGACCTCAAGTCATCTGCCCACCTCAGCCTCCCAAAGTGCTGGGATTACAGGTGTGAGCCACTGCGTCTGGTGACAATTTTTTTTTTAAAGATGTTTTAAGATGTTTTTTCCACATTTACCTAATATGTAGAATCCTTTTAAAACAAACACCCCATTGTAGAAGTACCTGTCTTATATGCATTTTTACAAATTATTACAGAATGACACCTTTTCTATCTGGATTAAGTAACACAACTGGTGTAAATCTGGTTTAGTTAGTTAGGGAGCAAAAAGCCACCAACACGTGATACGATTTTGTTATATGCCAGTAAGAATTTATATTAGATGCCTGACATTAAACTTTTTAATTCAAAAGAAAACCTTCTTACCTACATAATCTACTTTGGTAAGGCAAACGCTTTAAACTGATTACCCATTATTGGAAAAAAAATCAGGAGATTAAAGAAACCAAAGCTGTCATAATCTTATAAACAGTTCAAATAAAACTAGATACAGTATATTTATTAATGTACCACTAGAAAAATGAGGTCTATAGTCCCCTAGCACAGCATGCAAACTGGATTGTGCTGTACACATAGGTCTCTGGAAATGGTTTCAGCATTTCATGCTCCGCTGATTTGGATTCTGAGATACACACCAAAACACACTACCTAAGTCAGTCTATCGTATGGCACCAATTAGTAACTTCTCTATGAATTTACAGGGCCAAAAATGTTCTCATTTTACATATTCACTGATTGACTTGGAAGAAATCTA
The DNA here is from genome assembly GCF_000001405.40 of Homo sapiens. NCBI lineage: Eukaryota > Metazoa > Chordata > Mammalia > Primates > Hominidae > Homo > Homo sapiens. The sequence goes on along the minus strand of NC_000019.10, from coordinate 32,388,553 downwards.
TGTATAAGAGTATGGACTTTTTCGTAGCTCTGCCAGTTTAATCAACAGCTCTAGACCAAAGCCAACTACCACCTCCTCCCTACCTTTGAAGCTGGCTTTGGAGTTGCACATGCTATTCATTATAAAGAGGTGCATTTAAGACTCTTTTCTTTATATCCTGGATTATTCAATTCAACTGTCACCCCAGCCAAGTGGATTAGTCACTGGGGTTACGTTGCACCATGGTTACATTTGCAGGCCATGTGCTGTAGTCCCACACCACTGACAGGGTGAAGCCGTGGGGGCCAACATCAACACCGTAAAGCTGTCAGGAGGCAAGCGAGACTTTTTATAGCTGCATTTTGAATTAGTTTATTATTTAATTATGCATTGTTATTTCAAACTGGCTTTAAATATCAGCGATGGAATAGGTTAAAGTCATAAAATATGGTTAAAATCTGTAGACAGGTAGACTATAAAAATTACAAAGGAAGAAACTAATTTAGTTATAAAGCACTACTATAAAAAGCTTTCTTTGTAAAAAGCCGTTTTCTTCCTGGTAGCTCTAGAGCACAAATTATACCATTGTTCTAGTTCAGAGGTCTAGTCAGAAGACTTTTTCTATCAGATAGGTGGTAAATTAGGTTTTGTGGGCCATAGAGTCTCTGTCACAATTACTCAGTGCTGCTGTTGTACCTTGAAAATAGCCATATATGATATGTACACACACAAAAGCATGGCTGTGTGCCAATAAAACTTTATTTGCCAAAACAGGTGGCAGGTTGGCTTTGAAGAGAGGGCCCTAGTTTGCTAATCTCTCTTCTGTACCAGCGCTGTCCAAAAGAAATATAATGTAAGCCACATATGTAATTTAAAACTGTTTAGTAGCTAAAGAAACAGGTAAAACTAATTTTAATATTTTATTTAAACCAAAATATCATTTCAACATGTAATCAATATAAAAAACTGTTAATACATTTCCATTCTTTTTGTACTAAGTCTTTGCAACTGCTATGTATTTTACACTTAGATATTATAGTGGCTGCCACACTGGACCATACGTTCTAGAGCTTCCATGCTCGGATTCTTTAATTTGGAGGTTAGTGACACAGTTTCAGATTGGGTTTTTCAAAGACAGGGGATATGATTATGTTGTCCCTGGGAAGCATGGGACGAAATATTTGGCCTTGGTCACTTTCAACTGAGGTGACCCAGGATTCTAGGGCACAAATGGATAACCAGACCCACGATACAGTCAGATGATGTTAGCTTCGTCAATGCAACAAATATGTCAATAGCTGTCTGTATAGACGACAGAGTGATCAAGGTGTGAACATATCACTGTAGTTTTTGGCCTTCACTAAGGAATGCTAATTCCTTCGTCAATAGCAGAACTAGTCTTTAGCACTTTGACTATATCAGAATTGAAAGCATATAAGCGTGTCACATTTGGAAGAGAAACTGAACTGGGTAGCAAGGAAAAAAGCTTCAAAATTAGACTTAATTTTTAAAATGATTTAAAAAGCTAAATGCTTATTCAGTTTATCTTCGTGTAACAGTCTAATGCTAGTCAGCAACAGATTAACAAGTTATCAAGAGTCATCATAACCTTCATTTAACTCTTGGGAAGCTTTTAATTATTTACAACTTTCTAAGCAATAAAGTCATCATTTCCAGGAAAAGAATGAACACAACCTGTGGTTAATAGAACTTGGAGCCAAGTTTTTTTTAACAAAAAATTTATTACCAAAATACAATATTAAAGTCAATACATGACAAACTCCTGTAAAGCAAAATAAATTATTCTAACATTGTACAGTATTTCCAAAGGTAGTTAAAGAAGCACTACAGACCTTGCCTCACTGTTCTGAACAGATGAACTGCTCTCCCATGAACACAGTCCTAGAGTTTCCGCTTTAAGGCATGCAGCTTGATGTGCAGGATAATTTTACAAAATGCAAATCATCCTATTTTAATAAGATACAGTGTCAGAATTAACTGTAGTCTTTACATGTCAGTATTCCAGAAATTTTTATACTTTGGCTATAGAAGCAATGCCATAGTGTTACACAATACTTATTTCTTAAAAAAATACATGTATTCATGTTCATGAATATCAAACGCAAATTTCTATTAAATATATTTTATCGAATATTACTTAGAGCACCTTGCTGTACAATTTAAAAAGATTAAATAAGTGTCTATGAAAACTAAAAACACAATAAGTCTCAACAGAGAAGCCTGCTTGTCTTTGTCAAGCCAATTACAGCACGGGAAGGTGCAATGTAAACATGGATGCCCACCATTTACTTTGTGAGAAAAAAAACAGAAAATTATGAAGCCACCAGCAGCCACCTTCAATAGGAAGAAAGATCCAGAACAAAGGCTTCGGTCGGTGTCACAACATTGCACTATCTGGCCAAAGAACTTGGACTACCGATCAAATGGAATATTAGCATGATACTGTTGAACACTGGGACACCCGCCATATTCTGGATGATTAGAGAAAGGGAGAAAATGATAGAGCCCTGAAAAGTATTCTTTATAATGATCAGAATGCATCATCTTCCCCCCTCCCCACCTTTGCCATATGTAGTTTCTTTTCAAAGCTATTTTCACTATCACGTCTTAGTATTTTTTAAGTGTTCGGAGCAGAAAACAAATACTATGAGCTCTGTCTAATAAGAAGTCAATACCAATAAATAACATGTTATTCTATGAAGGAATTCCTACTGAATTTTTTTTTTGGGGGGGGAGGTAAACAGAGGACCTCATCTGTCACCCCGGTTGGAGTGCAATGGTGCCATCACGGCTCACTGCAAGCCTCTATCTCCCAGGCTCAAGTGATCCTCCCACCTTAACCTCCCAAGTAGCTGGTGCTACAGGCACGTGCCAACTATGCCTGGCTAATTTTTAATTTCTTGTAGAGACAGGGTCTCCCCGTGTTGCCCAGGCTGGTCTTAAACTTCTGGACTCAAGCAGTCCTCCAGCCTTGGCCTTCTAAAGTATTGGGATTACAGGTGTGAGCCACTATGCCCAGGCTACTGATTATTTTAATAGCTATCTCTTCTACAGTTAGAATTGCATAATCTTCATTATTACTTTTAGAAAACTCAATTGTTCTTGGTAGACACATTGTTAACTTAAGGCTTGCCACAAAATGATAATGGGAAGGGAAAGAACCTCCTTGATATATGCTTCCTCCTATCGGCCAGGAGAAAGCTTTTAAGGACAATTCTAAGGCCAGAATCAGATGAAACTTTAAAGGCTTTGAACTTCTGGGTTAGTTTTTTCCCCATGAGGTGGGGAAATTTTAAATCCATGATTCCAGGTGGAAAATTTAAGTAACAATCAATGGAATTAGTTTAAAGAAATAAAGGTAATTTAAAAATTCACATCATTGAAATTTTGGGGATGCTTTTCATTATTATTTTCTAAATATGATATAAAACTAAAGCCAAGGAAATTTTCTAAGACAAAATCCTTCTAAGGTTGTTGATTTTCAGAACAACAGATTTTTATAAAGAAATACTGAGTCATTGTACCAGCAATGAAAAAACTGACTTACAATATGAGTGGCAACAGTATGGGTAATAATAATGAAATCATTTTAAATGTTCTATTTGAATTTGAAATTAAAATGTTTCAATTCCGAAAAAAGGAGAAAATGAATATAAGTCCACATACAGTGGATTTGAGGAATATAGTATATATAAATCCATTTCATATTTTTAAAAACCACGTATCAGAAATGGATTAACTTTCATAAATAAATTAAAGCTACCTAAATAAAAAAGCTGCAAAGTTACAATCATTTATGTTTGTTTAAATATCACCAAAATGAGATTAGAAAGAAAGAAAAAAAAATCAGAAAATGTTGCAAGATGCCTGGCCCCACTTAAATAATTCCTAATAATAATTTTATAAATATTAATCCAATCATACCTGGACTTTAGGAACAGAATACTTCTTAAAACGTGCCTACAGCGTATCCCATTCGAAAACCTTTACAGTGTTCCAAGTTGATCGGTCACAGCCTCATCCAGGTGTTAGAAATCAATATTCAGATATTCGGAAATAGCACCGTGAGGATGGTGCACAGAAGAGCGCACCGACCTTTTCACTTGTAGGCAGAATTTACTTAAACAAAACAATGCATAAATGAGTAATCAGAACTACAAAAACAAAAACACCCTGTTTTCTTCACTCCTTGAAATAATTAAAATACAAAATGTGTAATTAATAAGATTACATCTATTTGATGGTGAGTTTTAATGCTAAAGCACTTTGTGTTGGTTTTCCATATGTCCTATCGCACTCTAACAAAATAGAATTTCCAGATAGGAAGAATCCTATAGACTTGCCAAATGCTATTTGTTATTAAAATTTTTACAAACAACCTGAATTTCTGCTATATTTTAGTCACATTTGGTTATATTCCTCTTCTGCTAAATATAACTAAATTAATATACCCCAGGAAAGAAAAGCTCAACACAGCAGTACTCATTTTCAGGAGCTTTTAAATTTCACCCCTCATCCCCTAAGGGATTTTTGGAAATAGTTCAAACTATTTCCAATGCCGGATGATCAAATGTAAATTTTCATACATTGTTTCTTTCACACACTTTCAGATAACAAGTGTGGTTTCATTTAGCAGAGTATTAGAAGGTCTACGTACTATGGAGAAAGTATGCCAAGTTCTGACAGACACTGAAAAGAACCTCTGAGAACACGGAAGACGATTTAGCATTACTACGAATTGAGATCTGGTTTGAGTCTGGTGAGAATTCACCTGTTTCGTCCTCTGCTCACAAGAAATTCATCGTAAATTTAAGACAATACTTCTTGAATGCCTATTTACAATCTAGCTTTGAATTTAGAGATCTTTCCTTTCTTTTTTAAGGAGTAAAGGAACATGTCCTAGATTGAGTATGATTAATTTCTATCAATTTAGGTATTTCAGTAGATCATTTCAAAGCCCTCTAATTATGTTTCCTTGTTGACTCTGTTGGTGACACTGAAAAAACCCCCTCCCAGAACTGCCTCCCATTTCTCACTGGAGGCCTCACAGTCTGCATTTGACAAGTGAGAAGAAAACTAAGCTCTGCTTAAGACTGTGACCCTTTTATGACTTTTAGAATAGTTCCTGAAAAGCCCTTTCTTAACTCTTGCTGGCATTTCTACACTCTAATAAGCTTTTATTAATAAATACACTCGACACTAAGAAGGGGTGACAGAGGGTTAATACAGGATTACACCTCTACTTCCTCTTTGACCCACTCCCCCTCACTCAAAATATTTAAATATCATTACTGCTTGTCCATTTGGAATTCCTTTTATTACAAGTTTGGTTCCAAAGTCACATCTGTCATTTCCTCAAAAATCACATCAACGACTTCTTCTGTGGCAGGAAGTTGTCTGACAGCGTAAAGGTGAAACTGTGGTGAAGGAATCCTCTTCTACTGCTTTCCTGCTCGAGTCATTATTCCACCTAATTTGTGTTTAGAGCTGTATTGTGGTCCTTATTCAGGATGATGTTTACAATTTCACCCTCGTGCTCTTTCATATGATCCAAGAGGTTTTCTTTGCTGGTTGATTCAAAACCACAAATACAACAGCAGAAGAGTAAAACGCAGTACTCCATGCTAGGAGGGGCCAGACTGGAGATTTTTTCTAAACTATATGAGGTATTACTTGTAGGGCTCAGTTTCTCATTCTCGTTGGTACCCAGAACTTCACTGGGAGTCTGGGACATCAGTTCTGAAGATGACACTGCATTTTCTGAACTTCCAGTGACGGGATCTGCACTCTCTTCACTGCTCTTTAATTGAGTCTTTCCAGGGGATTTCCCCAGAACTCTTAAAAACAAAACAAACACAGCACACCGTGAGGAGGCTACAATGTAGGACTAGTAGATTTAATCCTGGCTTTAATTTACATATAGCAATAAAGGGAGGGGGTAGGATGAAATACCTGCCACTTTGTGAAATCGCGTCGTTAATAGCCTTGTTTACTTGTTCGTAGTTGTAATTTTGGTCACTTGCATGTTTCCACATATGAGACTTCAAAGAAGGAGGATGGCTACACACATACCCACACAGAGAGCATCTGGAAGACAGGCAGGCAAGGGAAAATCAGAACGGTCCCATAACATCAGTGAAAAATTATCATGATTCTGTAACAATTATTATAGCCCTTCCTCCGAACCCTTATTAGACATATCGTATTTCACTGAATCTAAGATGTTACTGATTCTAAGAGGTACACTGATTTCAGAGAGGTCCTAGAATGGAAGTCCTAGAATCAATGAAAGAAGGTCTTTTATATTATAAAGAATTAGTAAGAATCAAGACAAACATTCCAGATTACTTTAGTTATTACAATATTTGGAAAGATTTTTGATGTAGTAATATGCAAAATATTTGCTCTAAATTATTTAATCATACAAAGAAAAACTTACACAATTAATACTTTGTACCACTCTACTACTTGAGAAAGCAAAAAGGAACGAAATGATTTTCAACATGAACTGTGCATTCTTTATAGATCCACAAAAAATGGAAGCAGTCGTCTTGAAAAAGCTTCAGCAATTTAGATTTCATAAATAAAACAAATAATCTTAAAAAGTTTCTATTAGAAAACATAATTGTTCCACATACTTGAGTACACTTGGTAAAATCTGAATTTAACAATGAAAGATTTTTAGAAAAATTAATAGACTTTATTTTTTAGATGCCTTTAGGTTTACAGAAAAAACTGGTCAGATAGAACTGAGTCCTCCTATAACCCCTCCTCCCCTGCACCCAATTCCTCCCATTATTAACATCAGTGTGCTGTATTTGTTATAAATGATGAATCTATATTGATAAATTTTTATTAACAAAAGTCCATAGTTTACATTAGGGTCCACTATTTGTGTTGTACAATTCTGTGGGGTTTTTTGTTGTTGTTGTTGTTGTTGTTGTTTGAGATAGAGTCTTGCTCTGTCTCCCAGGCTGGAGTGCAGTCTTGCTCTGTCGTGATCTTGGCTCACTGCAACCTCTGCCTCCTGGGTTCAAGCGATTCTCATGCCTCAGCCTCCTGAGTAGCTGGGATTACAGGCATGCACTTCCACGCCTGCCTAATTTTCATATTTTTGGTAGAGATGGGGTTTCACTATGTTGTCCAGGCTGGTCTTGAACTCCTGGCCTCAAGTGATCCACCTGCCTCCCAAAGTGCTGAGATTACAGGTGTGAGCCACCATGCCCAGCCAATTCTGTTTTGACAAAGGTATAATGCCATGAATCCACCATTCCAGCGTCATATGAATAGTTTCACTGCCCTAAAAATGCCCTGTACTCCACCTTTTCATCCTTCCTTCCTGCCCCTGAATCCCGGGCAACCACTGATCTTTTTGTTGACTCCATAGTTTTGCCTTTCCCAGAAGATCACATAATTGGAATCATAGCGATATGCATGTATGGTTTTTACATGTCTTTCAGGGCTTGATCATTCTTATTGCTGAGTAATATTACATTGTGTGGATGTATCATAGTTTGTTTGTTCACTCACCTGCTGAACAATATCTTGGTTGCTTCCAGTTTTTTGCAATTATGAATAATTGGTGATAGGAACATTCATGTGCAAAGTTGTTTTGTTTTGCTTTTGAGTCTGGGCCTTACTCTGTTGCCCAGGCTGGAGTACAGTGGCATGACCATAGCTCACTACAGTCTCAAACTCCCGGGCTCAAGCAATCCTCTTGCCTCAGCTTCCCAGCAAGCGCAGGTTTTTATAAGGAAAGCCCAAGTTTTTATAAGGATAAAAGTTGTCATCATTTGGGCAAACACTCAGGAGCATAATTGCTGGGTCGTATTGTAAAACTGTCATCTTTTTAGGAAACTGCAAATGCACTTTTCCAAAGACATTTTTGTTAAATACTTAATTACAAACCTAACAAACCAGATAACTTACTTACCTGAACTCTTTCCTACACCAATAAGAGACACAGTCAGCAATAACGAGGCACAAAGAAAATCAAACGGCATAGGAGTAAATAAAACAATTAAATACGGTCAAAGACTAAACTCTTTTTCTCACCCACCTCCAATTTAACTTTGTGATAGCATGCAGCTGTATTCTTTTATCATACACTCTGAGGAATCAGGTCCAAGGCCAAAGGTCTCTAAGAAATACCAGCCCACTTAACAGGCAATAAACAGGCAGTTAGTTCTTTTTTTTTTGAGACAGGGTCTTGCTCTGTTGCCCAGGCTTGAGTGCAGTGGTGGAATCATGGCTCACTGCAGCCTTGGCCTCCTGGACTCAAGTGATCCTCCTACCTCATACTCCCTAAGTGCTAGGATTACAGGCATGAGCTACCATACCCGGCCTAAATAGGCAATTCTTGATAGGACTTCTAATAAATTCAACTATATGAAAAGATGTTCAATCTCACTAACAATCAGGGAAATGTATCACACCCCTCAGACTGGCAAAGATAAGTGAGTCTGATAAAATGTGGAATCTGATAAATCTGGTAAGATTTTTCACAGATGTGGAAAAATGGAAATGTACAAATTTTATGTATGGCACTCTGAAGAGCAATTTGGCAATATCTATTAAGGCTGAAGTGGCACACACCTGTAGTCCCACAATTCTGGTGTTCACAAGGAAACACATACAAGAATCATCCTAGCCATGAACACCAAAAAAGGATACAACCCACAGTGACTGTTCTTCCACAAGCATATGAAAACAAATTGGTTTATTTTCATATAGTGGAATGTTACAAAGTGGAAAAAAAAACAACAACCAAAAAACCCCCATGAGATCTACACTTAGCACCAGAAACCAATGCCAATAATGATCAGTGAAAAGAAAAATAAACAGATCTGTTAAGCTTTTAATTTAAATAAATTGTTAAAACACCAAAACCAACAGAATGTATTACTTAATACATCCATATGTATGTATATACACATACATATGTTATATACATAGAAAAGTTATTCACGAATACCTGCAATGATACACATCACTGTCAAGACAATGGGTTACCTCTCAGGAGGAAGGGGTGAAGAAGTAAGAAAGTGAGGCTTTAGCTATATCTACAATGTTTTATTTCTTCAAAATGTGGTAAAATGTTTGACATTTCATTAAATATTTAAAAAAATTGTTCCCCTATTCTCTTTAAGCTTTTACAGCCTGCATTCTCCTTAAGACTTTATTACAGCTGGCATAATAAAACAAAATCACTACATTTTATTCTTGGTTATCTACAAAAAAACCCTAACCTTAATTCATTTTATTTTGCCCATTTATATCTGAGATGCAGCAATTTTTTGACAAACCTCAATAAATCTATAATATTTTCACTAACATCTTTATCAGAGGGTGGGCAACTGGCAACTTCTCCACCCCCAAGCCATTAAACTCAGTGTCTGTATCTGTGACTGTCACACGGTCGTGGTGTGTACTGTAGTGTGGTCACAGTCCCCTGCTCAAATGTCTCTGGATCAGTTGCTTGAGAAGGGCAACTGCCCTGCACCATGATGGCTGGGCACCCAGCTCATTGCCAGCCAAGAGATGCCCACTCCCTTCCGCCTAGTGCCTCTACCAAGGTGACTTTACATATGTTGTGCTATCATACGTTAATTTTTATGTTATGCAGAGGGGAAACAGACACGAAATGCTGGCTGTTCAGACACTCGCCTCCTCACTTTCATTCAGATGTGGTCCCGAGGCCTCACCAGAAAATTCTTTATCTGGAATGATCCCCCAGTGACAAGTCAGACTTATGCAACAAGAATTTCATATTTTTGAGAAAACTGGGTCAGAAAGTAAACTCCAGAAATCTCAAATTGATCCTATAGAACATCTCTAATGTTATTCCAACCTTTTAAAAATAAGAGTGATGAGCTATTGTTTACTGTTTTCCCTTTTTTTTTTAAAAAAAAAAAGCTTCTAATTTTAGAATAGTTACAGGTATAGATACAGATATATAGAAAAGTTATTTCCCTTACTGTTAACATGTTACCTTCCTGGGGTACATCTGCCATAAATCAGGAGCCAATGTTCCTTACATCATTATTAACTGAAGTCCACACTTTATTCGGATTTCCCTGGTGTGTACTTAACATCCTGTTTCTGTTCCACGACCCCATCCAGGACAACATGGCTTTTAGTCCTCACGTCTCCTTAAGATCTTCTAGACTGCAATTATTTCTCCTACTTGCCTTGTCTCTTTGAGACGGAGTTTCACTCTGGCGCCCAGGCTGGAGTGCAGCGTTGTGGTCTCGGAAAACTGCAACCTCCGCCTCCCAGGTTCAAGCGATTCTCCTGCCTCAGCCTCCCGAGTAGCTGGGATTACAGGTGTGTGCCACCACGCCTGGCTAATTTTTGCATTTTTAGTAGAGATGGGGTTTCGTCATGTTAGCCAGGCTGGTTTCTAACTCCTGACCTCAGGTGATCGCCTGCCTCACCCTCTCAAAGTGCTGGGATTACACGCACTGAGCCACCAAGCCCGGCCAACTTGCCTTGTTTTTAATGCCCTTGACAGATCTGAGGAACATGGGTCAGATATTTTGTAAAATGTCCCTCAGGTTGGGGCTGTCTGCTGTTTTTTTTCATGGTTAGACTGAGCTGATGGGTTCTTGGGAGAAAGGCTACAAAGGAAAAGGGCCATCCTCCCCACATCCCACTCTCAGGAGAACTCACCCCTGACCTTCCTCCCCTGGCTGAGGTCAGGTTTCTCCAGGGTCAAGTTCCTCTTTCTCAACCCGGTTTCCAAAGTGTACCACTGGGAAGGGGGTCACTGGGTGCAGCCCACACGTAAGAGCTGGGATAATCAACTGCCTCCTTGAGGGAGGGGTATCTACGTCAATTACATGGAATTCTTTTGCATGGGGTGTGTCTATTCTCACCCACCTATTCAACCATTTATATACATCAGTATGGACACGTGGTTATTTTATACTTTGGGATGTGGGCAGCAAGCCACCTAGGTGCCGAGGCAAGAGACCGAGGGCACGAGCTGTTCCAGTATAATAAAATATATAAAACAACAAGAGTTAATGCTAGATATAGATCATAGATATGATTATATATGAATATCATTAATCATTAGTTTGTAGCAATTACTCTTTATTCCAATACTATTATAATCTTTGCTCTATAATCATAACCTAGGAAAAACCAGGCCATATAGAGATAGGAGCGGAAGGGACACAGTGAGAAGTGACCAGAAGACAAGAGTGCGAGCCTTCTGTTATGCCTGGACAGGGCCACCAGAGGGCTCCTTGGTCTAGCGGTAATGCCAGCATCTGGGAAGATGCCCATTGCCAAGCGGACCATGGTCTAGCGGTAGCGTCAGTGTCAAGGAAAAACACTCGCTACTTAGCAGACTGGGAAAGAGAGTCTCCCTTTCCCCAGGAGAGTTTAGAGAAGACTCTACTCCTCCACCTCTTGTGGAGGGCCTGACATGAGTCAGGCCCGCCCGCAGTTATCTGGAGGCCTAACCATCTCCCTGTGATGCTGTGCTTCAGTGGCCACGCTCCTAGTCTGCTTTCATGTTCCATCCTGTACACCTGGCTCTGCCTTTTAGTTAACAGTAGCAAAATTAGTGAAAGTACTAAAAGTCTCTGATATGCAGAAATAATGGCGTAAGCTGTCTCTCTCTCTCTCCCTCTCTCTCTCTGCCTCTGCTGCCAGGCAGGGAAGGGCCCCCTGTCCAGTGGACACGTGACCCATGTGACCTTACCTATCATTGGAGATGACTCAACACTCCTTACCCTGCCCCTTTGTCTTGTATCCAATAAATATCAGCGCAGCCTGGCATCTGGGGCCACTACCGGTCTCCGCGTCTTGGTAGTAGTGGTCCCGCAGGCCCAGCTGTCTTTTCTTTTATCTCTTTGTCTTGTGTCTTTATTTCTACAATCTCTCGTCTCTGCACACAGGGAGAAAAACCCACCGATCATGTGGGGCTGGTCCCTACATTGGTGCAAATTCTGTATTGCACTATTTATTTTGTTGCTCAAACTCCTCCAGCCTTGCCCCCTGGGCCTCTGTGGTTGGGTCCCGTGTCCTGCTGCCACACCTCAAGTTTTGTTTCTTAAGCACTTCCTTACATGCTGGACCTGAGACGCTCCAGGATCACTTTGCATATTCCCCACCACAGTCCTAGACTAGACTGATAATTTCTCCAGTTCTTTTATTGGAGAAAGGTATCAGAAACCAAGATTTGGGTGACAGGTGAACTGCTTTAATTTTGTAAATAACTTTTTTCCTGATTTCAAAAATTCGCTGTAGAAAATTAGAAATATATAGGAAAAAAAAGAAAATAAAAATCACTCATAGCGTTATCACTAGATATAACCATTATTATTATTTTGAGGTCTATTTTTCAGTATTTAAAAATACATATATTTTTATAAAATTGGAATTATGGAAGGCTACTGTTATAATTTAAACTTTCTACAATAAAGTATTTAATGACTACAATAAGCTGCCTAGCATTTCACATTGGATGGAATTGGTGGAATTCCATTTAATTCTCTATTGTTTTATGCAGAATATATAATTCTGACAATTGACAATCATCTTTGTATAAAAATCTTAGGCACTTAAAGCTTCTGAGAACACAGTTTATAAACTTTAATTTGTGCACCAGCATGTGCTCATTCTTTTAGGGGAGGCTTATTCTAGGAATACAGACAGTTCAGTATTAGGAGCTTCATTATTATGAGTCACCATTTGAAAGGATTGGAAGCAAAAAGGCATATTTTCATTGGTGTTGCTGAGACTAAATCTAAAAAAATCAATATTCATTTTTAAATTTCTGATTATGGAAATCGTTAAACAAAGGGAAAATTATAAATAAAAGTGATGAATCCGTACCATCCAGTTTCAATTAACTGATTGTCGGCATTTTGCTAATCTTGTTTCATGTATTCTAACTTAAAGTTGCCTGATTTTTGCAGACATGTCTTATTCAAATTAGGATCCAAATGAGATCTACATTTCATATTTGGTTGGTAAGTCTCTTAAGTCTCTTTTAATCTATAATATCTCTTCTTTCTTTCCCGTCACCCCTCATGCATGTATCTGTTGAAGATATCAGGCCCATCTGTCTTGCAGAATCTCTCACAGCATGGACTACACTGAGGACTTTCTGGTGATGTCGTTTATCACGTCCCTGTGTCCTTCATGTTTCTTGTGAACTGGGAGTGAGATCTAGAAGAGTTTCTTGGCCTCTGCATTCCTGACATTTGGGGCTAGATAATTCTTCACTGTGGCGGCTGTCTGGGGCACTGCAGGTTGTCCAGCAGCATCCCTAGCCTCTACTCACTAAATGCCAGTAGTGCTTTCTCCCTCAGTTGTGACAAACGCAGTAATGTCTCCAGACATCGGCAAATGTCCTCTGAGGGGGCAAAAGCCCTTAGTTGGGAACCAATGAGCTACATGTTTCATTAGATTCAAGGTCATATTTAATTTTTTTTTTTTTTACAAATATACTCCATGGGTATAGCTGTGTATTTCCTACTGCCATACTCAGGAGGCACTTAAACCAATAGCACCTAACCCAATATACATTCCTAATAAAACTTCTCTACAAAATAAAGTAGATGGATAATTCTTCAATATCATAAAAATATAACTTTCTCAACTCCAAAACTAGTATCAAGCTTAATTAGGAAACACCAGAAGCATTTCCATTAAGTTCAAGAACAGAACAAGGACATTTACTATCCCCACTGCTATGCAGTGTTGTGGAGGTACCAGCTAGGACAATCAGACAAGAGAAAGAAAGAAGAGGTATAGGCCGAGTGTGGTGGCTCATGCCTGTAATCCTAGCACTTTGGGAGGCTGAGGTGGGTGGATCACCTGAGGTCATGAGTTTGGGACCAGTCTGGCCAACATGGTAAAACCCTGTCTCTACCAAAAATACAAAAATTAGCCATGTGTGGTGGCGGGTGCCTGTAATCCCAGCTACTCAGGAGGCTGAGGCACGAGAATCTCTTGAACCCGGGAGGCAGAGGTTGCAGTGAGCTAAGATAACACCACTGCACCACTGCACTTCAGCCTGGGTGACAGCACAAGACTCTGTCTCAAGAAAAAAAAAAAAAAGAAAGAAAAGCTATAAATAGAAAGGAAAGTATGAGAAAATGATTTGCAGATAATATAATGATATACCTTAACAATCCAATAGAAAATTAAAAACTGTTACAAATAATAACTCAATAAAGCCACAAAACTAACATTCCGTCCAGATCAACAACTTTCTTATATGGAAACAATATTAAAATGCTAGCAAAATGCTAGCAAGAAGGAAAAAACTATTTATAACAGCAATGGAATAAAATAAAATACACAAGAAGAAGCCTAACAATGAGTGAGAGAAAGAGAGAGAGAGTGTGTGTGTGTGTGTGTGTTCCTTGCTTTGCACGGTTCCGAGCTGCATGAATTTCAGTTACTATGGCTTAGTTAAACATTATCAGTCCCCCGACAGGATGGTTCAAATTTCAGTTATTAACTACTATGGGAATACGAACTGTGAGTAACTGCAGAGAACAAACTTCACTGGCAGCTCTTCAGTCTACTATGTAAACAGAGATGCATCATGCCCAGTGACTAAGCAAGCCTTTCAAAGCTGGTGACTGGTCATTGTGCTATGCAGTTCACTTCCCGACAGCAAAACATGTAGTTATGCTGCATCCTTATCTCCCAATGCTAAACCTGCAGGACGTGTTACGAAAATGGATAGTCACAAGAGAGGAACTGGCCAACAAAATCGAAGTGCAGCAAAAACCCACAAAGTGATAATGCTGGAAGCAAAATTAGACATACATGTAAATGAATTCTAGAACAAATAAATAATTGGCCACAGGAATGTTGACACTGCTGCCACTGAAGAAAACTTGGGATATGCAGCCAGAGGATCTCAGTGAAAGTGAATTTAATGACGAGGTATGTAGTTCCTGAAGGAAGTTATGGCGGCCAAAAAGTTTGTGTTAAAGGAACTCTTGGAGACATTTCATGATGATGACAATTACTTAGAAAGGACAACTGACCACTTGCCAAAGGCATAGGAAAGATGCTCATTCTAGACTGCAAAGGATACAATGAGAAGGCAAGCACTGTTCAAACCACTCGATAAGTCTCTTACAAAGAGACAAAACATTTTATTTCTCAAAGTTCCTAAGTTTTAAATTACAGTGTGGTATGATCTGAATTTACGTGACCCACCCCCCACCGAAATTCCTATGTGGAAACTTAACCTCCAAAGGGATAGTATTAAGAGGTGGGGCCTTTGGAAGGTGACTAGGTCATGAGGGCAGAGACCTTGTGAATGTGAGTGGTATGATCTGAATGTATGTGCCCCCCCCGAAATTCCTATGTGGAAACTTAATCCCCAAAGGGATAATATTAAGAGGTGGGGACTTTGGAAAGTGACTAGGTCATGAGGGCAGAGGCCTTGTGAATACGATTAATGCCCTTATAAAAGAGGTTTAGGGGAGCTTTATTGCCCCTTCCAGCATGTCAGGATGCTGCAAAAAGGTGTTATTTATGAAGCAGGGAGCAGGCCCTCATCAGACACCAAAGCTGCTGACACCTTGAGCTTGGACTTCCCAGCCTCCAGAACCGTAAGCAACACATTTCTGTTGTTCATAAATTACCCAGTCTAAGGCACTTTGTTATAGCAGCCTGAAGGGACTAAGACACACAGCACCACAGTTTAGATATGGTCTGTTTGTCAACACCAAAACTAACGTTGAAATTTGATTCCCAATGTGGCTGTACTGGGAGGCAGGGCCTAGTGGGAGGTTTCTGTGTTTGGGGGTGGATCCCTCATGAATGGGATGTTGGTGTTTTTCTCTCGGTGGTGGGTGAGTTCCTGCTCTTCCAAGACTGGACTGGTTCTTGGAATGAGTTAGTTCTCTTGAGAGTGGGGTGTTATGAAGCCAGGACGCCCCTCAGTTCTTCCGTTCTTCGCATGTGTCCCCCCTTTTTTGACCTTCTCTGCCATGTTGTGACATAGCACAAAAACCTTCACCAGAAGCCAGGGCCAGGCCCTCAAACTTTTCGGCCTGCAGAACTGACAGCTGAAAAAAACGCCTTTTCTTCATGTGGAGCGTTGTGGGTGATCTGGTTTGCCATGCTATCAGAGCCCCTTGCTTATGGATTGTTAGTTTAAATTACTGAGCCAATTCCTGTCCACTCAACTGGTCAGCAAACGCTCTCTCTTTATTTAAACCCTTTTCTGATTATATAATCTATATTCCTTGCACAAAAATGGAATATAGGCAAGTATAAAGACAAATTCTAAAAAATTACTTGCATAGCTTCCTGGTCTTTTTTAATGTACATATGTAGATCTGAAGCAAAAGTAGAATCATACTATAGATTTTTAATCCTACTTTTGACAATGTTCCATGAGTATTTTCTCAAGTTAAAAATTATGCATTTTCAATGGGGTATAATGTTCCATCCTATGAAAATACACTCTACTAAGTAGCATAGAGCTAGAATGTTTTTGATCTTTTTGACATTATAAACAATGCTATAACAAATTATCTTGCACATCAATATAAATGCACTGCAGATTATTTTTTAGGATAGAGTTCATTTCCCCCGCAAGACTCCTTAAGAATAATAAAGAATGGACTGGGCGTGGTGGCTCATGCCTGTAATCCCAGCACTTTGTGAGGCCGAGGCAGGCGGTTCACGAGGTCAGGAGATTGAGACCATCCTGGCTAACACGGTGAAACCCCGTCTCTACTAAAAATATAAAAAATTAGCCAGGTATGGTAGCGGGCGCCTGTAATCCCAGCTACTTGGGAGGCTGAGGCAGGAGAATGGCGTGAACCTGGGAGGCAGAGCTTGCAGTGAGCCGAAATCACGCCACTGCACTCCAGCCTGGGCGACAGAGCGAGACTCCATCTCAAAAAAAAAAAAAATAATAATAATAATAATAAACAATTAACACTCCTAGTTGAGACACAGAACATTACCAATATACCTTTGAGACTCCCTGTGTGCCTCACCTCAATTGCCTCCCCTTCCTTTCCAGAGATAAGAACGTTCCTGGGCTGACGGGCACAGTCATTTTTTTTTTTTTTTTGAGATGGGAGTTTCGCTTTTGTTGCCCAGGCTGGAGTGCAATGGTGCAATTGATCTTGGCTGACTGCAACCTCCCCCTCCCAGGTTCAGGTGATTCTCCTGCCTCAGCCTCCCAAGTAGCTGGGATTACAGGAATGCACTACCATACCTGGCTAATTTTGTATTTTTAGTAGAGACAGGATTTCTCCATGTTGGTCAGCCTGGTCTCGAACTATCGGCCTCAGGTGATCCACCCGCCTCAGCCTCCCAAAGTGCTGGGATTACAAGCGTGAGCCACCGCGCCCGGCTGGGCACAGCCATTTTTAAGGCTCTGATCTGTACATGTAGTACCCAGAAAAAGGAGAAATGATAGAAAATATGTTTTGACAGTATGGTAAGGGCATAAAAACAGAAGTGCAGATCCATGGAACAGAATAAATGGCCCAGAAATAAATCTAAAAATACACAGTCAATGAATATTTGACAAGGGCACCAAGAGGACATAATGGAGAAAGAACAGTCTCTTCAATAAATGGTGCTGGGAATACTGGATATCCACATGCAAAAGGATTAAACTGGACCCATATCTTACATCATCCACAGCAATCAACTCAAAATGGGTAAAATAGCTGAATGGAATATCAGAAACCATCAAATTCCTAGAAGAGAATACAAGGAAAAATCTCGCTGCAGTGGCAATGATTTTTTGGTTATGATACCAAAAGCTCAGGCTACAAAAGCACAAATAAATAAATGGGACAACATCAAACCAAAAAACTTCTGCACAGCAAAGAAAACAATCAACAAAATGAAAGAGTAACCTAAAGACTGCAAAAAAAATATCTGCAAACCACATATCCGATAAGGGGTTAATATCCAAAATTTATAAAGAACACTTATAACTCAATAGCAGAAGGACAAATAACTCGATTAAAAAATGGGCAAAGGACCTGAACAGATATTTCTCCAAAGACATAAAAACTGCAACAGTGATATGAAAACGTGCTCAACATCACTAATCATCAGGGAAACACAAATTAAAACCACTAGGAAATGATAACCTGTTAGGATGACTATTATCAAAGACAAAAGAGAGAATAAATGTTGGCAAAGGTGTAGGGAAAAGGAAATCCTACTACACTGTTGGTGACAATGTAGATTGGTACGGCCATGAAAAATAGTATGGAGGTTCCTAAAGAAATTAAAAACAGAACTACCACACGACCCAGAAATCCCTCTTCTGTGTAGGAGATGAGATCGCCACCTCACCAGGTATCTGCCTTTCCATGTTCAGTGCAGCATTCCTCACAAAAACCAAGGTATGGAAACAACCTAAGTGTCCACTGACGGACAAACGGATAAAGAAAACGTGACGTGCACGCGCGTGCGCACACACGTATGCACGCACACACACATACTCAATCATTCCGCCTTAAAAAGGGAGAGCCTGCCTTTTGCCACAACATGGATGGCCCTGGAGGCCTCATGCTAACAAGCCAGACACAGAAAGACAAATATTGTTCAATCTTACTTAAAAATCCAATACACACACACACAGAGAAGGAAGGAGTGGTTACCAGGGGCTGGGGGTGGGGAGGGAGAGAAGATTCCGGCATACAAAGCAGCAGGTATATAGGATGAACTTGTCTAGAGACCTAATACACAGCATGAGGACTGTAATCAAAATGTGCTGTATTAGGAATTTTTGTTAAATAAGTAGATTTTAACTGCTTTTGCCACAAAAAAGTACGTAAGATGATAGATATGCTGATTTGCTTCACTATAGTAACCATTTTACTATCTACATCTTATACATCATATTGTTAACCTCCAATATATACAATAACATGTATTAAAAAACAAAACAAAAAAAAAAGAAAGTATGTTTTGAAACAGAGGCTATGTCTAACAAATCATTTCTAACCACCTCACCAACAGACCAGCAACAATCATATTTCCACGTAGGGTAAACTGCTCCTTCCTATCCCAACCCATCCATTGGCCAAAAAAAGTCTTAAACCAAAACGAAACCACATGACAAAAGAGCACACTGATCATGACACCACCTGTCACGATTCTGCTTTGCTTCCTTGGTGGAATTGCTGGATGCTCCTGATGACAGAGCCATTTGGGACTCAATTATTCAAGTCTACCAAGGCAAAGTCATACACATGACATGGGGAAAGAAGTGAACACCCTAACAGTGTGATTGCTGGACTCCTAGAGTGGCCTGTAAATATGGCCATTGCTAGATCCAGGCTTTGGAATGTCCAAAGCAGCACAATTTCTATGTTAACCAATAACACCCAACCTGTATCTGTATAAAAAATGATTTCTTCCCAATGCAAAGAAGCTACTTTGGCAACCCAAAGAAAGCCAATGTAGAAACCCAAGGCTTCTTATAACTTGGCTAAAAAGCCTGAGACTGAATTTTTCTACAGACTCTCCAACTGTTACTAAGTCAGTTACTTCGGTCTCAGAACCCCAAGGAGATAAGGATGTTGGTTTAAAACCCCCCACTTTCCTGGCCTGGGACCAAGGTTAGTTTCCAGGTCAACTGCCTTGAGGGCTTAGATGGAAAAAAGCAGATGGATGTCCTACAAGATTTGGGGTGACCTGAGTCTGGTTTGAACACATAAACAACGATTTCAATAGAAATTTTGCAATAGAGCTTATCTTATGACCTTCAATTCATTTTCTATGCTTTTAAAGAAATAACTAAGGCCCCCACAAAACAGCCACTTCAAATTTTGTGATGAACCTGAGAGATCTTTATGCCACTGAGAAAAACAAACTCTTTCAGTTCATCTCTTCAAAACAAAATATATATTTTTTCCTCCTGATAAAACTATCTCCTTCACTATTTTCCTTAAACAAATTGAAGCTTTCTAAAGACTTAAGTTTTTCCCTAAGCCAACACATTGACTAAAGAATCACGATGCCTACAGATGAAAAAAGACTGAAGCCTGTAACTCTGGTGGAAGTGATGGGCTGTGACTGCCAAGGTTAGGTCATAAAAGGCAACAGAGCTTTTGCCTACTTCTTATCTAAGAAGCTCATTTTGGGGACTAGCAGACCTGCAAAGTCCACAAGGAGAAATCATGTATGTGTTCCAGCTGATGCCCAACCAACAGCCAGCACAGCCACCAGCCTATGCTGAGGCAGCATTCAGAGGACTGTCACCCTAGCTGTCTGGGTCACTTCCAGCCTTCAAGCCTTCCCTGATGAGACCCCAGACTGTATGGGACAAGCCATCTCTACTGCGTCCTTTCCAAATTCCTGACCGACCCACAGAATCCCTGAGCATAATGAAATTGCTTCTGTTTCACACCCTGATTTGGTGTGGGCTGCTGGCATGCAGCAGCAGTACACTTCATAAAGAGATCTCCCTGGTGTAGCACAGACAGGCAGGATGACACAGTTATTAGGAGCAAGAGTTCAGGCCCCGGCTCTGAGACATGGGGAAAGTTATTTAAGCTAGCCCAGCCTCTGTTTCCATGTCTACAAAATTGGGGTAGTAATATTCCTAAGTACTGGGCTGCTGTGAGGACTGAACTGACACGTATTGAATGCTTAGCACACCGGGTCTGGCCCACAAACAATCTTCTCAAAAATATCAGCTATTATCATCATTTCTAATATACTTCTATTTATACAAATCCCATACAATAACTGACTACACTGAGAGACAACCTTATCATTTCCATTCCAAACTGTCATTCCCCCTGCTGAAAGCCTTTCTGGAATGTTTTCTGTTTAGATTTTTTTAGCTTTAGTGCCATATTAGTAAATGAGGCTCAGTAATACCTAAGCACGCATAGTTGATGTGCCATCCCTGAAAATCAGCACACATTTTTATTTCTGTATCATCGTCTACCTTACTCAACAGACTATTTCAAAAAATCAAAACTAGTTTCAGAATATAAGAACACAAAAGTCCTAAACACAAAGAAAAAGATTAATACATTTGACTATATTAAACTGGAAATGTCTGTTCATCAAAAGACATCATTAAGAAAGTAGAAAGGCAAGCCACAGTTAGATGACATCTGCAATACGCCCCACAAAGGCCTTGTACTCAGAATACATGAAGAGCTCCTGCAAATCAGTAAGAAAACAGCCGATGATACAGTTTGGATATTTGTCCTTTCAAATCTCATGTCGAAATTTGATCCCCAATGTTGGAGGTAAAGCCTGGGCAGAGGCGACTGGGTCATGGGGATGGATCCCTTACGAATGGCTTGGTGTAGCCATTCATGAATAATGAGTTCTCTGTCTGTTACTGCAAGATCTGACTGTTAAGAAGAGCCTGTACCTCCTCCCCTCTCTCTTGCTCCATGTCTCACAATGTGACATATCTGCTCCCGCTTCACCTCTGTCATGACTGGAAGCCTCCTGAGACCCTCACCAGAAGCAGAGGACAGCCTGCAGAACCATAAGCCAAATAAACCTCTTCTTTATAAATTACCCAGCCTCAGGTATTCCCTTATAACAATGCCAAACTAATACAATAGACAATGCAAAAAAGAAGTGGGCAATAATAGCCCATAAACAAATGAAAAGATGCTCAAACTCAGAAATTATCAGGGAAATGCAAACAAAAGCACAGTAATACACTGCTATACATCTACCAAAACAATAAAGATTAAAGACTGACAACACAAAGTGCTGGTGAGGATGTGAATAGGTACAACCATTTTGGAAAACTGTTGACACTGTCTACCAAAGCTGAATACATATACATGTCCAATTACCAAGAAATTCCACCCCTAGGTATAAACCCAATGGAAATGGACTCATTTCATATATGTGCCCAAAAACATGTAAAAGAATGTTAAAATGGTATCAGATCATATCAGGGAGGAAAACCTTACAATAACTCAAATGTCTATTCACAGAACAATGAATAAATTGCGGTGGTCTTAACAGTGGAATACTATGTAACAATGAAATGCAATTCTGCTAGGTGGAACTATACAGACACACACATACACACACGTTGAGCAAAAAAATCTGAACATAAAGTAGAATATGTACTGTATGATTCCATTTTTATTAAGTTCAGAAACAGAAAACACTAATTGATAATGTTAGAAGTCAAGATAGTGGATACCAGACAGAGGGGAGGGGTGGGTAATGACTGGAAGGCCCACGAAGGGGTGCTGCTGAAGAGCTCATAATGGTTTGTGTTACAAGCATGAGTTTAATTTGTGATTATTCATCAGCTGTACCTTTATGATTTATGCAATTTTCAGGAGGCATGGTAACATCAATTATAAAATCTATTTAAAAAATTTAGAGGGAGGGAGGGAGAGAGAGACTTAAGATACTCTCTTAATAGAGCGGCTGGACCTTGTTTGGTTCTCAATATGAAAAAGCTACCTCCAAAAGTATGTTTTGAAACAATTAGGGGAAAATGGGTATTTTTGGACTGGGTATTAAAAAAAATTCATCTTATATTATTTGGGCAGCTATTCTACTTAAGGAAGAAAAGGCGTAATAATACCACTACACATTTATTTTCAAGCACAAATTAAACTTACACAAAAAGCTTATAGAATCAGACCCATTTTATAGATGGGAAGAACTGAGGGATATGGACAACTATCAGTCAACATTTACCGAGCACCTACTATGTCCCGGGCAGTGTGTGGAGTACTTGAGCCCAAAGCCCATGTACTTCCCTTGACATCATGCTGTCCCCCTGCCACAGTACAGTTTCAGAACCTAAGCACAGTACAGTTGTATTTCTAAGGGAAAATGGGTTCCATGCCTTATGGTTAAAAAGAAACTGATACTCTTAGGACAATGTTTTGTTCTCCCATCTTGTTCTCTACAAAAGTGGTACTGGGAGATGTAAATCAGGGCAGGTCCAGCAGTGCAATATTGAACTAAACCAAGGACCATCTAATATGAAAAATTTTGAGTGGAACTTTTCAGTAAAACTTTGGGGCCAATGTTATAAATGTCAGGTATAATCTCTCACCTTATACAAAAATCAACTCAAGATGGATTAAGGACTTAAACCTAAGACCTGAAACTACAAAAATTCTAGAAGATAACATTGGAAAAACCCTTCTAGACACTGGCGTAGGCAAGGATTTCATGACCAAAACCCCAAAAGCAATTGCAATAAAAACAAAGATAAATAGCTGTATCTAATTAAAGAGCTTTGGCAAAGCAAAAGGAACAGTCAGCAGAGTACACAGACAACCCAGAGTGGGTGAAAATCTTCACAATCTATACATCTGACAAAGGACTAATATCCAGAATCTACAATGAACTCAAACAAATCAGTAGGAAAAAAACAATCAATCCCATCAAAAAGTGGGCTAAGGACATAAATAGACAATTCTCAAAAGAAGATACGCAAATGGCCAACAAACATATGAAAAAATCATTAACGATCAGGGAAATGCAAATCAAATGCAACATCACTAATGATCAGGGAAATGCAAATCAAAACCACAGTGTGATACCACCTTACTCCTGTAAGAATGGCCATAATCAAAGAATCAATAAACAGTAGATGTTGGTGTGGATGTGGCGATAAGGAACACTTCTACACGGTTGGTGGGAATGCAAACTAGTACAGCCACTATGGAACAGTGTAGAGATTCCTTAAAGAACTAAAAGTAGAACTACCATTTGATCCAGCAATCCCAGGAAAAGAAGTCATTATTGGAAAAAGATGCTTGCACGCGCAAGTTTATAGCAGCACAATTCACAATAGCAAAATCGTGGAACCAACCCAAATGCCCATCAATCAACGAGTGGATAAAGAACTCGGAGATATATATATATGATTGAATACTACTCAGCCATAAAAAGGAATGAATTAACAGCATTTGCAGTGACCTGGATGAGATTAGAGACTATTATTCTAAGTGAAGTAACTCAGGAATGGAAAACCAAACATCGTATGTTCTCACTGATACGTGGGAGCTAAGCTATGAGGACGCAAAGGCATAAGAATGATAAAATGGCTTTGGGGACTTGGGGGGAAAGAGTGGGAGGAGGGCGAGGGATAAAAGACAACAAATATGGTGCTGTGTATACTGCTCGGGTGATGGATGCACCAGGTTCTCACAAATTACCACTGAAGAACTTACTCATGTAACCAAACACCACCTGTACCTCAACAACTTATGGAAAAATAAAATTTAAAAAAGAAAAAAAAAGAAATGTCAGGTATAACTATAATTGGTGTATGGTTTACACAGAGTAAGAACAAAGTTATTAATAGCTGCATTGGTAGGCACTGGGATAGAATGATGTCATTTTAATCTTTCCCTGTCCTTCCACAGGAATGGAAAACAGCTCTCTTTTTTTCTGGGTAAGAACAGGGCTTCTGAGATAATCTGACAACTTCATGAGCAGAAAATGGGAACAAGCCCCTTCAATGCACCAAGTAACATGCTGGGTACTTCATAAATATAATCTCACCTAATCTTCACAAAGCCTTATGAGCGGGGAAGTATTCTCCCGAGTTTCGTATGGGAAAAGAGGCTTAGTATGGCATAACATTCCCAAGGTCCCCAGTGGGGCACAGAAACTGTGTGGTCCAGGCCTGTGATGCTCCCAAGATACTAGAGTGACTCCAGAGCAGCCAGACATAGCATGGGGACCTCAGCAGGGACAGCACTCTGCCTGGGCCCAGCATCTCTTTTGTAAAATGAGCTCTGCCTGCCTACCCTGGCACAGAATTAATTCTTCTTTGTTTCCCTAGTGTTTAGAGGTCATCAGCCTTTTAGTACTTTTCTTTGGTTAGATAATGAATTATTGAGAAGATAAAAGCTGGGCCCAGTAACTACCAGCTACCACTTACTGGCTGTTTATTATGTGCTGGTACCTTAGGTATTTTATTTCACCCTCACAACCTTAATATCCTCATTCTATTAACGACAAAAGCAGCACAGAGAGGTGAAACAGTTTGCGCAAGATCACAAATCTCACAAGTGGGAGAGCTCAGATTCAATCCCAGGACTATCTGCCCCCAGAACCAGGGATCCATGAAGCCGTACTGCCCAGACCACAAGGATGGGGTCATTGAAGGACTGGAATGACAGCATAAAAAGCAAAAGCACGAGAAAGGAACAGGTTTCACCACTACAGAAAACTTGTTATGTAATAGGCACACTAAAATAAACAATAAATCTTTTGTGCCCTTGTGCAAAGTTTAGAAGTTGTGCAACAAGGCCTTGTAGCTCTTTAAGAACTCATTACTGCTGCCTGTGAGCATGTTTCTTAACAAAATGTAGGGAATCAGAAATGCATAGGATATGGCATGAACTCTGAGAAACCAAGCCCAAACTCTGACCATAAGTGCACCAGGCAACGAAACTGAATGAAGCAGACATGAAATGAGCCAGAGAAACTCCTGTGATCCTTGAATTAAGTCAGACATTATAAAGGCTACGCTACCAGCTCCGCTTAAAGCACACAGTATAGGACAACGAGGAGAAAGTCCTAGAAACATCCTGGAATAGAACATGTTAATCCGTAATGCTCTGCGACCAGAAATCCCATGAAGGCAAAGGATGGTGAGTATTTAAAGAAAGTTAAAAGGAGAGCCATGACATTAGAAAATAAGACTTATGAGGAAAAACTGATAATAAGTACAAAGAGGGAGATATGACAAAACTGTATCTAAGGCATAACCACACCAAACCCAGTGACAAAGTGGAGTGTGAATAAATTTGGAAAATAACAGACTGAGAGTTCTCTGATGTTACACAAAGAGGATGCTCACGGGATGTTGCCCGTTGGTAGGAAGACCCTAGGACAACTGCAATGAATCCTATGAATCTGTGAATATTTTAAGAACACAAGAAAACATCCCTGAGACACTGACAGCTATCAAAATGAATCTTTAAGCTGCAAGACTGATCTAATAAAGCAGATGTAAAACCTTCAACAGAACTAGAATCGCTAACCTTTTTCCTAAGTATTTGAGGGTTTACTTGCTTATTGTTTGTCTACAAGTTCCATGACAGCAAAGATGACGTCTGTTTTGTTATGACTGTAGTCCAAGAATCTAGCACGGCCCCTGAAGCATAATATTTGCTCAATAAATATTTCTCCATGAATGAAAGAACAATCTAATTCTGGACCCGGAGAAATGTTATTTTCTTCTTACTTAAATCACATGAATCTGGCACGGTATGTCTAAATTCAAGGATACCAAAAATATAAAGGCAAAGCTTTCTCCTCCTATCAGGTAAACTAGTGTTCCCTGTTTCCATCACATTCTCCTAAACATTTCCCAGTATAAATCACGAATGTAAATATACTCAGTCCCACCTATTAAATAGACTGATTGGACATGGTGTAACCATGTAATCCCAGCACTTTGGGAGGCCAAGGTGGGCGGACACTTGAGGCCAGGAGTTCAAGACCTGGCGAAACCCCGTCTCTAATTAGCTAATCATGGCACATGCCTGTGGTCCCAGCTACTTGGGAGGCTGAGGCATGAGAATCACTTGAACCCGGGAGGCGGAGGTTGCCGTGAGGTGAGATCACTCCACTGCACTCCAGCCTGGGTGATGACAGAGCGAGACTCTGTCAAAGAAAAAAAGGAAGGAAGGAAGGAAGGAAGGAGGGAGGGAGGGAGGGAGGGGAGGGAAAGGAAAGGAAGGAAAGGAAGGAAGGAAAGGAAGAAAGGAAAGGAAGAAAGGAAAGGAAGGAAGGAAACGAAGGAAGGAAAGGAAGGAAGGAGGGAGGGAGAGAGGGAGGGAGGGAAGAAAAGGAAAGGAAGGAAAGGAAAGGAAGGAAAGGAAGAAAGGAAAGGAAGGAAGGAAAGGAAGGAAAGGAAGGAAGGAAAGGAAGGAAGGAAGAAAAGAAGGAAGGAAGGAAAGAAGGAAGGAAGGAAGACACTGAGGAGGACTGAGGCAAGGTCAAACACCTTCCACAGAGTTTTAAGACTCTGCAAACAGATGTACTTTCTGAAGAGTGATTATAAGTAAGTCTGCTGGTTTGCAAATTAAGCACATATTAAATATTCGAAACCATACACAGATCACCACACTTTGGGATTAAACAATGACCTTTTATGGCACAATCTGTCAGGTTTTCATTGAGATTAATACAATAACTTTCCCACACTCACTTGTATCATATCTACAGAATCTGGGGAGAGAGTTAAACCTGCTAAGTTTTGACAAGGGGGTGAAAGTTCATGCGCATTGCCTAGCACTATCACTGAGAATGCCTATATTTTCTGAAATATATATCTGAATTTGCTTTTGGGAAAAATCAAGTAATGAAATTAAATGACTTATTCTACACATACTAGCTTAATTTTGAAAAATGGACTCTTTCATAGAAAATTTTATTGCCTTTAAGTTTTAAGGATCTTTTGCTGAATACTGAGTACCTTACTGCCAAATTACTGAAATGAACTCTAAGGCATTGAAAATTGCTATGAAATTTATACCCATATGAAATGAAAACATAAAATTGACAGATAAAGACAATTTCCTATGTATCAACTAGACAAAATGCCTACTGTCCTAAGATTCAAGCTTAAAGTTCACATCTTAACAAATCAAACAAGACATAATACCAGCCAGGTGCAGTGGCTCACGCCTGCAATCCCAGCACTTTGGGAGGCTGATGTGGGAGGATCCCTTGAGGCCAGGAGTTCGAGGCTGCAGTGAGCTGTGATCATACCACTGCACTCCAGCCTGGGCAATACAGCAAGACACTGACTCAAAAAATAAATAAGTAAATATATAAAACAACAAAATATAAAACCAATTAGTGAAAATTTCTTACTTCTTAACCTGTGTTTCAGTAAGTGCTATACATTTTTATTTCATTTTATTTCTTTAATATAAAATATTTTAATACAAACATTAAAATTCTAGAATCATAACACTTACCTGTACGGCTTATCAGAGTTATGGATTCGCCTGTGGTTTCTGACACCAACATATGTTGTACTTGTATAATCACACACATCACATCTATATTGTTTCTGGACTGAAGACTTATTCCCTAGACAAGGTATTTCAGAGTTTTAGTAGCAGGCTTTGACAAGATTCAAATGACAGCATTTACATTCCATTGTAAATGAAAATTTATACCACACAGTTGTATTAATATTTCAATCACGGCTTTCTCACTGTTTTAACAAGTCTGAAGTGGTTTTATAGGTTTTCCTGCATATACACTATCAGCAGATATAAACTGAACATCATCTGACCTATAAACACAGATAGGTTGGGATGATTCCTGCATAACCATGTACAATATTCTAAGTCATAATGAACTTGCTTCTGGCTATGTAGGAGCTAAATTAATCAGAGACACCCTGTTGATCTGTATCACCAAATAGGTGTTACTCTAACCAATATTGGATATACTGTCTTACAGAAACACTGACTTGACAACAAGCTGTAATTTAATACTATACTCCAATATTATAAAGTGTGGCTATGAAGCATATATAACCAACTCAATATAAAAAGCCTGGCTAGGTGTGGTGGCTCATGCCCATAATCCTAGTACTCTGGGAGGCTGAGGTGGGAGGACTGCCGGAGGCCAGGAGCTGGAGACCAGCCTGGGCAACAGAGCAAGAGATCTCTCCCCCACTCTCACCCTACAAAAAAAAAGCCTAAGGCCTTTTCACCCAGTGCATTTTCTTTGTTTACCACTAAACGTCAGCTACCAACGCAACAAGAAAGGAAAAGCGGCCGCAAATTTTTAAGTGCTATGCAATGTATAATTCTTTCTAGTTAACTGACAGGTTACAGGGACAAAGGTTATGACTGACATGAATATGCAGCTCTCCGAAACGCAGGAG
Source organism: Homo sapiens (assembly GCF_000001405.40). Classification (NCBI taxonomy): domain Eukaryota; kingdom Metazoa; phylum Chordata; class Mammalia; order Primates; family Hominidae; genus Homo; species Homo sapiens. Next base: position 32,359,695 of record NC_000019.10, on the reverse strand, counting down.
ACATGGATCCAACGAAAAGTAGCCATGTTACTAAACTCACTCTGCAACAACAGGGCTGAGTAATTCAAGTTGGGGTAAGCTTATGTCAACACGAGTTGAGTGACTTGATCATATAAAACGATTTCTTGAAGATATTCAACGCTTCATGTACTTGTCTGTCAGCATACAGTCCACAGGCTATTCACACTCTGCTTTATATTCAGAAACAAAGCAAGCATGGAAGCTCATGAAAAAGGCAGAGCAGGAAGAACTGTGTGTCTCTTGGCAGGAAGAAAGCTTAGGTAGAACACCTGTATACACCGCATAAAAGTAAAATCCGTGGTATTATACAAAGGAAAACCCACACTGAAATTTCAACAAAGAAAATCCTTAAGTTAAATTTACGGTTTCTAAAATTGAAATTTTCTTTTGCTAATAACTACTGCCAAGCAGAACAAAATGTCCTAATTTCCTGGTATAAATCTATAACGTTAATATACACACTAATCATAATTATAATCTAAGTATTGCTCTTAATTGGTAGGTTAAAAACTTGGACTTGATTATAAATGGCACTGTTCCAAATACAGTTTTAAAAAAACCCTAAAAAATGAAGTGTGAAATATTGGATAATGGTTTTGTGTGAGAAATATTACAGATCAATGACAACTAATAAAACTGACAGATGGAAAAACTTAATATAGCACAGAATGAGAGCCTGTGCTACTTCAAGCAACTGTTTCCAATGGAAAGAATATTGGATTTAAAGTTCAAAAACTTGGGCTTAGTCCTCGCTCTGCCACTTTCTACCAGTATGATCATGGGTAAATTATTTTGCCTCTTGAAGTCTCAGTTTTCTCATCTACAAATTGGAAATGCTAGAACCTCACAGCATAGTTTAGTAAGTCCTATATTTTTCCTTTAGCAAAGTCTGTACTTTACCTGCATGTCTGGGTAAAATCTCTGCCCTGCCACTAAGCTGTCTATTCCCTGAGGATAAGGATCTGCTTGTTTTGTTTAGACTGAATCCCCAGCGCTTGGCAAATTATAGGTTTCCAATAAAAAACAATTTAATTAGGTTTCATGGAGTAACACCATACGAAAGGGCTTTGCTTGCGGCTCTATTTGAGCTCCTGCGGTATCTGCTGACATACCCATCAGCCTCGTTCTGTCTTCTTCACTGAGTTGGATTCCTGAAGGGCAGTGATGCCTTTCACTGTACTCCCAGCACCTAACACAGTATCTAGCTCAAGACAGGCAGGCCATGCCTTTTGGCCAAGCAAATGTTAAGCTGAAACATGCCCTAAGGTATCTGTGCTATCTGAATGGCAGAGACTGAGGATCACAGAGGCACAAATCTCTCTTCTTGTTTAACAAGTTTACTAAATAGGTAAAGAAGTTTTAACAAAGCATGAATTATTATTACCTTATTTGTGAGCTAAAAATTTTTTCTTTGGCCTGACAACCAGATTTCAAAATATCTAATATTGAGTTAATAAAGTACCCATCCAGGTATAAGTATGCAGCCATTTGAACTGCTACAGTACTGAGAGAAAAAAGCAAATGGAGCCAGGTGGAGGAAAAGAGGCATGGCAGGCAATTTAAAAATCCATGCATGTAACCCTAAAAAAAAAGCATGAGCCACAAAGAAAAGATGCTGCAACATAAAATCTAGTAAACATTCATTAATACTGTAAAGTCTGAAGTGGTTATTTTAATTTTGAGCTGACACTTTAATCTTTTTATTAAAATTGTGAATTTTAATGTTAACTCATTTGGACAGTTTGAAATGTTTGCTTTTTAGGACGGTGCTAAAAAAGACATCTTCCAACACTGATATTAACTGCAGGTGGTGCTACTGAGTAGTATTTACTTCATCCTTTCATTAGGGATTTATGGTCCAATCATATCAGACGTTTTAATGTCTCCTTTAAAGGGGATATGGAAACATAATGAATTAAAATAAAAGGAGGCATTTAGGGCTATTTTGTAAAAAGGAAACAAAACTGTTTTAGCTCAGCCATCTACTGCAAAAACAGATGCTATATCATAAACTCCTTTTGTTTCAGAGAGTTTTACAGGGATGACATCTGTTTGACATGAGAATTTTGGTGCTACAGTGGTGTCAAAATCAGTTCTTTCAGAAGCATTCTAGAATCAGTTATGCTTTCTGGGGTATAATTTAATGAAACATTATGGTAAAACATTTCACTCTGTAGTCGTTTCTAACTTTAATTCTTAGCAAATCTAAAAGGGAAAGTCACCCCAATATGTCTTATCTCCCATAAACATTATGTGCCACACTGGAGACATTTAAAGTATATCAATTTAAGTGAGCTGAACCAAAGCGGCACAGCTTAGTACACTTTATCCTTAATTCTCCGGATGTGGCATCCGCCTTTTCATGGAGCTCTAATTAAATCTTTTGATTCTAATATTCTTATTACCAGAAACTCGGTTGACTGCTACTTAACTAGTACATAAAAAGATCTTGTGTGTCTGTGTGTGTGCTTTTTTTTTTTTAATAATGCAGATGAAATCTGGCAGTCATACTTGGGTAAGAATAAGATCACAGCGGGGAGCCCCAGTTAAAGTTTGGGGTGGGGGCCTACCATCTGCAAAAGCTCTGTTCTCAGTAGGTCAACTGGTGCCGAGAGAGGGAGGGGAGGCCTGTTTTCCATGTTGTAGCTTTTCTGGCTTGCTTTTCTGGCTTGCTGGTACATCACCTTCTAAGGGGCTCTTAAGTTTCAACTGAAGATGAATCCTTACTATCTAGGGCTTCTCACCTAGGACCTAGTAATCATCTGCTTCATTCAGTACTTGGCATTTCCTCAGAAACAGAGATCAGATTCACTCACATCCATGGTACAAAAATGGAGGAGAATATAGGCTTTTGCCCTGAAAATAACCAACCATGACAACTAAGGGCACTTTTATGTCATGTGCAAGTCACTGCAGCCTGCATAACAAAATACATAGATACCTTCCTGGACACATTTTCCATCAGCTGTATCACTGGAAATTCTTGGCTCATTAGAAGTTGCTATTGACAAGGTATCTGGAAGACTGTGCTGTTCTCTCTCATGGTTCCTCAATTGACTCTAAAAAGTGGAAAGAAATATGTAATTTTCAATAAATATACATGTCCAACTCTTAGGAGGCTGTAGAAGAACAGGTTCATTGCTTTCATGGCCTAGTACAACGAATTACCATATTTTAAAATCAAGTCTGCTAAAGGATCATTTGACACATTTGACAATTTATAGAAAGAAGTACATTAGCAAATCATAATCACATTCAACGGACAGTTCCTCTTCATATTCTCTGAAAGGAAGTCACCATTTTCTTAGGTGATTACACAGGGCGTGTCCGTATTTACTGAAACACTGGTAGGCCCAGAGGAGGAACGAGCAGAGTGTTCAGAATAATGCAACTTCACAAAAAAAAATCCAATCAGTAATCACCAGACTCCTAATTTTTCATTGAAATATCTAAATGTGTAAGAGATCTAACTGGAAGTGCTCCTCCAAGGACATCCTGTCTCCTCTACTTCCATTCCCATGAATCAAGAGCTCAGTAGCAAAAGAAACTCCTGGAGACTTCAGGAACTTGTCTTTGCAGCCTATGTGGACATCCTACTTGGAATTTCATGAGTGTAATCTGAGAAGCAGTGAACCTCAGACTCAAGGGCTTTCTTATTCCTGTTACCTTTTTTTTTGAGATGGAGTCTCGCTCTGTTGCCCAGGCTGGAGTGCAGCGGCATGATCTTGGCTCACTGCAAGCTCCGCCTCCCAGGTTCAGGCCATTCTCCTTCCTTAGCCTCCCGAGTAGCTGGGACTACAGGTGCCCACCACCATACCCAGCTAAGTTTTTGTATTTTTAGCAGACAGGGTTTCACAGTGTTAGCCAGGATGGTCTCAATCTCCTGACCTCATGATCTGCCCGCCTCGGCCTCCCTCCTGTGACCTTTTTACCACAGCTAGACCCCAGCTCTCGGTAATCTGAGGGAAAAAGTCTACCTCCTAGTTAGCCCTTAGGATAACATTTGTAATACATTTTCAAGGAGTCACCTGGCCCACTGAAGAAAAGTTCTAAACCAATGATTCAACGTTTCCTTTATAAAAGAATAGCACTTCATACAGGATATTGGTTTTGATAAGGTCAGCACTTAAGATAAAAATCAGACAGTCAAAATAACTCTTGAAAGTTCTTTACCCTGCCCATAAAACATGACACACATGGCTCTATTTCCATGACAGTACCTTTTAATAGGTCCGCCATAGCCCATTTTTCCTTCTGCAATGATACACATCACTGTTGGTTATGTAGAAGCTGAACTGAATGCCTGGCATTCTGGGGCCATATAAGATGAAAAATATGTATTTTTTTGTTGTGATGATGTACGGTTAAATTTGTTTAAGTCAAACGTATGTCAATACGTTAAGTCAAACGTATGTCAATCCACTATACACTCCCTACAATTCTCTTGCAACAGAAAATCAACACTTTAAACTATACACACTAAAACACAGAGGCTGTCAAGGAGGCAGCAGGCAGGGAAAAGGATTCTACAGCAGAAATTCTGAACAGTCCCAACTTTAATACTGGTAAGTTGGGATCCCCTTGGGCAACTTATCAAACTTTTCTGGGACCCAGTTTCCTTATCTATAAAATGAGGTGATTGGATTAGATCTACAAAGTTCCCTTCTCACTCTAAGATGCGAAGGTCCTCTGAAAGACTTCCTGAACCAATGCTTACCTTATAATGGAAGGATTCTTCACACTGCTTGCACTGGTATATTCTTGTCTTACAGTGGTGGATCATGTGACTCTCCAAATCTTTGCTGTTGTCCGCTATGTGCTCGCAGATAGGACACTGATAAGGCTGTCTCTGTCGATGGACTCGTAAGTGCTGCTTGATGTAGCCCTTGTTGCCACTTGTGTAGTGACACAGGCGGCAACGGTAGGGTCGTTCAGCATTCGGGATGTATTCCACCACATTGTTTCCGGACAAACTTGTATCGCTGTTGGGTTGGCACTGGGCGTTGTCCTGCAACTCTTTCAAAATGTCATCGTCTGAAGCGTTTTGGTCTGTCCTTTCTCTCAATTTTTCAATGACGGTGAGTAAGGACATGCTGATGCCTGTCTTAACCTGCCCATCTGACAATTCCTGCCTACCCTCTGGGAGTGCTACCAAGGTGGAGTTGCTTTGGTTAAGACTAGTTAATCCATCTGAAGAGTTTTTAAGTGGCGACATCATTTTTGAGTACGCTGCCAATGTACTATCTACTTGCCTTTGACTAGTATCTGGATCTAAAAGGTTTATATCTCCATAGTGCCCCAGGTTGGCTCTTGTCAACTCTGCAGCTCTTATAGGCATTGTGACAAGGGCTTCTGCAGCTAATGAGTGTAATCGAAGAGACTCAGAATTTGTCCTTCTCCGGCCTGGTGGGGCATTCTCATCAGTAGCCAGGCCTTTATTCATTAACTCGTCTTTTTTCTCTGAACTGCTCCAGCCTATGATCAATCCCCCAATATCAACAGTACATTTATCAGCACGATAAACATCATCCATTCCTTCGCGCCCAATCTGAGCTTCTGTCAGGCTCAGGTCCTTCCCTTCTTCCATTTCAGTGTTCATGAGGAAGCGCTTCTGTGAAAGGGTTTCTTCAGCACTTGGCAATCGCTCCACTATCACGTTAACATGCCCTTTTTTATTGGGGCTGCTGCTGATGATTTTCTGTGCTGATGTAAGCAGGCTATCAGGAATCAGATTCTCCTCTGCATCAGAAATCACTTCTAGCATTTCTTCCTCATTGGGGTCCAGGGTAACTGACTGACTTAGGTGTACTCCTCTTTCTGCACTCTGTTCTAAAGGAGATGAAGATGATAACTGTTCTGAGCTGCAAATCTGCACTTGCACTGATGGCCCATTGTGGATACTCAGTTCACTCTCTCCAATAGCAATGACGACTGCATCGACCCCACCAGGCGCAGCAGCTGCTGAAGAATCCAGCAGGCCTAGGGGTTCATTTTCATTTTCAAAGATTGGATAGGAGCAATCAACCTCCCCAGCATGTTTCCAAGCGTGTGTTTTCAACATTCTCTGCTGGCCACAAGTATAACTACAAAACAAGCATCGATACATGCCGTACTGTTCGTATGCATACCATTTCCTCCTACCCATTTCTGCCACAGATGCAGTTTGGACAGTATGAGTCTGTAGATTGTCCACACTTACTGGGATATCTGGAATGGTTTCATTTCTTTCTGTGGTTTTCCGACACAAAGAGCTGGAGGGGCTTACGCACTGTTGGGCTTTGGATTGGGTGTGGATATTGGCATCATTGTCATGGTCATTCACCACGTGGGCTTCAAGTTCCTCCTGGCTTCTAGATGTAATATGGCACTCTGAGCACATCAGTATCACTTCATTTTGCTGACCATGTTGCTTAATATGATCTTTTAACACGGAAAAGGATGATGATAGAAACTTACAAAGGCTACACTGATAAGACATAGCCTTCCCTTCATTCTGGGCAAGAGTGTCAGGGGTAAAATTTGTTTGTGACATCTCAGCCCTTCTAGTATCAGCAGCAGGTGACTGGATTACTTTAGCCGGAATCTCACAAAGTTCTTGGGTTTCAAGAGAGTGTGTTGCAGCACTTGAACGTGGGCGTTTCTTCCCAATTAAAAGACATTTTTGTGACTTTTCATTTTCCACTATCTTGCTTAACTTCTGGATAACATGGATTAATGGATCTGGTTTAGTTTTTCTTTGTTCATCAATTTCCAATGAAGGACTGATGATACTTTCAGCAGTCAGTATAGCTTCCTGTTCCCCAATATCTGGCACCAACATGGCAACACTGCTACTTTCTTCCATATCTAAAAAGGATAATGTAAAACAGAAAAATACCAGGTTACAGGATAATTACAGGCATGTAATTTGGAAAATATAAGAGAATGTTAGTGTCTGTAATCTCATCTAAGTATTTTCTAAGCTGGAAGCTCCATGTCCACACACCCGGCGATCCCCAGTATAGATTTAAATTGGTTAGAATTTCTCTTTACAATGCAATCTTCTATCAAGACTAATGATGAAGATACTCCCCTCTATCACTTATTTCTTCGGAAATGATGATCTTTTTCTCCATTTTTCTTCACTTTCTTTGCCTTCAGCATCCAGCAGGACCAAAAGTACTCCCTCCCTTTTGCACAATGCCAAGAAAAAAAAAAAAAGACTCCTATTCCTTGATTAAAGGAGCACAGCCATTCTCAAGGCATGTGAAACCCCTCCAGTTACTGTGAAACATCACTCTGTAAAGCCAATGACTGATACAATTCTTGAGAGTATTTCTTATACCAAATATAGCTGCAGTTTTATTACTAAAATCACAAATTTGTTTTTTTTCTCCCCAAATCTTTGAAATTGTGAAACTATAGTCATGTAGTTTGTACAGGGCATATTGAATTTGGGAAAGTACTATATAAATGAAATTAAATAAAAGCAATAATCTAGTTCCTACTTTTACTTCCTTTATCTTCCTGAAGATAAACCACAAACTATGCTGTGGTTTTTTTTTAGAGGTCATATTAGTGGTCAACTATTACTCATATCCACATATATGGTTTTTTTTTTTTTCCCTGAAAGGGTAAGGGACATCAGAGAAGGAAAAAATTGATATCCCAGTTGTGTTTCAGTTCCAGATATGAACAGAGTCCTTAGAAGAGGTTATTTGTTCGTTCTAATAATGCATTATGGCTGAGGAAGTCACTAAACATAAAATACCCATAAATCTTTCTGCCTAAGTCTAGAATACTCTTTCTATTTCCTGGCAGTACTTTCATTTCAAACATTTCCTTTGGCTTAAAGTGAGATTAATTTGTTGACTTGGATCACATTTTTAAGTTTAGGCTTTTTTCCAGCAACAAGTTTTGTTTTTCCACATTTTAGGTGCATTCTGGAATCTTACTCACAACATTCAATAAATGCCAACAAAATTTTTAGTGGCACTAGCTATAGACCAAAGACCACACTATTCTTAAACTTCAGTCCCAGGCTCTGAATTCTTATTTTAGGTGGTGAATCATGGCTGTTCTTCCCCGCATGGTTGAATCAACATATAAGGGCCCTTCAGCCCCTGCCAAGATGATACCTAATGTCCTGCCAGGCCCCGCCCGCCCCCACGCCACACACACACACATATACACAAACACAAAAACAGGCCCCGCCCCCCCACGCCACACACACACACACACACACACACACACACACACACACACACACACACACAGCTGACCAGCTTCAGTGCCAGGTCGCCCACAACTCTGGGCAGCAGCTATGGCTTTTCTTCCTGATTTTCTACTCCTTCTGGCAAGCCAGCTTTCTAGATCTAGGTCCACATCAGGCAAAAATGCAAACACTTTACTCTTGGCTTCTTCAGTACTATTTCTTCCCTTCTTCCTAATAATACTCTGCCCTATGGCATCAGCTTTTTTTCTCTTGGCTACTAGCTGTCTCTAACTGCCCTCACATGCATTCCATGGCCATTCCAACAATGACAGCTACCCTGGCTCCCAAAGGCCCGTGGTCCTTCAGCCACTCTCCCTTAAACAATCTCTCAAAAGACTAGTTCTGTTTCATCTTTCTCAGGTAGAAGGAACAAAAGTCTTTTTAGATCTCTACGCTCAGCTGTAAGTCATTAAAGAGGAGACCAATGGGGGAACAATTTGTTTCCTTAGAAAAACCCTTTTGTGACTTCCTAAGTCACTTTATTGTCTTAGAATTCCACATTTTTAGGCCAAGAGGAGCTGTGGCTCTTCATGTGACTACTGATTTCCCTTTAAGGTGATTAACTTAAGGCCTTATGTCTGTCAGTTCAATGGTTAAATGCAAATTGATTAAATAATAAGTTTAATAATAGGAATCCTCCTGAACACGATACGGCTCTCTGCTGTAGATCTAAGGTCTCCTTCCCCATGAAATGTAACACCCATGTAGGCTGACTGATCATCTGGAGGTTAACAAGTGAATGTTTGCTCAAGAGACTTTGCACACCCGTAGGGTTACAAAGGTGACTCATGTTATCTTTCTTCTACTTAATAAGAGAAGTGACACAGACCAGTGCAAATTGCTCCCTGTGGATATTTCAGTGTGTACCTTAAAAAGAAAGTGAAATGAAGAGAAGGAGGAGTTCATCTTAACTCAAGAAAAAGACTAATACAAAAGAATCTGACAAAACATTCAGATTTTTAAAGCTGTGTCGGCTCAGGCATTAAGAGCTAATGGAAATTTGCAGCAGATGCTCCAATTTTCCCTGAACATTTATGTAAGTATCTCATTTTAAAGGCTGCATACATTTGGGGATAAGTACAGTAATGGCAGCTATAAAACAGATATGACAACATGAAATACGTCAGGAAACACCTGAAAAACCAGTTTGGGTCCCCATGCAAAATCAATGCACAGGTTAATCTCATAAAAACAAGTCTCTGTTAAAAAAAAAAAAAAAAGGTTAGATAAACAGCTGATAATAAAGTATACACAGAGGGGAAGTTACTGTAAGGCCAACTCTTTCAATTTTCACAAAAATGTTACTTAGACCACTAATGCAGAAATACATATATATGAGATTGTGTGTCAAGTGAAGCAAATCTGAACAAAAGAGATGAAATAAGGAGTATACATACAATGTCAGTGGCTCAATAGTGATGACAACATAAACTATGACAATCTGCATACTCTCCTTGGCCTCCAAGAGATCAGTGTAAGCACAGCTTTAAAACAATTACCTTGGTGATACTGCAGTGGTGGGGTGGATAGGATGAGAATAAAGAAAGAATGACTAATTCTGTAATTGAAGTTGCATGATGAGTACCTAGGAATTCACTGTTCTTTCTACTTATGTAAATGTTTAACATTTTTCATAATAAAAAGGCTAAACAGATCATAATAAAGTATACACAGAGGGGAAGTTACCTTAAGGCCAATCCTTCAACTTTCTTGATTCCTTAAAATCACAGAAATTTTATTTAGACCACTAATGCAGAAATACAAATATGTGTGTGTGTGTAACAAACAAATTGTTATGTGCAAGGCGCAAGGCAAAGTATCAGGAAAAATTTTAAATTCTTAATACTTGCAGTTTAAAACTGAGTTGAGTGGATAAGGCAAACATTTGGAAGTTAAAAAGTAACAGCATTTAAACAACGCAATGGTACACAAGGTAAAATAAAAGGCAACAGTCAATGACTAAATCCTGAAAGATACTGAAGAGCTCTTTTGGGCTAGCAAGGTAAGCAAAAGCTTCATGGAGAGGTAAGATGTCCACTGGTTCCCAAAGGATGGGCAGCATGCCAGACATCATCCATTTGCCCTCTAGGCTCACTGTATCCTCCTTTCCATTCTGCTCTCTGTCAGAGGGATTACATCACTAGGCTCCCCTGTCCTCTGCCTTCTGGTTGAGGTCAGCCAATGAAGAACCATGACAGATCAGAGGGAGGTAGCAGAGTGAGATCAGAATATTCATCGTCCTGGTTCTCTACCTCTAGGTCACCTTGGATTGGCTGTGTTCCTCAATAGAAGGCTATTTCTTTCCAGGTAGGCTGCTCTCCAAGACCCTTCTTCTGATTCTGATGCCTCTCCCTCTCCTAATGCTGCTAGCTCCAGATAACTGCATTATGCTGTGGTTTGCTTATTGAAGTCCAACACCTTTATTACTAATATCTTTGTAAATATACCTTCCTTGAATTATCCTCATTTCAACGTGCCATTTGCTTCCTTGGAATACTGCTGATACAAGTTGACACAAGGGTAGCAGTGACCAGAAAAGCAGCCATGACATGACTATATTTTTAGAAGTAAGAATAAGCATGCTATCTGGGGGTGAGTGAAAAGATCGATATGGCTGAATAGGAAAGTTCACCAGGAGGAAAGAAGACGACAGGCATTAGCAAAACAGGAGATTTCTTGTTTGTAATGTTTAGACATAACAACATTAAATATATTAAATTGTTACCAATAAATAAGTAATAAACAAAAGTTGTATCCCAAACCAGAAAAGTTCTATAACCCTTTCCACCAACTCTCTCAAATCTTTCCTTGACAACAGTATTCCACAGGCAAATGCTTCTAATTAATATCTTTCTCACAAAAAGTTAGGAGCCAAATTATTTCAGTTGTCTTTATTTCCTTATAATTTGCTATTTGGTTATTTGGGTATCTAATTAGTTCTTTATAATTACAGTAGTATGGTCATCATGAGTAAAATCAAGTTGAACAATTCATGTGGGCCTGGAGAAAAGGCTGTAATTTTCTGTGTTTATATGAAGAAAAGTACAATATGATACAAAAGAACCTTCTCTTTCAGAACAAGAATTTGTTTTTTCCAAAATGGGAAAAAAAAAAAAATTGTGCTATAAAAGTAATGGCCAATAAATTCCCCATTCTTCCAGATTATTGTAATTCTAAAATATGACAAATTTATTTTGCTCCAGCCAAAAGAAGGCAGGGGACATAAGCTCAAGGGTCCCTCCCCTAAAGTGCCCTCAATTAGCTGTGTGACCTTAGGCAAGTCACTGTCTCTGTGAGTTTTAGATTGCTCAGATGTAAAACAAGAGGGTGAAGCTAGATGAACTTTCAGGTCCCTGAATTATAAACTGTCTATAAAGTTACCTGGAAACTGCTTACACATTATTTATAGATTTACCTCACTATATTGGCTACAATTTATTTGATTTAAAATCTTCTGAGCCCAAGGTAATTATTAATTACCACTAAGAAAAAAATGAGTATAAATATCACAAGTATATGGAGTTTCATAGTCTAGAGTTTCTTAGTTGGCACATAGCCTGAGAGAATATTCTAATTTGGCAGCTGCAATGAAGACATAAGGTCTAACTAACATTAACCAATATTCAGATTTACTGTCATTTATTGAGCACCTATAATGTGCCAACCAGAATGCTGGGGACTACAAAAATGACTGAGGAAATCCTTGCCCATGAGGTGCAAGTCTAGGGAGTAATGCCTCTGTAGATTTTGTGTAATATTCAAATTTTGTGTATTTTTTTTTTTTTTGCAGATGAGAAACCTGAGACTCACAGACACAAAGTGGTAACTGGTTTAAGAACAGGAATCCAGGCCAATCTCACTCTAAAACCATGCTTTCTCTAATACACCAATTTTCATCTTAATTCTCAATGAGAATAAAAATGTACAAAATATCAATACTGAAAAGAGTAACAGCTCCTTACAGCTAGGCTCTATCAAACATGTTAGTGGTATCTGATCCTCATAACTCTTTAGGACAGGCTAGGTGGGTGTTATACAGTCTTATAAATAAGGAAACACTCAGTGTGGTTTAAGTGACTTACCCAAGGTTACATGGCTGTTAAGTGGCAGAGCCAGTGTCTTTCAAATCAATTCCTGAAATTAATACAGTCCCTTGGATCAATCTTCAAAATCCAGCTGTGGCCAAGAACGAAAGTATATAGTATCAAAACATTTCTCTTTCTTGGTGAAACAAAGTAATGATTTTTTTTTTGGCAGTGAAAAATTTCTCAATATTCCATGTAAAAAGAAATTCAGAGGAATGTTCATGCAACCCTATTACGTAATGCAAATTTAAATAATTTATCTAACAAGCCGACTTGAGGATTTTGCAGAAGTTAGGAAAAAATAGCTCTGGAAACTTCTCCCAATAATTGTGTATTTTGTTTTACCTCAGAATTTAGGTACTGGACTCAACACTATTGGTTTTACTGACAACATTTTCTAATGAGAATGGAACAATAAATTGCACATTGCTATTTTAATCTAAACTAAAAATACAATCTAACGAGTGATTCTGCAACCAAGCACAATAGGCAGAAAAACAGCATAAAAAGATATGACACAGTGGTGTGACCTATATATCTTCTAACGCAGTTTCCTACTCTGGTCCTACATTTCTTTGCCACTGTTTCTTATACTGGCTGGAATAAATCTAAAAGATAAAAAAATGCTTATTCGTTTCACCTAGAATGCAACTACCTTATCGATTACGGTTAAGTAAAATAGCTCACTGCCAGGGCAGAAAAAACATCTTTAGGGCTCCCCTGAAGTTAATTTTCAACGAGTTAGTGAGGTAAAGGAATGAAGGGCCAGGCTTTCTTTTAATCAATAATGCAACCCATACTCTGAGTGAGAGGGGAGTACTGGAGAAAGTGCAAACTCAAAGAGGTGATAAATCCAGTAATTGCCTGAGAAGAGCGATGCAGACTGATAGCAAATTACAGCCCACTGCAGAAACTTAAAAATACCGCCTTGGGGTTGGGAAAGTGGCCGCCACCTTATTAATCATCCCGGCCTTCTACACAAACCATTCATTCCGATGCCCCCAGGTCTTAAGAGGTGGGAACTTTCCCTGATGGTCTCCGTGATCTCTGGAGACATCATTCTATCTCCAGAGGATGGTAATAAATGCAGAAGACCAGGGCTGCGTTTCTGTAGTAGCTTTTTCTACACCACGCACTGGCTAAAGGACTGAGGTGATGGGTCGGGAATGAGGGAGCTTAGAAAATTAATCAAAAGATGCTGTGAGAACATCGTGGCTGGGTCCATCCCGGCTGGCCTAAGCGATCTCACATTTGCAGAAAGAAGCAACGCCTGGAGAAGGAAGCAACGCCTGCGGGCGGGCCGGGCTGGTGACAGTATGCAGGGAGCAGCAAGTTCCCCCCACCCCCAGCTGCAGGGCAAGCCCAGAGTCTCCGCAGGCCTTGCTGCACAGAAGACAGAACCGGGACACGGAACTTGGGGCTTGTGGCTAGCACCGGGCGGGGGTCGGCCGGCTGAGGAGGAAGCGAGCGCCGGCAGAGGCCTGAGGGGAGGATGCACATGGCCGGCGGCGGCGCTAACAGCGGGCGGAGGGGCGGCCCCGGGGCGCGGTACCTGCGGTCAGGCGGCGGCTGCTGCTTCCGCGAGCCTCGTTTGGCCAGCCAGGACCCGGCCGTGCCCTCGCCCTCGTCCTTGCCCACCTCTCTCCCGGCTCTTTTCCCTCTTTTCCCCCGGTTTCCCCCTCCTCATCCGGAGCTCCAAAATGGCGGCGCTGGGGACGGATCACGTGAGCCGCGGGTGGGTCAGGTGACCCGAATGGCGGGCAGCGGGGGCGGGGCGAGGCTCAGGCCCCGCCTACCGGCGTCCCGGGCCGCCGAGGCTGGACCCGCGAGAGGGAGGCTCCCCAGCCGGTTTAGCCCCTTGCAAACCCTGGCTCCCGGGCGGGGTTCGGGCCCAGTTGTCTGGCTCTCATGGCCCCTTCCAGACGTCTAGATTTAGAAGTCACCGTGTATTCACTTTGGCATCTCCCCACGTCGCCTAAATCCGCTGTGGGCTAGCCTTATCACCCCACTCACCCCGCAATTGGCTTTCAACAATGGGCATTGGGGTTTTTTTTTTTTTTTTCTTTAGCCTTGTGCTTCTGGATTTGTATTAGTTCCTTTGGTAGGACTGTACATTTCAAGGTGTTCTTGGCTAAAATATAGAGGTCCTAGCCAGATTCGCAGCTTGGCGTTAAGGGGTGCCTGTTAAGGGCCAGAGCTGGCCCTGGGGAATCTCTTTGCTTGAGAGATTCAGGATTTTCAGGGTTTGTAGGACCAGACCCAGTAACACAAGCTCAGCCCTCCGAGGGCACGATGGTGTTTGTCATTCGGATCTGTTCTATGAAAGATACTAGGGTGGTTCTCCTGCTAACAGTGAAAAACGGACTAAGTGAAGCATTCCAGCCAATTTCACCAAAAATGCTGGATAGTTTTGCCGTATTAGGAACTACGCAGCATGGTGCTTGGGTCTGGACTCCGGGTGAGCGGTGGGCATGAGCAAGGGTGTAAAACTGAAGATTCTGGCCATTGTAGTGGAATGGACTCATTTGGTGAGATACCTCTTGGGGATCTGTTCCAGATCTTTTTAGAGGCCTTTACAGCTGGCTGGGCTGTCCACGGTCCTGGGAGGAAGATCCAACAAAATTTAGAATCAGACAGGCTGATAATTCCTGTTACTGTATTTCAGAATTCAAATTCATCTGAATTTGGGGGTTAGGAAACCAGCAAAGTTAGAATTTTTATTTTTATTTTTATTTTATTTTTTTGAGTCAGAGTCTCACTCTCTCCCCAGGCTGGAGTGCAGGGGCGCAATCTCGGCTCACTGCAACCTCCACCTCCCAGGTTCAAGTGATTCTCCTGCCTCAGCCTCCCGAGTAGCTGGCACTACAGGGCGTGCCACCATGCCCAGCTAATTTTTTTGTATTTTTAGTAGAGACGGGGTTTCACCATGTTGGCCAGGATGGTCTCGATCTCTTGACATCATGATCCGCCCGCCTCAGCCTCCCAAAGTGCTGGGGTTACCGGCGTGAGCCACCGCGCCCGGCTGCAAAGTTAGAATTCTGCTATTCCACAGAATCCTTTGCCAATTAGACCAAATAGCTGTGAAAAAATAAAATGTTGAGTAATTTTTTTTTCGATAAAAGGTAAGAGATTGAGCAGGAGACTAGCATGGAAGGGTGGAAAGAAAAAACAGTGAAGAAAACCCAGAAATACGAAGTGTTGAAAGGGAGAACAAACAAGTAATATGAGAAATTCCTTGCCTTGGGCTATTGGCACAAACAATCCTAACTTATCATTATCTGAAGAGAGGCTTTTCGTTAGTCATGTCTTAAGTGTAATGTCCATGAATCTGAAAGTAGACAGACGAAATGACAGAATTATTTGATCAAGGGAGAGTGCAGAAACACAATAGAGAAAATATAATCTAGGGATAATAAAGAACTTTTAAAACAAGCGAACGAAAGTGTATCTTCGTTTGAAGTTCCTGTGGTGGTCATTACTGGTATTCACCAGCTAGTTCCCATTGTCCCTCTTCTGGCATAAGGTTAGTTTCCATTGACCCTGTGGCTCGGGGGTGTGGCCAGTACTGGTGTTGGCTAATGGATCGTGTGTGGGAGTGAGGGCATTCCCTTCATACTGGAGCATTTAATTGCCAGTGCAGTTCCCTCCAGAGTATGTTTCCCTTTGGCTTGATGACTGGCAGTGTTTCAGGTGGCGGCCATCCCGTCAGCCAGCATCTTAGAGGGACAATGATGAGCTGAGTCCCCAGCTGACCCATGGTGGTGGATATGTAGGGTGAGCAAGTCTCTGATGATTTTGGAGCTGATTTTTTGTTGTTGTTTTTTTGAGACAGAGTCTCACCCTGTCGCCACGGGTGGAGTACAATGGTGCGATTCCGGCACACTGCAACCTCCACCTGCTGGGTTCAAGCCATTCTCCTGCCTCAGCCTCCAGAGTAGCTGGGATTACAGGCACATATCACCACGCCCGGCTTGTTTTTGTATTTTTAGTAGATGGGGTTTCACCATGTCAGCCAGGCTGATCTCGAACTCCCGACCTCAGATGATCCACCCACCTTGGCCTCCCAAATTGCTGGGATTACGGGCATGAACCACCGCACCTGGCCTTTTTTTTCCTTCAATTTTAGATTAGGGAGGTCCATGTGCAGATTTGTTACATGGTATATTAGATGATGCTGAGGTATGGGCTTCCATTGATTCCCTCACCCAAATAGTGAACATTGTACCCTATAGGTAGTTTTTCAAACCTTGCCCCCCTCCCTGCCTCTCCCTTTTTGGGATCTGCAGTGTTCATTGTTCCCTTCTTTATGTCCATGTATACCCCATGTTTAGCTCTCACTTATAAGTGAGAACATGCAGTATTGGGCTTTCTGTTTCTGTGTTAATTTGCTTAGGATAATGACCTCTAGCTGCATCCATGTTGCTGCAAGGGACATGATTTTGTTCTTTTTTATGGCTGCATAGTATTCCTTGCTGTATATGTACCGCATTTTCTTTATGCAGTCTACCATTGATGGCACTTCAGTTGATTCCATGTCTTTGCAATTGTGAATAGTGCTTCAGTAAATATATGAGTGCAGGTGTCTTTTCGGTAAAATGATTTATCTTCCTTTGGGTATACACCCAGTAGTGGGATTGTTGGGTGGAATGGTAGTTCTAATGTTAGTTCTTTGAGAAATCTGCTTGTTACTGTAGCATGACACAGCCACTGATACCCACTCCCTACTCTGATGTACCTGGAACAGCCAGAGCCATTAGGAAGAAATCATTATAGGCAGAAAGGAATGATAATGAAGGAATTAGGACCTTCATTCCTGAAGACTGAGAAAGTATACAATGCAGAATCTGATAGGAAAACCAAGACAACTTCAAAAAGCCTGGGACACAGCACCTCAGTATTTCTCTTTCCTAGAAAAGAACTCTCTGGAAAGTTACAGTCAACATTTTTAAGTCAGAAGAATGCAAAGGCATTCAGATGTAGTTCCATTGAACTTGTGGACATCTCACCTAAGCTCTTCTCAGCACCTCTCACCTGCCACAGAGTGTTATTTATCATGATTTAATTAAACAATCCTAGTAAGATTTAGTATTATAGATAGGAAACTCGCTTATTCAGTTATCTAGCGCCTATTCAGTGGAATCTGATTGTGTCTCCAGATGAGAGATGACCCAGTAACTGAATCCCTATCTCCACACACCTCATTATTTTACTTTGAGGCCATTAATTAGTCGATGAGGCTAAAGGTTTCGCTTTATCTACAAGTATCATGGGTCTCTGTATCTCCTAAAGTGACCACGGAGTTTGATGATTTTACAAGCTGAACTGGAGCACTACTTACGTTTTGGGAACGCTGAAGACAGTGCCTCGAGTAAGTTGCCAAGGTGATGACTGGTTGTAAACTGAATGAGACATTGAACGAGTTGAAACTGGAGGAAGACCTACTTGTTTCCAGCCACAATACTTATGAAGGACACCTTGTCTTTGGTGTGATAAGATTAGATTAGATTTGTTTTGAAGGGATTAATCATGTAAGTCTTTGGCACAGAACCGAAAATTGGACGAGACGTGTGGCCCGTATTTCTTTAAGGTGTAATTTTTATCATGACCTTTAAAAAATATACTGCCTCGGCCGGGCGCGGTGGCTCACGCCTGTAATCCCAGCACTTTGGGAGGCCGAGGCGGGCGGATCACGAGGTCAGGAGATCGAGACCATCCCGGCTAAAACGGTGAAACCCCGTCTCTACTAAAAATACAAAAAAATTAGCCGGGCGTAGTGGCGGGCGCCTGTAGTCCCAGCTACTTGGGAGGCTGAGGCATGGCGTGAACCCAGGAGGCGGAGCTTGCAGTGAGCCGAGATCCCGCCACTGCACTCCAGCCTGGGCGACAGAGCGAGACTCCGTCTCAAAAAAAAAAAAAAAAAAAAAAAAAAATACTGCCTCAAAAAAGGAGAGATTGTAGAAAGGTGAGAGGAGGCAAGAGAGCTAAAAGGCAAAAAAGGATGTGGTAGTGCGAGCTGAGAAAAATAAACCCCGAAATTGTCCCTGACTTTGCTACTTAGCCCTTGTGGGACTGTGAGCAAGTGGGCTCTATCTTTCCGATGTTTTCACCTTGCTTGTAAAACAAGAAGTTCAATTTATCCTTTTTTTTGAGCTTCAGATGACTGGTATATAGAAGCACGGAGTTTAATGATAGGAGTCCTCTGGGTTCAAGATGGGACTTCATCATTAAGAATAATGGCAAGACTTGATTTTATTAATGAATGAAAAGATTGCTTGATGTAAGTCAGAAGGAATGTAAGATGAAAAGACGTGATATATTATTATATATACAGCTGTCAGTAATAAATTAACATTAGCTCTGGGTTCCTTGCACTTTGCATCCTGAATATACACCTAGAAATACTTCATAATTGTAGTTCAGGTCTCAAGGACCATCATAAATTATCCCTCTGTCATTCATTCTCTGCTAAAAGCCACAGACCTATGTTTCTTCAACAGCACATCAACATCTAAAATCCTTGGTGCTATGAGGCATACATATTAATTTATTTCTTATTGAGGGCCCAAGTAAACCAGAAGGATGCATAATGACCAACCCTGACGATGAAGAGGAGGAGAAAGGGCAGGGGACGTGATTGTGAAAATCAGGGTTGGCTCTGGCTAATACTGGTCTTTGCTTAATTTGCAGCTCAGCTGTTTTGGGGCTGAGATGCTAACTTATTTAGAAAAGGCCCACCGAGGAACTCAGACATAGCAAATATAGCAGCCCTGCAGTCAACGCTGCGATGGAATTCTCTCCAGAGTTCTCCTAGCCCTGAGACCCTGTCTTAGACTCAGGACCTGGGTATAAGGACAAGAATCAATAATGGTGACATCTAGTGGCCCACGCGCAATGTGCAGCCAAGCCACAGGGCACTCCAGTGGAAAATGGGACCTGTGCCTGGTCCAAGCCAACTTAGGCCTGACCCCAAGCTCCTGAATCAGCCTAAGAGTTTGGTGTCTGGCAGAGATTCCCTGCATTCGTGTTGATTTGTGATTGGGATCCAGGAAACGCACCAGCAGGCTGGGAGTGGAGGTGGAGGGGGGCTGCTTTTGAGGCCGACAGGAGGCTCCTTTCAGTCTAGTCTGCATATGCCACAGACTGGTGCTGCAGGAAAGCGTGGCTCGGCGGAGCTAGCGGTGGAGCAGGGAGCTTGCCTCCGCCAGACTGTCTTTCTGCCTCAACGCAGACTGGTTATTGGAACGCTCAAGCAATTTTCAGTCGTCTTTGTCAATAAAGTCAGTCTCTTCTCTGCAAAGGGAATGAAAATGAGATTTTGAGGCCTCCAAAGAGCTCTCTTCTTTGGCCATTTTTCTCTACCCAGGAGCCAGGGAGTGGCTTCACCGAGCTGGGTGGGAGCTATTTGCTCTGCCCCAAACCCCTGTTGACAGGTAATACCACCTGCTTCTGAACAAGACAATATGATTGTAATAGTATACTGTTCAATTCTTCCTAGGGAAGCAGTTTCCTGAAAACAGTGGCCTTTATTGATGAGTGGAGCAGAGGAAGAAAATGAAAAGAAGAAGGAGGAGAAGATGAAGAAAGACACTAAAAGGAAAAGTAACTGCTAATCAAACCAAGAAAGCCCAGCTAAGGGGTAATCCTGCAACTTAAAAATATGTCATTTGTTATTTTGACAGCTCCTTTTGAGGTGATAGACTAGGAGGAGCTGCTGGCATCATCACCGACTGGCTGGGAGTTCTACTTCTTGCTTAAGACATCAGTAAATGGATAACTGCAGATTGCAAGGAGTCTATCTTCTAAGATTCCCAGCTTGAGCTCTTCGTATACTGGGGAAGACCAAGCAGAGGGAACATGGTATAGTATTTGACCTTCTGGGATGTTTATTTAATTAATTAATTAATTAATTAATTTTTATTTTTTGACACTGACACTCTCGCTCTGTCACCCAGGCTGGAGTGCAGTGGTGCAATCTCAGCTCACTGCAACCTCTGCCTCCTGGGTTCCAACGATTCTCCTGCCTCAGCCTCCCGAGTAGCTGGGAATATAGGCATATGTCACCATGCCTGGCTAATTTTTGTATTTTTAGTAGAGATGGGGTTTTACCATGTTGCCCAGGCTGGTCTTGAACTCCTGACCTCAAGTGATCCACCCATCTTGGCCTCCCAAAGTGCTGGGATTACAGGCGTGAGCCACCATGCCCAGCCTGGGATGTTTCTTTCACTGAGAAAGAGACATGAGTGATAAAGGAAAGGAAAAAATGCATATCGTACCCAGAGAAAGTTCACTATATTAGTCCGTTCTCACACTGCTCTAAAGAGCTACCTGAGACTGGGTAATTTATGAAGAAAAGAGGTTTAATTGACTCACAGTTCTGCAGGCTTAAGAGGAAGCGTGACTGAAAGGCCTCCGGAGACTTACAATCATGGCATCAGGCAAGAGGAAACAAGCATATCTTACCATGGTTGGAGCAGGAGAGAGACAGAGTAAGGGGGGAAGTACCACAAACTTCAAACAACCAGATCTCATGAGAACTCACTCACTATCATGAGAACAGCAAGGGAGACGTCCGCCCACATGATTTAATCACCCCCACCAGGACCCTCCCGACATATGGGGATTACAATTTGAGATGAGATTTGGGTGGGGACACAGAGCCAAACCGTATCATCCACACTGCAAATAGCAAATTGCATGCCCCTTCTGGCCTCATCTTCAGCTCCACAAGGCCAGAAGGCAGGAAGGCCCAGTAGAAATCTGTCGCCAGATATAAGTGGTGCATCCAGAATTAGGCATGAGTGGAGCTGTGGGGTGCATGAAGCTTCATGATTAGGTGGTCAGGCTGCCATGTCCATCCCTCTTGCATCAGGCCTCCTCCTTCCACTCATATCTCTAGGCCACCTGCAGGGACATCCCTAGGACCAGGTAATGGGAAAGCAGAATCTGAGCTACCTAAGTTCAAGAATGGGTCACCTTGGCACGTGGAAGAAAATGGACCAACCTGAATGGAGCAGGGAGGTGCACACGGACACAGGGCATCTATCTGGATCGTGGAGACCCCTCTGCTGGGGTTGGAGGACTCAGTATGGGGAGCAGGAAGAGCTCTGGCCAGAAAGGCAGATTGGGGCTGGGACTGGGCCAGGCAGAGACAGGCAGCAGGCCTCTGTTGAGGGCCTTCTGTTGGAGGGCCCATGTCGGGCGCTCTGCTTGTGTGATTTCCTGCGTCTTTGTGGACTTCACTCTCTTGTCATTAATTCCATGTGTAATCACTGCCTCAACACGTGTCTACCCTGGTGGGAAATGAGCTTCAAGAGCCCAGGGGAGCTTGTCAGTTTTGTTCATCAATATCTCTCCTGCCCTTCCGGCCTAGAACAGGGCCTAAAATGTAGCTACATTCAGTAAACACTGAATGATCGAAGAAAAAAGTGATTTCATTTAGCAGACATGCTCCCAAGCATAAAGTTTATTGGAGGAGCTACTCAAAAGCATCTTTTGGGAAGATAGGGTGTGAGATTGAGGGCCGGAGGCTTGGAAAGAGAATAAACGTGGCATCCAGTTAGAGACAAGGGAGTTGGCCACAGAGAGGCCCTAAGAATCTAGTCTGTGGACCGGTTTTCATTGACCCTGTGCTTCAAAACCTGTTAGCACTCACTAGCTGTGTGTCCTGGGCAAGTTACTGTACCTCTCTGTGCCTCAGTTACTTCATACCTACCTTACAGGGCCATTGAAAAGTTTAAAGAACCGAATGTGTGTCTGACTCATAGAAAGCAATCAGTAAACAATAAAGTATTGTTCTTGCAAAGACTGGGACTGGAATGATATGAAATGGAAGGAAGAGATGGAGTTGAAGGACACTGTGAACAAAGAATATGTCGCATTCAATGGCTTGTTGGAAACAGGGTGGGCGCTTCTGCTCTTCCACGCGCCCTTGATTGGAAGCTGCTGTTCGCAAGGCACAGACGGCTCTGAGCTCCAGACACCGATGACAGAGGCAGGCACAGAAGTCAGACAACACACGAAAAGAAGAAGGGCAGAATCGCCCAGCGACTCCATAATCAGCTTATGTCGTGGAATTTGATGTGAGCACGTTAGGAATGTCACATACGACTACGTGGGTTTTTCAGCCTATTTTTCCTGAATGCGGATTTTGTTGGCAACTGAATGTGTGCTAACACCCTAAGATTTAGTTGCATTTTGGTTAAGAAGTCCAGAAGACTTTGGACTTGGCTTTGAAAAACCGAAAGTGAATTGAATTTGCATTATTTAAGGGGCTTATTCAGATGAACACTGCTATCTCTTCAGATGTAAAAATTCCAAGACTCAAGAGTTGATATTTCAGCAGCAACAATGACATCTAGGGGCTGGTTGCTACAGGTTTAATCTTAGCTATATATGGTCTACATTTTGAAAACGAAGAGTGCTAACATGTTGATGCAATCCAGAATGTCTGCTTGGACTGTGTGAACTTGGTTGGTGGCCAGGGCAACGCTGATGGATCAAAGAAAAGAAAAAGCTGAAAGTGGCTTATGCTGTCATCTAAGAAAATTACTTTGCTTCTGAAATTGCAACACCTCTCAGTTTGCTTGATATACTCATTTTCCCCCTGACCTTTTAACCAGGGATGTGGCATCCTTCTCAGCTTTCCTGTTTAATCCAGGTCCACTCTTCCCATGAGTGACAGAACCAACTTTCCTGCACGGAGAGGGGCTGGGGCCTCAGGTTCTAGCCGCTTTTGGTTTTTCCCATCCTTTGAAGAGCCGGTGGAGCAAGTCTTTGGCGGTTCATTTCATCTCTCCCCTATGGTTGTTTGTTTTGTTTTGTTTTTTTGACACAGGGTCTCTCTCTGTGGCCCAGGCTGGAATGCAATGGCCTGATCCTACCTACTGACTCCTAGCTGAGCCTCCAACTCCTGGACTCAAGTGACCCTCCCACCTCAGCCTCCAGAGTAGCCAGGACTACAGGTGCATGCTACTGCACCTGGCTAATTAATTTTTTTTTTTTTTGGTAGAGATGGGGGTCTTGCTATGTTGCCCACCCTGGTCTCAAACTCCTGATTTCAAGCACTCCTTCTGACTCGGTCTCCCAAAGTGCTGGGATTACAGGTATGAGCCACCATGCCTGGCTCCCTTATATTTTTATCAGATTCTTTCATTTCATTTTTATTTTTTTTGAGACAGAATCTTGCTCCGTTGCCCAGGCTGGAGTGCAGTGGCATGATCTCAGCTCACTGCAACCTTTGCCTCCTGGGTTCAAGTGATTCTTCTGCTTCAGCCTCCTAAGTAGCTGGGAATAACAGGGCCTGTCACCATGCCCGGCTGATTTTTATATTAGTGGAGACAGGCTTTTACAATGTTGGCCAGTCTTGAACTCCTAACCTCAGGTGATCTGCCCTCCTTGGCCTCTCAAATTGTTGGGATTACAGGCATGAGCCACTGAGCTCAGCCGAATCAGATTCTTTTAAATGGAGACTAAATACATCTCTTGCCTTCATGGCTTTGACCATCAGTCTCAGAGGCAGCCTTTGGTCTGTTGTCAGTAAGTCAGTCAACTAACAGTGTTGATTAAGCTCCTCTGAGTACAGTCGTGTGTGTGTGGGTGGGGAAGGGTGTGTGTGTGTGTGTGTGTGTGTGTGTGTGTGTGTTCCACTGGTGCTTAGATGGGAATGAGGGTAACTTGAAAGGCAGTACACATGGTATAGCCCACATGAAAAACACGCGTAGTTTAATTAGGGGACACCAAACATACATGTTAACAGAAAATAAACTATATATGAAAACATCTGTGAGAATACTGGAAAAGTACACAAATATTCAGATAATGTTTAAGTTTCCTCCCAGCATGAACATGCTGTGATTTTTGTGCAGATTAAAACAAGTATCCTGCTCTACGGATGCATAATAATGTTGGTGTCATCGCAAGAATAATAGCTATGTTATAGATTTTTGGATTTTTTGTTTTGTTTTGTTTTTTTGAGATCAAGTCTCACTATGTCACCCAGGCTGGAGAGCAGTGGCCCGATCTTGGCTAACTGCAACCTCCGCCTCCCGGCTTCAATCAATTCTCCTGCCTCAGCCTCCTGAGTATCTTGGATTACGGGCACGTGCCACCATGCCTGGCTATTTTTTTTTTTTTTTGTATTTTTAGTAGAGACAGGGTTTCACCATGTTTGCCAGGCTGGCCTCG
The DNA here is from genome assembly GCF_000001405.40 of Homo sapiens. Lineage (NCBI taxonomy): Eukaryota > Metazoa > Chordata > Mammalia > Primates > Hominidae > Homo > Homo sapiens. The sequence goes on along the minus strand of NC_000019.10, from coordinate 32,335,152 downwards.
AACTCCTAACCTCAGGTGATCTGCCCGCCTTGGCCTCCCAAAGTGCTGGGATTACAGATGTGAGCTACCACGTCCCGCCTAGATTTTTGTTTTGTTTTAGTGAGAGCAGTGCAAAATAGAACCCATCTCCATGGTTGAAGATGGGTTGACTCATTGTTATCAAGCTCTGAGATTCGTTTCTGGGCCATTTGCAGAAGTGTACATTTGCAGTTAGCTGAGAGTAGCAAAACTTGGCCTGACTGTACCACTCTGGAGATGTGTGCCCTCAGTGTTTTTCTGTTTACCTTAAGATGGGCCAGCAAGTCCTTTTTATTTCAGCCCTTGCTGTTGACCTTTCTTTTTCTCTCTTTAGTGTGTTTGTCCAGTCTCCTGCCTCAGCAAGTGTGCAGAACGGATGCATAGCAGGTTGTCAGTTTCACCTTCTACATAATCCTCGAATCTTTCCCTTTCTGAAAGAGCCTAAAGGTCCCCAGTGGCTGCTCATAAAGATCCAGACATTTATTTCATCTTCGAGGTCCAGCCTGATGTCCCTGGGCACTGCCCCAGCCTCAGCCCCATCACACCTGCCCATCCTCACCAATCTACACTTTGGTTTTCCAGCTGCACCAAGCTCCGTGTCCTCACTGTCTCTCCCTACTCCCCATTCATTCTCTTACTCTTCCTTCAGGTCTTAACGAAAGAGCTATTTTCTCAGGGATGCCTTCATTGACCTCTGTGACCAGATTAAAATCTCTTTACCCTCTCTTAACACCATGTGCCCCTTGCTATAGTTGCAGTTTATCTGTGTAGTTTGGGGATGAATGGCCACTCCCTTCTATAGACTGTGGATTCTGTGGGGTCGTCCACAATGTTGTATCAGCATCTGGCATGGTACTAGTAGATTCTTGTAGTACTTCAGATCTGTCTACCCAATATCACTTTGCTCCATTTAACTGTGTAAAATAGAGAACTGGATGGTAGACACTATGGGTTATCAAAGGTTATATTTATGTGGGTTGTTGGATCCACTGAGGAAATCTTGATTTTCTTTTCTTTTTTTTTTTTTTTTTTTGAGATAAGGTCTTACTCTGTTGCCCAGGCTGGAGTGCAGTGGTGCGATCTTGGCTCACTGCAACTTCCACCTCCCTCGGCTCAAGCAATCCTCCCATCTCAGCCTCCCTTGCTGGGACCACAGGTGTGCATCCCCACGCCCGGTTAATTTTTTTGTATTTTTAGTAGAGAGAGGATTTTGTCATGTTGCCCAGGCTGGTCTTGAACTCCTGAGCTCAGGTGATCCACCTGCCTCAGCCTCCCAAAGTGCTGGGATTACAGGCATGAGCCACCACGCCTGGCCAGAAATTTTGATTTCAATAAATACTTAATTAACATTAGTGGGCATTAGTGTTGAGTATAGAAAATTCCAGTTACTTAAAGGGTCTTATTTATCAAAGGCCCCCCTGCATATTAACACTGAAATGATGTAAATCACAAGGACACCTGAGGGGGCCAGTTTTGCATCAGTGGAGAAGTTCATCTTTGTTAGCTGGAAATTCTTGTACTCTACACCCTTGGCAGAGAGTCCAAGCTGTCTCTGCCTGCTCCCGCCTTCGCTCTGCCAATTTAATCTGGGGTTGCATTCTTACAGCTCGGGGAAGAGCTGCATTCAACTCTCTCTTGGAAAGACCTTCATGTGCCTCACTAACCGCAGGTTAAGCATAGTCTTGAAGTTTAACCTGTAAGGGAGAGATTATCACGTGACATCTTAATTTGGAGCAGGGATTTGTAACTTGCAATCTACTTGGAAAGAAAAAATAAAAGATAAACTCAAGGGAGCAGAGCAGAGGGTTAGCACCCAAAGTCCTCTCTTGGGATGTTTTTCTAATTGTTTTTGAATTTATCCTAGTTTTCAAAGTCAGAAGAAAGAGAAAGCCTAGTATGGGGGTTAAGGGCAGAGATTCTGTCTGGAGTGCCTGGACCTGTTTCCATCACTGTCACTTGCTAGCTGTGTAACTCCAAGTCCTCACCTTTCACGAGCAGAAAATTCTATCCCCCAACTCCTAGTGTTGTCCTGTGAATTTTATGAATGAATACCTTGGAGAGCACTTACAACTCTCCCGGGAGAAAGCATTCTTTAAGTGTTAGCTCTTATTTTTCCCTAGAAAAGTGGTGGACATGTGCTTTTTCTTATTCTGATGTGTGGATAGTGTTTGTGGTTCACAATGTCATTCATTTACTTACTTTTTTTTATTGTTGTTTGTTTGTTTGTTTTGAGATGGAGTCTTGCTCTGTTGCCCAGGCTGGAGTGCAGTGGCACCATCTCGGCTCACTGCAACCTCTGCCTCACAGGGTCAAGAGATTCTCCTGCCTCAGCCCCACTAAGTAGCTGGGATTACAGGCGCCAGCCACCACACCCGGCTAGGTTTTTTTTTTTTTTTGTATTTTTAGTAGAGACAGGATTTCACCACGTTGGCCAGGCTGGTCTCGAACTTCTGACTTCACATGATCCGCCTGCCTTGGCCTCCCAAAGTGCTGGGATTACAGGCGTGAGCCACTGCACCTGGCCTCACTTGCTTAAATTTTAAAGCATCTAAGTTATGCACGGTGCTGAGGAAGAAGGGATGAGTAGGGAGAGAATCCCTGCTTTCACAGAAGCCATGATCTAGTTGGATAGAGAAGGTCCCTGTAAGCACAACTTCAGAATGTACTGAGTCCATTCATTCATGCAACAAATATTTCTCAAGGGGCACAGTGGCTCATGCCTGTAATCCCAGCACTTTTGGAGGCAGAGGTGGGAGGATTGCATGAGGCCAGGAGTTCGAGGCTGTAGTGAGCTGTGATCATGTCACTGCATTCTAACCTGGACGACAGAATGAGACCCTGTCTCAAAAACAAGAACACAACAGAGAAAAACAAACAAACAAACAAAAAAATAAGTATTTTTTGAGTACCAGCTGTGTGTCGGGTGCTGTACTTGGCACCAAGGATACAGTGGTGGAAGGAATAGACCAAATTTCTGCTCTCCTGGACCTTAGAATCTAGTGAAAGAGACGGAAATAAACAGGCAAAGAGGCAGACCAATGCGAAGTGTAATTTCAGTGCTGGATGAAACTAGAACAGAGTGAAGGGATGGAAGGTACATGAGGGAGGTGGAGGTTCCTGTTTTAGAGAAATGGGGTGTTCAGAGGAGGCTGCCCTGAGGAAGACCAGAAGGCTGATATCCAGGGACTGACTCTTCCAGGCTCAGGGGACCACAAAGTGATTAGAGCCAGGGCCGAACACCACCAAACATAGCAAGGCCACTTAGGGAAATCTCAAAGGAAATGACAGGTGTGGATTGGCAGAGCAAAGGCAGAAGATATTCCAGTGCTCTGTTGGTGAGATCTGATATGGTTTGGCTCTGTGTCCCCACCCACATCTCATGTGCAATTGTATTCCCCAGTGTTGGAGGTGGGGCCTGGTGGGAAGTGATTGGATCATGGGGGTGGTACCTAATGGTTTAGCACCCCCCTGCCAGTACTGTCTCGTTGTTTAAAAGTGTGTGGCACTTTGGGCCGGGCGTGGTGACTCACGCCTGTAACCCTAGCACTTTGGGAGCTGAGGTGGGTGGATTACCTGAGGTCAGGAGTTTGAGACCAGCCTGGCCAACATGGTGAAACCCCCATCTCTACTAAAAATACAAAAATTACCCGAGTGTGGTGCTGCACGTCTGTAATCCCAGCTACTCGGGAGGCTGAGGCAGGAGAATCGCTTGAACCTGGGAGGTGCAGGTTGCCGAGAGGCGAGATCGCACCATTGCACTCCAGCCTGGGCGACAGAGCAAGACTCCATCTCAAAAAAAAAAAAAAAAAAAAAGTGTGTGGCACTTTCCACTTCGCTTTCTTCCTTTTTTTTGGTATGGAGTCTCACTGTTGCCCAGGCTGGAGTGCAATGGCACAATCTTGGCTCACTGTAACCTCCACCTCTTGGGTTCAAGCGATTCCCCTGCCTCAGTCTCCCGAGTAGCTGGGATTACAGGTGTCCACCACCGTGCCCAGCTAATTTTTGTATTTTTAGTACAGGCAGCTTTTCGCCATTTTTGCGAGGCTGGTCTTGAACTCCTGACCTCAAGTGATCTGCCGGCCTTGGCTTCCCAAAGTGCTGGGATTATAGTCGTGAGCCACTGCACCCAGCCTGCTCTCTTCCTCCTGCTCCCATGGCTGCTTCCCCTTCATCTTCCACCATGATTGTAAGTTTCCTGAGGCCTCCTCAGAAGCAGAAGCCTGTACAACCTGCAAAACCATGAGCCAATTAAACCTCTTTTCTTTGTAAATGACCCAGTCTCAGGTATGTCTTTATAGCAGTGTGAGAACAGACCTGGAGAAGGGGCGCTGGGTGGAGCGGGACAGCTCATGCTTCCCTCACCTCTGTGAAGGGCCTTGCAGGGTCTATGGAAGGTTCCTCTGCCTCGTGCCTCAGGACCCAGCACTGTGGATTTCTCCAGCTGGTGCCATGTCAGGCTCAGCCCCTTATCCTCTCCATCTCAGGACTGGGAAGCTGGGCAGGTGCAGTGACACCAGCGGAGCGCCCAAGAGCAAATGCGATTTTAAAGTTGTTAGGGCATTTTGGCATTCAGTTCCCCGAGATGAACAAAGTGTCTTGTCTGGTAATTGCAATTAATGGCTCTGCTATTCAAGCATATCCGTCAATAAATCTCCTCTAATAACCGATTGGGCACAGTTGTTGCCATAGTTATGTCTCTAAATTGAGCTCAGGGTAGTTGGCCACGACACTGACCTTAGCGGGGTCAGGGCTGCTTCCTGACTGTATGACTGCATATCCCAGGAATTAGAACGACCCTCCAAATGATTGGCTTCCAGCCAGCTGAGAGGCACGCTCAGCCCCGCAGCTTAACTGCCTGGAGATTTCCTGTAAATCTCTTAAATGCAGAATAAAAGTCTTCGAAACCCTGTAACGCCGGTGGTTGCAGTAATTCTGTCCAATCCACTTCTGTACAATGCTGGGATAGAGTCAACAGGGAGACCCCATATCAGATTGGTGGTCACCAGTGTTGTTCATGGCAGGCCTCATCTCAGATTCCTTGGTTGATGAGGTCAGTGCCCTACCATGCATTCATTCTCTTTAATTCTTCCCTTGTAGATAATTCCTTCTCCACTCCCAAGTACTGTCTTTAGGAGTCCATCTCTCTACAAAAAAAAAAAAAAAAATTTTTTCTTGGATTTCTAGAGTGTCATCTCAAAACCCAGCTTGGAACAGGGTCTTGCTCTGTTGTCCAGGCTGGAGTGCAGTGGGGCAATTATGGCTCAATGTAGTCTTGAATTCCTGGGCTGAAGTGATTCTCTTGCCTCAGCATCCAGAGTAGCTAGGACTATAGGAATGTGCCACCATGCCCAGATAATTTTTATTTTTATTTTTTTGTAGAGATGGGGTCTCTCACTATGTTGTCCAGGCTGGTCTTGAACTCCTGAGCTCAAGGGAGCCTCCCACCGCAGCCTCCTAAAGTGTTGGGATTACAGGCGTGAGCCATGGCACCCAGCCGGGAGTCCATCTGTCTCTTAATCCCACCCTTTGGCTCTTTCATGGGCCATAATTCTGCAGCCACCATGCTTGCTTGTTTGGTTCAGGGGTCAGCTTCCTGAAGCCCCAGCCATTACTCAGAGATCACATCTGCCCACTGCGTCCTCATTTTATGTCATGCCTTGCATCTTCAGGAGATCTTGGATTTCCAGGGTGCCATTTCAAAACCCAGTTTGGACACCTCCTGAGGTGGGGGTGCTTTTAAAAGTGTCTATTTATATGCTTGAGATGATTGCAGATGATTACACAGAAGGTGGAAGAAGGGATCTGGAGGCAAAAGAAAAATAGTCTCTCTTAATTCGTGTCTGTGTAAAATCCCAAAAAAATGGGAAGACAATGGAAGTCCATTTCCTGTCTCTGATTGGGACTCAGGCTTGATTTAAGCTTTTCTTTCTTTTTTTTTTTTTCTATAGTTTTTCAGTCTCTCAAGTGTCTTTTATTCTAACACAGTTCCTTTTTTAAAAACATTTTTTATTTTTTATTTATTTTACTTTAAGTTCCGGGATACGTGTGCAGAATGTGCTGGTTTGTTACATGGGTATACATGTGCCATGGTGGTTTGTTGCACTTATCAACCCATCATCTAGATTTTAAGTCCCGCATGCATTGTATACTCTTATTCTCTTTTTTCAGAGTTGGGGTCTTGCTTTGTCCCGGCTAGAGTCCAGTGGCATGATCATATCTCATTGCAGCTTCCGGCTGCTGGGCTGAAGTGATCCTCCTGCCTCAGCATCCTGAGTAGCTGGGATTACAGGCATGTGCCACCAAGCCTGGCTAATTTTTAATTTTTTTTGTAGAGATATAGATCTCACTATGTTGCCCAGGCTGGTCTCAAACTCCTGGGCCCAAGTGATCCTCCTGCCTCAGCCTCCCAGGTGGCTGGGACTGTTGGCAGGTACCACCATGCCTGCCTATTTAAAAAATATTCTAGTAGAGACAGGAGCTCACTATGTTGACCAGGCTGGTCTTGAACTCCTGGGCTCAAGCGATCCTCCTGCCTCCACCTCCCAATGTGCTGGGATTGCAGGTGTGAGCCACCGTGCCTGGCCATACTTTTCATTGCTCTCCATTTTTGCTGTCCTGCTCTTCTTCTGTTGTTTATCTCAGAGGTAATGTCGTAGAATTTTAGAGCTGGAAGGGTCTCAGGGATGGGAAAAGCAGAGAGGTGGTGCAGCTGGGAGCTCACGGAGCAGAGGCCTGGGCTCAACCATCCTGCCAAGTGCCCAGTTTCTGCACCATTTTCCTTTCTGGAGAATCTCTGTAACATGGTGTGGCAGGGCTTACCATGTTCACCTTCTCTTGGAGGGTCTCTGTGAGAAAAATGGAGAAGGATTTCCATATGCCAGAAATCTGCCAAGGCATCTCTTTTTTTTTTTTGAGATGGAGTCTCGCTCTTTCGCCCAGGCTGGAGGGCAGTGGTGCTATCTTGGCTCACTGCAAGCTCCGCCTCCTGGGTTCACGCCATTCTCCTGCCTCAGCCTCCCGAGCAGCTGGGAATACAGGCGCCCGCCACCGCGCCCGGCTAATTTTTTGTGTTTTTAGTAGAGACAGGGTTTCACCATGTTAGCCAGGATGGTCTCGATCTCCTGACCTCGTGATCCGCCCGCCTTGGCCTCCCAAAGTGCTGGGATTACAGGCGTGAGCCACCACGCCCAGCCAAGGCATCTCTTTAAGATGACATAAACTGTTTATTGGTTTGCTTGTAACTTTTGCAATAACCATCAAATAGAATAAAAACAATGTGTCTGTTTTCAAGGTGGATCAAGTTGAAAAACTCACTAAGTCGGTGCAGGAATCCTAATCTTTTGGACTGTAGCATTTCAAATTAATATCAAAAGAAAACCAACCAGTTCCTGTGTGGGTTTGGAGAGATGAAATGTGCACCTTTTCGAAATGCTTCATATCAGCGGCTTATAAAAGTATTTTGATGGATGTTTGATGGAATTTGAATTATTGAGCAATGTTAAATAGAATTTTGGCTTCACCGTTGACGTACCGTTGAAAGGAGTTATAAACATAGCAGGAGATTTGCTTTAATAAAAGAGGAAAAAGGGAAAGCAAGTTAAATGCAGTAAACGCATGATGCGGAACAGTTGGAGGCACTCACCTCCTTCCTTCAGCTCCGTTTTCTCCTCTGTGTGTGGAGTTCTCTTACCACCTCTGCTGACGTATTCAGTACAGACATTCAGCTAGTACTGGGTGTTCCTGGGTCCCTATCTGAGACCCACCCCAAATGCGTGAAATATCTCCAGATTTTTAGACCCCATCCTGGATGCATTTCTTCTACATGTTGGCCAGTGCTGGTCAAGGGGCAGATATATTGTTCATCACTGTGGTATCTGGACTTAGAGAAGAAGATACACAGACAACTCTCTGCTGAACACTTTGAGTTCCAGAAGAGGGCAGATGACAGATGGGGCTGTTAACCGCAACGCGGCTTGTTCACACTATTTGGGCGTCCCGGGTGCACGCAGTGTGTACCTGGCAAGCCCGGTTGTACACTGGCACGAGCACAGAAGGGCTGGCTCTGGTCCTCCTCATGGAGGGGGCTGGGGAGAATCCTCAGAGACAGGCAGAACATGAGAAACCAGAGAAATTGAAATGAGAATTGACCACTAGGAGAGTGAATGGAAATGCAGAGGAGAATAAATGGGAAGTGAGAGGAGAATGGAAGATGTGAGGAGATTAAGGAAGAAATGCAAATTCAGGCCAGGTACGGTGGCTCACGCTTGTAATCCCAGCACTTTGGGAGGTTGAGGCAGGTGGGTCACCTGAGGTCAGGAGTTTAAGACCAGCCTCAGTGAGGCCAACATGGAAAAACCCCATCTCTACTAAAAATACAAAAATTAGCTGGGCGTGGTGGCACATGCCTGTAATCCCAGCTACTCAGGAGGCTGAGGCAAGAGAATTGCTTGAAACCTGGGAGGCAGAGGTTGCAGTGAGCTGAAATTGTGCCACTACACTCCAGCCTGGGTGACAGGGTGAGAGTCTGTCTCAAAAAAAAAAAAAAAAAAAAAAAGAAAAAAAAATGAAAAAGAAATGTGAATCCAGGCTGGATTAGAACAGAGAAATGGTCAAGGGGGGATGCGGGAAGGACGGTGAAGGGAAGCAAGCCCCTGTCCCCCAGTGGCAGCCCCCACCCGCCCTTCTTGTATCCTTCTACTTCTGTCCTCTCCTCTGTGACTTCTTTCCCTCCCTCCCCTACTCCCTCCCTCCCTTCTTTATTTTTTCTTTCTTTCTTTCTCTCTTTCTTTTTTTTTTTTTCAGACAGGATCTTGCTCTGTCACCCAGGCTGGAGTACAGTGGTGCAATCATAGCTCACTGCAGCCTCGACCTCCTGGGCCGAAGCGATCCTCCTGCCTCAGCCTCCTGAGTAGCTAGGACTACGGGTGTGCACCACCAGCTCAGCTGATTTTTATATTTTTTTGTAGAGACGGGTCTCACTTTGTTGTCCAAAACAAAGTTGATCTTGAACTCTTGGGTTCAAGTGATCCTCCTGCCACAGCCTCCCAACAGGCTGGGATTACAAATGTGAGCCATTGAGCCTGGCCAGTCTTTTCTTCGTAAATATTGACTTTTTATTTGAATTACAATCCAAAGCAGTTTTGGAAGTGTCTTATTTTTATGTGTACATTTCAAGTAGTTAATACTTATATACGGTATACAATTCAAAACAAAATGAGTTTATAATGAATTGTAAGTCTCTCCCACCCTGTTACCAGTCCCCTAGTTCTTCCTACAAAAGAACCATTGTTAGTGGCTGATTGTGTTTTCCACAGAGATTCTATGCAAATACGTACACCCTAAGCACACTATACACAATGTTTTGCAGTTGCTTTTTTTTTTTTTTTTTTTTACTTAACTGTATGATCTCAGAAATTGTGCCATATCGGTACATACAGAGCTGCCTTGTTGATTTCAAAGGCTGTACAGTGTTCCGTTTTATGGATTGACCATAATTTACATCTCTTCTGTTGATGGACATTTAGTTTGTTTCCAGTCTTTTGCTGTGATAAATTTCCTTGTACATACATCTCTGTGTGCACACGTATGTATAGATCTGACAGATACATTTTTAGAGATGAGATTGCTGGTCAGAAGGTATATGCATTTTAAAATTTGGAAACTATCACCACATATTCCTCTTTTTTAATTTACAGCACTACCTTGCCAAACCAGTGTGATCGAAAGTTGATCTTTGACAATCTGTTAGGCAAAACATGTATCTCCTTGAATCGGCTCATTGGCATTTCCTTTTCCGTGAACTGTTTATTCATGTTAAGGGTAGTTTTGATAAATCCAGACGGAAGAGTGTCAGGGTGGTGGAGGTCACCAACTGGGAAAGATTGAAGAGGGAGGGAAAATAGCCAAGCGTGCTTTACGAACGAAAAATAAACTCAAGGACGATGTCTCTTTCTAAAGAAACCACTGTATCTGGATGACGCTGTGTCAATATGCCAGTGGCACAGATGGTTCTTCAATTTCATGCACTGACATTTCTTCCCCTGGACTGCGATATAAAAGCCTTTTCTCTCACAGATCCGGTACTCACATTGCCATAGTAGCATGACTGGAGTATGTTTTCATTTAAAATTGTGTATAAAACCCATTGTTTCATTGCAAATAAAAGTTTAGATTTACTGCGACGTGACCACAAAGTGGTATTTTCATCCATAAAGCCCTCGGTTACTGATGTGCTTTAGTGCACTAAACTGGAGTGAGCCACCTCATTTTCAGTGAGTGACCTTGAGATGGCAGCAACATTACATTCAATGCTGGAATGCACCAAGTCCATTACAAAATGAAAGTAAAAATTGCAATAAATCAGAATAATACTGATTGTTATAATTTTATTATCAGAGCATTAAGTCAATAAAACTTATCTGAAATGTCATTTGAAATTGTATACAATTTTTACTAGTTATCCAGTATGTCTTAAAAGCATGCTTAAAACAACAAAATGAAGAAATCATGGATAAATTGTGCAAAAGCTGAGACTTAACTCATGCTGTAGTAAAACTAAATTCTCTTTTGATTTTTGCTTTGTAAAATTTTTTTTTTGCAGACTCTTTTTTTTTTTTAAGATGGTGTCTCACTCTATTGCCCAGGTTGGAGTGCAGAGGTGTGATCTTCACTCACTGCAACCTCCACCTCTCCAGCTCAAACGATTCTCGTGCCTCAGCCTTCCAAGTAGCTGGGACTACAGGCGCCCGCCACCATGCCCGGCTAATTTTTATATTTTTAGTAGAGACAGGGTTTCACCATGTTGGGGAGGTTGGTCTTGAGCTCCTGACCTCAAGTGATCCACCCACCCCAGCCTCCTAGAGTGCTGGGATTACAGGTGTGAGCCACTGCCTCTGGCCTTTTTTGCAGACTATACCATAATGCCTACTGTCTGCCCAGCTGTATTTAATGCCCGATTGTCTGATTACTTATTTTCTTGCAGGTTGTCTGGTCTTCTCTCATTTGTGATTTTATATAGGAAGGTCATCTAATATATGACATCCTTTCAGGACAGGAGAAAGTGGTTGTTTTTTTAAATAATGAGGAATAATGAAACTTATTTATGAAGGAAATCAGAAAAATTTATTGATGAATCACTATAAGGGAAACATGCAAATTAAAAAAGCCCTGCTTAATAGCATATTTATTACCAGGGAGCTTCCAAGGAATGAAATAGGCACGTAAAAGGCAGGATATTAGGTCATGTAATATTGCCTATATCAGGTGCAATACATGATTACTGTGCATTTTTATCTTGTCAATTGCAATTAGATTATCATAGTATTACTGTGTAATTAGTTAAAATGCAAGACACTAAAAATGTTTAGGTCCGTATTTTTGTAACTTTTTTTTCATTTTGTGATGGATTGCTGACATGTAAATTATGGAAAGTAGGAAAAATAGATTGTGAACGTATCCCTAGTTTGATATTAATGATGCTCTGGTTATCCGTTTGATCTTAGTCTGTGATAAAATCATTTTAGGCTGGGTGTGGTGGCTCACGCCTGTAATCCCAGTGCTTTGGGGGGGCTGAGGCAGGTGGATCACCTGAGGTCAGGAGTTCGAAATCAACCTGGCCAACATGGCAAAACCCCGTCTCTGCTAAAAATACAAAAATTAGCCAGGCATGGTGGCGGGCACATGTAATCCCAGCTACTGGGGAGGCTGAGGCAGGAGAATCACTTGAACCCAGGAGGCAGAGGCTGCAGTGAGCTGAGATCACGCCACTGCACTCCATCCTGGGTGACAGAGCGAGACTCTGTCTCAAGAAAAAACAAAACAAAACAAAACAAAACACAAAACAAAACAAAAAAACATTTTAAAGAAAATTGCAGGCCAGGAGCAGTGGCTCGTGCCTATAAACCCAGCGCTTTGAGAGGCCGAGGTGGGATGATCTCTTTGAGCCCAGGAGTGTGAGACCAGCCTGGGCAACATAAGGTGACCCTATCTCTATAAAAAAAATAAAATTAGCCTGCCTGTGGTCCCAGCTACTTGGGAGGCTGAGGTGAGAGGATCACTTGAGCCCAGGAGGTTGAGGCTGCAGTGAGCTAGGATCGTGCCACTGCACTCCAGCCTGGGTGACTGAGCAAGAAGTTAAGGTGCTGTGGTGTGCAGACATTGGACTGGAAGTCAAGCAGCTTCAGTCGCCCTTTAACTGTGCCACCATCCAGTTCCATGGCCCCAGTTAGAGGCTTGGTCCCTCTGAACTTGCCGCCTCGTCTGCGCAGTGAGCTGGGGTTGCAGCGAGTGCATATATGCAGTCACTCACTCAATCAGCAGACATTCACGAGTGCCAGCTACGGGCTGGGAACTGTGTTGGGGCTGGGGCTCCTGAGATGAATGAGGCACAACCCAGGCCAGTGAGTGAGTCACAGAACAGCAGAGAAAGAGAGTGTATAACAAAGTCCCAGAGCAGGTGCTGTGCAGGGTGTGGTGCAGGGAGAGTCTCCGGGGTGACTGTGACCCATAACCAAGAACTAAGCAGTTACTCTGTGCCAGGAGCATGGTGAGCTCTTTACATGTGTGGTGTGGTTTCTTTTCTTTTCTTTTCTTTTCTTTTCTTTCCTTTTCTTTTCTTTTCAGACAGAGTCTCATTCTGTTGCCCAGGCTGGAGTACAGTGGCATGGTCTTGGCTCACTGCAACCTCCGCCTCCCGGGTTCAAGTGATTCCCCTGCCTCAGCCTCCCAAGTAGCTGGGACTACAGATGTGCACCACCACGCCCAGCTAATTTTTTTTGTATTTTTAATGGAGACAGTGTTTTGCCATGTTGGCCATGCTGGTTTCGAATTCCTGACCTCAGCCTGCCTCAGCCTTCCAAAGTGCTGGGATTACTGGCATGAGCCACAGTGCCTGGCCAACATGTGTGGTTTCTTGTCCTCCTCTTCCTAACCCCACATTGCAGAGGAATTATGATCATCCCCATTATACAGATGAAGACGCTGAGGTACGGTGACTTTATCCTTCCACTGGAAGGCATCGTTAATAGAGGATGAGCTGGGGTTTTGATGCAGGCAGGCTTCATCCGTGTGCCACACTGCATCCACATGTTCCTTTCTTTAGCTTCTAGTCCAACTCAGAAAACACCGTTTGTCTAAAGAATGCAATAGACAGAGGCTGCAAGTCTTGTACAAAACTCCTAGAGAAGGGCAAACATCTTAGAAGGAAATCAAACGGCAGAGCAGAACAGCAGACGGAAGTGGCTTTGACCTTCTTCAGGGATGGGGTCATCACTTAGGTCCATTCTGGTGTTAACATCATGACCCTCTTATTATCTGCTGACTCAGAGCAGAAAATGGTATGGAAATCTCTGCTTGGAATTACTCATGCTACTGTGAAGTGGGACTGTGCAGTGGTTAGAAGCAGGGATCTATTTTTATTTTATTTTATTTATTTTAGTGACAGGGTCTCACTCTGTTGCCCACTGGTATGATCAAAGCTCACTGCAGGGCTGGGTGTGGTAACTCATGCCTGTAATCCCAACACTTTGGGAGGCCAAGGTGGGTGGATAACTTGAGACCAGGAGTTCAAGACCAGCCTGGCCAACATGGTGAATCTCCATCTCTACTAAAAATACAAAAATTAGCCAGGCATGGTGGTGCACGCCTGTAATCCCAGCTACTTGGGAGGCTGAGGCATGAGGATCACTTGAATCTGGGAAGCAGAGGTTGCAGTGAGCTGAGATCGTGCCACTGCACTCCAGCCTGGGCAGCAGAGTGAGACTCTGTCTCAAAATAAATAAATAAGTAAAAATAAATAAATAAATAAATAAATAAATAAAAACTTACTGCAGTCTTTAACTCCCAGGCTCAAGTTATCCTCCATCCTTGGCCCCTCAAGTAGCTGGGACTACAGGCACGCACCACCATGCCCAGATAACTTTTTAATTTTTTGTAGAGACAGGGTCGTGCATTGCTGCCTAGGCTGGTCTTGAACTCCTGGGCTCAAGTGATCCTCCTGCCTTGGCCTCCCAAAGTGCGGAGATTTCAAGTGGGAATCACCATGTCCTGCCAGTAGCAGGGCTCTAGAGTCAGACTGCCGGGGTCAAATCTCAGGGATAAGACACTTAATCTCAGCTCCAGTTCATCATCCATAAAATGGGGATATCAATCTGTGGCCTCCTCATAGACTTGCCTGAAGATTGAAGTGGACAATCCTGATGGTGGCTTGAGACCAGAGTCTGGCATGCTAAAAGTGCTTTGTAAGTGTTTTCTATAACTATCTTTATTACTGATGTCCATTTCCTCCTGGGAAATTGGCATAAATAGATATGTCACAGGAAATCCAGACAAAAATTAAATTAGAAGCTCACATTTTATCTGAATGCAGCTGAGACAAAAATCAAAGTAATGTATAGTTAAATGTAAATAATTGAGAAATGTCTTTCGGTAATAGCAGCCAGCATTGCAGATCTCAAATAAGTTGATTATTAGATAAGATACTTATTCCTCCCTCCCAAGAAGTATTGATTTGATGTTGGTGACAGTGTCAATTTGAGGGGGCTGATTGAATATGTTGGAAAATATTTATGTAAAATGGTCTAGCACGACAAGTTCTTTGAATTGCATTACGGACAGCATGGGTTTATGTATTTCAGACGTGACCTGCCTGCTGGTTGCTTCTTTGTGTACTGATGTGTGTCACCCTCTTGCAATTGGGAGTCTGGCCACAGCCCAGTCCTCTGCATTGAACTCTAGAGCCCCCGTTATTTGTCTGTTAATTTTCACAAAGCCTCATATTGCCTTGATTAAGTTTCTTTTATATGTTATGGAATCATCTCACAAACACTTCACCAAACAAGTCTCAAATGGCTTGCTAACCCTGGGTTCTTTGAGAGAAGCACTGGGGAAGTATTCTCTTTTGGAAAGTAATCATATTTGCTTGAAATCTTAAGATGTTAGATCACAGGCGAGGTGTGGTGGCTGATGCCTGTAATCCCTGCACTTTGAGAGGCCAAAGCTGGAGGATTGCTTCAGCCCAGAAGTTTAAGACCAGCCTGGGCAACATAGCAAGACCCTGTCTCCACAAAAACAAAATGAAAAACCAAAAAGCCACCCCAAACCAAAAACATAACTGGGCATGGCGGTGCATGCCTGTATTCCCAGCTACTTGGGAGGATGAGGTAGGAGGGAATGCTTGAACCCAGGGGAATCGAGGCTGCAGTGAGTCATGATCACAGCACTGCACTCCAGCCTGGGCGACAGAGTGAGACCCTGTCTCAAAAAAAAAAGATGTTAGATCACAAAATGCTTAAAACAATTTGTGGTTCTCCAGGGTGCAGCTTCTTAATCAGCACATATTGGTGTCAAACCAATGAGCCCTGCAACTTCTGGGCTTGGCCTTAGGGGCCACAGTGCTTGGAGGATTGTCTTGACCACGATGGGAGCAGAAACTCACTGTGAACAGTTGCCAATGTCAGCTGAATCAAATGCTCAGGGCTGTCTGGTGTGTGCTTTCTGACAATATTCATCTGCTTATGGTCATCTTTCTATTTTTGGTAGTTGAAAAGGACCATGTACCTTGTCAGAAAATCAACAGATGATTTGGCTTCTGGTACTTTGAAAGTGACACACACACACACACCTCACACTTAATGTACACTATGCAAACACCTACAAACACATATGCATGTGCACACAATCTTTCCTGACTTCTGCAAGCTAAGAAGACTTTTTTTTTTCATTGTAGGTCAAAAACATTCATTGCATCCCCTGGTGGAAGTGCCTAGAAAAACAAGCAACAAACAAAGAAACAAAACATTTGTTGTCATTGCCACGGAAACCTTTTATTATCACCCTGTAAGTTTCACATGTGGATGGGGCATAGCTTTCATCAACTCATTTCAGCAGCCTAATAGTTCTGATGGGCTCTACATAGTTCTTGTTGAAGCAGAAGTTGCAGCTGAAATCCAGAAAATCAAGATTCTTCTTCTGCAGAGACTGATCCCCACCATTGCCCTGCCCTGACCTCGAGGGAAGGAGGCTTGAGAATGAGCTGTTTTTCCCAGCAAGCGTCCCATTGTGGAAGGAGCGGTGACACACATTGGTGGCTGATGGTATCACAGCTGACACACCCCCTCCCTTCTGCTGTGGAAAGAGGTAGGAGGAATGCGGGGAGGGTGACCACAGTATTTTCAGGGTAAATGGGGGGCTCAAATGGAGCCTTGGTGAGTGTGCTTTGGGATCCAGACTCTTGGCCTAGCACAAGGTTTTAAGTTTATTTGGACCAATGAGAAAGAGACCATGGACAGACTGCTTCTGCTGGGGACCGTTCATTTTTGTCACCTAAAGAAGAAAAATCCTACAATTCTGGTGGTGTCAGACACAGGAGGACTTTTACATTTACAGTTGAGATTTATGAAGTCTGATGTCTTTGTTCCTATACTGCTCCCCTCCACTGCCCCCAGGCCCCAGCTCAGTCACCTCCAGGTCGAATTCCCAAGTGTGTTGCGCACTCCAGAACTCTAAATTATCTTGAGACTGAAATGAAAGAAACGGAGAGGCCTAGTTCTCCCAGCAAGAGCAGAGGGCACAGAAAGGCTGAAAAATGGATTGAGGATTGAGCACTACCCTGGAATGTTCCAGAATTTTTTTTTTGAGATGGATCCTTGCTCTGTTGCCCAGGCTGGAATGCAGTGGCACAATTTCGGCTCACTGTAGCTTCTACCTCTCGAGTTCAAGCAATTCTCCTGCCTCCACCTCCCGAGTAGCTGACACTACAGACACCTGCCACCATACCCGTCTAATTTTTTGTATTTTTAGTAGAGACAGGGTTTCACCATGTTGGCCAGGCTGGTCTCAAACTCCTGACCTCAAGTGATCCACCTGCCTCGGCCTCCCAAAGTGCTGGGATTACAGGCATGAGCCACCGTGCCTGGCCCAGAAAATATTTTTTTTTTTTTTTTTTTTTTTTTTTTTTTTTTTTTTTTGAGATGGAGTCTCGCTGTCGCCCACGCTGGAGTGCAGTGGCGCAATCTCGGCTCACTGCAGCCTCCGCCCCCTGGGGTTCACGCCATTCTCCTGCCTCAGCCTCCCGAGTAGCTGGGACTACAGGCGCCCGCCACCTCGCCCGGCTAATTTTTTTGTATTTTTAGTAGAGACGGGGTTTCACCGTGTTAGCCAGGATGGTCTCGATCTCCTGACCTCGTGATCCGCCCGCCTTGGCCTCCCAAAGTGCTGGGATTACAGGCGTGAGCCACCGCGCCCGGCCGAAAATATTTTTAAAAGGCCCATTATCTGGGTCATTTTAACTCAATGAATTCAAGTTTTAAGATGGTAACCTGATTGATCGCATTTTCATCATCATCATCACCACCCCCACCATCATCATTTTCTTTTTCTTTTAAGAAAAAAGGGCAGTTCAGTGAGGGATTCTGGCTGCCCATCCAGAACAGTTACTCACCAGGTTAACAGGCTGCAGTGTTTAATGCAAAACAAATCGCCAAGCTGGCACTGAGCGGTGTGAAACCCAATTGGCTAGAAACTGTGTCTCATTAGAGGCCATCCACACAGCAAGCAGATGCACTTGGAAGTCGTCGTGTGATTCCTTTACAGGAATCACAGAAATGATACTTGCTGCTACGCAGCCAATCGAGTCTCACGAATCTGTTTGCAGTTTCTCTTCCTTGATATTTTGCCTCTTCTATAATCTCATCCCTCCCTTGCACATTCAGCTGGCTTTTGCACACTCCCCTCCACAAAACACACTAGAGTTTTCAACAAAGACACTCCATTCTCTATTAAGTTGGCTCCAAGACCCACTGGGTTAAGTTTGAAGTCTGGATCATCAACCAGACAGTTGGGTTAAGGCCTCTCCTGCCCTTTGCAGATGAGAAACACATTTCTGGCAGAGAAAGGGCCTGCCTTTGAGCCTTCACAAAGTGGATGTTGACACTTATGCCAGCATTTGTTTCGAACCTCTGCTTGGAGTTTGTTTTTCTGAAGAAATAGGTTAAAAATCATCATATGCAAAGAAGAGCTCAAGTATTTCTCAGGTTGCAGAGTGGAATGTTGCCACCGCTTACATTTCTAACGAGTTGGCTCCTAAACTCCCGACAAAACAAAAAGAATACTTTGTGTCCCTCCCAAGAATAATGGAAAGGGTTTATCATTCATCCTGACACACTGATAATTCATTTTCACTGGAGTTGCTCAAGCCAAAATCCTCCAGGAGTTAGCCTGAGTTTTTTTGCTTCTCTGCACCCCACTTGAATGTCACATCCTGAGAGGCTTTTCCTAAACACCCAGGGTATAGGAGTGGCGTCTGTGACCCTGCCAATATCTCTCAATCACTCTATTCTGTTGTGTTCTCTTAATAGAATTTACAACTTTCTGAAGTTATCTTTTTTAAAAACTAATTTTTAAAAATTATTTTTTGTAGAGACAGGGTCTTACTATGTTGCCCAGGCTGGTCTCGAACTACTGGTCTCAAGTGATCCTCCTGCCTTGGCCTCCCAAAGTGTTGGGATTACAGGTGTGACCACCATGTCCAACCTGAAGTCATCTTGTTTATGATATGTTTACAACTTAATTGTTGGTCTCCTCTTACTGATTTTTTTTTTTTGAGACAGGGTCTCACTTTGTCACTCAGGCTGGAGTGCAGTGGCTTGATCTTGTTTCACAACAACCTCTACCTCCCAGGCTCAAGTGATCCTCTCACCCCAGCCTCCCGAGTAGCTGGGACTACAGGTGGATGCTATTACATCTGGCAATTTTTTTTTTGTACTTTTGGTAGATACAGGGTTTCTCCATATTGCCCAGGCTGCTCTTAAACTCCTGGACTCAAGAAAGTGCTGGGTTTATAGGCGTGAGCCATGGCGCCTGGCCCCCTACAGGTATTTAAATGTCAGAGGAGTTAGGATCTTGTTGGTTGTTCTCAGTTGTGGGGGATCCAGCACTTAGGACAGCGCTCGGCCCTTTGTACAAAAGTAAGTGAGTGATGAATGAGCTCATTGCAAGTCTCCAAGGCTCACACTTTAAGCCATTGAGTGTTTCTCTATTTGTGGTCTTTTTCTCATGAATAATCCCTTGACTTCTTTGCTGTTCCCGTGAAAGTTTTTGGGTGAGCAGCCCTTCTGGTTTTGCTTTTCATCTTGCTTTGTTTTTAATAGCCTTGGAGTTGTACATCTTGTTGCTCTGTCATAGAAGTCATTCTATACAAAGCTATCTGTAACCGTTTCCCATGTCAGAGGCAGAGCAGTGTCCAATTTTAATAATTTGGTGTTTGTTTGCAGAGCTAATCTGTTCTGGGATGACAATGAATCAGAGGAGAGATTCTGAAAAGGACACCCGAGGATCTCAGCTCCCTACATGGCCCTTGCAAAGTCAGGAGGGGCCTCCTTTGCTGGAAAATTACCTTGCTTGCCCTTTTGAGGGAACTGGGGCTGCCTAGAAACTGTACGGCCTAGTCATTGCAAGGAAACAGGGTCAAAAGGGCAAAATGGATGGGAAACTGGGCACCCCAGAGAGCGTCCATGGAGAAGCGCTGCTAGTGTTCCCCAGTGGGCAGCTATAATAATAGAGGGATAAAGCATTTGTGCATTAGCAGGATATTTTTTCATAACAGAAGTTGCTTTCTT
Organism: Homo sapiens; assembly: GCF_000001405.40. NCBI lineage: Eukaryota > Metazoa > Chordata > Mammalia > Primates > Hominidae > Homo > Homo sapiens. Next base: position 32,315,521 of record NC_000019.10, on the reverse strand, counting down.
TCTTTTATTTTATTACTATTTTTTGAGTCATGGTCTTGCTCTGTTGACCAGGCTGGAGTACAATGGCGTGATCTTGGCTCACTGCAGCCTCAACCTCTCAGGCTGAAGCGATCCTCCCACCTCAGCCTCCCAGGTAGCTGGGACTACAGGTTCATGCCACCATGCCCGGTGAATTTTTGTATTTTTTTGTAGAGGTGGGGTTTCACCATGTCGCCTGGGCTGGTCTCAGACTTCTGGGCTCAAGCCATCCTCCCTCCTCGGCCTCCCAAAGTGCTGGCACTATGGGTATGAGCCACAGTGTCCAGCCTTCCTTATTTCATAAGAAGAGTGTGTATACAGGCATGGCTGTTGATTCACGTTGCCATTGAAAGACATCTACTGCTCTAGCCAGAGGAATCCCTACTGACTCCAGGAGGTCCACAGTCATCATCCCTGTAGAAGGACAGGTATTGTATCCAAACTAGCCTAGTTCCTCAAACTCCCAAGTTCTGAAGTTTTATGAACTGATTACTAGAAAGAGGAGGCAGAGATTGTTCTGCTGAAATTGGCGGATAAATTGCAGAAAACTCAGGGATGGAGAAAACTAAAATAACGAAAATCAATAGTGCATCTGATGTGATCTTACAGTTTAATCTGAGCAGTTCTTAGCATATATAATTTGTGAGAAAATTCATTATGTGGGGATGCAGCAAGTACATTCCATATCAATGCACAAATGCTCTGTTAATAAATGCTATCACCCCACTTTGCATTGTGGAGAGTGCTGAACTTAAGTCAGAATCCTAGAATGTGATGGTTGGAAACGCATGAGCCCATTTTAGGGTTGAGTAAATAAATAAAACCCAGAGAGGGGAAGGGGCTTTTCCAGAGCCTCTTGGTCATTCCCAACTGTCCTCTAGACAGTGCCCAATCACCTGCCTCTTCATTGTGCCAGGGTGCAAAACCTTTCTCCTCTCTTTGCCCAACTGTTCAGCTCTTCCTGCAGTCCTATCCTCTAACTCACAATCCCAAACCCAATGAAACAAAGCACCCATTCCGCCCCAGTTAACAGGATTCTCCTTAGAAGGCAGATGATTTTTTGATTGAAGATTGAAGGCCATCTTCATTTTTATTATTTATTTATTTACTTGAGACAGAGTCTCACTCTGTTGCCCGGGCTGGAGTGCAGTGGTCTGATTTCGGCTGCTTATGAAAATCATGAGCTGCAGAGCTGGGTCTGTATCCAAGCCTCTGGCTCCTGCTACAGCATAGATAGCAGCTCTGCCCTCATCCCCTGGCTCCTGTGTCTAGGCATGTTGTGTGTGTTTTGCTCACACATCAACCTAGACATTGTTCCCACACGCTCCAAAAGTCCTTACCCACAAAAGCATGAATGATCCCTGGTCGGCAGAGAAGGCGATAGTATAAGAAATATAGTTGGTCTTTGTTCCCAGTTCTTGGCACAGAGATCTTAAAACTCTTGGAATTTCCTGAGTGATAGGAGAGTCTTTTGTTAATCATAATCAGCCTCTTTGGTCCCATGAATTTATGCTAATGATGTAGCTTAGTCTGGGATCCCTAGACAGCCTTAGCTTGGGTTGCCAGAAAGATCAGCTTTTCTGGTCACCAGAAAGACCAAGTAATTTGAGGACTGGAACTTTCATTCCCACACATTGACCTCTGGGAAGCAGACTGGAGGTTAAGCTCTAAAAACTTGAACAATGGGAGCTGACAAGCCTCTGGGTTGATGAACACATCCATGTGCCGGGAGGGTGGCATACCCCAGCTAGCTCCATGGGGACAGAAGCTCCTACGGACTTCCTGCCCCTTCCAGACCTCTCCCTACATACTTAGTCATCTGACTCTTTATTTATATGCTTTATAGTTAACTGGTAACAGTAAGTAAAGCGTTTCCCTGAGTTCTGTGAGCTGTTACAGCAAATTATTGAACCTTTATTTTCTAATTATTATTATTATGGTAGCAAATTATTGAATTATCGAAGAGGGGGCTATGGGAACCCCTGATTTGTAGCCAAGTCAGACAGAAAGAAGTGTGGGCAACCTGAAGACCCCCTACTTGCAATTGGTGTGTGACGTGGGAGGCAGTCGTATGAGGTCTGATATCATCTCCAGGTAGCTAAGGTCAGAATTGAAATGAATCACTGGGTACCCAGTTGGTGTCTTCAGAGAACTGGAAAATGACTTGATGTGGAAAATGCACACATTTTGTGCCAGAAATGTTGTGAGTAGGGAAAAAGTTTTGTTTTTAGGGTCACGACTCAAAGACTTTGTAACATCCTCAGTGAAAATTCCTGGCTACCAATGGCCACTCTTGGTCATTCCCAACTGTCCTTTAGACAGTGTCCAATCACCTGGCTCTTCATCGTGCCAGGGTGCAAAGCCTTTCTACTCTCTATGTCCAACTGTTAAGCTCTTCCCTCCGTCTTATCCTCAAACTCACAATCCTAAACCCAATAAAACAAAGCACTGCCTGCCCCTCCCCCTACCCGCCCCAGATAACAGGATTCTCTTTAGGAGGCAGATTGATTGCCATCCTTATTTTTATCATTTATTTATTTATATATATATTTTTTGAGACAGAATCTCACGCTGTCACCCAGGCTGGAATGCAGTGGTGCGATCTCGGCTCACTGCAACCTCCACCTCCTGGGTTCAAGCGATTCTCGTGCCTCAGCCTCCTGAGTAGCTGGGATTACAGGCACATGCCACCACGCTCTGCTAATTTTTGTATTTTTAGTAGAGACAGGGTTTCATCATGTTGGCCAGGCTGTCCTCGAACTCCTGACCTCAGGTGATCCACCCCCCGCAAAGTGCTGGGATCACATGCCTGAGCCACTGAGCCTGGCCAGTTTTTATTATTATTTTCAAAATGCCATCTTTATTACTTCAACAGGCTTCTGCAGTGTCATCCCCAAACCATAGGCAGCTTATCAAAGTCTTTCCTCTAAATACGTTTAGTTTTTCTCCAGGAAGAAGTGCAAAATGACATTTCTCCCTTTTGTCTCATCTATATCATATCACACAGATTCCCAAATTGGTTTCTCAGAAGCGTCTTTCAATGTCTGCTTTTCTGCCCTGGGAACTTGCCTGGCAGCTTCCCCATCGTGTGTCCAAGTCCGACCTCCTGGACCTGAACAGCGATGATAGGCGATGTTCTCAACTGCCTGTGTGATGGGGTGTGTGTACCCCACCTACGTGTGCCAAAGTCCACTCAGTTCATCCCCGTGCAGGGCTGGAGCTCCTCCCTGGGGCCATACGAGGTGTCCAGGAGTCCCCACTGGTTTTACAGCAGTCTCAGAAGATACTTGTAATCCCAGCACTTTGGGAGGCCGAGGCGGGCGGATCACTTGAGGTCAGGAGTTCGAGACCAGCTTGGCCAACATGGTGAAACCCCATCACTACTAAAAATACAAAAATTAGTCAGGTGTGGTGCTGCACATCTGTTATCTTAGCTACTTGGGAGGCTGAGGCAGGAGAATCGCTTGAACCCAGAAGGTGGAGGTTGCAGTGAGCCGAGATTGCACCACTGCACTCCAGCCTGGATGACAGAGCAAGACTCTGTCTCAAAAAAATAAAAATTAAAAAAAAAGGAAGATACTGCAGGGATAAGGGGAGCTGGCTGGCAACCTGCACAGGGCCAGTCCTCACCCTCCTCGTGCCTTGTTGTGCATGTGGGGTCTGTTGTGGAAGGTCCATAATGTGGGCGTGAAGATCAGGGGTGGGAGTGTCTGCTGAGGACACTCCAGTGAGATTCGTAGGCACCACGATAGCATCCTCCAGGAGGTCACCCATCAGTTCCTGTCTATGAGCTGCGTGTGTGGGATGGGTGCACTTAGCACAAGGTTTTCTTCTTATTCCTCCCAACCCAAGCCTCCTCTGCATGCTGCCCATGCACTACCTTATCCCCAATCTCACTGCATGTCCATGATGCACTCTTACGTTCAAGGTCAATCTCAAGGCTATGATACTTTACAGAAGCACATTGGTCTGACCTCTGCTTTCCAGAGGGTCCTGGGGAAGGTTGCCCTGCAGGAGGAAAGACCACAGGAAGGCCGAGTTTCCCTGCACAGTGGGTTGACTGTTGGCCTCTTCCTGCCCCTCTACGTGCCGCCCTCCTGTTGAGTCCTAAACGTTTTATACGCGTCTTCTTTAATTCCCACAACAAACTAGAGGGAGTGAATGCTATCATCCCCATTTTAGAGATTAAGAAATCAAAGCTCCAAGGGGTTCTGAAACCTGGTCAAGGCTACCCAGCTATTTACGGCACAGCCAGAGCTGGACCCCAAGCCTATGTATTGCCAAAGTTGGGTTCCTTCCATAGTGCTCATGAGGCTGTTGGTTAGAGTCCCCAGGAAAGACAGTGCTGCCTCTTCTTTTTAACACAGACAGACACAGGTAATTTGGAACCGAGTTGTTCTGGAGCTGCCACCTGTTAAGAGGTCGTCCTGTGGCACTTGATGGAAGACGCGTCATGGCTAAAAACATGAGTTCTCCAGAAGGCATATGCCTGTTCTAGAGCCCATGCCTCCAGGTGCTGCCTCTCTGGACACTATTTCCGTGCTTTTCTTTTCTTTTCTTTTCTTTTTTTTTTTGAGACAGATCTCGCTCTGTTGCCAAGGCTGGAGTGCAGTGGCGTGATCTCGGCTCACTGCAACCTCTACCTCCCGGGTTCAAGTGATTCTCTTGCCTCAGCCTCCTGGGTTCAAGTGATTCTCTTGCCTCAGCCTCCCGGGTAGCTGGGATTACAGGCATGTGCCACCATGCCTGGCTAATTTTTGTATTTTTAGTAGAGATGGGGTTTCACCATGCTGCCCAGGCTGGTCTTGAACTCCTGGCCTCAAGTGGTCCACTCGCCTTGGCCTCCCAAATTGCTAGGATTACAGGTGTGAGCCACTGTGCCTGGCCTACTTCTGTGCTTTCTGATATGTGATCTGTTATCCAGACCCTGGAGGCATGTTCCCTCATAAGCGATCCGGGCCTGAAGATGGCACAAATGTCCCTGCATGGTTGCAATGTCCCCAGATTAGCATCCCCAAAGCCTTAGTGAATCTTGATTAGACTTGGACCCCTTGGGAGCCTGCGGGCATCCATCCTTAGCTGGGCCCAAGTTTGCCCTCCGCTGGGATGTGTTGCACCATTGAAAGGTGTTGAGTCGACCGTGAAGATCGACGTGTGATCAATGTGTTTGTTGGCTCGGGTATTTGTGGACTTATACACACACTGAGTGTGGCTGAACATGTGTTGACAACGTTGAGCAGAGGGAAATTCTGAAGCAACAGCTATTGATCTTTCTGAGTGTTTGCATCGTGCGGGTGGAGGAGGAAGTGGCTACTGCGGGGCTGCCAGCCAGCTCTGCTGTCCCCGGTTCACACTCCCCGACAGCCTGTGAAGGCAGCGCTTATGGTCGGGATCACGCATCTCTGCGCTCCGGCTCAGACTGCAAGGAATCGGAGGCCTCGATGAGCCGCTGGAGTCCTCCTGGCAGCCTCTGAGGCATGGGCTGCTGCCAGATCACTGCCTCCCAGACGAATGTGTGAGTGAGTGATCCAACTCGACCCAAAAGAGCGTTTTAAAAATCAAAGGCAAATCTTTAGAAAGTAAGGGGAACTTGTGAATTATTTTTTCCAGCTTCTGGAAGTTACCCCAAAATTTCTAGTTGTATTGAACCTGCTAGGGCTTCCCGCTCTGCAGACTGCACCTTCCGGAGGTCCCGGGCCAGTTTAGACTGAGCTGCTGCCGGCGACAGGGGAGTGGCAGGTTCTGGATGTATCCGCCCTGGGCGCCTGGTTGTGGATTTTGCAGAGAAGGCCCTCGGGATGCTGTTATTTTATTCCATCCCAAATCCGCCAAGAGCACAATTTTAACCAGATTAATATCCAAAAAGCCCTAGTCTAGTTCCTGCAGCAAAATGCAATGGCACAAAAATCTTAGCACCTTCTGATCTGTAAATGAAAGTAAGGCAGATAATTTATGGCTCTTAAGTGACGACATGAGGAACTTAGGGATACGAACATGGGATGCCCACAGGGCTCTTGGATGGGGTTTCGTAGAAATCACCACTCTCCGTGGGAAATCTATGAAGCACAGTAACCACACTGCATCTCTCCTCATTGCAGTTGTTTGATGACCAGATTTTCACTTTCCTACACTTTACCCAACATAATATTTTCTTTTTTTTCTTTTTCTTTTCTTTTTATGAGATGGAGTCTTACTTCATTGCTCAGACTGCAGTGCAGTGGTGCGATTTTAGTTCACTGCAACCTCCGCCTCCCGGGTTCAAGCGATTCTCCTGCCTCAGCCTCCTGAGTAGCTGGGACTACAGATGCGTGCCACCACGCCTGGCTAATTTTTGTATTTTTAGTAGAGATGGGGTTTCGCCATGTTGGCCAGGCTGGTCTTGAACTCCTGGCCTCAAATTATCCACCTGCCTCTGCCTCCCAAAGTGCTGGGATTACAGGAGCCACTGCACCCGGCCTCAACCTAATATTTTCTCACAGAGCTGTGGCATGCCCAGATTCTGCTGGAATCCCACAGGGAGAGGCACGGTTAAGAATCTTATGCAATAACCCATTCCTTTGTCCTCATGATCAGCATATGTATGGACAGCCACAGTGGGGAAAATCGTCAGAGGCGTATGAACCACAGCAACCCCATCTTGAGTAGGGGCTGGGTAAAATGAGGCTGAAACCTACTGGGCTGTATTCCCAGATGGTTAAGGCATTCTAAGTCACAAGATAAGACAGGAGGTCAGCACAAGATACAGATCATAAAGGCCTTGCTGACAAAACAGGCTGCAGTCAAGAAGCTGGCTAAAACCCACCAAAACCAAGATGGCTATGAGAGTGACCTCTGATCATCCTCACCACTACTCTCCCACCAGCGCCATGACAGTTTACAAATGCCATGGCAACGTCAGGAAGTTACCCTCTATGGTCTAAAAAGGGGAGGGCATGAATAATCCACCCTTGTTTAGCATATCATCGAGAAATAACCATAAAAATGGGCAACCAGCAGTGCTTGGGGCTGTTCTGTCTATGGAGTAGCCATTCTTTTATTCCTGTACTTTTTAAATAAACTTGCTTTGCACCGTGGACTCTCCCTGAATTTTTTCTTGTACGAGATCCAAGAACACTCTCTTGAGGTCTGGATCGGAACCCCTTCCTGTAACAGACCATATTTGTGGATTTTAGTTATTCCATCATAAGCCAGAGAATTTTCTACCTCAGCATCATGGCAACACCAAGGCATTGACTCCTAGGATAATGATAATTGCTTTCGCAGCAGTCTGCCCCTGGGGACACCCTGGGAATATTTCATACTTACCAGGCTTTTGACCTTTGAGGTCATATCTGTGCAATTCTCAAATATATTATTATCATTTCAGTACAAAATTTTACAAAAGAGAAAAAGCAATTAACCAGTTGCCTACTTCCACATAGATAAAGATATCTGGATAATCAACCTAATCTTTGATTTGGCTTGATTGATTAATTAATTAAACATTTATTGAGCTAGGCCTGAACTAGGTGCTGCCATGCTGTGTCTCATAGTCAGAGTCCTGGAAGGTAATTTGCAAATGTTGATCCTGTCTGGGAAGTGTACGGTGGCGGGGAGAGAAGAGAGGATGAACAAACACCCTTGATCGAGAGTGTGAGGGGCCTCCTTCTCCTCTCCCAGCACCAGAATCTGTGTCCCTGGGGAGTCAGAAGTTTCAGTGCTTGTCCTGGCAGCACTGTGGTAGCAGGTCTCTGTGTGCCTGTGTGTGGAGCACACTGAGTATGGATGTGTGAGCACGTGAACATTTGCACACACATGCACATTTGCACACACATGCACACACGCAGGCCATGCAGATTGAGGGAGGGAGATGTCCCACTCTCATTGTTGGTGGGAGTGCTAATTAGTACATACTCCATGGAGTACAATACAGTCATATTTACTAAAATATAAGATGCATATACTACCAGCTACTTGGGAGACTGAAGCAGAAGGATAGCTTAAGCCCAGGAGTTCAGAGCCAATCCAGCCAAGGCAACATAGTGAGATCTCATCTCAAAAAAAAAAAAAAAAAAAAGCACATACCTTTTGATGCAATCATTCAACTTTTAGGAATTTATCTTAATGATATTCTTACACATGTGCTAATGATGCTATTCAGAGATATTTAATTTTAATTCGTTTAGTCATTCATCAAACATTTAATGAGGTACCACTGCATTCCAGGCACTGTTCAGGGCTCTAGAGAAACAGTTATGAGGAAGACAGACTAGTTTTTACCCTCCAGGAGCTTACATTCGAGTGGGAGAAGCAGACAATAAAGAAATAAATAGGGAATGCATAATAAATCATATAGGATGCCCATGTATCCCAGTTGCCTGGCATAGTCATAGGTATGTTCTAGTAGAACTGTTAGTGCCCCTTTCTGCTCTCAGAAGTGTTCCAGTCTGGGCCAGGCACGGTGGCTCACGCCTGTAATCTCAGCACTCGGGGAGGTTGAGGTGGTCAGATCACTTGAGGTCAGGAGTTCAAGACCAGCCTGGCTAACATAGTTAAACCCTGTCTCTACTAAAAATACAAAAATTAGCTGGGCATGGTCGTGGACACCTGTAGTCCCAGCTACAGGTGTAGGGAAGCTGAGGCAGGAGAATTGCTTGAATCTGGGAGGTGGAGGATGTGGTGAGCCGAGGTCATGCCACTGCACTCCAGCCTGGGAGACAGAGCAAGACTCCATCTCAAAAAAAAAAAAAAAAGAAGTGTTCCAGTCTGTATGATAAATGATGTGGCTACCCTGAGGTGGTGTTGACGAGTGCTTTGAAAAAAAGTAGGAAAAGAGGGAAAGAGTGACTTAAGTGTGTACTGTTTTATGTATTATTCATTGCAGATTATTTGTAGTAAGAAAAAATTGGAAATATCCTGAATGTACATTAATTGGAGATTGATTAATAAATGATGCTACATTGATACAATAGAATAGTATGTATCTGTCAAAAAGAATTGAGACACAATTACTGCTGTGGGACAATGTCTAAGATAGAGTGTTGAGTGAAAATAGCAAGATACAGAACAGCATATATAGTATAATACTACTATATATAAAGAAGAAGGGTGTCTGTACTTGATTGTGTTTGATCATTCATAGAAAAGCTCTGGGAGGGCCAGGCGCGGGGGCTCACGCCTGTAATCCCAGCACTTTGGGAGACAGAGGTGGGAGGATCACAAGGTCAGGAGTTTGAGACCAGCCTGGGCAATATGGTGAAACCCCGTCTCTACTAAAAATACAAAAAAAAATTATATATATATATATATATATATATATATATATATATATATATATATATATAAATTAGCTGAGCATGGTGGCACTTGCCTGTAGTCCTAGCTACTCAGGAGGCTGAGGCAGAAGAATAGCTTGAACCTGGGAGGTGGAGGTTGCAGTGAGCTGAGATAACGCCACTGCACTCCAGCCTGGGCAACAGAGCAAGGCTCTGTCTCAAAAAAAAAAAAAAAAAAAAAAAGAAAAGAAAAAAGCAAAGCAGAAAAGCTCTGGAAGGGCACACACACACACAGACACAAAAACTGGTAACAGTGGTTGATTTTGGAGAGGAAATTGGGGCACTAAAATTTAGAGATGGAGAGAGACTTTCTTTTCACTGTACACTAGTTTATATTGACTTTTATTTATTTACTTATTTATTTGTTTATTTATTTTGAGACAGAGTCTTCTCTGTCACCCAGGCTGGAGTGCAGTGGTGAGATCTTGGCTCACTGCAACCTCTGCCTCCCGGGTTCAAGTGATCCTCCCATTTCAGCCTTCCAAGTAGCTGGTACTATAGGCGTGCACCACCATACCTGGCTAATTTATTTTATTTTATTTTATTTTCAGTAGACACGGGGTTTCACCATTTTGGCTAGGCTAGTCTCAAACTCTTGACCTCAAGTGATTTGCGCGACTCGGCCTCCCAAAGTGCTGGGATTGCAGGCATGAGCCACCATGCCCGGCCTATATTCTTTGACTTTAAAAAAGTTATGTGCACATATTACCTATGAAAAAGCAACAAAGAAGAGAAGGAAAATTTCTCAAGTCTAGCTGGGTATGAAGTGAAGGAATCTTCATGGGAAGTTCTCACTCAGGCCACATTAGAATCCCATTGGGAACATTTAAAATTCAGATGTCTGGGCCCCACTCACAGAGAGTCTGATTTACTTGGTTGTGGATGGGGCCTGGGTGTTGACGTTTAAAAACTAAAGTTGCCAAGGTTATTCTAATGTGCTGCTGTGGCTGGGAACTAACACTTCTCAACCCTTAATATGTACATGCATCATCTGGGGATCTTGATAAAGTGCAGACTCTAATTCAGTAGATCTGGAGTGGAGGGAGCATTTCTAACAAGATTCTGCATTTCTGATGCATCCCAGGTGATGCTTATGCAGCTGGTCCATGGACCACATTGGTAGTAGCACAAGGCTAGAATATCTTTGGCTGAGAACAGATAGTTCCTGTGCCTCTGCTTACACATCTTTGGAGAGGAGCTGCTCACTTCTTTTTGAATGTTGCTGTTTTAAGGAAGAGTGGGTGCAGATAATTAGCTTTCTTCATTTGGAAGATCTGAGTGCTGCTGAAGTGGATTCTGGGCTTAAATCTGGTATTTTTATTATTCTAGGTTTCTTGTTCTGAGAGCATAAGAGCTGGACTACAACACAGTTTCATGGGCAATCTTGCAGAAACCATGGGCAGTTGAGAGAAGGCACCAATGATGTGGGCAGGTGGCCTTGAGAAGCAGCCCTAGAGAGCATAGGAAACTTCAGAACAGAAAACAAATGGAAGACAATGATGTCAGCAAGATGGTGGAATAGGAATTTTCTATCATCATTTATCTATAGGGCACTGATTTTGACAGTCACCCAAAGATAAGAGTACCTCTGTGGGAATCTGAGAGTCCAGTGGGAGAAGTTCCAGCACACAGTTGAATCATAAAATCTGAGAACAGATGCATTCAAGAGGGTAAGAACATCTTTACTTTACCAGCATCTTCCCTCCACCATGGGGTCACAGCTCAATGACAGAAGAGATTCCCTCACCTGCAATTCCTCCCACAGGAAAAAATGAGAGCAATGAGTGAGTGCCCAGGTTCCACAGCTGCGTGGAATGCTGTCCAAGAGGCTCATCTTTTTCTTGCCTGTCATACTTGTCTAGAATACTGAGGACATAAGTATGGTGAGTAGCTGGGAGAAGCTGGGAGTAGGAAAAAGAGGTGGAGACTCACAGTAACTAGGACATGGGACTCAACAAAGGGCCACAATCCTACTAACTGCTTTGCAGAATCCATCAGGAAGCCTGCCCACAAGCTGTTTGGGATGCCTCACCTGCAGATCCTCCAGTTGACCCATGGACACCTCAATGCTCCAAACACCTCACCTATCTCTCCACCCATGGCTGGCTCCCTGTGTGTACCCCTGGAAAGTGAGTGTTAGCCTTTGCAGTTGGCTAACAAGCATGTATAGTCAGCCAGCTTGACTCTGGGAAATTGGGAGAAGGCACACAAATTTAAGCATTTCAAAACACTGTCATATGGGAAATGAGGGAGGTTCTCAACACCCAGCATGGCTTTAAAATTGAAAGAAGGCATACAATCTTAAGAATTCCATCCAACCTAAGAGGAAACAAGAAGGGTGGAATGGATGCTTTCATTAAAAATGTCTGAGAGGGCTTGGAATTTCTAATCAGGTTTACTGGTGAAGGCATTTGTCTCCCAAAGCAAGTCAGAGGGGTGACTGCTTCTTCAAGCGGAAAGACATCAATGCAAGACTTAAAGGAACATAAAAAACAAACAAACAAACAACCAGGGAAATATAACACCACCAAAGGAACACAGTAATTTTCCAGTAACTGACCCCAAAGAAATGAAGATCTATAAAAAGTGCCTGACAAATAATTCAAAATAATTGTCTTAAGAAAGCTCACCTACCTATAAGAGAATACAGATAGACAACTCAATGAAATCAGAAGAATAATACATGAACCGAACAAATTCAACAAAGAGAAAGAAATCACAAAAGTACCAAACAGAAATTATGGGGCTGAAGAAAACAATGAATGGAATGCAAAAATGCAATAGAGAGCTTCAACAGCAGGCTTGATCAAGCAGAAGAAAGAATATGTGAATTTGAAGGCAGGTCATTTGAAATTATCCAGTCAGAGGAGAAAAAAGAATGAAAAGGAATGAAGAAAACTTACAGAATTAATGAGACATCACCAAGAGAAATAAAATTTCCACACTATGGAAATCTTACAAGGAAAAGAGAGAGAGAAAGGGGCAAAAGCTTATTTAAAGAAATAATGGCTAAAACTTTTCAAATAGTGGGAGAGATATGGACAGCCACATACATGGTGATCAAAGGTCCCCAAACAGATTCAATCTAAAGAAGACTTCAGTGGGGAACACTGTAGTCAAATTGTCAAAAATCAAAGACAAAGAGAATTTTGAAAGAGTCAAGAGAAAATAGATGGGTCACATACAAGGGAACCCCCATAAGGTTATCAGCAGATTTCTCAGCAAAAACTTTGCAGACCAGGAGAGAGTAGGATATAGTCAAATATATTGTATTCAATGTGCTAAAAGAAAAAAAACCTACCAACTAAGGACAATTTACCTGGAAAAGCTATCCTTCAGAAATGAGGGAGAGATAAAAACTTTCCCAGACACACAAAAACTGGAGGAGTTCATCACTGCTAGACCTGCCTTATAAGAAATACTGAAGAAGGCCAGGTGCGGTGGCTCACACCTATAATCCCAGCACTTTGGGAAGCCGAGGTGGGTGGATCACGAGATCAGGAGATCAAGACCATCCTGGCCAACATAGTGAAACCCCATCTCTCCTAAAAATACAAAAATTAGCCAGGCGTGGTGGCACACACCTGTAGTCTCAGCTACGTGGGAGGCTGAGGCAGGAGAAATCACTTGAACCTGGGAGGTGGAGGCTGCAGTGAGCCGAGATCATGCCACTGCACTCCAGCCTGGTGACAGAGCGAGACTCTGTCTAAAAAAAAAAAAAAAAAACAACTGAAGAAATTCTTCAAGCTGAAATGAAAGGACACTCATTTGTAACATGAAACGTATAAAAGTATAAAACTTAATGGTAAAGGTAAGTATATATAAATGCTCCTTGACTTATGATGGGGTTATGTCCTGATAAAACCATCAAAAGTTGAAAACATTATAAGTTGAAAATGCATTTAATACACTCAACTCACTGAATGTTATAGCTTAAACATATCTAGAATACTTATGTTAGCCTAAAGTTGGGCAAAATAATCTAACACAAAGCCTATTTTATAGTAGTGTTGAATATCTCATGTAATTGCTTGAATACTATACTGAAATTTTTTGTTTTGTTTTATTTTTCTTTCTAAGTGTGTATTGCTTTTGGACCACTGTAAAGTTGAAGCATCATTAGTTGAATTATTGTAAGTCAGGGACTATCTGTACTCAAATTCAGAATACTTGTATACTGTAATGGTGGTGTATAAATCAAAAGTATGAAAAATAACTATAGCTACAATGATTTGTTAATGGACTCACAATATAAAAATAAGTAAATTGTGACATCAAAAGCATAAAATGTGAGGAGAGAAGTAAAAGTGTAGAGTTTTTGTATGTGATCAAAGTTAAGTTGTTATCAGCTTAAAATAGATTTATCTAATTATAAGATGTTTCATGTAAGCCCCATGGTAACCACAAAGCAAAGCCTTAGTAGATACATAGAAGATAAAAAGAAAGAAATCAAAGCATGCCATTATAGAAACCATCAAATCACAAAAGAAGATGTCAAGAGAGGAAGAAAGAAACAAAATTACAGAATAGTTAGAAAACAATTAACAAAATGGGAATAGGAAGTAATTACCTATCAATAATTGCTGTAAATGTAAGTGGGTTAATTTCTCCAATCAAAAGACATACAGTGGCTGACTGGATTTTTTTAAAAAAGATTTAATTTTGCCAGGCACCGTGGCTCATGCCTGTAATCCCTGCACTTTGGGAGGCCGAGGAAGGTGGATCACGAGGTCAGGAGTTCAAGACCAGCCTGGCCAAGATGGTGAAACCCCATCGCTACTAAAACTACAAAAATTAGCCAGGTGCTGTGGTACAGGCACCTGTAATCCCAGCTACTCGGGAGGCTGAGGCAGGAGAATCGCTTGAACCTGGTTGGCAGAGGTTGCAGTGAGCCAAGATCATGCCACTGCACTCCAACCTTGGCAACAGACTGAGACTCTGTCTCAAAAAAAAAAAAAGATTTAATTATATGCTGCCTACAAGAGACACACGGAAAGTGAAGGGATGAAAAAATATATTCTAGGCAAATGGTAACCAAAAGAAAGCAGGAGTGGCTATAGGTAAATCAGAAAAATATAGACTTTAAGTAAAAAACTGTCACAAGAGACAAATAAGGTCATTATATAATGATAAAGGGATCAATTTATCAAGAGAATATGACAATATATATGCCTTAAGCATTGGAACACCTAAATATATAAAGCAAATATTAACAGATCTGAAGGGAGAAATAGACAGCAATACAATAATAGAAGGGGAACTTCAATACCCCATTTTAAAAAAACAGACAGATCATCCAGATATAAAATAAATAAGGAACATTGGACTTAAACTGAACCTTAGACCAAATAAACCTAACAGACATATACAGGACACTGTATCCAACAGCAACCAAATACACATTCTTGTTAAGCACACATGGAATATTCTCTAGGATAGATCATATGTTAGGTCACAAAACAAGTCTTGAAAAATGTTAAGAATATTGAAATCATATTAAGTATCTCTTCTGACTACAGTGGTATAAAACTAGAAATTAACAACAAGAGGAATACTGGAAAAATTAACAAATATGTGGAAATTGAACACCACTTCTGAACAACTGTCTTAGGTTGCTCAGGCATTTCTAGTAAAGTAGCATAAACTAGGTAGCTTATCAACAATAAACATATTTCTCACAGTTCTGGAGGTTAAGTCCAAGATCAAGGCAATGAAAGTTTCAATGTCTGGTGAGGGCCTGCTTTCTCCATAGACTAATGTTTTTTCACTGTAACTTCACATGGAGGAAGGGGCTAGCTAGCTTGGTGACGTCTCTTTTATAAGGGCACTAATCCTAATCATGAGGGCTCTGCATTCCAAAGGCCTCCCACCCGCCGCCCAATACCATATTGGTATTGGTTAGGGTTTCAAGGGGGATGCAAATATTCAGATCATAGTGACAACCAATGGGTTAAAGAAGAAATTTTTTTAAAAAATTGAGATAAACAAAATGGAAATGAAATATACCAAAATTTATGGGATGCAGCAAAAGCAGTTTAAGAGGGAAATTTTTATCGATAAATACTTACTTAACATTAAGAAGGAGTGAAGATCTCAAATAAACAACTTAACTTTATCTCAAGGGACTAGAAAAAGAACAAACTAAGCCCAACATAAGTAAGCAGAAGAAAGGAAATAACAAAGATCAGAGCAGAAATAAATGAAATAGTGATTAGAGAAACAATAGAACATATTGAGACTGAATTATAAAGTAATAGAAAATATGAATGGATCAATGAAAAACAAGGAAATTGAATCTGTAATGAAAAATCTCCCAGCAAAGAAAAGCCCATAGACAGATGGCTTTACTGGTGAATTCTACCAAACTTAAAAAAAAGAATTTATAGCAATTTTCAAACTCTACCAAAAATTGAAGAAAAGGAAATACTTCCAAACTCATTTCAGAAGCCCAGCATTACCTAATAGAGGAGCCAGACAAGGAGATTATAAGAAAAAATTACTTTCCAACATCTCTGATGAAAATAAATGCCAAAATCCTCAATAAAATACTAGCAAACTGAATTCAATAGCACACAAAAACTCATATACCATGATCAAATGGAATTTATCCCCAGGATGCAAGGATAGTTCAATGTACACGAACCAATAAATGTGATACATGATATTAACAGAATTAAAGATAAAAACCATATGATCGTCTCAATAAGAGCAAAAAAGCATTTGACAAAATTCAACATAATTTCATGATAAAAACTCTCAACAAATTAGGTGTAGAAGGAATGCACCTCAACATAATAAAGGCCATATATGACAAGCCCACAGATAACATTAAACTCAACAGTGAAAAGCTGAATCATTTCCTCTAATATCAGGAATAAGACAAGGATGTCCACTCTATCCACTTCTATTCAACAAAGTACTGGAAATTCTAGCTAGAGCACTTGGGCAAGAAATAGAAATAAAAGGCATCCAAATCAGAAAGGAAGAAGTTAAATTTTCTCTGCAGATGACATGATTTTATATATAGAAAACCCTAAAGACATCCCCAAAAAACTGTTAGAATAAATGAATTAAGTAAAGTTGCAGAATACAAAATCAACATACAAAAATCAATTGTTTCTATACACTAAAAACAAACTACTAGAAAAAGAAATTAAAAAAAATTCCTTTTATGACAGCATCAAAAAGAATAAAATACTTAGGACTAAATGTATCCAAGGAGGTGAAAGATCTGTACACTGAAAACTATAAAATGTTGATGAAAGAAATTAAAGAAGACACAAATAAATGGAAAGATATCCTGTGTTTTATGCATTGGAAGAATTAATATTATTAAAATGTCCATATATCCAAAGTGACCTAAAATTTCAGTGCAATCCCTATCAAAATTCCAATGGCATTTTTCATAGAAATATAAAAAACAATCTTAAATTTGTAGGAACCACAAAAGATCCCAAATAGCTAAAGCAGTTTTAAGAAAGAAGAACATAGCTGCAGGCATCAAACTTTCTGATTTCAACTTATATTACAAAGCTATAGTAATCAAAACAGTATGGTACTGGCATAAAAACAGAAACATAAATCAATGGAACAGAATAGAGAGCCCAGAAATTCACTCACAAGTATATGATCAACTAATCTTTGACAAAAACAACAAGAATAAACAATGAGAAAGGACAATCACTTCATTAAATGTTGCTGGAGAAACTGAATATTCACATACAAAAGAATGATAATGAATCCTTATTCTTATGCCATACACAAAAATCAACTCAAAATGGATTAAGGACTTAAACATAAGACCTGAAATCATAAAATTCGTTTTTTTTTTTTTTTTTTAGACGGAGTCTTGCTCTGTTGCCCAGGCTGGAGTGCAGTGGCATGATCTCATGATCTCAGCTCACTGCAACCTCTGCCTCCTGGGTTCAAGTGATTCTCCTGTCTCAGCCTCCTGAGTAGCTGGGACTACACTACAGGCACGTGCCACCACGCCCGGTGAATTTTTTGTATTTTTAGTAGAGATGGGGTTTCACCATGTTAACCAGGATGGTCTTGATCTTTTGACCTTGTGATCCACCTGCCTCGGCCTCCCAAAGTGCTAGGATTACAGGCGTGAGCCAGCGCGCCTGGCCTGAAATCATAAAACTCTTAAAAGAAAATGTAGGGGAAAAGCTTCTTCACATGGGTCTTGGCAATGATTATTTTGGATATGACACCAGAAGCTCAGGCTATAAAAGAAAATTAAATAAATGGGACTATATCAAACTGAAAAGCTTCTGCACAGTAAAGAAACAATTAACAAAATGAAAAGGTAGCATATGTATTGGGAGAAAATATTTACAAGCCATATATCTGATAAAGGGTTAATATCCAAAATATATAAAGGGCTCAATAACTCAATAGTAAAAAAACAAATAACCTGATTTTAAAATGGGCAAAGGACCTGAATAGACATTTGTCCAAAGAAGACATAATGGCCAACAGGCATATAAAAAGGTGCTTAACATCACTGTCAGGGAACTGCAAATCAAAATCACGATAAGATATTATCTCATAGCTGTTAGGAAGGCTATTATCAAAAAGGCAGAGATAGGTGTTGGCAAGAATGTGGAGAAAAGTGAACCCTTGTATATTGTTAGTGGGAAAGTAGATTGGTGTAGCCATTAGGGAAAATAGTATGAAGGTTCCTAAAGCAATTAAAAATGGAACTACTATATGACCCAGAAAGAAATAAAATTACAACGTTGGCTGGGTGCGGTGGCTCATGCCTGTAATCCCAGCACTTTGGGAGGCTGAGGCAGGCAGATCACTTGAGGTCAGGAGTTTGAGATCAGCCTGGCCAACATGGTGAAACCCTGACTCTACTAAAAATACAAAAATTAGCCAGGTGTGGTGGTGGGCACCTGTAATCCCAGCTACTCGGGAGGCTGAGGCAGAAGAATGGCTTGAACCCAGGAGGTGGAGTTTGCAGCCAGCCAAGATTGTGCCACTGCACTACAACCTGGATGACAGAGTGAAGCTCCATCTAAAAAAACAGAAAAGAAAATTATGACCTAATAGAGATATCTGCACTCCCACTTAATTGCAGCTTTATCCATAAAAGTCAAGATCTGGAAATAACTTTATCCATAAAAGCCAAGATCTGGAAGTGTCCACTGACAGTTGGTATGGTTTGAATGTGTTGGAAAAGCATGTGTTGGAAACTTAATCCCCAATGCAACAGTGTTGAGAGGTGGGGCCTAATGAGAGGTTATTAGGCCATGAGGATTCTATTGGATTAATGGATTAATGCTGCCATCTTGGGAGTAGATTTATCATTGCGAAAGCAGGTTCCTTATAAAAGTATGAGTTGGGCTTTCTTTTGCCTCTCTCACCCATTCTTGCCTTTTTGCTCTTCCACCATGGGATGATGTATCAAGAAGGTCCTTGCAAGATGCCAGCACCTTGATACTGGACTTTGCAGCCTCCCAAACTGTAAGCCAATAAATTTTTGTTTATTGTAAATTACCCAGTCTGTGGTATTTTGTTATAGCAAGAGAAAAAAGACTAAGACAATAGTTAAATGGATAAAGAAACTGCTGTGTGTGTCTTGTATGTCAATGTGTATATGTATGTCTGTTGTATGTGTATATACATACACATGTGTATACACACATACACATACAACACGTACACAGACATACTTACGTACAATGGAATATTATTCAGCCTTAAAAAAGGAGAGCCTGCCATTTATCACAACATGGATGAATGTGGAGGACATTATGCTAAGTGAATAAGCTAGGCAGAGAAAGTCAAATACCGCGTGACCTCACTTATATGTGGAATCTAACCAAGTTAAACACATAGAAACAGAGAGTAGAATGGTGCTTACCAGGGGCTAGAGGGGTGGGAGCAAGGGGGAGATATTGGTCAAAAGGTATAAAATTTTAGTTATATAGGATGGATAAGTCCTGGGGATCTAACGTACAGCATGGTGACTATCCATAGTCACCATAGTACAGAATGGTGACTAACCATAGACTAATCCATAGTCACCATGGTGACTAGTTAATAATAATGTATCACACACTTGAAATTTGCTAAGAGAGTAGATATTAAATGTTCTCACCCCCCCAACCCCCCACACAAAAGGGTAACTATGGGAAGTGATGGATTTGTTAATTAGCTTGATTGTGGAAATATTTTCACTATATGTATATATATATATAAATATAAATATATATATGAATCATTATGTTGTATACCTTAAATATATACAATTTCTGTTTGTCAATCCTACTTCAATAAATTTTTTTGCTATGGGATGTGGAATAGAAAAGTGGCCAGGAGGTAGCAGGATTTCTGTGTGTTGGTGGATGTTGAGGTTTGTGCACAGCACAGGGCAGTTGCTGGGATTCCTAAAGATCCCTAAAAGAGAGAGTCACCTTCCAGAAAGCAGAGGCGGCCTTGGCTGTGCACCAACAGAATGGTGTCTTTTCCAAGAAGGTGAAATTTGAGGAAGCATCCACAGGCAGGCTGTGGTGTCTGTTTCCTGAACAGCCTCAATGGGTGTCTCTCACAAGCTCCACTTGGTGTCTAGAGCCCCCTCTCGCCTGAGAATACATTGTTACAGTGGAGTGAAAAACTTTAAGAAAATTCAAATTGGCACCTTCCTTGGTCAATTTCACAGTCTTCAACCTGTACCTGCTCAGAATGCCTTTGTCCAGTCGTAGGACTTTTCCTTCTATGTGGATGGGTGGAACCCTTGTCTTTGGACATTTTGGACTCTTTCATGAGGAGCAGAAGCAAACTATCGGAGGGTGGCTTGTCGCACCAAGGATGCAAGAATAAAACACACCTATTCATAGCCACCCAGAGGGACTGCCTCAGAATAGAGCTGGACCATGAGAGTGCAGAAGGGCAGGAAGCCACAGGAGACATAAAGAGATCATTTCCCTGCAGGCTGGCTCCCAGGGAAACCTGTCGCTGCTTTCACTGCTGTTGTAAGACACTTGACTGGGTGAGGAATGAGGGATTGGGACACTGAAGGAGGAAATGAAATCTATAAAGTGCGGAAGTCCGAGAGCCTTTTCGGGATGGGTGTTGAAAGTGGGCTCCCACTCATCACTCCTCAGCATGCCCTGCCCATTCCTGTCCTTGCCCACATTGGTTCCTGTACCCTGCAGTGTTCCCTCCCCTAGCACTGCTTAACCCTGCCTGTTGGAAATGGACCTCTTCCAAAATTCCTCTTGACCTCCTGCCCACCCCCTCCACTCTCCACCCTAATCAGGCAGAATCCAGCTCTCCCACCCTGTACATTCAAGGCTTCTTTTAAACTAAACTTAACACTGTTGTTGATTTTTATTTATTTATTTATTTTTTGAGATGCAGTAGATCTGTGATCTACTCACAGATATAAACAACAGCCTGCAGCTCCTGTTTCATGTGAAAACTCTGCGTGAGATGAGCTCTTTATTTTGCAGTTAACAAGAAATTAAGAAACTGAGCTAGAGAAATGAGGTTCCTAGATCAGCCTCAGGGATTCAGTCTCACTAGATCTCACTCCCATTTAGCCCTGTTTGCCTGTGACCCACAAGGAGGCCAGCCCCAGGACAAGAGGTCTGTAGGCCAGGCCAAAGCTTAGTGTGGAGGAGAACTCCCCAGGGCCAAACCCGGAATTTGGACCCAGAAACTCAGAGTGAAGGTGCAAGCTAAACATAAACAGTGCTGGATAGCACTAAGAAGAGTCCTCGAGGCCTATGATCGAATCAAGAGTTCTTTTCTTCCAGCCTCCTTTCTAGGCAGGCCAATGACCAGATAAATTGGGCAGTTTAGAATATCCTTTTGTTCTAAGTGAAGTAACTCAGGAATGGAAAACCAAACATCGTATGTTTTCACTCATAAGCGGGAGCTAAGCTATGAGGATGCAAAAGCATAAGAATGACACAGTGGACTCTGGAGACTCAAGGGGAAAGGGTGGGAAGCGGATGAGGGATAAAAGACTACAAATTGGGTGCAGTGTGTACTGCTTGGGAGATGGGTGCACCCAAATCTCACAAATCACCACTAAACAACTTACTCATGTAACCAAACACCATCTGTTCCCCAATAACCTAAGGAAATAAAATATTAAAAAAAAAAGAATATCCTTTTGTTGGATATTCTACACCTTGAATTCTGAGCATTGTGGATTCTTGGGTATGTTTCTTGTGGTTTGCAAATCTGTCTTCCTCAGTGGCTGTAAGCCCTTTAAAAATATGTATCAAGGCTGGGCAACGTGGCTCAGGCTGGTAATCCCAGCACTTTGGGAGGCCAAGGTAGGAGATCACTTGAGTCCAGGAGTTCGAGACCAGCCTGAAAAACATGGCAAAAACTCCATCTCTACGAAAAAAAACAAAAAAACAAAAAAACAAAAAACTAAAATTAGCCAGGCATGGTGGCGTGCACCTGTAGTCCCAGCTACCCAGGAGGCTGAGGTGGGAGGATCACCTGAGCCCCGGAGGTCGAGGCTGCAGTGAGCCATGATTGCATCACTGCACTCCAGCCTCGGTTATAGAGTGAGACCCTATCTCAAATAAATAAGTAAAAGAAAGAATAGACATCAAGTATCTTAGCGTCTTGGCCATGCAACACATCGTAGATGTTCAATATTTTTTTGAATGACTCAGAGAATCTCTAATACTTTATGTCAACCCCAAGTCCCCTGATTTCCCTTGCTTGGTTTTTGGGATTGATGTTTCAAACCCTAGAATGCATGGTGGCTCTCTTTAACTCCACCATAAAAAGGTAGTGGGAAAGGCCTGACACTGTCTTCTGACATTCCTTGTACAGCCGAGGATGAGGGCTGTGCCAGCACCAGGCCCTCAGTAAGTGGTCGTGCACCCAACCAGCAGGAAAACAGAATTCATGCTTTACTTATAACAGGTCAGAATCACTTTAACTAGCGTTGCTGACTTGCTGTTCAGGAAATTGCTTTTCTACCCAGGCGGAGCCTAAATCAGTTGGTCCCCACTGACCCTCAGGACACGATTGACTAAGTTACCTCGCATAGGCCCAACTTTTGGAAAGATTCAATTTTCCTAATTTTCCTCCAGGTCCTGAGCCGTGTCAGTGACTGATTAGCTCCAGAGTAGTCATGTGCTGGTTGTATTTATAGCACTAATTAATTAATACAGGTAAAGAGCTGGGAAGATAAAGTGCTCGGAGCGTGAGGTGTCTTAAAATGACGATTAGCGCATGGGCCAGGGACCTTTGAATGTGAACGTATGGGGGAAAAAAAATGCCGTCACAGGTAGAGCCTTTTAAAAAGCCTCAATGTGATTACGGAAGACATAAATTAACTGGAGGAAGTAGCGCTCCAGTCAGTGACAGACTGTCGTCAGAATCCTTCCCCGTTTGGTTTCCATTTAAATCGACACATATGGCGAGGGTTTTAAGCATACGAGCACTCTCCTGCGGGAATATGGAAGCCTCGGTTTCAGTGAACTCAGTGGGTGGTGTTGCTTCTCCCCATCAACAGGAAAAGAAATGTTGAGTTCTGCAAGGGTTAGGGAGCCCAAAGATGGGTGGCTTTTTTCATTTGATAGCATTTTATCAGAGGCACCTGAAGCCCTTCAAAAATGTAGTGTGGACACAGATGCCTGGAAAACAGTGGGTGCTACCAAGGCCCAGCCTGGGGAGCTAGTGATTTGAGGTGGAGGGGGGGCTTGGTACAGTCTTCTGGGTTCTTCATTTAGTAAGAGGAGACATGGAGACAGATTTCTGGCTGCTGCAGGTCCAACTGCTGAGGAGCTTTGTGAGGGCAGAAATAGGTCAATTTCCCAGTGGAAACTCATACACAATAGGAGGGAGGCCTGGAGATGTTTTGAGCAATGGAGAGCCAGGTTTGAGGCCGCATCAGAAGCTCTGCTGTGTCTGGAATTTGCTTAAGTCTGGCCTGGCCTCTGCCTAAGTGGAATTATTCTTTAATCCTGACCGAAATGCTTTTCCTCTGAAATGTCCGAGTCAGCCCAGAAAGCGACCCTGCGGGTGTTTGGGAGGGCGCTAGGGGCTTTGAGCTTTTTGGAAAAGAGCTGGCCCCACCTGTCTCAGCAGGGTTATCATCTACCTATGTATATCTTAGAGAAAGGCCTCCCTCACCCACAAGGTGAGTGCCACAGTCTGGGCACAGGCTTGGAGAACAGGTCTCAGCTACGCATGTACCCTTAGCAGGGCACTTCTGTGCAATGAACAACCAGCCTAACCATGTGAATTGGCATGTCTCAGGTGGGGCCTGGAAGACTGTGAGGCTTCTTCATAACAGCCTCTCCTGTGCAGAGATGAAAAGGTGGGACCATCGCTAGAATGGCCGTGGGAGAAGGGCTGCCCTGACTCCCCTAGACACTTGCTCCAAGAATGAGTTAACTGTATCAGTTCAAATCCCATCAGTCAGACACCCCCCAGGTCTTTCAAAACAGGGCATTTAATCTAAGGAGTTGGTTACAAAGGTGTCAGAAAAGTGACAGGAGGGAAAAAAGGTGCAGTGAATTTACCCAATGAGTAACAGCTATGGAAGCTGCAATCCCATGGCTGGATGCCCCTGAGACCATGGCTGTTAAGGATGAGCTGCCTGAGCAGGAACCTGAGCCTGCATTTTCTGGCCTGCTGCTGCCATCACAACTGTTCCTGCCTTGGCTACTGTCCCCTTCCCTGCTGACCCTCCTCCACTGCTGCTACTGCTACTTCTGCCACAGAAGCGTCTGGAAAATAGTTTCACCTTTTCTCATGCCTTTCATTTTTATCCCCAGCGCTTTGTATTAGTGAAACCTAGCCCAAAGTCAGTCAGCTAGCAAAAGAATATGGAAAATGCAGTTTTCAGGCATCTAGCCCCAGTGCTAGAGAAGTGTGCATAGCAGGGTGATTTTTTGCTGAGAGATAACACACTTTGTTTTGTAAATTCACCTATGCCTACCTTTTTTTGGTGGCTTAAATGTGAAGATTAGAAAATTTGATAATAGTTACTATGTACCTACTAAGTGTTGGGCACTATGCTAGTTCCCAGGGATACAGTGATGAGCAAAACAGAATTCTCGCTCAGATGGAGCTAGTAGGTTAGAGAGAAATAGTCAATGCTGTGTCAGGGCATTCCTAAGGCCAGTCACTGAGCTAAAATATTAACACGCATGATTTCACTGAGTTCTCACAATCGCTCTATGAGCTTTCAGATGAGGTGATAGAGGCTCAGTCAACTTAACGTGAGATAGGTAACTTACCCAAGATCACATCCACTGGGAGGTTTGCTGCCAGCCTTCAAGACCACATGTAAAGTCCTTGCCCATGAGGGTGCAAGGCAGAAGCCTCCTTGGGCACTCCAGGTGAGAGCCTTTGAAAGGCCTATCTTGGAGCTTGTCTAATGGGACAATCAGGCTCTTACCACGAGAAGGGTGGTTCCTGCTGCTCCATGTCCTGACACCCTTCATGGCCCATCCCCAGTGCCCCGCCAGCTCATGCCAGCCCCTCTGTTCTCAGAGCTCCTAGAGGAGCTACTTGCACTCCTGTCTGGGATCCTGTGGGAGCTGGGTAAGCATCATTCCTGACGTTTCTGTGCCGGAGACTCTTCTCTTCGTGGTGGGGCCTGGGGAAGGACCCATGCCCATGTAGATCCATCTTGTTGTCCCTTGAGCCTGTCATAGTGCCCTGCACATGAGAAGTGCTCAGATAGACATTATTCAAGTAGATTGCCTGTAAAATGGCAAGGCTGTGCAACTCACATTCAGCTGCCTTCAAGAGTAAATTCAGCCAAAAGAACTGAAAACAGGGCCTGAAGCAGATATTTGTACACCCATGTTCACAGCAGCATTCTTCCTAATAGCCAAAAGGTGGAAGTGGCTCAAGTGTCCATTGACAGACGAATGAGCAAGCAAAATGTGATATATCTGTACAAGGGATTATTATTCAGCTTGGAATAGAAAGGATTTTTTTTTGGGTCGGGGGGACAGGGTCTCATTCTGTGACCCAGGCTGAGTGTAGTGACACAATGATGGCTCACTGCAGCCTTGACCTCCCAGGCTCAAGAGATCCTTCTGCCTCAGCCTATTGAGTAGCTAAGACCAAAGGCATGCGCCACCACACCCACCTCATTTTTTTACTTTTTGTAGAGATGGGGTCTCCCTATCTTGCCCAGGCTGGTCTCAAACTTCTGGGCTTAAGCTATCCTCCCTCCTCTACCTCTCAAAGTGCTGGGATTGCATGCATGAGCCACCATGCCCAGCCAAGGAAGGAAATTTTGACTCATACTACAACATCAGTGAACCCTGAGGACATTCTGCTAAGTGAAATAATCCAGTCACAAAAAGACAAATACTATATGATTCCACTTATATGAGGTATCTGGAGTAGTCAAATACATAGAGACAGAAAGTAGAATAGTGGTTGCCCAGGCCTGGAGATGGGGAAGAGGAATGAGGAACTAGCGTTTAGTGGGTGCAGAGTTTCAACTGCGGAAGATGAAAGGAACCCTGGAGATGCATGGTGGTCATGGTTGCACACAATATGAATGTACTTAATGCCATTTTTTAGACTTAAAAAATAGTTAAAACGGTAAGTTGTATGTCATGTATGTTTTACTACAATTAAAATAAAATAAAAATAAAATAAAATAAAAGTAAATCTAGGATTCTGCACAGTAGCCTTTTGGTTTTGATGGCTCCTGACACTTCTAACCTGAGAATCCTGCTTGGGAAAGGGTCCTAGCAAGAGCATAGGGTCTATCCTCTGTCTCTGTGAAGGCTTAGAATCCCAAGGATTATTTCTGTCTTTTGAAATAATGAAATCATAGTTCCTCATGGCTTTATTTGACCATTTTTCAGTAGGCCATTCAGTAGGCCATTTTTCAGTAGGACCTTGTATTAGTCAGGGTTCTCTCAAGGGACAGGACTAACAGGATAGATGAATATATAAAGGAGAGTTTATTAGGAGAATTGACTTACTTGATCACAAGGTGAAGTCCCACAATAGGCTGTCTGCAAGCTGAGGAGCAAGGAAGCTAGCCTGAGTCCCAAACCTCAAAAGTAGGGAAGCCAACAGTCTGTGGCTGAAGGCCCCCGAAAGCCCCTGGCAAACCACTGGTGTGAGTTCAAGGGTCTAAAAGCTGAAGAACTTGGAGTCTGATATTCAAGGGAAGGAAGCATCCAGCACAGGGGAAAGATGGAGGCTGGAAGACTCAGCCAGTCTAGTCCTTCCACGTCTCTCTGCCTGCTTTTATCCTAGCCACGCTGGCAGTTGATTAGATGGTGCCCACTCAGATTGAGGGTGGTCTCCCTCTCCCAGTCCACTGACTCAAATGTTAATTTCCTCTGGCAACACCCTTACATATACACCCAGGAACAATAGTTTGCATCCTTCAATCCAATCCAGTTGACAGTATTAACCATCACGGACCTCTGGAGGCAGAGTGTTTGCCTGGAGATGTGTGGTGCAAGTACTTCTGATGCTTGTCTTAGTAGCACATCCTGGAGCTATACCCATCTTTACCCATCAAGATTCTTCGCTGACAGGCAACTGCAACAAATTCCAGTGAGTACCAGCACGTTGGCAATTTACTGGAAGGTTACCAGACAACTCAAGAGAGGCAAGAGAACAAAGCTTGGGAAAAACAGAGGAAGCAGGGTGGCTTGAGACATCATGTGGTGTGGTAGCCGCAAGTCCAGACACCAGGACTGCAATGAGAGGGCTCCCTCCAGGGCCTGGGTTAAGGATCCTGATGGGTCAAGCCCGGACAAGGGGACACAAGTGCCTTAAAGAAAACCAGGATCTGAGAGGAAGAAGCAATTTTAACAGTCTAAATGGCGAATGTCCACTTGAACAAGGACTGCCTTCCCGCTGAGACCACACAGAAACACAGAGCAACTCTGGTATCCTATTACGCTTCTGCTGAAAGCTCCAGGCAGGGCTGTGGATCAGGAGAAGGAAGAAGGGGTCTCTTTTTGCCTTCTGCTTAGACCCGGGTCTTGCCCAGTCAGGTCTTGAACTCCTGGGCTCCAGCGATCCTCCCACCTCAGCCTCCCAAAGTGCTGGGATTGCATGTGTGAGCCACTGTGCCAACCAAGCTTGGGGACCGCTGCTTAGACCCCAGTTGGGCATTAAGGTCCAGCCTCGTTCTGGATGCATCTGCCTCAGTTCCTGGGTCCCAAGTCCTCAGGCTGTGGGAGGGCACGCATGGACACTGTTGTCTTCGTTTCCGTAGCTACGGCGCCATCTTCTGGCTGTTGCCTCCTGGACTGTCTTGAGGAAGAATGCTTACTATTGCGTTTAACCCAAATCCCACAAATCTCCGGGAGTAGCAAAACAGCAGTGTCTGGGGCCTTCACGAATCTTTACAGGATCCCATGGGAGGGAAGATCAGCCACAACCCAGTGCATGACCTCATTTGCCCTAGAAAAATATGAATCTTGGCTAACTTTTCCCTTCCTCCCAAACATGCCGTAAAATGTTTACTTCCACATAGACTTTTAAACGCACCACCGATGCGCTTGCTTCCCAAGTATATCAGCAGATTTAAAAGGTTCATAAAAATTCCCTTCATATGGCTACAGTAAACTTTTGTGCAATTGTTCTTCTGTGGGATTTAGTGGTTCACAGACTGTCTTTTAAAGTTTGATCACTGATTTGTCTGAGACCCAATTATTAGCAGACTGGGGAATGACAAAGCTTATTTATCACCAAAGCTGATGAAATCAACATAGTCCACTGAGCCTCTGGGGCTTATAGCTCAAGGACCTTCTTCCTTTGTGGAGCACAAAGTGCTGTTCTCTCTCCTAACTCTCTGTGCTCTGCATAAAATGTCACCAGCGTGGCATGAAGTCTGGGGGGATGCAGTGGCTTCACCACATCAAGCACATGGTCCCACTTCAGTGCCTTCTTCCCTTTTGCTTCCGTCTGCCTGGTCTGCTGTTACCCCAGGGGACTGCTTGGCTAATCGCACCACCTCCTTCAAGTGCTTACTCAAGCTCCACCTTCTTTCATCATAATTATTGTTGTTTTGCTTTAAAAGGTTGTCAAATACACATAACGCTAAATTTATCATCCTGACAATATTTAAGTGTATAGTGCAGTGGTCTTAGGTATATTCACATTGTTATGCAATGTGCAACTATTACCACCATCATCTCCAAAACTATTTTCATCTTGCAAAACTGAAACTCTGTACCATTAAACCGGGGTCCCCAACCCCTGGGTGGCAGATCGGTATCAGTCCGTGGCCTGTTAGGAAATGGGCCGCATAGCAGGAGATGAGAGGCAGGCGAGCGAGCATTATCGCCTGAGCTCTGCCTCCTGTCAAATCAGCAGTGGCATTAGATTCTTATAGGAGCGTGAACCCTGTTGTGAACTGTGCATGCGAGGGATCTAGGTTGTGTGCTCCTTATGAGAATTTAACTAATGTCTGATGATTTGAGGTGGAAGAATTTCGTCCTGAAACATCTCCCCCCTCACACACTCTGCCCCATCAGTGGAAAAATTGTCTTTCATGAAACTGGTCCCTGGTGCCACAAAAGTTGGGGTGGGGACCATTGCATTAAACAGTAACTTTTTGTTCACCCCGCCTTCAGCTCCTGGTAACCACCATTCCAATTTCTGTCTATAGAACTGACTACTGTAGGGACCTCATATAAGTGGAATCACAGAATATTTGTCTTCTTGTGCCTGGCTTACTTCACTTAGTATAATGTCCTTGAAGTTTATCCACATCGTAGCATGTTTCAGAATTTCCTTTCTGTTCAGGCTGGATAATATTTCACTATGCGGTTGTACTACAGTTTTTTTTTTTTTTTTTTGAGACAGGGTTTCACTCTGTTGCCCAGGCTGGAGGGCAGTGGTGTGAACACAGCTTACCATAGCCTCGACCTCCTGGGCTTAAGCGATCCTCCTGCCTCGGACTCCTGAGTTGCTGGGACCACAGGTATGCACCACCACACCTGGCTAATTTTTTGATATTTTGTAGAGATGAGGTCTCACTATGTTGCCAAGGCTGGTCTCGAACTTCTGAGCTCAAGCGATCCTCCCACCTTAGTCTCTCAAAGTGTTGAGATTACAGGCGTGAGCCACCACAGCTGGCCTGTACTGCATTTTGGTTTGAGTCTCTGATGTTTCCAATGCCTGGGGCAGGGTCTGACACGTGATAGGCACTCAGTACATAATTAATGAATGAGTGGATGAATGAACGAATGACGTTGCTTTCTCCCGGACTTTGTAGCCTTGTTGGGCAGGGCAGAGAGCCCATCCTCAGGAGATCCCTCTGACCAGTGACTGAGCTGGAGGGCTGGCTGCTCAGGGCCTCCTGCCTCCACTGTTGGGTTGGGGAGGGACTGGGGGAAGGGAAAAGAGAGAGAGAGAGAGAGAGAGAGAGAGAGAGAGAGAGAGAGAGAGAGAGAGAGATTCCGCTGGCAGTGGAGCATCCCTGCTTCGTTGTGGGCTTTACGACTTCATGCCACTTAAGCATTATGATGCTGTGATGGATAGTCTGGTCCCCTCTGCCTCATAAGAGGACACCGAGGAAGGTCCTTCCCCCGCCTCCGCCCCCAGCCCCGCAGCCTGCAAGCCAGCCTTGGGGGTCTCTCTTCTCTGGCCACTCAGACATCTTTGGGGCCTGTGTCCTTGTATTTATCCCTCCAGCTGTATTTCTTACAGTGAGGGGAAGTGGAGCCAAGAGAGTGCCCTCAATTGAAGACGGCTTGACCCCAATTATATCATTCACCTTTCTTTCAACGTTGTCTTGGATGTTGTTTTATTTGCCATCTTGAAGCTTCTGCTCTTGTTGACTAAGCTAAAAGCAACCTTGTGGGCACATCTATATAATTTACCCCTTAGCTGAATTAAAAATATTCACACAAGTGGCGTATCTAAAAGAACGTATACAAGTTTTGGTTTCTTCAACTAATTTCCCACCGTATGTCATGTCCTGCTTTTGAAGTCCATGAAGACAATTTATATAATGTTCATAATTTATGTAACAAACGTTTAAATAGCACTTACTCTGTTGCAGACACTGTTCGATTATATACCCTTCCCACATATTAACTCATTTAATCCTCACCCCACCCCATGATCCTGTTATTATCCTTATTTTACAGATGGGAAAAATGAGGCATAGTGGGGTAACTTGCTGAAGTAACTTCAAGGTAATCTGCTGTAGCTTGCCTGAGGTCACCTAGCTACTCATTGAAAACCCAACGATAGAGCATAGCTCTATCCAAACCAAACCAAACCTTTAAACCAAACCTTTAAACCCCAAACCCTACTGCAAATCATTTGCTTTGGTTCTGCAATCATCTAAAATTGATTGTGAGGTAAAATGGACACAGCCATAGCAATGCAAACATCAACAGGGTAGTTATTGAAATAGGGGCATTGGATGTTCAAGGCTAAGCATAAGATGTGTGTGTCCTGTGGGCACTCTTTAAAATTTAAAAAAAAAATTTTCTATTGTTTATTGGGGAACAGGTGGTGTTTGGTTACATGAGTAAGTTCTTTAGTGGAGATGTGTGAGATTTTGATGCACCCATCGCTTGAGCAGTATACACTGCACTCAATTTGTAGTCTTTTATCCATCACGCCCTTCCCACCCTTTCCCCCTGAGTCCCCAAAGTCCACTGTGTCATTCTTATACCTTTGTGTCCTGTCCTCATAGCTTAGCTCCCTCCCACTTATGAGTGAGAACATACGATGTTTGGTTTTCCATTCCTGAGTGACTTCACTTAGAATAATAGTCTCCAATCTCATCCAGGTTGCTGCAAATGCCATAATTCATTCATTTTTATGGCTGTGTAGTATTCCATTATATATATCTATATCTATATCTATATATATCTATATCTCACAGTTTCTTTGTCCACTTGTTGATTGATGGGCATTTGGGCTGGTTCCACATTTTTGCAACTGTGAATTGTGCCACCATAAATATGCATGTGCAAGTATCTTTTTCATATAAAGACTTCTTTTCCTCTGGGTAGATACCCAGTAGTGGGATTGCTGGATCAAATGGTAGTTCTATTTTTAGTTCTTTAAGGAATCTCCACACTGTTTTCAATAGTGGTTGTACTAGTTTACATTCCCACCAGCAGTGTATAAGTGTTACCTGTTCACTGCATCCACGCTGTGGACACTCTTGATACCCCAAAATGAGGGCCCTCCCTGGAGAAGACTCATTGCAAGGGATAGGGGCTGCAGCCCCGGCTGTCTGACTTGGGAGCCTAGTGCAGCCCGGGGCAGAGAGGTAGTGGGAAGGAGTCGAGAGGACCAAGGTTTATTCAACCCAGTGATGCCTGAAGCTGAGGGGTTGGAGAAGTGGGAAGAGACTCTATGTGTCCATTGAGAACTCCCAGCAGCTTGTGTCTGCAACTTTGAGGTAGAGAGCAGTGAGGGGCCCTGAAGCACTGGGGGTCAAAGCACGGTGGGTAACTGAGATGCACAGACTTCAGACAGGGCCTCCTCTCACTGAGATCACGCAATATTAACAGAGATCTTTGGTTTGTTTGTTTTGTTTGCTTTTGAATCCCCCTGACAAAACTTGGGTAGAGGGGAGAAAGAGGATTACAGAGGACCCCTGCAGTGTGTCATCTTCCAGGGAATCAGGGATCCCTGGAGAAAAGATTTTGGCTGATGGAATCAAGAGATCTGGTGTCCAATGTTAAATTTTTCCTCTTCTGCTGTATGTTCCCTCCTATTATCCCCAGTCTTTCGTAAAGTTTGTGAAACACTCAGTTCATGCTTGGAAGGCTTTGAGAAATGGGGAGAGGTCTGGAGTTTACACATGGGGCAAAGTGGACAGGCTTCCTCTCATTTCCCCAAAGCCCTGCTAGCATAAACTTGTGTTTAACGAACTTTACTAAAAACTGGGGAATAATAGGAAGGAGTATAAGATTTTCTCAGGTGAGATAAGAGGAGCTCATAGAGGTCTAGTGGGACGGGCAACAGCAACAGGCAGATGTGGTGAAAAGTGAACACTTATACGCTCCTGGTGGGAACGTAAATTAGTGTCACCTCTGTGAGAGAGCTTATGGTGATTTCTCAAAGAACTAAGAGCAGATCTACCATTCAATCCAGCAATCCCACCACTGGGTATCTACCCAAAGGAAAATAAGTCATTATATCAAAAAGACCCCTGCACGTGTATGTTTATTGCGGCACTATTCACAATTGCAAAGATACGGAATCAACTGAAGCATCCGTCAACCAATCACAGGATAAAGAAAATGTGGTATATATACACCGTGTTATGCTACTCAGCCTTAAAAAAGAATGAAATAAAGCCTTCTGTAGCAATTTGAATGGAACTGGGGGGCCATTATCCTAAGGGAAGTAACTCAGGAGTTACCAAATACTGCATGTTCTCATTTGTCAGTGGGAGCTAAGCTATGGGTACACAAGGGCAGACAGAGTGATATGGTGAACACTGGAGACTCAAAAGGGGAGAGGGTGGGAGGGGGTTTGGGGGTGAAAAACTACCTATTGGGTACAAAATGTGCAATTCAGATGATGGGTGCAGACTTCACCACTATCCCCGACTCCATCACTATCAAATTCACCCATGTAACAAAAAACCACTTGCACCCTTAAAGCTACTGAAATAAAAAAAAAATTAAGAAAAAGAGCACATCAGCTCTCCTTGGGTATCCACATCGAAATATGGGAGAAGGAGAGGGTCCAGGATGGTCTGTCTTCTCAAGAGGTGGGGTGGGGCAGGGATGTCATTGCAAAGGAAGACCTTGAAAGGCTGTGAGCCCTGGAGTGAGATGTGGTCTTAAGGACAGTAGATTGTCTCCTGCTCATCACTGGTCCTGGTCCAGCCGCCACACGTCTTGGGAAGAAAGATGGGTCTAAGAAAAAGCTGAAAGATGCTGGAGAGGATGTGGAGAAATAGGAACACTTTTACACTGTTGGTGGGACTGTAAACTAGTTCAACCATTGTGGAAGTCAGTGTGGCGATTCCTCAGGGATCTAGAACTAGAAATACCATTTGACCCAGCCATCCCATTACTGGGTATATACCCAAAGGACTATAAATCATGCTGCTATAAAGACACATGCACACGTATGTTTATTGCGGCATTATTCACAATAGCAAAGACTTAGAACCAACCCAAATGTCCAACAATGATAGACTGGATTAAGAAAATGTGGCACATATACACCATGGAATACTATGCAGCCATAAAAAATGATGAGTTCATGTCCTTTGTAGGGACATGGATGAAATTGGAAATCATCATTCTCAATAAACTATTGCAAGAACAAAAAACCAAACACCGCATATTCTCACTCATAGGTGGGAATTGAACAATGAGAACACATGGACACAGGAAGGGGAACATCACACTCTGGGGCCTGTTGTGGGGAGGGGGGAGGGGGGAGGGATAGCATTGGGAGATACACCTAATGCTAGATGATGAGTTAGTGGGTGCAGCGCACCAGCGTGGCACATGTATACATATGTAACTAACCTGCACATTGTGCACATGTACCCTAAAACTTAAAGTATAATAATAAAAAAAAAAAAGAAAAAGCTGAAAGAGCAGTTTTCCAGAAAAACAATATTAATAACAGCAAAATCGATCAAACATTGGGGCCAACAACAGAGAAACATGATGACTATGGTGGCAGAACTCTCACAGTAACACTGCTTGGGAGTCTTCTACTGAGAGTTATGAGTGACCTGCTAGGGGCTTGTCATCACAGATAAATAACCACAGCTTTTTTGGTGTGAGGAGCCAGATCTAACAGACAGGGGAGACTGCAGTGGAAGGGAGGCAGCAGCCAGGCCAGGAAAGTCAGGGATGCTTGGGAAGCCCCAGGAGCCTGCAGAAGCCACAATGACAGCAGGGGCTGCACGGAAGCCTGAAGGACTTGTTCATGAGCACACATAGTCTACTCCGGGAACTTCAGAAAACACCGTTGAGACTTAGTAAGGCGCTGGAGTCTTGCATTAGCAAGATTCAGTACAAGTGGAATGTGTATTTACATTTTTTAAATTGAAGTTAAAGTCTGTGTACAGTGAAATACACATACTTTAATTGTACAATTCCACAAGTGGTGACAAAACCATACAGCTGGAACCAAGGCCACAATCAAGATATGGGGCTATTTGTTTTTTCTTGCTGAGTTGTTTAAGTTCCTTATAGATTCTAGATATTCGACCCTTGTTGGATGCATAGATTGCAAATATTTTCTCCCATTCTGTAGGTTGTCTGTTTACTCTGTTGATTATTTCTTTTTTTTTTTTTGAGATGGAGTCTTGCTCTGTCCCCCAGGCTGGAGTGCAGTGGCACGATCTCGGTTCACTGCAAGCTCCGCCTCCCAGGTTCATGCCATTCTCCTGCCTCAGCCTCCCAAGTAGCTGGGACTACAGGCGCCCGCCACTACTCCCGGCTAATTTTTTGTATTTTGTAGTAGAGACGGGGTTTCACCGTGTTAGCCAGGATGGTCTCGATCTCCTGACCTCGTGATCCACCCGCCTCAGCCTGCCAAAGTGCTGGGATTACAGGCGTGAGCCACTGCACCCGGCCTCTGTTGATTATTTCTTTTGCTGTGCAGACGCTCTTTAGTTTAATGGAGGACCAACTGTCAATTTTTGGTTCTGTTGCATTTGCTTTTGAGGGCTTAGTCATAAATTCTTTACTTAGGCCAATGTCCAGAAGAGTTTTTTTCTAGATTTTCTTCTAGGATTTTTATAGTTTGAGGTCTTACATTTAAGTTTTTAATCCAACTTGAGTTAATTTTTGTGATGGGTTCAATAGAAGCCCAACATTACACAATACACCCTGGTAATAGACCTGCATATGTATCCCTTGAATACATAAAAAAAGATATGGAAATTTCCCTCACCCCAGAAAGTTCCCTTGTGCCCCATTCCAGCAAATTCCCACCACCCATAGTGGATCTGATTTCTATCATGATAGATTGCTTTGATCTGTCTTGAACTTCAAATAAATAAAATCACATAACGTGTACCCTTTTGTGCCTGGCAGGTTTCATTCAGCATACGGTTTCTGAGGTTCATCCATGTTATTGTACATATCAACTGAGTAGTATTCCATTGCATGAATACACCACAGTTTGTTTATCCATTCTTCTGTTGATGAACATTTGGGGTTGTATCCAGCTGTATGGCTGTTACGACAAAAGCTGCTATGAACATTTGTGGACAAGTTTTGTGTGAACATACATTTTCACTTCTCTTGGGAGAATATCTGAAAGTGGAATTGCTGGGTCATAGAGTAAGTGTATGTTTAAATTTCCAGGAAACTGCTAGTTTTCCTAATTGGTTGTTCCATTTTAATCCCCATTAGCAATGTATGAGAGTTCCAGTTGTTTCACATTCTGGCCAACATTTGGTATTCTCAGTCTTTTTAATTTTAGCCATCCTAGTGGTTGTGAAGTACTATCTCATTGTAATTTTAATTTGTATTTCTTAGAGGATTAATGATGTTGAGCACCTTTCATGTGCTTTTTGGCCATTTAAACATCTTTTCTGGAAAAGTCTGCTCAAATCTTTTATTTTTGATTTATTTAAGTTCTTTATGTATTTTGGATACAAGTGCTTTGTCAGATACACAAATTGTGAATATTTTTCCCCAGTCTGTGGCTTGTCTTCCCATTTTCTTAACAGCAATTTTTGATGAGTAGAAATTCTTAACTTTCACGAGGTTCAATTTGTTAATCATTTTTTCTTGTAAAGTGAGTGCCTTTTGTATTTTCTCTAAGAGATGTTTGTCTACCAGAGGTCATGGAATTATTCTCCGATTATATTATTACAGTATTACTATAATATTGTAAATATTATAGTATTTATAAAACTATACTTTTTTGAGACAGGGTCTCTTACACTGTTGCCCAGGCTGGAGTGCAGTGGTGCAATCATAGCTCATTGCAGCCTTGAACTCTTGGGCTCAAGTGATCCACCCATCTCAGCCTCCCAGTGTGCTGAGACTACAGGTATACGCCACTATGCTCAGCTAATATTTTAATTTTTTTTTGTAGAAACAGGGTCTTGCTGTGGCTGGTCTTGAACTTTTGGGCTCAAGTGATTCTTCTGCCCCAGCCTCCCAAAGTGCTGGAATTACAGGTGTGAGCCACAGCACCTGGCAGTATTAGCTTTTATATTTATGCTTATAGTCTGTTTCAATTTGATTTTTTTGTGTATAGTGTGAAGTAGGGGTTGAGGTTCACTTTACCCCATATATTTATTCAGTTCTTTCAGCACTATTTGTTGAAATGCTTTATTTTGCTCATTGAATGACCTTGGTGTCATTGATGAAAATCAGTACCTATGGGTCTATTCTGTTCCATTGATTTATTCATCTATTCTAATGCTAATACCTTATTGTCTTCATTACTCTAGTTTAGTAATTAGATAGTATTAGTCTTCCAACATTGTTCTTATTTTTCAATTATTTCAACGTTGGCTATTACAGATTCTTTTCATTTCAGTAATGAATTTAGTCTGTGGATTTTGATTGGGATTGCATTGAAGTTATATATTGTTGTTGAGCCTTTTGTACTGAGTCCTCCAGTACTAGAAGTCAACCAATATTGAGTCTTCCAATTCATAAACATGGTACACCTTTCCATTGACCTTTACTTCTTTAATTTCTCTTGTTAATGTTTTCAAAGATCTTGTACTTACTTTGTTCATGTATTTTTAAGCATTTTATATTTTTAATGCAAAAATGTAAAATATAACTGAAATTATTTAAACTTCATTTCCAATTGTTTGCTGATGCCAGTATATAGAAATACTATTTATTTTTGTATACTGAGTTACCTTGCAACCTTGCTAAGTTTACTGATGTTCTAGCAATTTTTCTGTAGATTCCTTAGGGTCTTCTGTATAAACCACTATACTATCTGTAAATGAATACAGTTTTACTTCTTTTTTGATCTTGGCTTTTTTCTTTCTTAATGCACTGGCTAGTATCTCCAGGACAATGTTGAATAGACATGGTAGGAGAGAATTTCTTTGTCTTGTTTCCAATGTTTAGGGGAACATATTTAGTATTTTACCCTTAAGCATAATGTTGGTTGTAGATTTATCAGAAGTCCTTTATCAGATTGATGAAGTTCCTTTGTTTTTCTAGTTAAAATTTATTTCTTCTACAAAGGGATATTGATTCTTGATAGTTCTTTTTTTTGTATTTAGTCAGATTATTTTTTCTTTCCCTTTTTCTGTTAATATTGTGCATTACACTGATTTATATATGACTGTTGAAAAAACCTGAAATTCTGTGAAAAGCTCTAATTGGTCATGATGTATTATTCTCTTTTTATATTACAGAATTTTATTTCTAATATTTTGTGACAATTTTTGTGGCTGTGTTTATAAAGAATATTGGCTGGTAATTTTCCTTTCTTGTAATTTCTTTGTAAGGTTTGGAATCAGTATTCTCCTATCCTTACAAAACTTGTGAAGGAATGTTCTCTCATCCTCTATTTTCTGAGAGAGTTTATGTAAGACTGGGATTGTTCTTTTCTTCAATATCCAATAGAATTCACCAGTGAAACCATTAGTCCTCAAGTTTGCTTTTGATTACAAATTCAACTTCTTTAATGGAATTAAGACTTTTACAGATTTTCTATTTCTTCTAATATCCCTTTTGATGAATCAAAATCCTCAATAAATCTGTTCATTTCATATACACTGTCAAATATACGAGAATTAAGTTGTTCATAATCTTGCCTTGTTATCTTTTCAGTGTGCGTGGAATCTGTAGTGATGTCCTCCTTTTCATCTCTGATATTGAAAATTTGTATTTACTGTGTCTTTTTTCTTAGTTTTTCTTGGGATTCATCAACTTTGTTAATTTTTTTCAAAGACACTTGTGGTTTTGCTAATTTTCTCAAATATTTGTCTATCTTTTGACTTCATTATTACCAGACATTATTAGACATCTTTATTACTGTCTTCCTTGTACTTACATTGGGTTAAACTTAATTTGCTTTTTCCAGCTTAAGATGGAAACGTTAATTGTTGATTTTAAAACTTTCTTCTTTTCTAACATAACTCATTAAAGGCTATACATTTTCTCTAATTACTGCTGTAGCAGCATCCCACAAACTTTCATATGCTGTGTAAGAACACATTATCATTTAGTTTAAATATTTTGCAAGGTTTTTTTTTGTAACTTCTTTAATCCATGCATTATTTCGAAGCATGTTGTGAATTTATACATATTTGCAGCTTTTTGATTGTGGTGAAATTTTAATTGTTTAAATCTTTAAATTTAATTGTTTAAAGATTTAATTGTTTAAATCTTTAAAATTTCAATGTTTTGAAATTTATTGAGATTTCAATTTGACCCAAAATATGATTTTTCTTGGTAAACCTTCGAGGTGCACTTAAAAACAACATGCACTTTGCAATTGTTGGGTACAGTGTTCTAAAAACGTCAATTAGGTCACATTCATTGATAATGTTCTTCAAATATTCTATATATTTATTATTATTCTCTAATTGTTCTAGCGATTACCAAGAGACAAGTGTTAAAATCTCCAGTAATAATTGTGGATTAGTCTATTTTCCCCTTAGTTTTGTTTGGTCTTGCTTCATGTATTTTGAAGGTTTGTTATTTATTGTTATACATGTTGATATATATATCATGTTGATATGTATGTTGATATATATATCATGTTGATATTTATGTTGATATATATATCAACATATATAACAATATATATTGTTATATATCTATATATAATAATATATAACTATATATATTATTGTTACATTTGTTTGTAACATATTTTGAGTTGTTATGTTTTCCTGATAAATTATCTTTTTCACTATGAAATCATTATTGCTATAAAAGTCCTTCTTTATCTGTGTTTATATTCTGTGTTCTGAAGTCTGTCTGACATTAATATAGTCAAACTAGCTTTTTTGTTTGCTTATTGTCTTTTTTTCCATCCTTTTACATTTAACCTATTTATTTTCATTTAAAATGTCTCTTGTAGACAGCATATAGTTGGATATAGCTTTCTGAATCCTATCTGGCAATCTGTGCTTTTTGACTGGAGAGTTTAGTCCATTGTATTTAATTTAGTGATTGACTGTCTACAAGTCTACCATATCACAATTTATTTTCTAGTTATTCCATCTGATTTGCATTTATCTGTTCTTCCTTTTCTGAATACTTTTGCATTATTGTACTTTGGTTTCATTGTAATCCATCTTTTTATATATTTTATTACAAAGAGCTCTACCTCTTTGTAACTTTTTTTTTTAGGTGGTTGCTCTAGGAATTATGATGTGTATTCTTAACTCATCGTGGTCTATTTTGAGTTAA
Organism: Homo sapiens; assembly: GCF_000001405.40. Taxonomy (NCBI): domain Eukaryota; kingdom Metazoa; phylum Chordata; class Mammalia; order Primates; family Hominidae; genus Homo; species Homo sapiens. The sequence goes on along the minus strand of NC_000019.10, from coordinate 32,275,893 downwards.
TATTGTACCACCTCACGTAAAGCATAAGACCCTTACAATAGAAAAATTCATTTACTGAACCATCCTTTGTGCTTTGGTTCATTTACTGAATCATCCTTTGTACATTTATGACTAAAAATGTCATATTTTTAGTAATAATTAATAAATCCCATGACACTGTGTTACTAATTTTGATTAGACAGTTGTTTTACTAAAAAATTAACAGAGGAAAAGTATTCTTTTATATTTACCCACATATTTACCACTCTACGGTTGTTCATTCCTTCTTATAGATCTAAATTCCAATCTGATAAGTCAGCTGTCATTAATATCACTGTTCTTCTGTAAGCTATGAGCCTTTATTAATTGGCTGCTTTTAAGATTGTTTTTTATTTTTATTTTTTGAGATAGGGTCTCACTCCAATGCCCAGGCTGGAGTGCAGTGTCACATTCATGGCTCACTGCAGCCTCAAACTCCTAGGCTCAAGCGATCCTCCCACCTCAGCCTCCAAAGTAGCTGGGACTACAGGCACGTGTCACCACACCTAGCTAATTTATACATATATTTGTAGAGATGAGATTTCACATGTTGCTCAGGTTGGTCTCAAACTTCTGGGCTCAAGTGATCCACCTGCCTCAGCTTCCCAAAGTGCTGGGATTACAGGTGTAATCACATGCCCAGACATTCCTTTAACTTTGATTTTCAGCAGTTTGACATTGACGTGATCTAGATGTAGCCCTCTTGGTGTTTGTGTCTTTTGGGATTTATTGACCTCTTGGCTCTATAAACTCATACTTACCACAAAATTTATATAAATGTAGTTGTTAGTCCTTCACATATTTTCCTATCTTCTTTCTTTCCTTTCCTCCTGGGACTCCAATTACATATCTATTTGACTGCTTGTATTTTCCCCACAAGTCTCTGAGCCTCCGTTTATTCCCCACCCGCCCATATTTTTCTCTGTGTTCTCTGGTTTGATTTGTCTTTAAGTTCATTAACTTTCATTTGTAGTCTCTAATTTTATATTAAGTTTATGCAGAGCTTTCATTTTAGGCATTGTGCTGTTCAGCTTCAGAATTGCCATTTGGTTCTTTAAAATTTTTTTTTTTATATCTCTGTTCTTCACTCATTATGGTTATCTTTTAAGTCCTTGAACACATATTTATGTAGCTGTTTGAAAGACTTTTCCTACTAGTTTCAACATGAGGGTATTCTTGGGGTCATTTTCTATTGAATGCTTTTAAAAAATTATGGATTATAGGCTGGGTGCTGTGGCTTACACCTGTAATCCCAGCACTTTGGGAGGCCCAGGCGAGTGGATCACAAGGTCAGCAGATCAAGACCATCCTGGCTAACATGGTGAAACCTCATCTGTACTAAAAAAATACAAAAAAATTACCTGGGCGTGGTGGCAGGCGCCTGTAGTCCCAGCTACTCAGGAGGCTGAGGCAGGAGAATGGCATGAACCTGGGAGGCGGAGTTTACAGTGAGTGGAAATAGCACCACTGCACTCCAGCCTGGGCGACAGAGCAAGACTCTGTCTCAAAAAAAAAAAAAATTATGGATCATATTTTGTTGCTCCTTTTCATGTCTAGTAATTTCTGACTGCATAGTGGACATTGTGAATAATGCACTGTGGAGATTCCAAATTATGTCATATTTTTCTTTAAAGAGTTTTAATGTTTGTTCTGTCAGTAACATTATTGGTAGATTCTTTCTGCTCTGTTAGGGTTGGCTTAATTTGTTGTTCAGATATATTTTAATTTTGAGCTGAGTCTTACGGTATTGCCTTCACTTAGGGCCTTGGTCCTTAACCCAAAGGCATGGCCTTTTCAAGGTCTCAGCTGGAGGCTTGGGGCATTCAGTGAACTTTCTCTACCTTGGCTTAGCCAAAATTTCAGTGCTTTTTAGCAGTGCATGACCTCTGGTATCACCATACCATTCACAGCTCCATAGTAGGAGTCTTCTGCTAGGCTTCCTGGAATCTCACTCTGCATGCACTTCTGTGCCCGCAGCCAAGGCCCCATGTTCTTTGTGAAGATCACTATTCTCTGTTATTCTGCTTCATAAAATCCAGCCATTTCAACAAAGTAGGACTCCAATCTCCACCTCCTCAGCTCAGTGCAACTATTGCTCCATTTGGACTTCCCATCTTTGTGCCTTGACAGAAAGGTGCCTCCAGCCAGAAAGCTAGATGAACAGTGGGGCTCACCTCATGTGTATGCCTTTTCTCAAAATTACAGTGATGCACTGTCTGTTGTTCAGTGTCTGAAAACAGTTGCCTCATATGTTTGTCTAGTTTTATAGTTATTTTTGGCAGGAAGGCAAGTCTCATATCAGTTATTCTGTCATGGGTAGAAGCAGTTCTCCAATTTTTTAAAAGAAAGATATTATTTAAAATATAAACACTGATGGTTTTTGTCTATGTCTGTGCGTTAAATTTTAGCAGGGCCTGTTTAATTTAGGGGTCAATTACATGTGATTGAACTCTTTCTCTAATGCTTGAAAGGTCTTTAAGAAAGAACCAATTCTTTTATTTACACTGGAGATACAGATTAACGTTGGTATTAAGCTACTAAAGAATGAGCCCTGGGCTGGTTGTCAGGACCTAGCTCTGGCTCTGCCACTAACCAGTGGTGTTACTTTAGATTTCTGGCCCCAGCTTCACTATCTGTACAATGAACTGAATGGGTTGTATGCCTTCAGGTATCTTCTAGCTCTGATATTCTGGGATTGACTTATTGAATGCTGACATTTCACATTTTCCCGATAACAAGCTTTTTTTCTCTCTCTTTTTTTTGAGACAGGATCTTACTCTGTTGCCCAGGCTTGAGGGCAGATCATGGCTAACTGTAGCCTTGATTTCCTGAGCTGAAATGATCCTCCCACCTCTGCCTCCTGAGTAGCTGGGACTACAGACATGCACCACTGTGCCTAGCTATTTTTTTTTTTTTAATATTCGTAGAGTGAGGGTTTCACCATGTTGCCCAGGCTGTCTCGAATTCCTGAGCTCAAGTGAGCTGCACGCCTTGGCTTCCCAAGGTGCTGAGACTACAGGCATGCGCCACCACGCCAGGCTTGATAGCAAGTTTTTCTTAAGGAGGTGGATCTTAAGAAAGCCTGGGTATGGTGAGTCTTTAAATGGGTGAAACAGGCAGAAAACAAAACAAAAACGGAAAAGCCAAATTTTATCAATTGATAATTTTTCATGTAACCCACCTTTATCATGAAAGATGAGCGTATCAGTGAAAAGGATTCAGGGAACCAGGTTTTCTCCCATATTTTCTAGACTTTTACTAATAATGACCATGGTTATTTGAGCACTTGTAGATACCTAATCAACAGTTAGATTCTCTTTCTCTCTCTTTTTCTCTCAACCTTTCTCTCCCTCTCTCTTTTTATCTTCACAATCCTCTCAGGTAAGCCTTGCTGCCCTAATTTCACAGATAAAAAAACTGAGGATCAAAGAGACTGAGTGACTCCTCAAAGGTCATATAGTAACCCAGGTCTTTCTAACTTGCTATGGTCTACCTTTCTAATGCTGTGGGGAGAATTCTATCTTAACACTTGGTGACTGTAATATTGGCCTCAGGGACCCACTTCTAATACCTAACATGGGTATTCAGTTTAACAGTTTGCAAAGCACTTTGGTTTATAAAATACAATTTGATTCTTGCAAGAACATGATGCTTACAGGCCCTTTACAGATCAGGAATCTGAGGCTAAGTGAAATTCTCCAAAGAAACACTCACAGCTAGTAAGTGGCAAAGCCAGGATTTAAATTGAGCTCTGGCTGCTTCCCGAGCTCTACACATAGCGTCTTTTAGTGGGGTCATAGTTAGGAACAGAGCTGAACTGATCAAGGCAGTAGTAACTAGTGGGCAATGGTGTTCAGGAAGGTCTTACTGCTGCTAGGGGCATAAATTGGTGTATACACGTCAGAAGACTATTTGCCTTTATTTACCAAAGGTGAAACTGCATCAGTTCCCCTCCTGCATAGAAACAGAAACAGAAATGTCTGCATATGCATAAGAACATTCACAACAATAGCCTAAATGATAATCCCAAATAGATTGCATATGCAGATTTCAGAATATCCACGTAATGATTTATTAAACAGAAAAATGAATGAGCTGTACTGTATGTAACAACTTGGGTGACTTTCTTTTGAAAGAAGGAATCCAGGCATAAGAGTACACGCTGTGTAACTCCATTTATATAAAGTTCCAGAAATAGGCAAAATTCATCTACGTTGTTAGAAGTCAGGACAGTAGTTATCTTTGGGTGGAAAGGGGAGGATACTGATTAGGAGGGGGTTCCAAAGGAGTTTCTGGGGCACCAGTAATGTTCCATTTCTTGACCTCAATAGCAGTTACTTGAATGTGTTTATGTTGGGATAAGAATTGAGGTGTACACTTACAACTTGTGCACTTGCCCATAGGTATGTTATATTTCAACAAATACAGTTTAATGGATGAAAAAAAGAACATCTTGAAGTTGAAATTAAGTGGTTTCTTTAAACAATCTTGGTGCAACTGTCTCTGTGTTTATCTATCTCTTATAGAAAGCCATTACTTAATCTGACCTGTAATCTTAATTAAACTTAAAAAAATGTATAAAGTGCAAGTGACTGGTCCTGCAGTTCACCTCATTTCTTTAGTTCTTGACCAGCGACTGTTTAATCTTCTGGCCTGAGCTTTATAACTCAAGAATGGCAGATATTAAAATACCGGACACTGGTGAGTGCAAAACTTATCTTCAGGAGTCCTTTATGTGAATCCATCAGATTTTGGTGATGCAGGGGCCATATTCAGCCTAGATGTAGAAGGTATAGGACATTCAACACAAGTAAGCGGCTATATTCTCTACTCAAATTGCGAGTGAACTCTGGGTACGATATCTTGGTCAATGGAATTGGAGATTTTTGGTCTGACCAAAGATGGCGTCTTGAAGTGGGCGTTTGTTGCATTTGACCTCCCAACACCAGTCCTCCTGGTTTTGCCGCCTGGGGCTCACACATCACTTCTCCCTGCCCACATGCTTTGGTGAAGATCTTACCCTCATGCTGCAGAGAGGCGCGTATGACCTAGTTTAAGCCAGTCGATGCATTCCATCCCTCTGGCTGCAGTGATTGGCTCGGGCATGGACACATGACCCAAGTCAATGCAGTCTGGGCCAATCAGTGTCAGTTCTGAGCTTTGGTTTGAACTCATTTTCCGCTGGTCCAAGTGTTATGTTGGGGAAGAAGGTTACCCCAGGAAGCAGAGTAGGAGAGGTTGGGAATGGTAGGTTTCTAACTGATTCCTGCCCCAAGCCACTTTACTCTTTGGATCTTTCACGTACATGAGCCCATATCTTATCTTTTGCCTCAACCCTTTTCAGGTTGGACTTTCTGTTGCTTGCAACCAAAAGTGTCCTAATTGCTACACCCACCTATTCTCTGCCTCCCCTGTATCTCTGAATGGATTTCGTCACATGAATATTGGAGGTAATTCTAATGGCCACCATCCCATGGCTGTTGAGAAAGACCCCAAGCTCAAGGGCTTGGAAAATTTCTCTGGCCTGATGGCAATGAGGACGAGGATGATAACAATACTGGCAAAACCCCAGGCTTTCCCAAACTTCTCAGCAGTTGCATGACAGGTTCACACCATCTTCACTTGGCAAGATGCGGCAAATATTGCAGCTCAGCGGCAAGAGTGAGAAACCCAGGTCCTAAGCAGTTGGGTGGCTCTTCTTCTTAGCAGCTTAGGCTCTATTTAAACCTCCTAAACTTTGCTCTGTGCATGTGTGTGTGCGTGTGTGTGTGTGTGTGTATGTGTGTGTGTAGGAGGGTTTGGACTCTCTTCCTCTTTTGTTTTAAGGGGGAACAGGGAGCAGATTGGAACAGGTTGTAACACTTCCGCATGCCTGTGTCCTGGTGCTTATTTCATAGTGCCGTCTGCCAATTGGCGTCTGGATCCTATGTCTCTTTGATTTATGTATTTATTGTACAGCAGCCAAATTTTAGAAAAGAAGAGAGGGTATTCTAATTTAATAGTAAGAGCAAGGTGTAATTTCTTATAAAGGGAGGGAAATGCACCCACATTCTTATTTGATGTCAGAAAATAAGAATTTTGTTTAGGGCTTTCCTTTACCCATTGAAAAATTAAGACATGAGATGTCATTCGTCAAATGATTATCTCAGTGCTTTTAGAAGATATGTTTGTTTCATTTGTGTGTGTGTGTGTGTGTGTGTGTGTGTTGTATATGATTTAAAATTAGGTAGGGGCCAGGTGCACTGGCTCATGCCTGTATTCCCAACAATTTGGGAGGCCAAGGTGGGAGGATCGCTTGAGCCTAGGAGTTTCAGACAAGCCTGGGCAACATAGTGAGGCCTTATGTCTGTAAAAAAAATTAGCCAGGCATGGTGGCATGCACATGTAGTCCCAGCTACTGAGAAGGCTGAGGCGAGAGGTTCGCTTGAGCCCTGGAGTTTGAGGCTACAGTGAGCTAAGATCATGCCACTGCACTAAAGCCTGTCTCTAAAAAAAAAAGAGAAAAAGAAAAATTAGGTAGGTATTACCTTAAGAAATAAAGATAAGTGGATTTAAAAAAAAACAGCTAATCTTCCAAAGAAACATAGAAGCAAACAAATCCTTTACATTTTACCACCAATCACTATTTTCCTTTTCAAATAGGTTGAAAATATTGCTTAGAGAGAGGGCATGAGTTTGCATGCTAGAGTTGGACGCCATTTCAAAATTCCCGGGCTGAGGGCAGGGCACAGTGGCTCATGCCTGTAGTCCCAGAACTTTGGGAGGCCGAGGCAGGTGGATCACCTGAGGTCAGGAGTGCAAGACCAGCCTGGCCAACATGGTGAAACCCGGTCTCTACTAAAAATACAAAATTAGCCAGGTGTGGTGGCGCATGCCTGTAATCCCAGCTGCTCGGGAGGCTGAGGCAAGAGAATCCTGAGGCAGGATAATCGCTTGAACCCAGGAGGCGGAGGCTGCAGTGAGCCAAGATCGCGCCACTGCACTCCAGCCTGTGCGACAGAGTGAGACTCTGTCTCAAACAAAACAAAACAAAAACAAAAACAAAATTCCTGGACTGAGATGATGAGCGTCTGTGATAAAACGGCTGGGAGGGCCTGGATGGGTTTGTGAAATGGGTGGAAGGTGAAGGATAAAAATGACTGCGGTGGTAAACAACCCTCGGGGCTCCTTGAGGCACCAGTGTTTAGTGGGTGCAGAGTTTCAACAAGGAGGTCCTTGTTTGCCTGACTTGCATTAAGAGCTCCCATGGGACCCCCTGTCCCTGTTGCCTTTGTAGGAATGTTTCCTGTCTTAGGTACCACCCTTCTTGGCTTCCCTCCACAGAAAGTAAATGTATTCTATCCAGCTAAATGATGCTGCTAAGCAAAATGTCAGTGTGTGTTGGGGAGGGCTGGGTATGTGGGAGGGGAGGACCACAAGCAGAGCCTGGGTCTGGGCTGGCATTGTCTTTGCCTCCTTCAGCGCCTGGTGCACAGTAGGGGCTCAGTCTGTGTGAGCTGCAGACTTGAAATTCTATTCATCTGTTTTTGAAATGTGAAATTTTGTTTTGTTTTGTTTTATTTTTTGAGATGGAGTCTCGCTCTGTGGCCCAGGCTGGAGTTCAGTGGCATGATCTCAGCTCACTGCAACCTCCACCTCCCAGGTTCGTGGCATGATCTCAGCTCACTGCAACCTCCGCCTCCCAGGTTCAAGCGACTCTCCTGCCTTAGCCTCCTGAGTAGCTGGGACTACAGGTGCTGTACCACCACTCCCGGCTAATTTTTGTATTTTTACTACAGATGGGGTTTTGCCATGTTGGCCAGGCTGGTCTTGAACTCCTGACCTCAAGTGATCTGCCCTCCTTGGCCTCCCAAAGGCTTGGGATGACAGGCGTGAGCCACCAGGCCTGGCCTGAAATGTAAAATTGTTTGTCTCTGCTCTGCCCCGCCTCGCGGCTCCTACTCCCACTGGTGCTACATGTACTGAAGTTCCTGCACATCCTCATGAGCACTTCTGGGAAGCCTTTGTTTTGCCCTGGATGTGCTGTGACTTTTGAGGGACAGGCTGGGAGTCCGGACCCAGTTTCTAGCCCTTGCTCTGCCAGTGTCTGACTGATGTAGAGAGTGTCTTAATCACAGCATGTCTCAGTTTCCCCTTCTTTCAAAATGGGTATCATAATATTTATCTTACCTCTTGAAGATATTATAAAATTAAAATAACATGCCTGTAATCTTAGCACTTTGGGAAGCTGAAGCAGGCGAATCACTTGTAGCCAGGAGTTCGAGACCAGCCTGGCCAACATGGCGAAACCCTGTCTCTACTAAAAAATACAAAAATTAGCCATGTGTGGTGGTGCGTGCCTGTAGTCCCAGCTACTCGGGAGGCTGAGGCAGGAGAATCGCTTGAACCCGGGAGGCAGAGGTTGCAGTGAGCCGAGATTGCACCACTGCACTCCAGCCTGGGTGACAGAGTGAGACTCTGTTTCAAAAAAAAAAAAAATTAAATTAAATTAAAATAAAAAAAGATAGATGTGAAAGTAATTAGGAAAAAGGCTCTATGAAAATTCATCACTATGATTAGCAATATCTTTATTTACTTTTATCAGAGACCTAAAGAATCACACACTTCCACGTAAAGACATGATCTGGGAAATGGAAGAGAAGAGCTGCATCTGCCTGCAACCTTGGGGTAGAAAAATCCCCTTATTCTGTTTCTTCTTTCAGGAGAGAACTTGATGTGATCGGGTCATTGCATGTAAAATGTTTTAAGAATGTGATCTGTACTTCATCATTTTAAAATTCAAACATTCCTGAGCCTTTTTTCCCCCCACCCTCTTCATATTTATCTTCTTGGTCTTGCCTTCATTGGGTACCACATTTGTATTGATAAATTGTAGGTAGTAGGAGATGTATTGATGGGATGGAGACAGTTCAAAATGTAGAGTGCTGTGGCTTTGCATATCATTACACCTCGCTAGCTTTTTGCCTCCTGAAAGGTGTCGATTTGTGCATTATTGCTATTCAGGCTGATAAATGACAGTAATTGTTCTTAAGTTGAAGAGCTGGTTTAATATGCTGTCTGGCCTGGGAATTTCCTGAGCACCAGGGTTAAACTAGTGCTCCACTAGAGCTAGCAAAATGGCCCTTTTTTTCATCACAGACTATAGAGTTAATTGAATTACTCGCTATTCATGCAGTTTGTAGCCTTGATTCTAAAGATACCATGAACTGTAGGGGGAGGGAGGACTGTTCTAGGGGGCTCAGGGTAACCGTGGGCCCTGCTTCAAGGACATGACCCCCCCTTCTCTGAGTGGAGGCCGTTCACGTTCTGCAGCTCAATTTGCTTTCTGGTTCCTTGACTTGTGGTTGGTTATTTTTGGGTAGTGCCTCTGAGGCCGCCCAAGCCACAGAATCCTAGAGGAAGGCAGGGTTTCTGATGCTGCAAAGATGATTTTTTTCTGAGGCTGTTTTTGCATATTTTCTACAATTTGAAAATCAGAGCACCTGAATTTCTTGCATCTTGTTTACTTTGTTACCTTTTGGGCTGGGAACTTGGGCTATGATTTGGTTGGAGTCTAAAGTGGCCCCTCTCTCTGGGGAGGTCTCAGACACAACTCACTCCACGTTTTCCTCCCAGTGACTCAGCCTCTCAGCCAACCATTCAATGGCAAGGGCTCACTCAGGCCACGATCCTCAAACAGACGCCCCTTCCTTTGACGGGAGGAGGGGAAGGAATTCACTGCAGGGAACTGGAGAAGAGAATCTGTCTCTTGAGGAATGTCCCATCTGATTCTGGTGCGTGAACAGAGGTTTCCAGAAAAGTGTCCTTGTAGCAGTTCATCCAACAACCTTACCCTCATGGTGTTTCTGAGCTGGTTGTCCAGGTGCCCCCTGGAAAGAATGATCCCAAAGGCAGAGGTAAAGCAGGCGGGAGAGCTGGCATGCCTCATCTGGTCCTACCTTTGAGGTGCCTCGTTACAGCATCACTATGGGAGGCAACATTCCAGATTTGCATCTGTCTGGAGGGTAGTGCCCTCTCTCTCCCTGACCCTGAAAGATTAAACTCAAATTGCTTCTCATACATTTTCTTTTCTTTTTTTTTTTTTTTTTGAGATGGAGTCTTGCTCCGTCGCCCAGGCTGGAGTGCAGTGGTGTGATCTCGACTCACTGCAACCTCCGTCTCCCGAGTTCAAGCGACTGTCCTGCCTCAGCCTCCTGACTAGCTGGGATTACAGGCACCTGCCACCACAACTGGCTAATTTTTTGTATTTTTAGTACAGACGGGGTTCCACCATGTTGGCCAGGCTGGTCTCGATCTCCTGACCTCAGGTAATCCACCTGCCTAGGCCTTCCAAAGTGCTGGGATTACAGGTGTGAGCCGCTGCGTCTGGGCTTTCTCATACATTTTCAAGCTTTCACTACAGCCTTTGGCTTTATAAGTGGACAAACTTTCTCCTTCTCCCTCTTTCCTCTCTCTTTCTGGATGAAAGACAATGTTAGGTACCAAATGGTGTTCAATGCCCTCACTGGAAATGTTTACCTTATTTAGATCCAACTTAAGAAAAGTTTGTAATGTTCTTTCTCCATGCCGTTTCTTTGATCTCAGCTTTCAAATATGCCCACTGAAGCAGAATTGAGGAAAGGGACCCCTTGTCAGAATGGCTGGAATAGAGACAGGCACCCATTTAGGGGCATTAATCATTTCTCATCATAGAAGCCCATAAAAATCCATCTTTTGCTCCCCGTCAAGGTATGAGATAATGAAAGAAGATTGCTTAAAATGTAAATCATTTGGGGCTGTTGGTAACACTGTTTAGAATTAAATTCATGTGTAATAGAACTTCCGATCAGAAATGAACAGTTTCCCAGACAAAGCCATCATAAGCCCCATAATTTCATATGGATGCTTCCAGCGCTAATGGAGCTGGTGCAGTTCACTTGATAGCACTCGAGGAAAGAAAGGATCATTTTTCCTGGTTCTGCAACTGGCAAACATGACTGCAAATCATTCACCCCAGTTCCTCCTGCCCAGCATTCCAGAAGCTCACATCTCACACCTTTACCAGGCTAGAGAGAGCAGAGCTCGCTGCTTCCCTCACCTATGTTCCTTCCCTAGGGTGGGAGAAGATACTCTTTAAGGTCTAAGAGTGACCTGCGGAGTCAGCGCCCCCTTCAGTCTCTGGGCTTCTCACTGTCCCCCTCTGCACTGTCCCACACCTGGAGCCCGAGGGTGGTAATGTTACAGGAAAACGGTCCTGATCCAGAACCCAAGAAAGGGTTCTTGGATTTCGCACAAGAAAGAATTCAGGGTAAGTCTATAAAGTGAAAGCAAGTTTATTAAGAAAGTAAAGGAATAAAAGAATGACACTCCATAGGCAGAGCAGCCCTGAGGGATGCTGATTGCCCATTTTTATGGTTATTTCTTAATGATATGCTAAACAAGGGGTGGATTATTCATGCCTCCCCTTTTTAGACCATAGAGGGTAACTTCCTGACGTTGCCATGGCATTTGTAAACTGTCATGGCGCTGGTGGGAGTGTAGCAGTGAGGACGACCAGAGGTCACTCTCATGGCCATCTTGGTTTTGGTGGCTTTTGGCTGGCTTCTTTACTGCAACCTGTTTTATCAGCAAAGTCTTTATGACCTGTATTTTGTGCCGACCTCCTATCTCATCCTGTGACTTAAAATGCCTTAACCATCTGGGAATGCAGCCCATTAGGTCTCAGCCTCATTTTACCCAGCCCCTATTCAAGATGGAGTTGCTCTTGTTCACACGCCTCTGACAGTAGGGCTGTAGGTATGGGACAGTGCAGAGGGGGACAGTGGATCCCCAGCGTGGCAGAGGCTGGTGCACCCCAGGGCTTCATTTAGGCTCAGCAGTGAGGCCCAGTCAGCCCGGGAGTGTGGAATGCCTACCACGGATAGCCTGAGGAATGCTTGTGGGTACTACAGGGACATGGCAATAAATGACATGGAATCAAACTGATACAGGAGCTGGAAAGAAATTAGTTACGCAGATAGTGAGAGTAAACAAGTCCTCCGCAAGGGTTCCCTTTCAACAAAAAGCAGCCCCTAAACCAACAAAGAGCAGCCTGAAAAATCGAGCTGCAAACATAAATGAGCAAGCTAGGAGCTTGCACGGGTAAGTGCTGGTAACTGCGCCAATAGAAAAGGGCTACCTGGAAGCCAGGTATGTTCAACATGGAGGCTCCATCTTCCCTTTTCTGTGTCACCACATGTACAGTAAAGAACCACAGTTGGCTGGGCGCGGTGGCTCACGCCTGTAATCGCAGCACTTTGGGAGGTACAGGTGGGTGGATCACTTGAGGTCAGAAGGTTGAGACCAGCCTGGTCAACATGGTGAAACCCTGTCTCTACTAAAAATACATAAAAATTAGCTGGGCATGATGGCGTACACCTGTAATCCCAGCTACTTGGAAGGCTGATGCAGGAGAATTGCTTGAACCTGGGAGATGGAGGTTGCAGTGAGCTGAGATGTCACCATTGCACTCTAGCCTGGGCACAGAGCAAGACTCCATCAAAAAAAAAAAAAAAAAAAAAAAAAGAACCCAGGCAACATGGTGCCGGCAAGGTAGAGAACACATCTACATAATAAAAGATTAGGGTGGGGTGGTCAGCTTCTTCATACCTTATGCAAATGACACATCTGGTCCGACCAATCGTTTATGCCCTACGTAAATCAGACACAGCCTCCTCTAGCTCATCTATAAAACCTCTTGCATTTCACCGCTGAAGCAGCAACCCACTTTCTCCCGGACCCCTCTCTGTGCAGAGAGCTCTTCGCTTTCTTTTGCCTATTAAACTTCCTCTCTTAACCCCACTCTAGTGTGTCTGAGTCCCAATTTTCCGTGGCCATGGGACAATGAACCTTGCGTATTACCCCAGACAACGATGCGGCTTCAACATGTCATTCCTCCTTCAATCCACTTTCAAGCCTTCGGACAATATCAGAAGAAACGCTTCTTTGCTGCAGATATGTCTTTAACGCCCACTTCTCTTACATTTGCTAATCTTCTTTTGTCACAAAAGAGGGAGCAGGCCTCCGACTCAGAACCTTCTGCAGGCGACAGTATTCAGCTAGAGCTAAATAAGGCCACTTAAAGAAATGAAATCTATTGTACAGTTTCATTTTATTTATGACAAGTGATACGGATTTCCCTTCATGGTCGTGATCAAGATTCCCTGTAAAGAAATGTCTTTAAATAAAAAGCCTCAATTTAAGGAAAAATACTCAGTAAACAAGAGGACAATAGGTGCCGGTTTATGCATAAGATCCCGAAGGTGCCATTTTGACTGTAGTCTGAGAAACTGCTGAATTGCTGGGAGGTGTGCTGTTGGCCAATGGGCAGGGCGTTCCCTGCAAATCCCTGCCAATTCCATTATTGCTTCAGAAATCACAACTCCACATGGATTCCAAACTGCTTTACTGTCTTCTTTTCTTTTCTTTTCTTTTTGAGGTGGAGTCTCACTCTGTCACCCAGGCTGGAGTGCAGTGGCGTGATCTTGGCTCACTGAAACCTCCACCTCCCAGGTTTAAGCGATTCTCCTGTGGCAGCCTCCCAAGCAGGTGGGATTACAGGTGCTTGCCACCACATCCAGCTAATTTTTGTATTTTTAGTAGAGATGAAGTTTCACCATATTGGCCAGGCTGGTCTCGAACTTCTCACCTCAAGTGATCGGCCCGCCTCAGCCTCCCAAAGTGCTGGGATTACAGGCATGAACCACTGTGTCTGGCCTCACTTTACTGTCTTATTTTCTGTTTGAAAAACGAATAAATGTTATTTGTAGAAAATTTGGAATACTTTATATAGAATACACGCACACACACACATACACACACACAAAAGAAATGAAAGAAGGTAAAGAAAGAAAAGAAAAATTCCTAAGGTCTCATTCACCAGAGATAGTCTTTGCTAATGTTTTGGTTTACTTTGCTTTAGTCTTTTAATATGCAAAGATACGTATATTTCTTTTCCTTTAAACAAAACTGTGGTTATGATGTATGTAGAGTCTTACAATCTGTTTCTTTCTTTCTTCTTTTTTTTTTTTTACTTACTGTATTGTGAACATTTTCTCATGTCATGATTTTCCGTGGTGCTGAGTGTTTCATCATTCAGGTTGAATCAATCTGATATATTGATTTTTTTTTTTGAGATGGGGCCTCACTCTGTTGCCCAGGCTGGAATGCAGTGGTGCAATCATGGCTTATTGCAGTCTCAGCCTCCTGGGCTCAAGTGATCCTCCCACCTCAGCCTCCTGGGTAGCTGGGTAGCTGGGACTATAGGGGCACATCCCCACACCTGGCTAATTATCTTGTTTTTTTTTTTTTAGATTTTTTTTTTTTGTTTTTTGTTTTTGTTTTTGTTTTTGTTTTCAGTAGAGACGGGTCTTGCTATATTGCCCCTGGTCTCAAACTCCTGGGCTCAAGGGATCTGCCTATCTTGGCCTCCCAAAGTGACAGGATTATAGGCATGAACCACTGCCTGGCCAATCTGATAATATTTAATGAAGCTCATTTCATGAAGGCATTTGGGATACACTGATGCCCACACAAAAATCCTCGCCTTGGAGGAGTTTAAATTCAAGGTACTTTTTGTTTGTTTGTTGGAGACGGAGTCTCACTCTGTCGCCCAGGCTGGAGTGCAGTGGTGTGATCTCAGCTCACTGCAACCTCCGCCTCCTGGGTTCAAGTGATTCCCCTGCCTCAGCCTCCTGGGTAGCTGGGATTACACGCATGCACCACCACACCCAGCTACTTTTTGTATTTTTAGTAGAGATGGGGTTTCACCATGTTGGCCAGGCTGGTCTTGAATTCCTGACCTCAGGTGAGCCACCGGCCTCAGCCTCCCAAAGTGCTGGGATTATAGGCATGAGCCACCGCGCCTGCCCTTTAGGTTCTTTTGGATGAAACACAATTTGCACAACTAATGCCTTGTAGTTGGAGATTTAGAGGGTTAAATATTGTAAGTAAATAATGCTACAATTGACATTATTTTTTAAATTAAACTTTTATTTTAAATTCAGGGGAACATGTGCAGGCTTGTTATACAGGTAAACTTGTGTCATGGAAGCTTGTTGTACAGATTATTTTGTCACCCAGCTATTAAGCTTAGTACTCACTAGTTATTTTTTCTAAATCTCTCCCTCCTCATACCCTCCACCTTCTGATAGGCCCCAGTGTCTGCTGTTTTCCTCTATGTGTCCATGTGTTCTTATCATTTAGCTCACACTTATGAGAACACGGGGTATTTGTTTTTCTGTTCCTGCCTTAGTTTGCTCAGGATAATGGTCTCCAGCTCCATCCCTGTTCCTGCAAAGGACAGGATCTCATCCTTTTTTATGACTGCATAGTATTCCATGGTGTATATGTGCCACATTTTCTTTATCCAGTCTACCATACACTTCCTGGATCTTGAAATCATTTTTCACATTTCTATTTCCTTTGGAGCAATCTGCAGAAGTAGAATCTCTGAACATAAAGAAAATAGACTTTTCAAAACCTACTGCCAAGTGTACTTTGCTTTTCATGTTGTCAGAGGTTTCTGAACCAGAGCAACTCCATCTTGAATAGGAGCTGGGTAAAATAAGACTGAAAACTACTGGGTTGCATTCCCAGATGGTTAATGCATTCAAAGTCACAGGATGAGATAGGAGGTCGGCACAAGATACAGGTCATAAAGACCTTGCTGATAAAACAGGTTGCAATAAAGAAGACAGCCAAAAACACCAAAACCAAGATGTGATGAGAGTGACCTCTGGTCATCCTCACTGCTACACTCCCATTAGCACCATGGTGGTTTACAAATGCCATGGCATCCTCAGGAAGTTACCCTATATAGTCTAAAAAAGGGAGGCATGAATAATCCACCCCTTGTGTAGCATATAATCAAGAAATAAACATAAAAATGGGCAACCAGCAACCCTCAGGGCCACTCTGTCTATGGAGTAGCCATTCTCTTATTTCTTTATTTTCTTAATAAATTTGCTTTCACTTTATAGACTCACCCTGAATTCTTTCTTACGTGAGGTCCAAGATCCCTCTCTCGGGGTCTGGATCCAGACCCCTTTCCTGTAGCAATGTGATTACCTGCCATCTGTATATCCTTGTCAATGAAGTATCTGTTCATGTTTTTTAGCTCATTTTTAAATTAGTTTCTTTTCTTTTCACTGTTGAGTTTTGAGGGTTCTTTATGTATTCTAGATACTAGTCCTTTGTCATGTCAGATATATGGTTTGCAACAATTTCTCCTAATCTAGAGCTTATCTTTTAATCTTCTTCATAGAGTTTTTGCAGAACAAAAGTTTTTAATTTTGATGAGGTCTAACCTATCAATTTCATCCCCTTTCCTTCTAAAAGCCTAACTGTGTGCATGACTCAATAATGGAGATCCATGCTCCATTAAAAAATACATTTTCTGAGGATCTGCTATGCACTAGGGATTTGTTTAGGGTGGGAGATACCATGGTGAGAAAAATGGATAGTTCTTGCCCATATGAAGTTAGACAGGTAGTAAAATTATAATTTCCCAAGTAATTACATATTTGCAGGAATGAAACATGCTCTCAAGGAAAAGAGTGGGGTTTCTTAGAGGCTGTAGTAGAGTCTGAAAAGGCCTGCTTTCCTGAAGGAGCATCATTTATGTAGAATGAAAAGAATGAGGCAGAGTTGGTCAAATAGAGAAAGAGGGGTGGGCACAAGGCTACCCGTAGAGCAGGGAGGGGTGTGCATGCTTAAGGAGTGGAAAGGCCAGGGGAGGGGAGGCCTGGGCTATCATGGCTGCGGGGAGGCACAGACCAATCAGGCAGGCTCTGTAGGCTTTGGTGGGACTCTGGGCATTTTCCTGGAAGCCATAGGAGCCAAAGAAAAGTTCCATTGGAGGAACGGTCTTGTGAACACTTTATTTAACTTTGCAAAGAGGAATGACACATTCTTTGTTATGCAGAAATCTCAGCTTTGTATTGATATGAATAAGATGTTAGATACTTAGATTAATTGTTGACATTATTATTATTATTATTATTATTATTTTGAGATGGAGTCTCACTCTGTCGCCCAGGCTGGAGTGTAGTGGTACAATCTTGGCTCACTGCAACCTCCGCCTCCCAGGTTCAAGCGATTCTCCTGCCTCTGCCTCTTGAGTAGCTGGGATTACAGGCGCCTGTCCCCATGCCCGGCTAATTTTTGTATTTTTAGTAGAGATGGGGTTTCGCTGTGTTGGCTAGGCTGGTGTTGAACTCCTGACCTCAAGTGCCTGCCTCGGCCTATGAAAGTGCTGGGATTGCAAGCATGAGCCACTGTGCCCGACCGACTTATTATTATTTTTTAAGAGACAGTCTCACTCTGTAGCCCAGGCTGGAGTACAGTGGTGCTATCATAGCTCTGCAGCCTCGAACTCCTGGGCTCAAGTGATCCTCCTGCCTCAGCTTCCTGAGTAGCTAGGATTACAGGTGTGTGCCACCATATCTCACTAATTTTTAAATTCTTTTAGAGATGGGGTCTTGCTATGTTGCCCAGGCTGAAGTGCTGTGGAACAATTGTAGCTCACTGCAGCCTCCAACTCCTGGGCTTAAGCGTTTCTCCAACCTTGGCCTTCCAAAGTGCTGGGATTACAGGGGTGAAACACTGTGCCTGGACAGTTGTTGACTTATTTACAGATTCTGAGATCTAGGATACTCCTTACTTCAAAAAAAATTATTTTCAAAACTTCCACTTTACAGCTAGCATATGCAACATTTGCTTAGTTTCAGAAATGGGTTAAATTATGAAGGTGATAAAAATGCCTCCAGGAAAAGAAAAAACAAAGAAGGCACCATCAGCTATGGTTAAGTTAGACGATGTCAAGGATTGCCAGAGGCTGAGAGGTAGGTGGCATGACCACTTCTGTTTGTTACTCTCTAAAGTTAGTAGGCTTTGCATACAAGGGGAGCTCAATGATGGGCATGGGCTGGGAGGTGGGGGCGTGGGAGTGGAGACAGGTTGTGGCTGGCCAACTGGCATGGATGTGGCTTGGAAGTGTGCATAGTTACTTCCATATGCCATAAAGCCAGGTCTTTTCGGGGTTGCCTTCACAACTTTGTTTCCATGTTTAGGGACCATTTCTGAGTACTCTCGTCTAAGCAAAATTCTGGAAATGCCTACTCCCCAGGAAATTGAACGCCTTCACCTGTCCAGGGTTGTCAGGTGAATAGCAGTCCCAGGGCTGTGATGAGACAGAGAACAAGAGAAAAGAATAAGAGAAATGGGACTTTCAAATCGGACTCTGCTTGGAATTCTCATTTGTAACACCCACGGGACACACAGGCACCGCAGGGGCGCTGGTGCTTAGCCATGGCCTGTGACCTGACCCATGAGGGGCATGGAGGTATCCTGACAGTGTAGAGGGTGTTTTGGACCTGAATTGTGTCCCAGGAGGTGTGTTGGAAAGTGGAGCGTAGTATTTTTCGGATGCATCCTGTCCCACCCCAGGATGTCCCCAGGGCTGTGAGAGTCTGTTCCCATCTTAGCTTCTCAGCACTCTCACCCATTTCGGAAGCACTCCCCACAACTCTCCACCACCCCCGTGGAGGAGATGGGTGTTTGGAACGTGCGTGAGTTCCTTCGAGGCTGTGCACCCACCACGTTGGCTCTTTGTGGGTGGGGTGGCGGGGGGAGGGAATAGGCCAGTTGTAACACCAGCTGTCAGCACACCAACTGCTTAATTTGAAAATCATGCCACAGACAGAATTAAAAACGCCACACTTGAGTTAAAGTGAGCTAAGGGAACAAAGAGAAGAATTTCCGACACAGAGCAGAGTGACAAATGTGTAGGAGGCTCTGAGGGGCCTGGGAGCTCTAGAAGAGGGTCTCTCTCAGCAATGCCCGGGAGACCCATTGGGCTTTTGATGATTAAACAGGTAACCCTTCACCACCTGCCTGCCCCCATCTGAGAGTAACCAGGATCTGTGGGTGTATTAGACTCATCTCCCTTGCTGGTCTGTGACATGAAATTTGGCAAATTGTTGACTCTGGGATGCTGCAAATCCACCTTTATTTTAACAGCGTAGATGATCCGATCTGAGAAGCAGGAAGGAGAAGAATGCTAATGTCCTCTCTGCTCACCTTCCCCGAGGAGAGGGCTGTTCTGTTTCCTCCCCATCTCTAGGACTCAGCCCCTCCAAATGGTTAGGATGTTTGGCAACGCAGTTCCGAGCGGAGTGGCCCGGAAAGCGCTTAGAGATTCCACTTCACTGTTATATATGTTTTTAAAAGTAGACACAGCTTCAGATGAAATGCAAAGCAGCAGCTCTGGGCGGCAGTGGCCCCTTGCCCGTCGTGGTGTGTGGAATGTGTCTGAAATACTGAATGGCAAAGGAGGCTTTGCTTCTTGGTGGACTTTGCAAGTTGTCTCTGGTCAGCTGGGTGGGAGGGGACGGGCCAAAGCCTGTGGGACGACGCCTCCTTGTTCAGAATGAATTTCCCACCACTCCAGGCTCCTTTGGACACTTGGTACTTCTCCTTGGGCGGGTCCCTGCCATTCTGCCATCTCAGTGGTCCTTGCATGGGCATTTGCAGGTGCCTATTCAGCCCTACCTAGGCTTGGTTCCTGGGGAGGCAGGAAGCAAGACATGACCCTTGGTTATTTATTTCCAGGCCTCTCCTTCTTCCTCCCCTTGGTGGACTGGGAGCATCTTCTTATTTTCTTTTATTTTTTCAGAGATAGGGTGTGGCTGTGTTGGCCAGGCTGGAGTGCCGTGGTGCAATCACAGCTCACTGCAGCCTCAGCCTCCTGGGCTTAAGCAGTAGTTCCACCCCAGCGTCCCCAGTAGCTGGGACTGTGAGCATGGGCCATCATGCCTGACTAAGTTAAACAATTTTATTTTTTGTAAAGATGGGGTTGGGGGGGGTTCTCACCATATTGCCCAGGCTGGTCTTGAACTCCTGGCCTCAAGGAATCCTCCCACCTCCTGTGCCTTCCTAGGTACTGGGATTCCAGGCATGAGCCACCGCGCCAGCCTGTGAGCATCCTGAGAGCAGAGGTAGTATCTTATTTATCTCTGGATCCCCCAGGCATAAGATAGCACCTGGTACGAGTGGGCACCTGGCGAACACTGAGCTGGAAAATGGTGTTAGGAATGTGGATCTTTTCTTTCCCTCTTTGCTGCCATCTTGGGCTCAACATCCACTCCTGCAGCCAACCCGTTCTGAGCCATCTCCTCTTGCCCAGCACAGTGCCAACTGCTAAGGCAGCTGAGAGGAGCCAGCCCAGCTGCCTGGGGGGTGCAGTCATCCTGGGGTGTGTGTTTGGGGTGTATGTGAGGTGTTGTGTCTGGCTGTGCTGTGACCTTCACGACACCCATAGCCTGCTGAGATCCCCAGATGTGCCAGGGAAGGTAGTGGGGGAGGACGATTTAGGACCCCTGTCGTCTGCAAAGGAGATAGTAGAATTACACGTCTCATAGCTCTTGGGGGATTCGATGCATGTTCAGATTTACCAATCAGGAAAACCTCTAATAGGTGAGGTTTGGAGCCAAGTGCCCGGGTTTTTAACACATAGTTTGGTTTAGGTGGAGCATTCACAGGTGGACACAAAATCGCTGCTCCGGAAGAAAGAGCTCAGTTATACAGGCTATGGTGGATGCAAGCTTCCAATACGCTGCCTGCTTAAGACCTTCAGCCAGGGATGGGTCCTCCCAATGGTCCATCCAGGAGCCAGTGTAGACCACGAAACTCACTTTCAATTTCCCCTTTGCTTTCACCTTATCGTTGGGAAGGATGGAAAGTTGGGAGGAATGAGACTTAGGGGTGTGGGGCTGGGGGACTGAGTACACAGGATGCTGTTTTTTAGGTGGCTTTCAGCCCGTTCTCAGGGGAAGATCACCCCAAGGCTATGTTCCAGCTTTGGCACCTGGAGCTGCTGGCCAGGGCTGGGGGAATCTGGCCCCTGAAGTCCCTTTCCTGGTCCTCTTAGCCACGAGGGCACTTGGCTCATGTTCTGAGCTTTTCTGTCTTCTCTCCCCAGCGAGCAGCTTCCAGGAATTCTCACCTTCTCCAAACCACTAAGGGAAGCCCCTCCTTGCCTCATCTGACTTGATTACACCGCTCCTTCCTCTCTGAAACTCAAAACAGAGAAGTACACTGAGGAGGAAAACTTATTTTTTCTCTCTTCCCTCTGGAAGCCAGCCTTGATCCGAATGTTCCTATAGCAACATTAATTCTCCCAAGTTGCACCTACTGTATAATAAGTTATATATATAGAAGACCTACTGGGATCCAAGTACCCCATATGTGCAAGTGAATGAGTTAATGCTGCCGTGAGAATTAGCAATGTTCCGTTTCCTGATTTTGAAGTTACAACCTGTGTTCACTGAGGGCTCGGGGTGCAGGGTTTTAGGGGCAGGGGGTGTGGGCACTGTTCTGGCAGGCACCTGCCTTCACCGCCGAGCGAAGGGTGTCTCTGGAAAATTTCTGAGCCCCGAGATGGAAATAGACTCGGGAATGTCAGCGTCCTTCCTAGTCAGAACGGAATGATTTCTCGAGCTCGGCTCTGGCTGTCTTGGTCTCCACGGTTATCTGGAGGCCTCAGAGTGAGAGAAAGAACCGGGTAAGACTTCCAGACAGATGGGGCCCAGCCAGGCCCAGGGTCGGATGTTGCTGGAGTCCTGTGGTTGGGGGCTACAGAGGTGAGCGTAGGCCAGTGCTTTTGCTGCCTGTCCCCGTAGGTTGGTGGGAAAATGTAGATTGCCTGGCTCTTGGACAAGCCTGAGCCCTTTGCGGGTCACTGGGCGGTTGTTTACATTGGGTAGGATATGCAATGTTAGCAGGAAAGCGGTAGCCAGGATGATAGCCAAGATGGTGACAGTTGGAGTTGAGAGCCAAATCGTGGGCCAGGCGTGGTGCTCAGCACTTCCTATGCAGTGTGTTGCCTGCTCTTACAACAGGCCTGCGAAGCGACTTACTTCTGTGATTCTCTCCCATTGTACGGATGAAGAAACAAAGGCTTAGAGTCAGTGGGCAGGTAACGCAGGAGCTGGAGTCAGAGCTCTCCAGCCCGTGTTCCCAAGAGCATGCTGCCGTGCCTGGCTTTGGCGTGTGCCAACTGGGTGGCCTACAGAGCTAGTGTGACCGCTTGGCTGGGCGCTGCTGCTCTAAGCCTACTCTAACCCTTGCTTCTACGCTGGGGCCTTGGAGCCCATGGTTTGGCATTAACACACGGGTGGCAGTGGAGGGGATGTTCTGAGACAGGTGGGGAAACATGCAGGGACCTGGGGGCACCTGGGCACATTGTGTAGCTGGCTGCACTCGCTTCCAGAGCCTGAGGGTGTGGCTGGCTGTAAGTTGGAAGGGAGGGAGGTGAGAGCCTCTCTCTCAGGCCTGCCATCCCTTACCTGCCCACTGGCATCAGGCCTGACCCTATGGAATCCAGCCTGGGTCCCAGGAGGGCTGCTGCAGCTTGTCCTCAGATGTGCTCAGCAGGTGGTGGCCAGAGCGGCCAGGAGCAATGGCGCTGCCCCCGGCCACCTTTTCTGAAAATGGCCTGTTGTCACTATGAGTATGGGAAGAGAGAGAGGATGGGAGGGAGGTGAGGAGTGAAAGGAGGGCCCAGGGGGTGGAATTGGGTGCAGGCCTGGTGACCAGGGAAGAGAAGGTCCAAGGAAGGTGGGATGGGTGTTTCCAGGTCCCTGTGGGTGACCCTGCTCCTGGGAGTGACTGCAAGCATGCTGTGTGTGTGTGTGTGTGTGTGTGTGTGTGTGTGTGCAGGTGTCTGTGGGGATTGCATGCTTGTAGGTGCACGTGGGCCTGGGCATGCCCCCCTCCGATGGGTCAGCTCCTTGTCTCTGCCTGTTGTGGCCCTCAGGAGGCCTTGGCGGGGGGTGGGGTGCTGCAGGCCGCTGCCTGGACCTCCTCTAGGCCTCAAATCACCATCAGCTGCCAGAGGGCGCTGCTCTTCACTCTGCCACCTGCTCTCCCCTGGGAGCTGAGTTTTAAAACTCCCAAGAATTACCTGAAAGCCAGAGAGCAAAGAGTCCAACGCATTTCTGGCCGCTGCTTCCTTTGTACATTTAATGAGAGGCCTTTTCCCTCTCCGCCCACAGCCAACAGATACCCTGAAGGGGTGTAAAACTCAATAGACACTCACAGAGATAAAAGCCCTTCTAAAAGTTCCTGGTTCTAAACCTTCTTTTATGGCCCCGTGTGGAAGTGTTCCTGGAAGGCTAGTTAGGGAAATGAAACGGTCCATTTGGACCCTTGTAAAGCCAAGCTGAGCCCCAGGAGCTCTTATGCCCCCACCCGTGCCTCTGGCCCTCCCGCCCTGCACCACAGGGCCAGGCACTGCAGTGGGGTAGGTGACTGGGAGGTGGGTGTCCCTGGGTGCACGGGCGGTGAGGGGAGGCATGGTGGGCTGCTCTGGGGAGGCTGCGGAGCTGGGCTGGCTACCTGCAGGAATTCACAGTCACTGAGGGGCCAGCGCCCAGCATTGCTCTGTGCCTGGGCCGACAGTGGAAAGTACACCACGAAGTACCAACCCAGTGCAGACGCATGCACGAATTAGTTTGTTTTGTGTTGCTATAAAGGAATACCTCAGATTCTGCAGGCTTTACAAGAAGCATGGGGCCCCATGTGCATCTGGTGAGGACCTCATGAGGCTTCCAATCATGGTGGACGGTGAAGGTGGAGCAGGCCAATGTCACGTGGCAGGAGAGGGCGTCAGAGAGAGAGAGAGGAGGAGGCGCCTTTGAACAACCAGCTCTCGCGTGAACTAACAGAGAGAGAACTCACTCATGACCATAGGAAAGGCACTAAGCCACCATAAGGGATCTGCCCCCATGACCCAAACACCTCCCTCTGCCCACCTCCAACATTGGAAGTCACATTTCAACATGAGGTTTGCAGGGGACAAATATCCAAACCATGTCAGCGGGGGTTGCCCCAGGTCCCTCCTGCTGATGTCGGCACTGAGGGAGGCCCAGATCACGGGCCCCCTCTGCTGATCCATGTCACTTCCACCTCCAATGTTGGGGGGCGAGTCCGAAGGGGCAGAATGGTGGCTGGGGTTGGGGGTGACGCTCAGCGTTTGCCCACCTTCTTCAGACCAACTGGGCAGGATCCGCCTGGTGGAAGGGACAGCACAGTGGAACACAGGGAAGTTCACGTCAGTTCTCGACTTTTGGGGTCCAAAGGTGTATGAGTCTGCTAGGGTGGCCAAACGAATGACCACAGATGGAGCGGCTTAAACAACAGAAGTATGCTTCCTGGCAGCTCTGCAGGCTGGACGTCCCAGGTCAAGGTGTAGGGGGGTTAGTTTCTTCTGCGGCCTCCCTCCTCGGCTTGTAGGAGGCTGTCTTCTCCTTGTGTCTTCACATGGTCTCCCTCAGTGTGTCTGTGTCCTGATCTCTTCTTTTAAGAACACCAGGCAAGGCCAGGCGTGATGGCTCACCCCTGTAATCTCAGCACTTTGGAATGCTGAGGTGGGTTGATCTCTTGAATACCTCTCCAGGGCATTGGCCTCCACACTGCAAATGCCACCCTCCAGGGCATTGAACCTCCACACTGCAGATGCCACCCTCCAGGGCATTGAGTCTTCACCCTGCAGATGCCACCCTCCAGGGCACTGAGCCTCCACCCTGCAAATGCCACCCTCCAGGGCATTGGGCCCCCACACTGCAGATGCCACCCTCCAGGACATTGAGTCTTCACCCTGCAGATGCCACCCTCCAGGGTACTGGGCCTCCACCCTGCAGATGCCACCCTCCAGGGTACTGAAGTTCCAGACTGCAAATGCCACCCTCCAGGGCATTGGACTTCCATCCTGCAGATGCCACCCTCCAGGGCACTGAACCTCCACCCTGCCAATGCCCCTTTTGGGGTACTGAACCTCTACTCTGCAGATGCCACCCTCCAGGGCATTGGGCCCCCACACTGCAAATGCCACCCTCTAGGCCATTGAGCCTCCACCTTGCAGATGCCACCCTCCAGGGTACTGGGCCTCCACCCTGCAGATGCCAACCTCCAGGGCATTGGGCCTCCATCCTGCAGATGCCACCCCCCAGGGTACTAGGCCTCCACTCTGCGGTCTGTCTTGATAACCAAGAAGGGGAGGGTAAGAAATGGTAATATCAATCCACCAATGCCCTGGCTTTGGGGAGATTTTCATACCAGCTCCAAGTAGACCTACATGCTCTCTCCTTATGATGAGGATCTGGGGGAATGGGTGGAATTTCATTAGGTGTGTGTGAATAGGGAGTAGAGGTACAGTTCCTGGCAGGTAGAAAGGCTTGGAGGTGAGAAACTCCCACTCCACCAAAATGCTCCAGGAGAAGTGCTCTTCCAACCATATCACTGGGTGGAGAGAATTTCAGATGTAAGTCTGAAGTTTTGAGTAAGGAGGTTCAACTGGTTCCCAGAAATGGGGTTTCAGCCATGCTGGAGCAACGGGGATGAGTAAGAAAGCTCCCTCCGTGCTCTTAATGCCCTTCCTTTGCTCTAATCTGCTTTTCTCTTCTCTTTCCACCCTCTTGCACTTTCTACTTCCTCTCTTTACATGGCACCCCTCCCATTGTGTAGTGGGCATTCGTGAGTTAGTGGCTACTCCTTTAGGTCAACTCGTTCCCTCCCAGTGAGACCCAGCCTCCTGGAGGCCCAGTGGCTCAGCCCCTTCATCCTCAAGCTTGACTCATGTAGCTTATCCAGAAAGAAAAAAAAAAAAAAGACTGATCTTAGTGGGTTTCACCTGTAACCCCAGT
Organism: Homo sapiens; assembly: GCF_000001405.40. Taxonomy (NCBI): domain Eukaryota; kingdom Metazoa; phylum Chordata; class Mammalia; order Primates; family Hominidae; genus Homo; species Homo sapiens. The sequence continues at coordinate 32,250,154 of NC_000019.10, read as the reverse complement.
GCTTTGGGAGGCCAAGGCAGGAAGATTGCTTGAGGCCAGGAGTTTCAGACTAGCCTGGGCCACATAGCAAGACCCCTCCCCTCCACTGCAAAAAATTCGCCAGGCATGGTGGTGCATGCCTATGGTCCCAGCTACTTGGAAGGCTGAGGTGGCAGAATTGCTTAAGTCTAGGAGGTTGGGGCTGCAGTGAGCTATGGTTGCACCACTGCACTCCAGCCTGGGCAACAGAGTGAGACACTGTCTGAAAAAACAACAAACAAGCAAACAAACAAATATTGCAGACCTTCAATAATAACTTGAATTATTTTTGTTGTAATATATATGATTCTAAAACAACATCAGCATTCAGTAAAAATTAATAAGTTCTTCCTATGTGCCTGGCAGGGAGCTGAGCACCTTTCTCTGCATTATTTCATTTCATCCTCATCACTACTCAATAGAAATGATAGTAACAGTCCTGACTACAGATCTTACCAAAGTAGATAAAAACTCCTTATATTTATAGCTTTTATAAAACTACAAAACCAAGCCACACTTACAAATTAAAAACAAAAATGTTATGAAACCAGTACCATTTTAAAACAGCAACATTCCTTTAATGGGAAGGATGATGTTATTTTGCTGAAATGAAACCGTTATTTACAACATGAATCGGGAACTGACAAGTATGACCCGGATTCTTTCCAGACTGGTAATGTTACATATCTTGGGGGTGGAGTGGAGGTGGAGCTGACTCAATTCTTCCATCACTTTTCTTCTTGGTGGTGGGAATCCCTTTCACTTGGAGGTGAGAGTCCCTCCACCCCACCCAGATACTCTGGGAGAAGTGTTTCCCAACAACATCACCAGGCTGAATTTCAGATGTAAGTCTGGTTTTGAGTAAGGAAGTTCAGTCGGCTCCCAGCAATGGAGTTTCAGCCATGCTCCAGCAATGGCGAAGAGTGGTGATACCACTGGTGACAAGATAGGGATTTCTTCTTTCCTTGGCTCCTTCTTTCTTTATCTCCCTCATTCCTTCCAGAAGAACCAATAAAAAGGAGATAATTCATTGGCATAACAACACATGAAAGTTATTCTCTAAGAGCTGTCAAGATGAGCAAGAAAAAGTCATTGGTACAGTTTGAAGAACCTGAGATATCTAAAACCCTCAGTGTAATGCAGGAGCTGAAAGATCTGATGATGTCCCTCCAGCGTGGGGCATGGATCCAGAGGGGACACCTAGGAATGGAAAGAGGCCAAGGAAGCTGTGGGAGAAATGAAGGAGGGAGAACAGAGAGAAGATTCCAGTTGCCCACCTGGATGGACTTGCATAAACTGAGAGGGGACTCAATGGAGAGTCTTCTCATTGAATACTCTCTTCTTCCCACTCTGAGGTTGGACAAACTCAGGGCTTACACAGCCATGAACAGAATTCTACAATTCCATTAGGTCTTCCTTCAACCCCAGTGCATAAGTTGCACATTAATTCTGCCCCCATCCCTTTAGTCCCTGATGATTAGAAGAGTGTACAGGCAGACCTTGGAGGTATTGCAGGTTCAGTTGCAGACTGCCACAATAAAGCAAATATCACAATAAAGAGAGTCACATGAATTTTTTGGTTTCTTAGTGCATATAGAAGTTATGTTTATGCTATACTGTAACCTGTAGCCTATTAAGTGTGTAATAGAATTATATCTAAAAAACACTGTACATATCTTAATTAAAAATACTTTATTGGTAAAAAATGTTAATCATGGTTTGAGCCTTCAGCAAGTCATACTCTTTTTGCTGGTGGGGGATCCTGCCTTGATGTTGATGGCTGCTGACTGATCACAGTGGTGATTGCTGAAGGTTGGAGTGGCTGAGGCAACAGTGAACTTTGCCACCTCAGTTGAATCTTTCTTTCACAAAAGATTTCTGTATAGCGTGCAATGCTGTTTAATAGCCTTTTACCCACAGTAGAACTTCTTTCAAAATTAGAATAAATCTCTCAGAACCTGCCACTACTTTGTGGAATATTTTAAATCCTTTGTCATTATTTCAACCATGTTCACAGCATCTTTAAAAGGAGTAGATTCCATCTCAAAAACCACTATCTTTTCTCATCCATAAGAAGCAACTCCTCATCCATCCAAGTTTGGTCATAAGACTGCAGCAATTCAGTCCCATCTTCAGGCTCCACTTCCAACTCTAGTTCTCTTGCTATTTCCACATCAGCAGTCACTTCCTCCACTGAAGTCTTGAACCCCTCAAAGTCATTCATGAAGCCTGGAATAAACCTCTTCCAAACTCTTGTTGATGTTGATATTTTGAGTACTTCCCATGAATTACAAATGTTCTTAATGGCATCTAGAATGGTGAATCTTTTCTAGAAGGTTTTCAATTGAGTTTGTCCACATCCGTCAGAGAAATCACTATTAATCGTAGCTATAGCCTTATGAAGTGTATTTTTTTCCATAATAAGATTTGAAAGTTGAAGTTACTCCTTGATCTATGAGCTGCAGAATGGATGTTGTGTTAGCAGGCATGAAAACTACATTCATCTTCTTATACATCTTCATCAGACCTCCTGGGTGAATAGGTGCATTATCAATGAGCAGCAATATTTTGAAAAAAAATATTTTTTTTCTGAGCAGTGTTTCTCAACAATGGATTTAAACTGTTCAGTAAATAATGCTATAAACAGATGTGCTGTCATCCAGCTTTGTTTTTCCATTTCTAGAGCATAGGCAGAGTAGATTTTGCATAATTCTTAAGGACCCTAGGATTTTTGAAATGGCAAATTAGCATTGGTTTTACCTTAAAGTCACCCGCTGCATTAGCCCCTAACAAGAGCCAGCCTGCTCTTTAAAGCTTTGAAACCAGGCATTGACTTCTCCTCTCTAGCTATGGAAGTTCTAGATGACATCTTCTTCCAATAGAAGGCTATTGCATCTACACTGAACATCTAAAATCTGTTGTTTAGGCCAGGTGTGGTGGCTCATGCCTGCAATCTCAGCACTTTGGGAGGCCAAAGCGGGCAGATCACTTGAGGTCTGGAGTTTGAGACCAGCCCGGCCAACATGGTGAAACCTGTCTCTACTAAAAATACAAAAATTAGCTGGGCATGGTGGCAGGCACCTGTTGTCCCAGCTACTCAGGAGGCTGAGGCAGGAGAATTGCTTGAACCCGGGAGGCAGAGGTTGCAGTGAGCCGAGATCACGCCACTGCACTCCAGCCTCGGTGACAGGGCGACACTCCATCTCAGAAAGAAATAAACAGGCCAGGCGTGGTGGCTCACACCTGTAATCCCAGCACTTTGGGAGGCTGAGGGAGGTGGATCACCTGAGGTGGGGAGTTCGAGACCAGCCTGACCAACATGGAAAAACCCCGTCTGTACTAAAAATACAAAATTAGCTGGGCATGGTTGCACATGCCTGTAATCCCAGCTACTCAGGAGGCTGAGGCAGGACAATTGCTTGAACCGGGGAGGTGGAGGTTGCGGTGAGCCAAGATCACGCCATTGCACTCCAGCTTGGGCAACAAGAATGAAACTCCATCTCAAAAAAAAAAAAAAAACCCAAACAAAGAAACACAATCTATTGTTTAGTGTGTCTACCTTCTCAATAGTCTTAGATCTTCTGGATAACTTGCTGCAGCTTCTCCATCAGCATGTGCTGCTTCACCTTGCACTTTTATGTTATGGAGTTGGCTTCTTTCCTTAAGCCCCATGAACCAAACTCTGCTAGCTTCCAACTTTTCTTCTGCAGCTTTCTCACCTCGCTGAGGCTTCATAGAATTGAAGAGAGTTAGGGGCTGCTCTGGATTAGGCCGTGGCTTAAGGGAATGTTGTGGTTGGTTTGATCTTCTATCCAGACCACTCAAACTTTCTCCTTATCAGCAATGAGTCTGTTTAGCTTTCTTATCATTCGTGTGTTCACTGGAGTAGCACTTCTAATTTCTTTCAAGAACTTTTGTTTGCATTCACAACTTGACTAACTAGCACCAGATGCCTCGCTTTCAGCCTATCTCAGCTTTCGACCTGCTTTCTTCACTAAACTTAATCATTTCTAGCTTTTAATTTAAAATGAGAGACACGTGACTCTTCCTTTCACTTGAACACTTAGAGGACATTTTAGGGTTATTCATTGACCAGTTTTCAATATTGTTGTGTCTCAGGGAATAGGGAGGCCTGGGGAGAGGGAGAGAGATGAAGGAATAATCAGTTGGTGAAGCGGTCAGAACGTGCACATTTATCGATTAAATTCCCCATGTTATGTGGGTGTAGTTCTTGGCACCTCCAAACAATGACAACAGTAACATCAAAAATCACTGCTCAGGCTGGGTGCAGTGGCTCACGCCTGTAATCCCAGCACTTTGGGAGGCCCAGGTGGGTGGATCACAAGGTCAGGAGTCTGAGACCAGCTTGGCCAATATGGTGAAACCGCGTCTCTACTAAAAATACAAAAATTAGCCGGGCATGGTGGCACACGCCTGTAGTCCCAGCTACTGGGGAGGCTGAGGCAGGAGAATCGCTTGAACCCGGGAGGCGGAGGTTGCAGTGAGCCGAGATCGTGCCACTGTACTCCAGCCTGGGCGACAGAGAGAGACTCCATCTCAAAAAAAAAAAAAAAAAAAATCACTGCTCACAGGTCACCATAATGGTATAATAGTAATGAAAAAGTTTGAAATATTGCAAGAATTGCCAAGATGTGACACAGAGACATGAAGTGAGGACCTGATGTTGGAACAATGGTGCCCATAGACTTGCTCCATGCAAGGTTGCCAGAAACCTTCAATTTGTAAAAAACACAATTATCTGGGAGGTGCAATAAAGTGAATGCAATAAAACGAGGTATGTCTGTTCTGACGGAAAACACAAACTGTATGGAGATGACATGGTGACTGGTCACCCAGGTGATCCAGAATTTATCTTATTCATTGTTTCTTTTAGATGAATGTGCTAAGTGAAAACACTCACAAAATTAAAACTTACCGGCCAGGCACGGTGGCTCACGCCTGTAATCCTAGCACTTTGTGAGGCCAAGGCAGGCGGATCACCTGAAGTCGGGAGTTCGAGACCAGCCTGGCCAACATGGTGAAACCCCAACTCTACTACAAATACAAAAATTAGCTGGGAGTGGTGGTGCATGCCTGTAATCACAGCTACTCTGGAGGCTGAGGCAGAAGAGTTGCTTGAACCCAGGGGTGGAGGTTGCAGTGAGCCAAGATCATGCCACTGCACTCCAGCTTGGGTGACAGAGAGACTCTGTCTCAAAAAAAAAAAATTATAACTTAAAAAAAAGAGTCGTGAACTCCTGAGGACGTATCTATGGGCCTCAGTTTGAGAAACTCAAGGGTCTGACCGAGGGTGGGGTTGCATAGGGTGGTGGAGGGCATTACTATCAGGGCCTATCAGCCCTAAAGGCAGAGGATGTGCGTTTCTTTTTTTTGAGACAGGATCTCACTCTCAGACTGCAGTGAGACTGCATGCCTGGGCTGGAGTGTAATGGCACGAACATGGCTCACCGCAGCCTTAACCCCCTAGGCTCAAGTGATCCCCCCGCCTCAGCCTCTTGAGTAGCTGGGACCACGGGTGTGCGCCACCACACCTGGCTAATTTTTGTATTTTTTGTAGAGATGGGGTTTCACCATGTTGGCCAGGCTGGTCTTGAACTCCTGAGCTCAGGTGATCCACTTGCCTCTGTCTCCCAAAGTACTGGGATTACGAGTGTGAGCCACCGTGCTCAGCTGGGTGTGGGTTTCAATTCCGTGGTGCCACTTATTCACTGGGTGCCTTCAGGATGGTGACTTTATTCCTCTGATCTATCAGTTTTCTAAAAAATGGTGATATTCACAGGGGCCACTGTGATCCCAGGGATACATGTAGTGTGACCTTGTGGGCCAGGGTGGGCTGCACAGCTGGAAAATGTAGGGGGTGGGATGGCAGGTACCCAGGATCTGGAGCTGTTCCTTCTGGTCCAAGTACCTGGGTGTAGGGGCAGATGGTGGGGGGCAGAGGGGTTTAACTGCCATTAGGGTACCTTCTTTTGTGAAGACAGGAAGGTGGATGGGCCCCATCTCAACTCTGATGCTTGATTCAAAGTGTAAGGCATAACCCTAATATCACCCTGAATGTGCCCGGTCTTATCTGATCTTGGAAGCTAAGCAGGGTTGGGGCCTGATTAGTACTTGGATGGGAGACTGTCTGGGAATACTGGGCGCTGTAGGCTTGACCAGGCATGATGGTGCACGCCTATAATCCAATCACTCTGGGAGGCCGAGATGGGAGGATCGCTTGAGCCCAGGAGTTCAAGACCAGCCTGAGCAACATAACGAGATCCCATCCGAACATACACACACACGCGCGCGCGCGCACGCACACACACACACACACACACACACACACACACAGTGAGCACACTGAGTGAGAACCCTGGCAGAGAGCCATGTTGCACGTGGGGCAGGGCCAGGGGAGCACAGGAGTCCTGGATGGTGCTCAGGGACCCCCAGGGCCTAACCTTCCTGCAGGGCTCTTTCACAGCTAGGATGGCTGGGACAGAATTCCCCAACCAAACAAGGGCTAAGGCACGTCTTTAGGGCCAGGTAGGAGAAAGGCTCTGGCAGCGCCTTCCCTGGAAGCCGCTTCGGAGGCTCCATGGCAGGCAGGGGTGCATAGCATTGGTTCCCTCCAGGGTTCAGGTCCCGATGACAGCTCTAAGTCCACTGTGCTGTGTAGGCTGGAAAGGGCCCTTAGAGGGAAGTAAGGGTCCTGGAGAGGGGAGAGGAAAGGCATGATAGGCTTTGGAGGTGAGCAAAGGCTGGAGCCAGGTAGGCCAACGTGAGGGTCTTGCCCTGGCAGAGAGAGGTGGCCCACGTGGGGTTCTACTCCTTCTAATGTGGGCAGAAGGAACCCAGGTCCGGGGCTGCGAGCCTGAATGGCCTCCCATGGCCAGCACTGCTTTCCTTTCCTCCATCTTTCTGGAACCCTGGTGCACTCTGCCTGCAACTCAGACAAGGACCTGCAGAGCTGGGTCCCACTCACTGTCACCCTTGGTCTCCCAGCCTCAGAGGCTTTGCTTCCCCAGCTCTGCATTAGTCCATGTATTGTGTGCATGTGTTTGTCATATGGATGTGGAGCAGGTGGGGACAGAGGGTTGGAAAGACAGAGAAGGTGGTAAGACAAAGCCCGGAGGACGGGCATGGGGACACATGCTCATGTTAGGTGTGATGGGGAGGTGTCTTGGGGGTCAGCCTGCTGCAGGCATCATGAGGTAGGTCTCCATGCCCTCAAAGGTGCCTGGACACTCCCTCCCCTTCCTGCAGGAAGTCTGTGCTCCAAAGACAGCTGGGAGCATTTTCTCCTGGAGCCCAGATGCTGGCTGTCCACGCATCCCTCCACAGAGAGGCTACAAAATGGTCCCCAAACCAGCCCAGTGCTCTCTCTCTATGGGGTACAAATGAGTGAGCCCCAGTTCAGAATCATTTCTGTCCTTGAGGATGGCAAGGCTGGAAGTTAGCTTGGTGCCTCCAGGCCAGGGAAACAAATCAACTGTCATTACTGCTTGGTAATTAACACCCTTGTTGCCTGCTCTGGAAGCAGATGTGAGAGATTTAGGGAATATTTTAATCTGAAATCTCGCGGCACAGAGATAAACGTGGCATGGTGAAGCCGGGCTGCAATCGACATATTTATCGTCCGAGGCTGACCGTCCAACCAGTGCGAACCTATCTTCACTTTGGATGGATAGCGAATCACTCTCTGTTTTTATTATTTCAATTCCTGTCCTTCATGGGGTTGTGGTGAATTAGCTCGGTGCCATTTTCTAAAATATCAAGCATTTTTATACATTAGGTATAGTGAATGGCAAATACTTGATGTAAAGTCTGCAGTTTTACTCCATAACCAGATTGTAAAATATGAACTGAATTAATCATAACTGCGAAGACTAATGGTACGTTTTCTCTTATTTTATCTTTAGTGCCTTTCAGATCATGTTTTAAAACCTTCCACGTCTGGCGTTGGGAACGCAGCCGCGGCTTGGTGGTGGATAGCAAGAGGCAAAGGTCAGACCGGAGGCTGCACAAATATTGTGTGCTGGATTTATTGTTTTAATTAAGAGCGTGGCAGTTCATCATAAACTGTTTATGGCGTTTCTGCACAGAGCAACATTTTGAAATCAGCTGTTTTAATGAAAACATAATGTCATATCTGTCAAAGTTCTAAATATTTTGAAAGTGAAATATGGAAACAAGAACTTTAATTCTAGGTTTACTGAGATTAGCTCATTGAATTGCTTTTAAATCCCTTAAGAGGGTCATGTCATGGGAACTGCATGGTTTCTTGTAGGTGACTGGGAAAAAAAAATTCTAAGAGGTTCTCAGGCTGGTTATTTAATAGTGAAAATACAAGTTGAAGGTTAATGTATCGAAAAACAAAAACCATTATGGTTGGCGTTGGGGTTTTAGATTAAAGATGCAATAATGGGTGTTCAGGGGCCTTGATGTCGGATGGTTTGGGGAGGCCTAATTGTGCCGAGAGGGAGCTTGGAGCCTCTCAGGGCAGGAGAGAAATGGATCCACCCTTGTGCTTTCCTAGTGACGAAGCCTCAACATCTCTGCGTCTGCAACTAATTATTTATAATGACCTCAAAGATGATGGGGTTTCACGGACTTTTGAGGCTGAGCAGTTTGCAATCCTAGTAATTCCCTCTCATGGTCACTGGGCATCTGTGTAGACACGTCAGCCATTCTTGGTTACATTTGTTAGGGAGTCGGATAAAATATTTGTCTAATCTGGAAATTGTATTTTTAGCTGTACTCTCATTGGAAACAGAAATTAAACTTGTCATTAGATGCCGGGCCACAGGAGTTGACTGAACAGGGTAATGTATGTTATATTCTGTGCTCTAGTTGGTCAAGTTTCATATATATCGTATTCCACATTATTTTATTAACTTTAATATCTGCACTTCCTATTACCAGACATGCCCCTCATTCAAAGCACAGAGGCACAGTTCTCTAATCAGAAGTGACAGGCTATATACTTTTTCTCAGCCATTACTCGGTAGCCTAGAGCAAAGAACTCTGTTTCCTTGAAAATGTTTTGAATTGGGTTATTTTTATTGGAGTATTAAAGTAATTCTTCAGATTTTAGGCTATTATTTAAGTACTTGTGGGAGAATACAATAACCTCCGGATTCTATAGGCTTTGGTACTTTAACCATCTGAGCCGCTAAATGCATCTTTTTAATGCCGGTTATATAAGTGTCTCAGAACTCATCTGACCAGCGGAAGCTAAGAGCATGCAGGTAATTATAGA